>NC_000013.11:97502979-98127979 GCF_000001405.40 Homo sapiens | reverse complement strand
ACTAAAAATACAAAAATTAGCTAGGCATGGTGGCATGTGCCTGTAATCCCAGCTACTTGGGAGGCGGAGGGAGGAGAATCTCTTGAACCCGGAGGTTGCAGTGAGCCATGATCGCACCATTGCACTCCAGCCTGGACGACAGAGCGAGACTCTGTCTCGAAAAAAAATTTTTTATTTCTTCAATAATAAATTAACCTTAGTTTCCTGTAACTTTTTTACTTTATAAATGCTTAAATCTTTTTAAACTTTAAGACTCTTTTGTAATAACACTTACTTAAACATATTATACAGCTGTGCAAAAATATTTTTCTTTGTTTATATCCTTACTCTATAAGCTTTTTTCTATTTTTAGAATTTGTCTTTTTGAATTTTTTAAAACTTTTTTCCTAAAAACTAAGACACAAACATACACACATTAGCCCAGACCTGCACAGGGTCAGGATCATCAATATCACTGTCTTCCACCCCCACATCTTGTCCCACTGGAAGGTTTTTGGGGCACTAACATGCATGGAGCTGTCATCTCCTATAGTAATAACGCCTTCTTCTCGACACCTCCTAAAGGATCTCCTTGAGGCTATTTAAGAATTAACGTTTTTCTTTTATAAGTTAAAGGAACAAATATTATAGTAAATACATAAACCAGTTACACAATCATTTATTATCATTATCAGGGATGATGCACTGTACATAATTGTCTGTCCTAGACTTTTTTTTGTTTTTTGAGACGGAGTCTCGCTCTGTTGCCCAGGCTGGAGTGCAGTGGCACGATCTCGGCTCACTGCAAGCTCCACCTCCTGGGTTCACGCCATTCTCCTGCCTCAGCCTCCCAAGTAGCTGGGACTACAGGCGCCCACAACCACGCCCGGCTAATTTTTGGTATTTTTAGTAGAGACAGGGTTTCACTGTGTTAGCAAGGAAGGTCTCAATCTCCTAACCTCGTGATCCGCCCGCCTCGGCCTCCCAAAGTGCTGGGATTACAGGCGTGAGCCACCACACCCAGCCTTTGCTAGACTTTTATAGGACTGGCAGTACAGCAGGTTTGTCTAAGCCAGCATCACCACAAGCTCATGAGGAATGCATTACTGTACAACATTACCACAGCTAGGACATCACTAGGCCATAGGAATTTTTCAGCTATAGTATAATCTTATGGTACCACTGTCATATATGTGGTCTATCCTTGACCGAAACGTTCTTATGTGGGGCATGATTGTATTTCCAGTGAGAAGGTTAGCAGGAACTGAGGTTTAAAAAAAAAAAAAAAAAAAAGCTGGGTACAAGCTAGGTAAGGTGGCTTATGCCTGTAATCCCAGCAATTTGGCAGGCCAAGGCGGGAGGATTGCTTGAGCCCAGGAGTTCAACACCAGCCTAGGCAACATGGCAAAACCCTGTCACTACAAAAAAAAAATACAAAAAAAAAAAAAAAAAAATTAGCCAGGGGTGGTGGCATGTGCCTGTAGTCTCAGCTACTTGGGAAGCTGAGGTGGGAGGATCACTTGAACCCAGGAGGTCTAGGCTGCAGTGAGCCAAGATCACACCACTGTACTCCAGCCTGGGCAACAGAGTGAGACTCTGTCTCAGACCAAAAAAAAAAAAAAAGCAAACTGGGTAAGGGAATAGGTGTATGAGAGAAGGGAGGACCCAAAGGAGAGGACTCAAGGAATTGAGGGGAAGAGGAAAGCTTTAGGAAGGAGAAATGGTTCATGGGAAATCCCTGGGAGATGTGCACGTGGGGCCCACAGGGAGACTGGACTCTTGTGAGGAAGCAGCGTGACCAGCCCAGATGCCTGGTGCCCATTTCTACCTCCATGTCCCTGTCTGAGTCCCCATCCCTGGAGTAGCTTTGCTTGATTATCTGAGCCTCTGAATAAAAAACAACTTCAGTTCTCCTCAGAATCCATTGAATCCCCTCAGAGAACAGCGAGAGAGGTGGTGTTTGGACCGGAGAAGCCCTCAGCTGAGGTAGGCCTGGCCCGGGAATTAGTTAAGTCTGCTTGGTTGGTTTCCCATGGCTGCTGTGACGAATCACCACAGGCTTAGAGGTTTAAAACAATACAACTTTGTTATCTGATAGTTCTGGAGGCTGGAGGTCCTGAAACCACGGGTCAGCAAGAGCACTTTTCTCAGGAGCATCTCCTGCCTCCAGCAACCCCTAGGGAACTCCAGCACTGCTTAGCTCATGGCCCCTCATCACTCCCACCTCCACCCGCTCCTGACATCACTCCTCTCACCTTGTCTCCCTGCTTCCCTTTTTTTTTTTTTTTTTTTTTTTTGAGACGGAGTCTCGCTCTGTCGCCCAGGCTGGAGTGCAGTGGCGTGATCTCACTGCAAGCTCCACCTCCCGGGTTCACGCCATTCTCCTACCGCAGCCTTCCGAGTAGCTGGGACTACAGGCACCTGCCACCTCGCCCAGCTAATTTTTTGTATTTTTAGTAGAGATGGGGTTTCACTGTGTTAGCCAGGATGGTCTCGATCTCCTGACCTCATGATCCACCCGCCTCGGCCTCCCAAAGTGCTGGGATTACAGTCCATGCCTCCCTTTCCTAAGGACTCTTGTGGCTGTATTGGGTCCACTTGGACATTCTCCCTATCACAAGACCCTTAAATGAATCCCATCTGCAAAGTTTCTTTTAGCATGTAAGGTAACATTTTGGGAGGAGGCCATTATTGTGCCTACCACCCGCATTAGCTCCTCAACTTTCCCTTCCCAGAGGAGAACCAGGGACAGAAAACAATAATTCTGCCATTCCTCGAGTACTTACTGAGCATGTATTATGTGCCAGGTATTGTTTCAATCAGCTGGAACAGAGCGGTAAATAAAACAGACACAAATTCTTCACCACATGATGCTTATATCTTGGTGTTGGGAAGGAAAGAATATACATAATACATAAGCAAAACCTTTAGCAAGTAAGATGATAAAGAATCCTGGGTTGTCTTTGGTGGCTCACACCTGTGATCCCAGCACTTTGGGAGGCCAAGGTGGGAGAATTGCTTGAGACCAGGAGTTTGAGACCAGACTGGGCAACATAGTGAGATCCCTTCTCTAAAAAAAAAAAAAATTCTGGGCATTGTGGTGCATGCCTGTGATCCCAGCTACTCAGGAGGCCAAGGCAGGAGGATCATCTGAGCCCAGGAAGTCGAGGCTGCAGTGAGCTGTAATCACACCACTGCGCTACACCCTGGGCAACAGAGTGAGATCCTGTCTCAAAGAAAGAAAGGAAAAACTCCTAAGGAGAATAAACAGTAATTCAGGTGGTAGGAAGTGAGTATTTAGGTGCTGTGACTTTGGGTAGGGTGGCCAGGAAGGCTTTATGAGAAGGGGAAATTCCAGAAAAGATCAGAATAAAGTGAAGGAGAAATATGATCAATATCCATATTTAGAATAGATACAAGAAGTATCCATATGGATATTTGTGGAAAAGTGGTCCAGGCAGAGAGGAGGCACCAAGAGTCACTGGGTGGGTGCATGCCCAGTGTGGTTGAGGAACAGCTGGTGGCCACTGTGGCTGGGGTGAAGCGAGCCAGGCTGGACTCATGGTCATTGAGGACACAGTGGAGAAGGTGGCAGGATAGTAGGGAATTGTAGGACTTTGGCTTTGACTTAGAGTGAGTTGGAAGTGATTAGGGAGTTTTAAGCAGGTCAGATCAGATTTAAGGCCAGAGGATCTTTCTGGCCACTGTGCTGAGAACTGACCACAAGGGCAGAAGCAGGTGTCCAGCATGGTGGCATGGCCCAAGCTGGAAATGGTGGAGGTGACGGGAAACAGTCAAAGCCTGTGTATCTTGCAAAGGCAGAGCCAGGGGGATCCAGTGACAAATTAGATGTGCGACATGAAAGAGATATGGAGGGGTCAAGGATGACTCCAAGTTTTTTAGCAATTGGGCAAGTGAAGTTGCCATGTATTGAGCTGGAGATGACTAGGGAAAGGAGCGGGTTTGTGGGAACAGATCTGTTCAGGGTTGAGCATGGGTTGAGTCTGGGTTGTCAATTCAGTATGTTAGTCCGTTCTTACGCTGCTAATGAAGACTTATCAAGACTGGATAATTTATAAAGGAAAGAGGTTTAATTGACTCACAGTTCTGCATGATGAGGGAGGCCTCGGGAAACTTTCAATCATGGCAGGAGGGGAAACAAACATGTCCTTCTTCACATGATGGCAGGAAAGGAGAAGTGTGAAGCAAAAGGGGGAAAAGCCCCTTATAAAACCATCAGATCTCATGAGAACTAACTCACTATCACAAGAACAGCCTGAGGGTAACTGCACCCATGATTAAATTACCTCTCATCCCTCCCACAACATGTGGGGATTATGGGAACTACAATTCAAAATGAGATTTGGGTGGGGGCACAGCCAAACCATATCAAATATCAAAGACGAGATGACAGGAGGCAACTGGACACAGTCTCAGGGGACAGGTCCAGACTGGAGTTAAAAATTTGGATCTTGTTAGGAGCTGAATGTTTATGTGTCTTGCCCCCCTACTCAAATTTATATATGTTCAAGCCCTAATCCCCAGTGCAATAGTATTTGGAGATGAGGGCCTTTAAGAGGTAATTAGGATTAGATGAGGTCATGAGGGTGGGGCCTTTGTAGTGGGATTAGTGCCCTTGTAAGTGGAGGAAGAGAGAGAGCTCCTTTTCTCTCCACGTGCACACACCAAGAAAAGGCCATGGGAGTGCACAGTGAGAAGGAGGCCACCTGCAAGCCAGGAAGAAGGGCTGCACCAGAAGCCCAATCTGCTGGCACCTTGATCATGGACTGTGTTAGTCCATTTGTGTTGCTAGAAAGGAATACCTGAGCATGGGTAATTTATAAAGAAAAGACGTTTATTTGGCTCATGGTTCTGCAGGCTTTACAGGAAGCATGCAGCATCTGTTTCTGGTGAGGCCTCAGGCTGCTTCCACTCACAGTGGAAGGTGAAGGGGAGTGCCATGTACAGATCGCATGGTGAGAGCAGAAACAAGAAAGAAGGAGGCAGTGCCAGGCTCTTTTCAACAACCAGGTCTCTCGGGCATTAAGAGTGAGAACACACTCCTGTGAGAATGCTACCAATTCATAACTGAGGGATCCACCCCCACAATCCACCCCCACCTCCCACCAGGCCCCACTTCCAATATTGGGGATCAGGTTTCAACATGAACTTGATGGGGCCAAACAAACCATATCCAAACCACAGCATGGACATTCCAGGCTTCAGAACTGTGAGAAATACATGTATGGTGTTGAAGCCACCCAGTCTATGGTATTTTGTTATGGCAGCCCAAGCAGATGAAGACAGAAGTTAACAGCATGTAGATGGCATCTGAACACAAGGACCAGTTAAGCTCACCAAGAGAGGGAGTGAAGCTGGACACCCAAGGACTGGCCTTGGGAGCTCCCATGGTTGGAGGTCAGGAAAATGAGAAGTGGTTTCACTGATTTCTGTGCTACTAAGTCATCTACAGTAAGTAACATCTATGGCATGTGGAAGGAAGAAAAGATTGTTCAGAGAGCCACTTTTGTCCACCTCATATTGCAATGTTTTGCTTATTTCCAATTGGATGTTCATTTAAGTGTCCTCAAGTTTGAGGACAACCTCAATGTATTCATTTGCCAGGGCTGCCGTTAACAAAGCACCACGGTCTGGTTGGCTTAAACAACAGAAATGTATTTTTTCACAGTTCTAGAGGCCGGGGTCTGAAGTCAGGGTGCGGTCAGGATCTTTCTTCTGAAGCCTCTCTCCTTGGCTTGAAGATACCATCTTCTCCTTGTGTCTTCAAATGGTCTTCCCTCTGTGTGTAGCTGTGTCCTTATTTTCTCTTCTTAGAAAGTACACCATTCAGATTGGATTAAGGCTCACCCTAATGATCTCATTTTAACTTAGTTACTTCTTTAAAGCCCCTGTCTCCAAATGCAGTTTCATTCTGAGAGGCTGGGGGTTAGGACTTCAGCATAGGAATTTTGGGAGACCACAATGCAGCCTTCCTAACACTAAGTCAGGAAGAAGTAGATGACTTTCCTTTAGTTTTTGTCCTCTATATAACTTCCCTTCCCATCTGCAACAGAGGCTAAGGCATCCTAAACCCCTCAGTGTCCAGTCTTGCTCCTGCTAAAGAGACCCTGTCTTCTCAGGATACTGCAGTCACAGCCTATAATTGAATGGGCATCAACTTGGCTGTTGGTTCTTGGGCACAATGTTCACAGGCCAGGAGTCTGAAGTATCAGCCACCCACTAGGCTGAGATGTCTTGACATGTAGCAGAAGAGAATATGATCTAAAAATGTCAATTCCTAACCTTTCCTCAACTCCACAGTAACAACTCTCACATAATGTTTGTGGCTGTGGTTGTGGTTTTAATTTACTCTACCTTTTTCATGGGAGAGTCACATTAGGTTATAAAACAAAGATGCTGCAGAAGTACTAGTCTGACAGTGAGGACACTTAAGAAAGGGTGGGTTAGTTTCATTTATTTTTATTTTTTGAGACAGCGTCTTGCTTTGTGACCAAGGCTGGCATGTGGTAGCGTGATCTCAACTCACTGCTGCCTCAACCTCCTGGGCTCAAGCTATCCTCCCACCTCACTCCCCCAGGTAGCTGGGACTACAGGCACACACCACCATGCCTGGCTAATTTTTTTATAGAGATGGGGTTTGCCATGTTGCCCAGGGTGGTCTTGAATTCCTGGGCTCAAGCAATCCTCCCATCTCAGCCTTCCAAAATGCTAGGATTATAGGCATGAGCCACTGCCTGGCCTTTGGGGGTTAGTTTAAGTAACTAATTTGGGCAAGTTGCTTCGCCTGTCTCGTCACTTCTTTGTTGGGAAATGAAGACAATAAATCCTTTGTCTTTTGTATACCTAGATTGCTTTTTTTTTTTTTTTTTTCCAAAAGCAGAATATTTGGGGCCCAGTTTGCAAAGCACAGAGATAGCAAGACACTGAGACATGGAAAAGGGGCCCGTGAAATGGAGACTCTGAGCTGTGCTAATAACTAAACTCAGGGAACACAGAAAAATGATATAAGTCTTATAAGAGATAAGTCTTCGAGAAATACGAGAAAGCAGCAAAGACGAATGCCATGGGAACAAAGTGAAAATAGCAAAGTAAGTGGTAGAAAAAAAATCCAAAGAACAAAATCTGGAATCTGACCTCAACCTAATAATCCTTGCTGGAAGAAAAGAAAGAAGAGAACTCATTTCCCAACCAATAGAAATGGTCAGATTGGGGAGGCCCCAAAATAGGTACTCTTTGATATTATCACAGTGTGAAATTTTGGTACTTAAAAGAATGAATAATAGAAATATGTGAAAAAATTTATGTCCATTAAAATGAGTGATTCTCGGAGATTAGATCAGAACAGGAATATGATTTTTCTTTTTAAAAAGATTTTTTATATTGTACAATCTTATTAGGATAATATAAAATCAAATGGGAAAATATGAAAAGTACTTCAAGGTACCCGTAAAACAGATATCGCATAAAGGTTTGTCTTATTGCTATTGCTATGAATCTACCTCCCTAGAATTTTTAGAGTTTTCATAAGCTACAGAGGTTATGTTGTTCAACTTTTCTCATCACCAGCCAGCATCTCTCTATGCGTCTGTCCTGCCTCTTACACACTGCCAAGGTGACCTTGAACATCTAACTTAATTTCTCATAGCCTTTGTTTCTTCATTGGTGGAGATGAAAATTGCTCCCTCACACATGAATTTTGAGAAGATTAAATAAAACCATATAACAATAGCATTTATAACAATAAAATATCTTTGGCCAGGTGCCGTGACTCACACCTGTAATCCTAGCACTTTGGGAGGCTGAGGCGGGCAGACAGCCTGAGCTCAGGAATTCGAGACCAGCCTGGGCAACATGGTGAAACCTCTTCTCTACTAAAAATACAAAAAAATTAGCCAGGCGTGGTGGCGGGCACCTGTGATCCCAGCTACTCGGGAGGCTGAGGCAGGAGAATTGCTTGAACCGGGGAGGCGGAGGTTGCAGTGAGCCAAGATTGTGCTACTGCATTCCAGCCTGGGTGACAGAGTGAGACTCCATCTCAAATAAAATAAAATGAAAATAAATAATTTTTTGGGCCAGGCGCGGTGGCTCACGCCTGTAATCCCAGCACTTTGGGAGGCCGAGGCGGGCAGATCACGAGGTCAGGAGATCGAGTCCTGGCTAACACGGTGAAACCCCATCTCTGCTAAAAATACAAAAAAAAATTAGCCGAGTGTGGTGGCGGGCACCTGTAGTCCCAGCTACTCGGGAGGCTGAGGCAGGAGAAGGGCATCAACCCAGGAGGCGGTGCTTGCAGAGTGAGCCGAGATCGCACCACTGCACTCCAGCCTGGGTGACAGAGCGAGACTCTGCCTCAAAAAAAGAAAAAAAAAGAAAAAATTTTAAAAATAAATAATTTTTTGTATTTTTAGTAGAGACAAGGTTTCACCATGTTGCCTAGGCTGGTCCCGAACTCCTGAGCTCAGGCAATCTGCCTGCCTTGGCCTCTCAAAGTGCTAGAATTACAGGTGTGAGCTCAGCCCCTTTTTTAAAAAAGAAAGAAAGGAAAAGGAAAAAAGAACAGCCTAAGGGGAACACCATCCTGTTGCAAAGCAGTGGCGAACCCAGCCGGTACCTCTGGTTCCCTGGCCTTCCCCTTCCCTCGGTGTTTCCTCACCTCCCTGCCTGCACCAGCTGTGCTGCTCCTTCTCTGAACCAGTGCAGCGGGCATCTGTGAGATAATCTGACCACCAGCCCCTGCAGCCCTTCCACAGATAATACCTAAACCATCCTGCCTGGGCAGCAGGATGGGCCTGAGATGGGCACCCTGTTCAGGATAGACCATGGGGCCCTTCCCCAAGAATCTGGAGTGGAATGAAGAGAAACTATTTAGTCTATCTCTTAATTATCTCAATTGCTGTATCTATTTATTTATTTATTTATTTATTTATTTATTTATGGAAAGGAAGTCACTCTGTCTCCCAGGCTGGAGTGCAGTGGTTCCATCTTGGCTCACTGAAGCCTCCACCTCCCAGGTTCAAGCTTTTCTTCTGCCTCAGCCTTCCAAGTAGCTGGGATTACAGGTGCCCATCACCAAACCCAGCTACTTTTTGTATTTTTAGTAGAGATAGTGTTTGACCATGTTGGCCAGGCTGGTCTCAAACTCCTAACCTCAAGTGATCCGCCCACCTCAGCCTCCCAAAGTGCTGGAAATACAGGCGTGAGCCACCACACCCGGCATCAATTGCTGTATCGTTGAGACAAAGCAAGGACCTCTCTATAAGGTCTGCTGGGACCTAGTAAGCATGGAAATAATGGAAGACCTTGAATTCCTTTAAGGGAATTCCAGGCACCCAGCTAGCCTTGAGAAGTAAATGAGTAACCTAATAAGCAAAAAGGAAATAATCGCTTAAAACAATAGCTACTCAGCCAGGCGTGGTGGCTCACACCTGTAATCCCAGCACTTTGGGAGGCTGAGGTGGGCGGATCATGAAGTCAGGAGATTGAGACCATCTTGGCTAACACGGTGAAACCCTGTCTCCACTAAAAATTAGCTGGGCTTGGTGGCGGGCGCCTGTAATCCCAGCTACTCGGGAGGCTGAGACAGGAAAATTGCTTGAACCCGGGAGGCGGAGGTTGCAGTGAGCCGAGATCGCGCCACTGCACTCCAGCCTGGGGGAGGGTGGGAGACTCCATGTCAAAAAAAAGAAAAAAAAGCCACTCAAGGAAATTAGAACCACAGGATGTTTGGCTCCCTACAGAAACTAAAGATAACAAGTAACATATTAGTTCCTGAGTTGTTTTTCAGAACCCTGGACCCTCACCAGGTGGAAAATGCCTGCTGTCACGTAGATCTCAGATAAGGGGGAACTGAGGACCGAACTCTGACCACTGTTCTTTGTTCTAAATTTATTCCTGAGGGGCCCGTAGAGAGTCACATCCATAGCCCAAACCTTAACATTCCTTTCTGCGGATCCCGCGGTTTTAGACAAAGCTTTGCTTCCTTATCCTATTGCAAATCAAAGAATCTCTGAATTCACCTTTGAGCTGTAAGCATCTGCTTCAAGATATCCCCCTTTTTTGGACCAAATCAATGTCTAACCTCCATGTATTGATTTATAATTTTGCCTGTAACTTCTGGTTTCCTAAAGTGTACCACTGCCTTTAAAAACCCTTGCTTGTAAGCCCTCAGGGAGGTCAGGTCTTAAGTGACAGCTGTCCAATTCTCCTTGCTCTGCGCTTGGACACTCTACAGATCAATGTCCTTCTTTGTCTCGCTGCAAACCTTGGTGTTGGTGTTTGGCTTTAATGCACTGACTGAGCAGACCCAGGCTGGGTTTGGTAACATCGCATCAGCTGGGAGACTGTTGCAGCAACTGCTTTCTACCATGTAAAGGGAAACAGAAACATTTAGTCTGGGCCAGGCATGGTGGCTCACACCTGTAATCCCAGCACTTTGGGAGGCTGAGGCAGGTGGATCACCTGAGGTCATGAGTTCGAGACCAGCCTGACCAACATGGTGAAACCCTGCCTCTACTAAAAATACAAAAAATTAGCCAGGCATGGTGGCAGGTGCCTGTAATCCCAGCTACTCAGGAGGCTGAGGCAGGAGAATTGCTTGAACCCGGTAGGCAGAGGTTGCAGTGAGCTGAGATCATGCCATTGCACTCCAGCCTGGGAAACAAGAGCAAAACCACATCTCAAAAAAAAAAAAAAAAAAATTAGCCAGGTGTGGTGGCACACGCCTGTAATCCCACCTACTCGGGAGGCTGAGGCAGGAGAATCACTTGAAGCTGGGAGGCAGAGGTTGCAGTGAGCCGAGATCACGCCACTACACTCCAGCCTGGACAACAGTGAGACTCCATCTCAAAAAAAAAAAAAAAAAAAAAAAAAAAAGTCCAGACACTGTGGCTTATGCCTGTAATCCCAGCACTTTGGGAGGCCAAGGCGGGCGCATCACGAGGTCAGGAGTTCGAGACCAGCCTGACCAACATGGTGAAACCTTGTCTCTACTAAAAATACAAAAAATTAGCTGGGCCTGGTGGCATGCTCCTGTAATCCCAGCTACTCAGGAGGCTGAGGCAGGAGAATTGCTTGAACCCGGGAGGCAGAGGTCGCAGTGGGCCGAGATCCCGCCACTGTACTCCAGCCTGGCGACAGAATGAGACTCCATCTCAAAAAACACAAACAAAAAGAAACATTTAGTTTGCAGTGTGAAAAAGACGCAGATATCCAGAGGGAGGCAGAGGCAAGAGATAGAAAGGTGCATTGGTTTTCTAAGACTGCTGTAAAAAGCGCCATAGTCTGGGATGGCTTAAACAACAGAAGTGTATTCTCTCTCAGTTTTGAAGGCTGGAAGTCCAAAATCAAGGTGTCAGTAGGGCTGGGCTCCCTCTGAAGGCTCCAGGAGAGACTCTGTTTCATGCTTGTCTCTTGCTTCTGGTGCAGCCGGCAGTCCTTGGGGCTCCTTGGCTTGTAGATAGGCTCCTCCAGTCACTACCACCATCTTCGCATGGCCTATTCCCCAACCTCTGTGCCTGTTTCTTCTCCTCTGAGAAGACCGACCGTCATGTTGGATTACGGCTCACTCTCAAAAAGTATGACCTGGTTTTAACGTAATTACATCTGCAAAGACCCTGTTTCCAAATATGGTCATATTCTCAGGTACTGGGGCTTAGGATTTCAGCATATCCTTTTGGGAAATAATTCAATCCCAAACCAGAAGATTTCTTGGATTCTCTATGGCACAGCAGGCCCTGGCTCCATCTTGAAGGCCTGGCTGTGTCCTTGCCCTGGAATCTTGCAGTTCCCTAGTAACAAAGTCTATGATCACATTAGCTAGTCAGAGCTGGTTTCCCTACTTATTATCAAGAGAGGCCTAATTAATATGCTAGGCATAGTCCAATCCCATTATTGTGTTCTTCTTACTTTTGAGTTGCACTGCAGCTTTTCAAATTTTTCACTGGCCAGGTGCGGTGGCTCATGCCTGTAATCCCAGCACTTTGGGAGGCCAAGGCATGAGGATCACGAAGTCAAGAGATCAAGACCATCCTGGCCAACATGGTGAAACCCTGTCTCTACTAAAAATGCAAAAATTAGCTGGGCATGGTGGCAGTAGTCCCAGCTACTTGGGAGGCTGAGGCAGGAAAATCACTTGATTTTTTTAGTGAAAAAATTTTTCACTAAATGCTGAAGGGCAGGGAGGGGACAAGTAGAAAAACAATGCAACTTACCAAACACAGGTTTCTGGCCGGCTTGTTGTTTGCTCGGACCAGGTTTTAGCGTGTGTGTTCTGTTTGATTCAAAATCCAAAAATAGCATTTCCCAAACTGGATTATACAAAATGATGTTTTGAGGAAAAATGCATGCCAGAGATCATTGTATTTTAAATTTTACTTTTTGTAAAACATATTATAAAAGACAAAACTGAGGCTGGGGAGGTGATCAACTTGCCCAGGGCCCACCATCAAAAACAGAAAAGCCGAGACCGGAAACGAGTTCTCTGACAATCATATTCAATCGTAAGACAAAATACTGACAGATTTTTTTAGAATAGCTATTGACCAAATTGTCTAATTTTTCAACTATACACAAAGAGCCTAGCATGCGCCGGGCACTGGAACCAGACACTCCAGACAACAAGACCACCCCAGCACCTTGATATCCCTGCCTTTCAAAATACAGAAATTAAAATCATTATTTTCCTTAGATTAGCAGGAAACAGACTGTAATTCAATCAACATCCCCCACAGCAAACTCCATCTATGCAAGGAACCAGAGGGGTTCTTATGCCTTAATTCCATGGTTCTCAGTGTCTTTAACTAGACCATATTTTCAATGTTCATGCAAATTTCATTTTTGTTCCCTCATTTATTCTGTGTTTTTAAAAATAAACATTTTTGTTAAAAAGCATATGTCATAAATGGCGTGAAAAATGAAGAGGACTGTTGTAGAATAAAAAAGGCTTAAGAGACTGAACAAAAGATGTATTGAATTTGGTTAGATTCTGATTCAAGCAAAACACATGTAGAGAGAGAGTTTTGAGAGAACCAGGAGATGTTGATTATGGCCTGGATATTGTGATTCCAAGAATTATTAATTTTGTTAGGTGAGGTAAATGGCCTGTGATTATATAAGAACATGTCCGTAATTTTTAGAGGTATATTAAGAAGTAGGAGTAAAATGACAAGAACTTTGAAATGTGCTTTTAAATGCTACCACAAAGTGGGAAAAGAGCTAGCAAATATCACAAAAAGAGATGGAGTCTTGCTCTGTCGCCCAGGCTGGAGTGCAGTGGTATGGTCTCAGTGCATTGCAACCTCCGCCTCCCGGGTTCACGCCATTCTCCTGCCTCAGCCTCCCGAGTAGCTGGGACTACAGGCACCGGCCACCACGCCCGGCTAATTTTTTTTGTATTTTTAGTAGAGACGGGGTTTCACTGTGTTAGCCAGGATGGTCTCGATCTCCTGACCTCATGATCAGCCCGCCTTGGCCTCCCAAAGTGCTGGGATTACAGGCGTGAGCCACCGCGCCCGGCCCACAAAATTTATTTTTTAAAGACAGGCTTTCACTCTGTCACCAAGGCTGGAGTACAGTGGCATGATCATAGCTCACTGTAGTCTCAACCTCCTGAGCTCAAGCCACCGCCCCCCAGCCCCCGCACTCCCCCACCCAGCTTTAGCCTCCTAAGTAGGTGGGACTATGGGCGCATGCCACCACACTCTACTAATTTTTGAGAATTTTTCTGTGGAGATGGGGTCTCACACTATGTTGCTCAGGCTGGTCTCAAATCCTGGTCTCAAGTGATCATTCTACCTCGACCTCCCAGAGTGCTGAGATTGCAGGCATAAGCCACTATAGCTGGCCCTGGCCCAAATCTTGATGATAACTTAAGACTTTGTATTATGAAAATCTATTCTATCCTTTCTACTTTTGTTTGAAAATGTTTATGCTAAATTTTTAAAATACATGTTATTAAAATACTGGTAGTAATGATCACATGGTAACCTGTCTTAATCGTGTGATAACAATGTAAACTCAAAAATGCATTTTGTCTTAGACAATTTCTCAAGTGAGTTTCTGCTGTTCCTGGGTTTGACAGAGATTTTTAATTTGATGAAGTTTTTAAAGCAAATCATTTCACCTATACATCCTTCAAAATGGTTTAATCAAATCAGAAAAAAAATAAAAATCCTTGATTCATGGAGTTTTCATTCTGATGGGGTAGGGTTGGGGGAGACAATAAGAAAATAAACAAATAGGCCGGGCAGGGTGGCTCATGCCTGTAATCTCAGCACTTTGGGAGGCCAAGGCGGGGGGAATCACGAGGTCAGGAGATCGAGACCAGCCTGGCTAACACGGTGAAACACCGTCTCTACTAAAAATACAAAAAATTATCCAGGCATGGTGGTGGGCGTCTATAGTCCCCGCTACTCAGGAGGCTGAGGCAAGAGAATGGCGTGAACCCAGGAGGCGGAACTGCAGTGAGCCAAGATCGTGGCACTGCACTCCAGCCTGGGTGACAGAGCGAGACTCCATCTCAAAAAAAAAAAAAAAGAAAGAAAATAAACAAATAAATATACACCTATCAGGTGGTAAGCACTAACAACAAAAATGAAGGCAGGTGAGGGAATAGAGAACAGTGGGGCAGGCGCGATTTTACCCTGGGCTAGAGTGATGGTTAATTCTATGTGTCAACCTCACCAGGCCATAGAATGCCCTGGCATTTGGTCAAATGTTATTCTGGCTGTTTCTGTGAGGATGTTGGGGATGAGATTAACATTTAAATCCGCAGATGGAGTAAAGCAGGCTGCCTTCTCTGATGTGGATGTGCCTCATCCAGTCAGTTGACGGACTGAACAGAACAAGCAGGTAGACCCCCTTGTAAGTAAGAGAGCATTCCTCCTGCTTGAGGGCCTTGGAACCAGAACGTTGGCTTTTTTTCCAAACTTTCAGACTCGAAGGAAAACATGGCTCTTCCCAGGTCTTGAGCTGGCTGGCCTTTTTTTTTTTTTTTTTTTTTTTCTTAAGACAGGGTCTCACTCTGTTGCCCAGGCTGGAGTATAGTGGTGCAATCACGGCTCCCTGCAGCCTTGACCTCCCCAGGCTTAGCTGTTCCTCCTGCCTCAGCCTCCCGAGTAGCTGGGACTACAGGTGCACACCACCACGACTGCCTAATTTTTGTATTTTTTTGTAGAGATGGAGTTTCACCATATTGCCTAGGCTGGTCTTTAATTCCTGGTTTCCAGTGATTAATCTGCCTGCCTCAGCCTCCTAGAGTACTGGGATTATGGGCATGAGCCACTGCACCCACCCCGCCTCTTTACTGGAATGACACTATGGTTCTCCTGGGTCTCCAGCTTGCTGACTCGCCCTGAAGATCTTGGGACTTGCCAGCTTCCTTGATGGTGTGAGCCAATTCCTTACAATAAATCTCCCTTTATATATACATACATCCTATTGGTTCTGTCTTTTCTGGAAAACTCTGACCAATACAGGTAGTCAAGAAAGGCTTTCCAGCAGAGACCTGAATGAGGTGAGCATGCAACCTACATGTGATGTAGGGGAAGGTGCTCCAGGCAAAGGGAATAGGATGTTACCATGAGTTTGGAGACAGTAGTGAGGGGGAGAGGGAGAGGCGATGAGGTCATAGAAGCACCCAGACCAGGCGATGGAGGGCTGTGTGAGGGGTCCCCAAGACCACCCCCAGGTTCAGCGATTTACTAGAAGGCCACGGGACTCAGCATGAGGCCAGACTCACGCCTATGACTTATTCCAGAGAACAGATCCCAAGCAAAATCAGCAGAGGGAAAGGGCATGTGGGGCAGAGTCAGGGAAACCAGGTGCCAACTTCCAGAGCCGTCTCCCCAGGTCATCATACAGGGCACGCTTAGTTCCCCCAGCCACAAGTTGTAAGAACATGTGAGAACTGCTGTCTGCCCAGAAGCCATCACAGACTCAGTGCCCAAGGTTTTTATTGAGGGTTGATCACGCAGTGAACTGCCTGGTGTGTACCAAACTCCCAACTCTCAGAAGGAAAGCAGATGTTCTACACAAACCGTATTGTTTACACAAACAGTCCAGGCGCAGTGAGCCACTCTTATCAGTGAACAGTGTGACCTTCCTAAAATCTAAGTTCCCAGACACCAGCCCAGGGCCAGCCTTGCAAGCAGGCCTTTCTGGGGGTGGCAGTTAGACCTGCTGTGCTCCCTCATTCTGCACAAGGGCCTTCCTTACCGGCAGTGATAAGGATTTTGGAGTGTGGAAGAAGAGCATGGAAATGGAGGATGGAGGATGCCAGGATCCTCATTTCCTCATCCTGTCATGGAAACATTCAGAGAGGACAGAGGCCCCTGAGAATGCCAGTGCCAGTGGCCTGCTTCCCTACCATGGCCTCTCTGGAGCCTCTAAGAGGTCCTCTATGGGTCCTCCCAATCCCTACACTTGTGTCCACCTGCAGTGCAGTATGTGGGTGAGAGGGCTGCCCTGAGAACGGGAGGTGCTCCTCGCTCACCACACCTGAGCATGCCTGCAGGAGAACCCCAAGTGTTTGGGAGCTTGCTGGGCTGGGGAACCTCTGAGAGAGCTAATCGGCCAGTAGAGACCAGGTGAGAACCACAGGAGGCAGCCCTGTGCCAGAGTCCAGGGCCAGCTGTCAGCCTGCCATCCCAGAAGGCCAGATGGGGCCATCACATTGCAGCGGTCACCAGTCCAGGGACTAGGAAACACCAGAGACTTCACAGCAGAGAATTACCCATGTCTAGAAGACTGAGTGAAGTTCCGGGATCCCATCCTACCCTGCTACCACGAGGTCAGGCAAATGCCCTGTAATGAACTGAATTGTGTCCCCCCCAAAATTCATATTTTGGAGCCCTAACTCCCAGAGTGATAGTATTTGAAGAGGGGGTCCCTGAGCGGTAATTAGAATTAGATGAGTTCATGGCAGTGGAGTCCTCTCGATGGGACCAGTGCCCTTATAAGAAGAGAAGCCAGAGAGCTTGTTCTCTCTCTCTCTCTCTCTCTCTCTCTCTGCGTCTCTCTCTCTCGCTCGCTCACTCTGTCTCTCTCTCTCTCTCCCCACCATGTGAGCATGGTGAGAAGACAGCTGTCTCCAAGCCAGGAAGAGAGCTATCACCAGAAGAGGCCAATATTGAATTGATGTTGTTTAAAACCTTGAAAATAAGAGCATTTATTCAAAAGGGATCAATCATCCAAAAATCCAAAAGATCTTTTTTTACAAATATAGTCTTTATTGAGCATTACAAGTCAACAAAACCTGTGAAAAAAAGATTCCTTAATGGAAGTTTCAATTGTTAATACTTTTAACATGAAGCATAAAATATCAACATATTTGTTTATAACATTTTTTCTAGAAAAGGTTAAAATTTAACCAGAATTTAAAAAAAAAAATCCAGCTTGGTGTGGTGGCTCATAACTGTAATCCTAGCACTTTGGGAGGCTGAGGCGGACAGATCACTTGAGGTCAGGAATTTGAGACCAGCCTGGCCAACATGGTGAAACCCCATCTCTACTAAAAATACAAAAATTAGCTGGGCATGGTGGTGCGTGCCTGCAGTCCCAGCAACTTGGGAGGCTGAGGCAAGAGAATGGATTGAACCCGGGAGGGGGAGGTTGCAGTTAACTGAGATTGCACCCCAGCACCCCAGACTGGGTGACAGAGAAGATGCTGTCTCAAAAAAAAAAAATTCCAACACAAGCACATAGGCAGAATTTTAATGTTTTGGTAGTTTACGTTAAGTTGATAAAGGAAAAAATAACTAGTAACCATATGAATTTTACAGAAATTGAAAACCATGTAAACTAAAGGGTATCTTTTGAATTCAGTTTACAAGGTTAGAGGTTGCTTCTAGGTTATTTTATTTGCATCATTTCTTTAGAAATGACATTTCCAAGGTCCAGTGAAGACAAACACAAAGTGGATAGAAATTGCAGAGCTACAAAACATCTACAGTGCTGAATTATAGCAAAAGGAAAAATGTTTTTACAGCGTGCTTGCTTCTAGAAACTTTTGTTATTTCTTGTCTGTTAATTTCTTCCCAAAAAAGACTACCTAAACTAGTAAAGAATGACAAAACAAATACTTCACAATTAAAGTAGTTTAATGTTTTCTTTTACTGTTCAGCAGAGTGCTACACTCAGAGGAAGATCTCTTATAGAAGATTAGAGAACTGCTGTAATTTTGTATGGTTTAACAAGTCTCTTTCTATCCCCACCCCTTTCCCCTACTCTTCCCAGCTTCTAGTATCCTTTTTTCTACTTTTTATTTTTATGAGATTAACTTTTTTTTAGCTTTCACATATGAGTGAGAACAGGCGGTGTTTAACTTTCTGTTCCTGGCTTGTATCACTTAACATAATCCTCCAGTTCTATCCATGTTGCTGAGAATGACAGGATAGGAAGAAAAGTTCTAGTGTTCTATACCACTGTAGGATTGAGAGGTGAAGCCAGCTGGACTTCCTGGGTCGAGTGAGGACTTGGAGAACTTTTCTTTCTAGCTAGAGGATTGTAAATGCACCAATCTGTGCTCTGTGTCTAGCTAAAGGATAGTAAATGCACCAATCAGCGCTCTGTGTCTAGCTAAAGGACTGTAAATGCACCAATCAGCACTCTGTAAAATATACCAATCAGCCCTCTGTGAAATGGACCAAACAGCCGGACGTGGGCGGGCCCAAATAAGGGAATAAAAGCTGGCCACCTGAGCCAGCAGCGGCAATTACCATGTTGTAGAAGCTTTGTTCTTTTGCTCTTCACAATAAATATTGCTGCTGCTCACTCTTTGGGTCCGCACTATCTTTATGAGCTGTAACACTCACCACAAGGGTCTGCGGCTTCATTCCTGAAGTCAGCGAGACCACAAACCCACCAGGAGGAACAAACAACTCTGGATGCACCACCTTTAGGATCTGTAACACTCACTGCGAAGGTCTCCAGCTTCACTCCTAAAGTCAGCAAGACCACGAACCCACCAGAAGGAAGAAACTCCGGACACATCTGAACATCTGAAGGAACAAACGCCGGACACACCACCTTTAAGAGCTGTAACACTCACTGCGAAGGTCTGCGGCTTCATTCTTAAAGTCAGGGAGACCAAGAACCCACCAGAAGGAATAAATTCCGGACACAGGATGACTATAGTTAACAATAATATACAGTTTAAATACCTAGAAGGGGGATAGCGAATGTTCCCAATACAAAGAAGTGATACGTGTTTGCGATGATGAATATGCTAATTACCCTGATCTGATCACTATACATTGTATGTACTGCAACATCCCTATATACTCATAAATATGTACAATTATTATGTATCCATTTAAAAATTTTCAAAAAAAAAAACAACTGCATGTATTTGTGTATCCATGAAGGGTGAGAGTAAATTTTCAGCCTGGTACACATTCCACAAATATTTGTGGAAAACTACCACTTGCTAGCACTGTTCCAGGAGTGAGGTCCATGGGGCTTGAGAAACTCATCTCCTTCCCCGATAGGGATGAAGCTTTCCACCTTATGACGTGAGTGAGGGCTGAGCTTGGCATGAGTAGTCAAAGAAGCCGCATCCCAGGAAGTGTCCATTGGGCTGAGATCTGATGTTAATGCACAGGATTTAATCAGGCAAGAGCAGAAAAGACACTTGTTCTGAAGCCTGGGGTAGAGAGAGAAGAGCGTATTGGAGCTCCTGCCCCTTGACAGGTGGGGCAACATATCACTCAGGATTCTCCAGAGATACGGAACCACCAGTGGCATAGAAGTGTGCATGTGCATGTGTGCATATGTGTTGTATTAAGAGATTTGTTTCAGGGAATTGGCTCACAGGGTTGTGGAGCTGACATCTGAAATTTGTAGGGCAGGCCAGCAGGCTGGAAACTCTCCCACAGGAGCTGATACTGCAGCCTTGAGATGAAATTTCTTCTTCCTCAGAGAAACCTCAGCTTTGCTCTTCAGCCCTGCAGCTAACTGTGTGAGGCCCATTCATATTATCAAGGATGTCTTAGTCTGTTTTGTGTTGCTATAACATAATACCTGAGACTGGGAGATCTATAACAGACAATTTCTCACAGTTCTGGAGGCTGGGAAATCCAAGATCCAGGGGTTGGCATCTTGTGAGGGCCTTCTTGCTGCATTATCACATGGCAGAAGAGTGAAAGGGAGAGTGAAAGAGAACAAGAGATTGAACTCACAGCCTCAAGCCCTTTTATAATTAGCATTAATCCATTCATGAGAGTGGAGCCCTCATAACCTAAACACCTCCCATTAGGCTCCACCTCTTGACACTGTTGCACTGGGGACTAAGTTTCCAGCACATGCTTTTTGGGGGCCACATTCAAACCACAGCAGAGGGCAATCTCCTTTACTTAAAGTCAACTGATTGTGGACATTCACCATCTACAAAATGCCTTCATCACAACACCTAGATCCACTTGAATAAGTGGATACTATTGCTTGGCCTAGCTGACACATGAAACTAACCATCACAGGCAGAGAGGCACAAGAGGCACTTATGCCCCTGCAGGCCCCACAGGTGCTGATCTGCACGTGTACCCAGCAGGACATAGGTGAGCTGAGGTGCAGCTGGGTGAGGCCAGGCTGGCCAAGGGCTAAGCCTTTGAGCACTGTTCAGGCTGGGCCTTTGACATGAGATGATGAGGTCAAGAGAGCCAGGGTCCTGTGCAGCAGCCTGAGTTTCACTTATGATATAGTTTGGATATTTGTCCCCACCCAAATCTCATGTTTAAATGTAATCCTCAATGTTGGAGGTGGGGCCTGGTTGGAAGTGATTGGATCATGGAGAGGATCCCTCATGAATGGCTGGGGCCATCCCCTTGGTGATAAGTGAGCTCTCTAAGTTCACACACGATCTGGTCATTTAAAAGTGTGTGACACCTCCCCGCCGCCTTGCTCCTGCTTTCACCATATGACATGCCTGCTCTCCCTTTACCTTCCACCATGATTGTGAGCTTCCTGAGGCCTCCCTAGAAGCTGAGCAGATGCCAGCACCATGCTTCCTGTATAGCCTGCAGAACCATAAGCCAATTAAGCCTCTTTTCTTTATAAATTACTCAGCCTCAGGTATTTCTTCAGAGCAACGCAAGAACAGCCTAATACAACCTAACTTGCTCCTCCCCATCTAGCTTCTGCTGAAGGCAACATCCTCCCAAAGACCAACCTGAAGTTCAGCTGAATCCCAGCTCCCTGCATGGAATAGGGCTCCATGCTTAGACCCTTACAGGCCTCTCTCCTATCAGTACACTCACATCTTTTATTCAGAGGCAAGTTACCCACATGCGACAACCAGATGTGTGTTTCTTCGCAACCTATCACAGTTCTTGGTACATAGTAGCTGCTAATTAAATGTCCATTCTTTCCCCCTTAAGTTCATATGAGATGGTCTGTAGACTATCCTGGGTGCCCTTCTCTATGCTTTGGTCTCTCTAGTTTGTCAATATTTTTCTTAAAATGTGTGGCACTCAAAAATCTGATATAATGTTCTCTGTGTTTACAAACCAAGTCGAAGAAACTATTGTTTTCTGTGATCAACTACTAGATACCAATTAATTCAATTTAAGGTGCAACTGGTTTTTTTTTTTTTTGGTCCCTGCATTTGTTCACTCAGTAAACATTTATTGAATGCTGACTATGTGCCAGGCATTGTTCTACATATTAGAGATACAGCAGTGAACATGAGCTTACATTCTAGTGGGAGAGACAGATGTTAGCCAAGCAGACAGGGAAGTACACCAGATCGTCTCAGATTATAAGTGTTAGGAGGACATGAAACAGTCTAATGTTGACAGATGCAGGAGGCAGATAAAGGGGAGGGTCCCTGGAGAATCTCCAACCTGCCTGTGTGCTGGGACAATAGGGTGGAGCCATGGAAGTTCTCTGTGTGCAGTGGGGAGGAGCCTGGCCTCTTCAGTTCCTGTGTGGTGGCCTCTGGTATTCAGTCCGTGAGATAGGAGCCTGCTAGTATGACTCTCTCTCACTTTGCTGAGTTTTTTTTTTTTTTTTTTCACGACTCCCTCTCACTTTGCTGAGAGTTTTTTGTTTTTTTATTCTTTTTTCCTGTTGCCCAGTAAATTCTGTTCCCCTCACCCTTCAGTGTGTCTGTGTGCCTAACTTTTCCTGGTCATTTTGAAGCAGCATCCTTGTCTGGGGGTAATACCCAAGGTTTGTTGTCTCATGCCAAGAAAATTAAGGATACAGACACATACAAGGAGTGAGTCTAGGAGCAAAAGTTTAATAGGCAAAAGAAAGAGAAAGGGGAACAGCCCTCTCTCGTGCAAGTGTGTGTGTGTGTGTGTGTGTGTGAGAGAGAGAGAGAGAGAGAGGCACCCGAATGGGAATTCTGGCCCTTGGTGGAGTGCACCAGATTTTACAGACAGGCTTGAGGAAGCGGTGTCTGATTTACATAGGGCCCAAAGATTGGTTGAACCAGGTGTGATGTTTACATAACTCGCAGGGAAGCTGGTGGCCCCACCTTAATCTTATTATGCAAATAGGTCTTTGCTTGGCCTGTGCCATGTTGCCTGCTCCTTACTGTACACATGGCTGGCAAAGAGAAGGGAAGATGGAGCCACCATTTTGAACATGCGTAGTCCCAAGTAACTTTTTCCTATTGGCGCAGCTGCCGGCATTCACCTATGCAAGCTTCTAGCTTGCTAGTCTATATCTGCAGCTCGATTTTACAGGCTGCTTGTTGTTAGAAAAGAAAGTTATTTGGGGCCGGCTTTTCCTTAAAAGGAAAACCTTATGAAGGACTCCTGTGCCCTATCTGCCTAAATAATTTCCTCTTAACTCCTATATCATTGTGACAAGAACCTGGCTTTAGCTCAACTAAGGAGCAAAGTTCTACAACAACATCATAGGAAGTGACTGGGAATGGCGATTGGTATTGGGCTGGATGGTGAGGGAGAATCTCTTTGAGGGGGAGACATTTGAGCAAAGACCTAACCACAAGTGACTACATAAACAGCACAGTATCACACTGTTGATCCAATCATCCATTGTTTTGATGAGCCAATCATCTAAACAAGCAAAGAAATAAACCCAAAATCCCAGATTTCTTTACACGAATTATTAAGCCTGATCTTCCCATTCTGCCTTTAGCAAGGGATGTATGCATTATGTTTCTGTGATAATGACATTCTCTAGTATCTGTATTTGATGCTTTAACATCTTGGGGCCTTGCTGACCCTGGAGGTTCTGCCCCTCCCAGGGTTGGCTAGTTCCTAGAGGTAAAGAACTCACTTGCAAGTGTGCCTTTCAAATGCAAACCAACCCAACTAGAGCCCCTACCCTGAGCACCTCCTCTATGGGGCTCTTCTCGTAGGACCTCTATCCCCCTCCCCTAATTGCCCCCAGGCCAGGTACCAGACAACTGGAGACAGCTCCTGTGCTCCAGAGCCTGCTAGAATTATTCATACTAGCCAGTCGTAAGCCTGCCCATCCTGCCTTTCCGTGGAAACTAACAAAATCCCTTGTCGGAGTACCCCCTGCTCCCTCTGCCTCCTGCCTGAGCCGGTGCTTCCCCGCGGGGCCCTGCACGGGCCATGAGAATAATACAAGCTTCTGCCTTCATGACATGAAGGTCCTTGTCTGCATGTTTTACCATACCTGATTAAAACAAATCCCAGGGACAATTTAAAACTGTTTTCACTTATCTTCATTAAATCTCTTCCTGTTTGCCTTGGACCACTGTTTCAAGCTGTCACCATCATTTGAAGCTCTTGGGTGTCTTCTGTCACACTATTTTCCTTCCCATCTCTGTGTCATCTGCAGAGTTGATAAATGTCTCCTGCATATCCATGTTCATGTCCATCTCATATCCCATCACTAGGAGGAGTCACGGGCTACATCCTGTGATATTCCCCTAAAACTCCTTAGTGAAAGCACCGCCATTACTTAATTCAGGAGTGAGGCCAATTTATTTTAACTTCTCTAAAACCTCTTTATCAGAAGCTTCACATTTTTCTATCTTGTAACATGAAAGATGATATTAATTCCCTGATGAAATTAAGAACATTGGACTCTAGCATCACCTTACTTTATCAATGCAATATTGTGATATGATGAGATATATATATTTGTTCTCTGCTCCCAGTTCCAGAGACAGCTCCTAAAAACCCTTGTAGATAGGTGTGCTAGGACAATCTTCTGCTCCAATATTTGTTCTTTGACGCTGTTCCTGACACAGAGCTCCTAAATTCCTTGGAATTTAATGGGTGATATGAGTAATTTTTTGTATGCTAATGAGATGACTGTGAGCTGGTGGATTCTGGAGAACCTCAGGATGGGACTGGCTGCCAGAAGACCCAACCATGTGATATAAGGGTTGGGACTTTCAGCCCCACTTTCCAACCTCTGGCAGGAGGGTAGAGGAGCCCTGAAGGCTGAGTTGATCGCCAATGGCCAATGATTTAATCAATCATGTCTATGTAATATAGCCTCCATAAAACCCCCAAAGACTAGGGTTTGGAGAGCTTCTGGACTGTTGAACACAAGGAGGTTCTGGGAGGGTGGTGTGGACCAACAGAGCATGGAAGCTCCATGCCCCGTCCCACATCTTACCCTACACATCTCTTCATTTGGCTGTTCAGCTGTTTCTTTTGTATTATTCTTTATAATATATGGGTAAACACAAGTGAAATTTGTTTTGAGTGCTGTGAGCTGCTCTAGCAAATTAATTGAACCCAAGGAGGGGATCATAGGCACCTCCCATTTCTAGCCAGTTGGTCAGATAGAATAGTCTGGGGCTTACAACTGGCATCTGACGTGGGGACAATATTTGGGGACTGAGCCCTCAACCTGTGGGATCTGATGCTACCTCCAGGTAGGATTTGAACTGAACCATAGGACACCCAGCTGGTGTCGAAGTGGAGAAAACCTACACACATTTTGGTGACCAGAGGTGAAGCGTTCTGTGTTGCAGTGACTGTTTAAAAAAGAAGAAAAAGTGGGTTTTTTCTATCTCAATCAACCTAGTGTCAACTTCAAAAAAAGCAAATGGGATGAATTTTGCATGACATGTATTTTGTTGATCAGTATCGTTTTCTGATTGTCATCATGTTATTTTAAAAATGCTTGTGAGGTGCCGGGCACTGTGGCTAATGCCTGTAATCCCAGCAGTTTGGGAGGCTGAGGGTGGGTGGATCACTTGAGGTCAGGAGTTCGAGACCAGTCTGGCTAACATGGCAAAACCCTGTCTCTACTAAAAATACAAAAATTGGCTGGGCATGGTGGCTCACGTCTGTAATCCCAGCACTTTGGGAGGCTGAGGCGGGCGGATCACGAGCTCAGAAGGTCGAGACCAGCCTGGCCAAGATGGTGAAACCCTGTCTCTACTAAAAATACAAAAATTAGCCAGGCGTGGTGGCACACATCTGTAATCCCTGCTATTTTGGAGGCTGAGGCAGGAGAATTGCTTGAACCCGGGAGGCAGAGGCTGCAGTGAGCTGAGATTGTGCCACTGCACTCCAGCCTGGGCGACAGAGAGAGACTCCGTCTCAAAAAAAAAAAAGCTTGTGAGGAATTTTTGCCAAACATATTAGTCCATAGGTTCTGGCATTTTACCTCATTCCTTTTTTAAGAAACTAAGACACCATTTGCTAGAATTAAGAGTCTTTGCTTGTTTCCTCCATGAAAATTGATAAACGTATGAGAATTTGGGAGTGTTGCATGACCATGACACTCATTCAGAGCAAAGATGTAATTACCATGAGTCCTGACGTCATATTCCCAGCACGATAAGCAGCGAATTCTGGGCACTTGCAAGTATCAAAATCATCAATATTGCCCATAGCTGAGATCATTAGAGAGGAAAAAAATTAAAACTGAGAAATAAAAATAGCAAAAATATTTTTTAAAAATTCTTTCCATTTATTTTAGCCTCTACTCCCACTTCAAACACAGAGGAATATTTTAGCAATGCCCATGAAGGTTTCTTAAATTAGAATACGGAAATGGTAAACTAATGCATGTTTTTAATAAAGCAATGAATGCTGCTTTTAAAATAAAATTAGTCTTTAAAAGGACTTGAGAGTTCATTTTTCTTTTTAATTTAAAGGCTAGAAAGTCGCTCCTTTACTTCGCTTAAAAAGAAATTACTGTGGTGTGGCTATTCCATGCTTTTATGTGGTTTTTATTGCATTTGGGGGCCATCTTTTTCTCAGCACAACAAAGATGTCAAAAAAAAAAAAACTATCTGTAAGAAAGAATTTTTCATTCTTTACATTTTAAAAAATGTCTTTAATTTTGGTTGCTCTTAAACATTAACAGCCTTTTAAGATTTAACTCCTGACTCAGGAAAACAAATTAGCAACCATTTTCCTGATCTGGATTTTGTGTTTTTCACCTTGTTGTTCTAAAATGAGGGAAGAGTCAGGTGCGGTAGCTCATGCCTGTAATCCTAGCACTTTGGGAGGCCGAAGCAGGCGGATCATCTGAGGTCAGGAGTTCGAGACCAGCCTGGCCAACATGGGGAAACCCTGTCTCTACTAAAAATACAAAAATTAGCCTGGTGTAGTGGCGGGCACCTGTAGTCGCAGTTACTAGGGAGGCTAAGGCAAGAGAATTGCTTGACCCTGGGAGGCGGAAGTTGCAGTGAGCTGAGATTGCGCCACTGCATTTCAGCCTGGGCGACAGAGGGAAACTTCATCTCAAAAAATAATAATAGTAATAAATAATAATAATAATAATAAAATGAGGGAAGAGCAGACTTTGTGAGGGGCCTACGGGTCCTTCGAAGGGAGTCAGAGGAATAGCAGGGGCTGCTTCTGCTACGATAATTTAGTAGGAGCCCCACACCTGGGCCAAAGGAGCGCATCAGAAAGACTAACTAGGCCAATTGCTTCTGCACAACTGGAGCACCAGGAAGAATCAAAATCAGCCCCTGAAATATAAATGCTGACCTAATTTCAAGGCAGGTTGATAGTGAAAATGTTGTATCACACCCAGGGAAACAACAGCTACACTCAGGTGAGACTCCACGAAGACAGTCAATGTTTGCAAGGGTCAGAGAGAACAATATTAAATATTTAAGAACCAGATGATATTTAGGCATGGATTGATTCTGGTTCAGGAAATGTGTATTTAATTGCTTTCAAAGGGTGCTGTGATTTTCAACAACGCAGGTTTTTGTTCTAAGTGATTTAGGAGAATTGAAAAGTGAATGTCACGGCTTTGTCTGCCTTGTGACATGAGCTAGGAGCCCCTTGTGACATGAGCTAGGTGAGTCAGCAAAGGAGCAAAACCAAGCAGGTGGAGATGACTGTGAACAAGGAAGCCGTGGACCCATCCTTAGAGGCTGTCACCTCTTCAGGGAGAGACTGTTTCCACGTGGACTTCGCTCCGCCACCTGCATCACAGTTACTGGCACATCCAGGGCCTCTATATGGGTTTGCGTGGTTGAGTGAGCTAATATCTATGTTATGTTACAGAAAAACTTTAACAGACAAATCAATGGCATCGGCTGTCGACGATCTCAATGCAAGACCATGAGCAGATGTTTCTGAGACCTAAATTTTACAGTCTATTTATAAAATTGGTAGAGAAACTTCACCCACCCACTCACCCACCAGGGAAAGTGCATAGCAGAGTGTTTGCTCTTTTATTCGTTCATTAATTAATTTTCCTTTTTTAAAAAATTTATTTATTTATTTTGAGTTGGAGTCTAGCTGTATCACCCAGGCTGGAGTGCAGTGGCACAATCTTGGCTCACTGCAACCTCTGCCTCCCAAGTTCATGCAACTCTCCCACCTCAGCCTCCCAAGTCACTGGGATTACAGGCATGCACCACCACATCCAGCTAATTTTTGTGTTTTTAGTAGACAAAGTTTTCACTGTGTTAGCCAGGATGGTCTTGAACTCCTGACCTCAAGTGATCCACCTGCCTCAGCTTCCCAAAGTGTTGGGATTGCAGGAATGAGCCATGGTGTCTGGCCTATTTTACTTTTAATTATGAAAACTTTCAGATATACCCAGAAGTGGGGAGAATAATATAGTAAACCCCCATCAGCCAGCTGCAACATTTACCAACTATTGCAAGTGATTAGCGACTATTTGGGCCAGTAGCACAGGCAGTAAGAAGAATTTACCAAGACAGTTACAGGTATAGAAAGGCAGATTTATTAGAGAAGGTATGAAAGTATGTTGCAAGGAAGCAATGGGCAGGTCAGCAAGAGAGGAGCTGACTGCGAGGAGACAAAGGCTTGCTGGGGATTTTATAGGATGGTGTCTGTGCTGTGTGTTGAAGAGGGCTTTGTGCGGTACTGATAATGCCATGGTTGCAGTAAGCTCACTTGCATTTTTCTATCAGCTGAGGGTCTGGTGATAGCTGGGTGCGGGAAGATTTTAAGTTATTTGTGCAAGACTATGTGTTCTGGACCATGAAGAAAGGCAGACTTAAGTTTATCTGCTTGCTCTTTTTACTTTCTCCTGGCCCTGCGGGCCGGACTCCTTTTCTCTAATTAGGACTCTACACCAACTCTTGAATCTTATTTCATCTGTAATTCCATGCAGGTCCCTCCCCAGACATATACTATTTTGAAGCAAATCCTCAATATCATATGATTTCATCTGTAAACATGTTGGTATATTTTATATATATATGTATATGTATATATGTGTTGGTACAGATTTATGACTCTATTTTTAGGTATGATCGCAATCCTCTTATTTTAACAAAGAACATTCATATTCAGATTTCCCCACTTGTCTCATAAATGTTTTGTACAGTTGGTTTGTTTGAGGCAGGATCCAAATAAGGTCTAAACATTGTGTTTGATTAATATATCTGTTAAGTCTTTTTTTTTAAATTTTTTCTTTTGAGATGGTGTCTCGCTCTGTTGCCCAGGCTGGAGTGCAGTGGTGCGATCTTGGCTCACTGCAACCTCCACCTCCCGGGTTCATGCCATTCTCCTGCCTCAGCCTCCCGAGCAGCTGGGACTACAGGCGCCCGCCACCACAACTGGCTAATTTTTTGTATTTTTAGTAGAGACGGGGTTTCACAGTGTTAGCCAGGATGGTCTTGATCTCCTGACCTCGTGATCCGCCCGCCTCAGCCTCCCAAAGTGCTGAGATTACAGGCGTGAGCCACCGCGCCCGGCCTGTTAAGTCTCTTTATGTATCGATTTTTCTTCCCATTTTTTTTTCCTTGCAATCTTTTGTTGTGGAAGAAATCTGGTCATTTGCCTTGTATAGTTTCCCACATTCTGGAGTTTCCTGACTATATCCTTATGGTATTTATGTGTTCTGCTGACTTTAGCATTTCCTGTAACTGGTAATTAGATTTAAAGTCTTGACTCACGCAGTTCAATTTTTTGTGGGGGGAGGGGGTAGGAAGACTTTATAAGAGGATATTTTAAACTCCCAACAGGAGGGGGGTAATATGTGGTCTCTCTTTAGGCAGTTTGTGTCCATCAATGATCCTTACGTAAACTCTTTATTTCATTTGCAAACATTTGAATGCTGATCAGATATTTTTAGATGTGGTAATTAAATCATGGTTATGTCTCGAAAAAGAACCTTTATCTTTAGAGATACATACTGAAATATTTACAGATACTCTAATTCTATCATTTCTTCTTCCTTTGCTGGATCTGAAGCTCAAAGAAATGTCTAGAGAAACACAGTTTACATTAGCAAGGCAAATTAAATGATTTATTCTTTCCCCTTAATGACCAGTTTTCAAAATAACCTTTTGGTTCCTTAGAACTCCCCAGGAGTTATTATTTTTTTTAATGTAGTTGCAATATGGACTCAAGAACTTTAACATGTTTGATGTGTGACATGGTCTCTTTTGTCCAAAAACTTTAGGGTTCTGCACGCAAAACTACACATCTGTAAAAGTAACTTTCTTATCCTAATTATTTTCAAAGACACAACAGTGAAAAATAAGGGGTAGCAGGGGAAGAGATAGGAAGAACGATCTCTTAAATACTGCACAATGAGGAGGTCCAGCAGAGAAAAGAAAGCAGCAGGGAAAAGGAATTTCCAAACAAGAGAACGGAATGTGTGATTTCCCAAATGGTGGGGATGGAAGCTTGAGAAGAACGAGAAAATGTGAATCTCCACCCCAGTAATCCAGGCTCCAACTGTGTGGGGGCTGGACTAAGGCATCTCACGTGAATATCCATTCTTTTTTGCCTCCTTCATGCAAGTGGTTATGTGGGATAACAAAACTAAGCCCCACAGCCCTTGCTTTCTCGACTAAAATCCAGGGGACAGGTAAATTTACTCATAAGCTGCCACCCAACGTCTAACAAGCGTGAGTGATCAGCAATGGTGGACCTTCTTTGGTGATTCTACCATACTCTGGCAGTTCGATAACCAATATATCTCACCAGAAATAACCCGTCTACTTTACAGATGGGTACGCAGACATGATCAGCTTCACAGCAAGCAGGGAAACTGACTCCAGCAATGGAAATCACTGGTGTTGCCACCATATTCATGACTCTCAAAACTCAGGGACTCAGCAGGGCGTGGTGGTTCATACGTGTAATCCCGGTGCTTTGGGAGGCTGAAGCAAGAGCATCGGTTGGGGCCAGGAGTTTGAGACCAGCCTGGGCAACACAGAAATACCTCATCTCTATTAAAAATGTTTAAAAATTAGCCAACATGGTGGTGTGCACCTATAGTTCCCAGATACTCAGGAAGCTAAGGGGAGAGGATCACTTGAGCCCAAGAGTTTGAGGCTGCAGCGAGCTACGATCACACCACTACACTCCAGCCTGGGCGACAGAACCAGACCCTGTCTCAAAACAACCGCCACCACAAAAATTTAGGGACTCAAAGACCTTAAGAAACCTCACCATGGCCTCTGCAGGAAGATGAGCAGATCCTTATTAAAGGGTTAATTAATTAGTCCTGAAACCTACAATAATTAATAATTCATAGGCAGCCATGCCCCCACTTCCTGGGAGATGGCTTCATGTGTCCTTAATGACACACCCTGAGCAAGGCCACAGCTAAGCAGCTGTCCAGGGAAAGCCAGGTAGTATTCTTGAGCCTGGCCATGGGAAAGTTGCAGAAATCCGAGAGCCCAGTGGGACTGGCTGGTTTGACATCTGAATTAACTATGTTTTTTATTTTCTGTATCTTGTGATGTTTTAACATCTCCTGGGGCCCTTACAGAACCCTGAAAAGACTCCTTCTCCCAGGCCGGCTCATTCCTAGGGGTGGTGTAAAGCTTTCCTGTTTAGAGGAGGAAAAACTCCTTTCTCCCCCGTGGAGTTCTGTGGCTGGGCCTAACAAGTAAACTGACTGAGACAGATTAACAAGGGAAAAGCGCACAATTTACTTAAGAGTTGGGCCGAGTGCGGTGGCTCATGCCTGTAATCCCAGCACTTTGGGAAGCCAAGGCAGGCAGATCACCTGAGGTCAGGAGTTCAAGACCAGCCTGGCCAACATGGTGAAACCCTGTCTCTACTAAAAGTACAAAAAAATTAGCCAGGCATGGTGGCTGGCGCCTATAATCCCAGCTACTTGGGAGGCTGAGGCAGGAGAATCACTTGAACCCTGGAGGCAGAGGTTGCCATGAGTCAAGATCACAACACTGCACTCCAGCCTGGGTGACAGAGCAAGACTCCATCTCAAAAAAAAAAAAAAAAAAAAGGCTCCAAGCTGGGCTTTCCCCTCCCCGTCTTCCACTGTGGCTTCCCCGATGGCCCTGCTTGGTGTGGCGTGTCTCTTTCTCAGCAAATGTAATACCTTCTTCTTCCGATGGCATTGGCCTCTATAAATTAAATCCCGAGTATAATTTTAGAACAGGCCCCACAGGAAGAAGGGTCAAAGGGAGAAGTATGAGAAAAGTAGGCAGGAAACCAAAAAGAAACAGCAGGAGAAACCAAATGAACAAAATCTGAGTGATAAAGAAGGGAGCAGCAGACTCTGGGGATGTCCTTCCCTTCCCTAGCATAGGTAGGGACAGTGAGAGCAGGTGCACTGAAGGAAATGCGGGCTGGAAAAGGCCACAATAATCAATCACAGGACTGCCTCGATTTTTACATGGATGTTTGGCATTTTCAAATGATCTCATTTGAGCCTACATCTCCTTTAGGCAGGTACAGTTGTCTGTTTTTCAGACCCATTTGTTCAACAAAATATTTACTTTACGCAGGGGCCAAATTTCTAACAACACAGATATCACATGTCTTCTCTTCTAGCTCGTGGTTGTAGATGCCTGGGCTGTGCAAATGATTAAATAATGTAAGGTTGTTATTAATTATGGAGAACATTTCTTAATAATGTGCACACACCAAGTTCATAGCAGCATTATTCACAAATAGCCAAGCAGTAGAAGCAGACCAGCATCTGTGGATGAATGAATGAATGAATGAACTAAATGTGGTGTATATATACAAATAATATGATTCAGCCTTAGGAAAGAAAAACGTGGCCGGGCGCAGTGGCTCATGACTGTAATCCCAGCACTTTGGGAGGCTGAGGCGGACAGATCATGAGGTCAGGAGTTCGAGACCAGCCTGGCCAATATGGTGAAACCCCATCTCTACTAAAAATACAAAAAGTAGCCAGGTGTGGTGGTGCATGCCTGTAGTCCCAGCTACTTGGGAGGCTGAGGCAGAAGAATCGTGTGAACCTAGGAGGTGGAGGTTGCAGTGAGCCAAGATCACATCACTGCACTCCAGCCTGGGTGACAGAGTGAGACCATCTCTCAAACACACACACATACACACAAAACAAAATAAAATAAAATAAAATGCTAATATCTGAACCCTGCCTCAGACCTAGCGAATCAGGTGAACCCACTCTAAGGGGCTGCGGGGCAGAGCCTGTTTTATGAAGTCCTCTGCTAATGCTGGGCGCTGCAGTTTGAGACCCACTGGAATACATGTTGCCTAAGGCCACACATCTAATTATTAGCAGAACGAGGAGTTGAGCCCAAGGGTCAGGCTATGAATTGATTCTGTCTTCATTACATTACACAACCACAAGATAGAAAGCTGAGCCAGAAAAGCAGTCAATTACTCAGCAAAGCCTATGGTGACTCTATGGTACATACTTCCCTGGTCCACAGAGTTCACAAAGAGACAAACCAAGCCCTCCAGCCCCCAAGGACCACTGTGTGATGTGCAGGTGCACCCACTGAAAGGGACGGGCTGTGGGGCTGCTGAGCAGCCACCACCAGGGAGGGGCATTTCCTGAAGGTGTAACTGTGGCCACAGCTGAGCATCTGCATTGGTATTCAATGTGGCGACTAGCTCATTCAGCAAAACATGGAAGTGGGCTAAAATGGGAGAAGGTGCTGTAAGTTGAATCATGTCCCCCAGGAAGATAGGTTCAAGTCCTCACTCCCAGTACCTGTGAACGTGACCTTATTTGGAAATATGGTCGGCTTGGTGCAGTGGCTTATGCCTGTAATCCCAGCACTTTGAGAGGCTGAGGCGGGCGAATCACTTCAGGTCAGGAGTTCAAGACCAGCCTGGCCAACATGGTGAAACTCTGTCTCTACTAAAAATTTAAAAATTGGCTGGGTGTGGTGGTGAGTGCCTCTAATCCCAGCTACTCAGGAGGCTGAGGCATGAGAATCACTTGAACCTGGGAGGCAGAGGTTATAGTGAGCTGAGATTGCACCACTGCACTCCAGCCTGGGCGGCAGAGCAAGACCCTGTCTCAAAAAAAAAAAAAGAAAAGAAAAGAAAAAGAAAAAGAAAAAAGAAATAGGGTCTTTGCAAATGTACTCAAGTTATGATGAGGTCACACTGGAGTAGGGTAGGCAATAATCCGATATGGCTTGTTTCCTTATAAGAAGAAGACAAGAGACACAGACACATAAACAGAGAGAACCCATGGGAAGAGAGAGGCATTGATTGGCACAATGCATCTACAAGCCAAAGATTGCCAATGATTGCCAGCAAAGCACAGTAGCTAGGATGAAGGCCTGGGCAGATTCTCCCTCAGAACCTCCTAAGGGAGCCAGCCCTTGATTTCAGACTTCTGGCCTCCAGAACTGGGTGAGGATAAACTTCTGTTGTGTAAGACACCCCGTTTGGGGCAGTTGGTTACGTCACTATGTTGAGTTTTCCCAAGCAAACTTAAAAGCGTAGAATGTGTTTTAGAAAAGAAACAAGGGGCTGGGCGCGGTGGCTCACACTTGTAATACCAGCACTTTGGGAGGCCGAGGCAGGTGGATCACCTGCTGTCAGGAGTTTGAGACCAGCCTGGCCAACATGATAAAACCCTGTCTCTAGTAAAAATAGAAAAAATTAGCTGGGCGTGGTGGTAAGTGCCTATAGTCTCAGCTACTCGGGAGGCTGAGGCACGAGAATCACTCGAACCCAGGAGGTGGAGGTTGCAGTGAGCCAAGATCATGCCACTGCACTCCAGCCTGGACTACAAGAGCAAAACTCCATCTCAAAAAATCAAAAAACAAAAACAAGAAAAGAAACGAGGCAGAGGAGCAGAAAGAAGGAGGCCATAAGAGCAAGAGCTGGGGACAGACCCTAGCTCAGGCACTCATCCATGCCTTTGAGCCAGGTCAGCCCTTGATGTTTGGGGGTGCAGAGCACAGATGGACCCCCATTCCATAGGGCTGAATCCTTAAGGCTTAGAACCAAGTAAACAAAGAGCTAAGTATGTCCTGCCTGCCTACCTTGACAAATATTCCTCTGTAGTAATCTGGAGACCAGGCTCTAATTGAGCGTTCTTAGACTCTCTAGAATCTAGAATCCTCAGGGACTGATATCGTTTGGCTGCACCTGACCCAAATCTCATCTTGAATTCCCATGTGTTGTGGGCGGGACCCAGTGAGAGGTAATTGAATTATGGGGGCAGGTCTTTCCCATGCTGTTCTCATGCTAGCGAGTAAGTCTCACAAGATCTGACGGTATTATAAGGGGGAGTTTCCCTGCCCAATCTCTCTCTTTGCCTGCCACCATCCCTGTAAGATGTGACTTGCTCCTCTTTGCCTTCTGCCATCCCTGTAAGATGTGACTTGCTCCTCTTTGCCTTCCGCCATTATTGTGGGGCCTCCCCAGCCATGTAGAACTGTAAATCCAATTAAACCTCTTTCTTTCGTAAATTGCCCAGTTTCAGATGTATCAGCAGCATGAAAACAGACTAATACAGGGGGACCTTGGAGGAATTAACCCTCTAACTGAAAATACCTCAGCTTGTTAAGGGTTCATTACTTCTCTCTGGAGAACTTAAAAATGACAATGGACAATAAGCAACAGTAAGAACCAGGGATCCCAAACTTGGCATTAGTTTGCTGCTTTTCCCTCCATAGAAATAAATACAACACAATTTTCCCTGAAGGAAGGTGCAAAAAAAAATCTCTAGTTTTCAATTAACAAGGGACCCAAGGCTCTGTTTTCACTGGTTTAACTATACCTCTGGGTCAGATTCCTTCTTTTGAAATAATTAGATTGTGCTGAGACATTGAGACTAGCTTTCTTCAATCACATTTTTATTTTTTAACAGTTTTAATAGAATTCAAATTTTCATTACTACCTATTTCTATAAACAAGCTCATTTACCCAGTTCAAATGAAAATGAGAATAGGCTAGTCAGTAGGGGGTCCTTTAAGACATTTGGTGCTTTGGGAAAGAATTTAGCAAATATTCATATTTGAATTTTTTTTTGTTCATAAGGCATATATTAATACATAGCCAGGATGCAAACCAGGCACTTTCCTGTTACTTTCAATTAATAGATCAGGTTCTTCCTCTAAAGGATACATAAAATGTGGCCCAGCACGTTGGATCAGGCCTGTTATCCCAGCACTTTGGGAGGCCAAGGTGGGCGGATCACTTGAGGTCAGGCGTTCAAGACCAGCCTGGCCAACATGGCAACATGGTGAAACCCTGTCTCTACCAAAAAATACAAAAATCAACCGGGTGTGGTGGCGTGCACCTTTAATCCCAGCTACTCTGGAGGCTGAGGCTTGAGAATTGCTTGAATCTGGGAGGCGGAGGTTGCAGTGAGCCGAGATCGTGCCACTGTACTACAGCCTGGGCAACACAGGGAGACTCCATCTCAAAAAATAAATCAATCAATCAAAATAAAGGATACATAAAATGTAATACTACTGAAAAGCAGAATAATGAAAGAATAAACTCTCCCCCAAAGGAGTAGCTGAGAAAGTTGAGGATGTCACAGATTTTTGTCAATATTATTTTAAATACAATGAGTTTGATAATTCTTATAACTGTTACCTAAATTAACTTAATATTGGGCGACTAGGGTATGCCTGAGTCATAGCCTGGTTGCATGCTTCCACTACTTTTAAGATTGCTAGTAAAACATAGCGGTAACTTCACAGTCTGTTTGAAAAAAATTTAATATCATTCAGAGTAGATAATTAGTGTGGTATAACTTTCCTCTTTTATTTTGCTTGTAGACTGTGTCCTGGAAAGGGGACTGAAAACTAAAAAGAAGAAAGAGAAATGCAATCCAATTATTATAAACTGCTCATATTTTTCCAAAAGAAGCCATTTCTTGGAAAGGTTAGACAGAGTTACCTATGACCTCATGTGACAATAGTGAAAGATGAAAGAAAATCCAAGAAACCATTTTTTTTTCATTCATTTTAAAGTAATTTACAGAATAGTTCTTTTGTAAGACAACATTGGACAGTTTCTAAAGGAGAGACAGGTGAAACAATGGCTGAATTTTGAAACAAGCTCAGGGAGAGACAGGAGCTGTGGCCAGGAGAAGTCTGGCTGTGTATCCTACATCCTCAGTAGGAACTGATCAGGATCCAGAATCCCATCCTCCATTTTATATAAGTGCACAAACTTTGCATTTTATTGAAAAGCACAATCTTGTCATGTCCCACAGTTGGTCAGATTGGTGCAAATCCCCATCTAGTTTGCCTGTTTTGTCTTTATATAAATGGAGTCGTGCCATATGGATACTTTGCCTCTGGATTTCCTGCTTTCACTACACATTATGTTTGTGAAACCCATCCATGTTGTTGCATGTAGTAGTAATTCATTCTTTTTTACTGTCATGTATACTATTGAATACATGTACCAATTTTGTTATTTTATGTAACATTGGTACATAAATGTACCAATTTTGTTATTTTATCACAATAAAAAATCATTTTTAAAGGTATTGAGTAAAAATTAAGTTTCTCTTCCATTTCATCCCACCCAGTTCTAATGCTTCATGAGTGACAGTTTCATTGTAGGTACTTCCAGCAGAAAGGGATTTGATGTTTATAAGGAATGTGATGTTTACAAAATCTAGGCGAGGGCTGGAAGAGGGACTGTCAAAAGGCTACCCCTGGAGTTGGGCAGTTCAAGAGCAACCACCATGGCTATGACCCAGAGGTCAAGAAACCAATCCAGCCACCATCACCACCACTGCCTCTCAGCAACCACCATGTAGGCGCTGGCACAGTAATGTAGAATTCAGCTGCTCATGCCCCGTGGCCTTGCCTAGCAGCAAATGCTGCAGCAGGAAGAGGCCCTGTGCCTCTCTTCTGTTTCCCAAATTGCACATGAGCATATTCAACCAAGGGAACTACATTCACTTTCAAGATTCTAGCTGCAAAGGAGTCAGGGAAAGTAGTCTTCATCTTTCTAACCTCTACGGCCAGGATGGCACCTTAAAATGAGGGTAGACTGGAAGCTGAGTCAACTCACAACTCAGCCCACCTTCTCACAGGCAACCACTGCTGCCAACGACTTGGGGATCTTTCTAGAGATAACCCCTGCATAAACAAACATGATCACAGATATACCTTAAAAATACACACACACACACACACACACACACACACACACACACGTGCCATACTATTCATACTTTCTACATTTTTTTAACCAGACACCACAATATATGAAGAATATAGTTCTAAGTCATTCTATTTGACATAAAAGTACAATTTTGAACACTAAAATTTTTTGCTGCATACTTTAAGGGATTGGATAACATTCAGGATGATTTCACTCTATTGGATTGCACTTTCAAATGGCAATGATTTTTTAATAGAATCGTTTGAAAGAACAGCCTTGACCTCATGATAGAAAGTTCTTGTATGTTCCAAGAAACCAATGATCTTTTTATGCTGCTGTGCACACACTCTCACCTCCCACGCATGGCAGACGATGTCCATTCTAGACCAAGTGGCCACCTGCTCTCCTGCACATTCAGTCAGCCATAAGTCACCTTAAGGGAGTCTGCCATCTGTTGTGGCTAAAATAACTTTTACACTGTGGGAAAAGGTGTCTGTGCTGCGCCCATATCTCCTGGCAGGAGCCACTTTCGTGAATGCTGGCCTAACCCCCAATTGTCTGCACCTAACACTCTGTTTGGAGGCTCTTTCTGGCTTTGGTGATTTGTTTGGCCTGTACAGGGGCAGGATGGAAATGCCAGGAAATGAATGTCCCCAAAGCGCAACCCTCAACAGTGAAGTGGGTGGAAAATGCCCTTGCTCTTCCACCCCATGGGTGGGGAAACACTGGAGAGTATCTTTCCAGTGGCCCATGGGTCCTCAGCAATGACTGCTTTCATAAAGCATGCTTGGTTGCCACCCTTTCCTCTCCTGACTCATTTTCCCATCCCCAACCATTGTTTCCTGGAACCATGCTGCAAATAGATTACTACTTGTGCTGGAATCCTTGTCTAAAGGCCTGTTTCCAGGGGAACCCAGTGTTAAGACATGTACATGAGACAAAATTGGGCTGCAAACGTGGGAGGGGCTGGTGGCACCCCAGTGAAGGAAACCCAGTCTGCAAATGTCTGGCAGAGACACTGGATATTTACAGTGAAGGGGCTGCTATGGGCCAAATTGTGTCCCCTCAAATTCACATGTTGAAACCTTAACCCTCAGTACTCTGAGCATAACCATATTTGGAGATAAGGAGTTAAAGAGGTAATTTAGTTAAAATGAGGTCTTTAGAGTGGGTCCTAATCCAACATGACTGGTATCCTTAAAAGAAGGGGAGATTGGTCAAGCGAAGTGGTTCACACCTGTAGTCCCAGCACTCTGGAAGGCCAAGGTGGGCAGATCACTTGAGCCCAGGAGTTCAAGATCAACCAGGGCAATATAGTGAGATCCTATCTCTCTTTCTCTTTCTCTCTCTCTCTATATATATATTTTTTTAATTTCAAAAATATAATTAAAAAATATTTTTTTTTTAAAAAGGAGATTAGGTCAAAGATGCAGAGGAAAGACCACGTCAGGGCCCAACAAAAGCAACACCTGTAGGCTGAGGAAAGAGGCTTCAGAGGAAACCAACCCTGCCAACACCTTGACCTCAGATTCCAGCCTCCAGAACTGTGAGAAAATATGGGGTTTTTTGTATAAGCCACTCAGTCTGTGGTATTTTGTTACTGAAGTCCCAACAAACTAACATAGGCGCCTATGACTTCTAGCGACAGTCCATCTCACTTTTGGACTGTTCGGATGTTAAAAAATTCTCTATGTGGATGGAAATCCTCTTTCCCATAACTACTTTTATTTCAGCACTCAACCCAAAGAAATCTGCTCCCTCTTTTATGAGACAAGCCCTCACTTATTCATAAACCTAAAGAATTTTAAAGCTGGATGGTATCTGAAAACATCACCTAGGGGGCCTCTTCCAGAATTTACGAGGCTTTTTATATTAACTCTGAAAGTGTAAATAGGCTGTAACACTTAAACATTCTTCTAGGAAAAAATACTGTGTTGGCTGCTGTCCTGCTGTATCTCGTTTCTTTGATAGTGATTGGGAGGGTAAAGTAATTAAGAACTATTGGCCACATGTGGTGGCTCACGCCTGTAATCCCAGCACTTTGGGAGGCCAAGGCAGGCGGATCACTTGAGGTCAGGAGTTGAACACCAGCCTGGCCAACATAATGAAACGCTGTCTCTACTAAAAAAAAATACAAAATTAGCCACGCTTGGTGGCACACACCTGTAATCCCAGCTACTCAGGAGGCTGAGGCAAGAGAATCGCTTGAACCCAGGAGAGCAAGACTGCAATGAGCCGAGGTTGTGTGACTGCACTCCAGCCTAGGAAAACAACAACAAAACCCAAAGAAACTATTGATCTAGTCCCTCATTTTACAGGTAAAAAGAGCAAGGCCTGGAAAGGTTAGGTGGGGTCATACAGTGTGTGTATTGTGGCTAAGCTCAGATCAACCCCACGATTCTGGGTTCTAGTCTAGAGCCCCTTCTGCTACCTTGAGGAAGTTGGCAGCTTCCTCACTTCTCCCACTGCCAGGATAAACATCGCCATTCGCCACTGGGCCTCAGTCTCTCTTTTCAGTTTTGATCACTTTTCTCTGATGTGTCATCCAAGTTCTTCAGAAAGCAGAAGCTGAGAGGGAGTTAGGAGTGCAGTGATTTATCAGGGGACAGGGATGCCTGTGAAAGATAAAGGGGAATGAAAAGGAAATGGCTTCAGACCACCATGCTCATGTGAGCCCTGGGAAAGGATGGGGAAAGGAAGTGGCACTGGGCAGGAAGGGCCTCGGCCTGGGCTGTAGGTGTCACAAAGGCTCGTCCAACCATCCACTGCTCCAAGATCACCCATTTGCAGAGTCTCATGGTGAGCTGAGCTGGCCGGGCTCCCACTATACTCAGGGATTGGCTGAGAGCTGCCCAGCTAGAGTGTAGCTTCAGTCCCAGAGCTGAGGTCGCATCTGAAGGTACTGCAGCTGGGGGCTGCTGGGACCAGCATCCCTTTCTGCTGAACAGCAAGTTCTTCTTGCAGGAGATCCCAGCTGCATACTCTCATGGCTGCCACACAGGGCCACACTCTGCACTCTTGAGTTTCCTCTTAAAATATGGTGCTTGGGTCAGCCAGGTGTGGCGGCTCACACCTGTAATCCCAGCACTTTGGGAGGTCAAGGTGGGTGGATCATGAGGTCAGGAGATCGAGACCATCCTGGCTAACACAGTGAAACCCCGTCTCTACTAAAAATACAAAAAATTAGCCGGGCATGGTGGCAGGCACCTGTAGTCCCAGCTACTCGGGAGGCTGAGGCAGGAGAATGGTGTGAACCCGGGAGGTGGAGCTTGCAGTGAGCCGAGATCACACCACTGCACTCCAGCCTGGGTGACAGAGTGAGACTCTGTATAAAAAAAATATATATATATATGTGTGTATATATATATATATATATATATATATATAGTGCTTGGGTCCTAGCATACTACTCAAGTGTGATGCAAAGTAGAGCAGGTGTGATCACCTTCCTCTGTTCTCTGCACCTCTGTGGATAGAGCACAAGACTGCCTTGAAGCTTCTAGCAGACTTACCACCCTGCTGGCTTATTAGCTTGTAATCAGCCACACCCCACGGAACTCATTCTCTCTCCTCTCATACTGATTTTTGTGCAGCTGATTTCAACACCCAAATGCAGGCACGCTATATTTTGGTCAAAACTTCCAAGTCATTTCTGACTACCTACTAATACATATGTCAAGAGTTTTACTCAATTAGAGACCTTTTATTTTCATTTGTAAAAAAAAAAAAAACAAAAACAGAATTTTACAAGTGATAAATGTCTTTAGCCTTGTTCCTAAGTTTAAGAGAGTTTACACAGATCTTTAGTTAAATAAAGCTAGATTAGTGAACACCTAGTAAATTATTACAAATGCAGTAGTAAAATCAAGCCCTACTTCAATCATAGTTATAAACTGGAAATAAACTATAAATTTGAAGAGAATAAAGTTTTCTCCATGAAAAATTCTAATGAACCAAGTTTCACATAACACATATTTAGAATCTAAATTACAAGTACTCCTTAGAATTACTAAAAATAACCTCTTAATTTATGAGAAAGCTCTTCACTATTTTTAACAAAGAATTTTAAAACTCAACTTTAAGATAACGAGATGCAGAATATAGATTTAATTTCACTTTTACGATAACAGTTTTGTAAATATTTGGTAACCTTTTCCTTGTCTATTTAGAGAGCCTAATGGCTGGCTGAAAGCTTGTCATCTCAAAGAACCACGTCAGCTGCCCCAATTCTTTGAATTTTTTTTTTTGTCTTTTTTTTAGTAGAGATGGGGTTTCACCATATTGGCCAGGCTGGTCTCGAACTCCTTATCTCATGATCCACCCACCTCAGCCTCCCAAAGTGCTGGGATTACAGGCGTGAGCCACCGTGCCCAGCCTGAATTTTTAAAAAAACAAATGGCAACCAGCGTCTGTAGTTACTGGCTTCAGTTATAACCTCTTGGCAAGGTTGAATTAAAAACTATGGGGCTTGTAATTTTCTGTTTTCATATGGCCAATAATACTGAGGGGGGCCAGGTGCAGTGGCTCATACATGTATTCCCAGCATTTTTGGAGGCCGAAGGGAGAGGATCACCTGAGGTCAGGAGTTCGAGACCAGCCTGGCCAACATGGCAAAACCCCATGTCTACTAAAAATACAAAAATTAGCCAGGCATGGTGGTACATGCCTGTAATCCCAACTACTCAGGAGGCTGAGGCAGGAGAATCGCTTGAACCTGGCAGATGGAGGCGGCAGTGAGTGAGCCAAGATGGCGCCACTGCACTCCAGCCTGGGGGACAAAGCAAGACCCCATCTCAAAACAAAACAAAACAAAAACAAACAAACACTGAGGGGGAGGTCTCTTCAATTTCATCCCTGTGTTGAGCTGAAATCCATTGTATTTATTTGAGGGGGCTGTATCTTTACAATGATATGGTAATAGTCTACCCAGGGTCTCCAACAGAGGCTAAATGGGTACTCGGAAACTGTCCATGTAAAATGTAGTAACTTCCTCCCTTGTCTGAATTTGGATGTCACCCTCATTGGTAGCAGATCAGGCAAAAGCACACTCGATCTGTTATTTTTGTCATAACCTCACTTACCTAAGTCAACCTCACACCCATGCATATCCTTACACATGTCATTTACTTGTTATGTTTAAAGCCTCTCCTACTTGGTCAATAGCTGTTTTTGATGAGAGTTATCTCTCTTGTTGACGTATATCTTTCTGCTTTTTCGTATAGTTCTAGAATCGTCCAGACAATCAATAGTAAATTCTTATCACAAATCCTCTTGGCAAGAATGAGAGACAAATCTAAAATGTTAAATAATAAATACTTAAAAGCCAGGTAGCATAGAATCTGAAGTCAGGAAATCTGGTTTTAAGTTTCCACTATTTTTTCATCTGACCTGGGGCAAGCAATTTAAACTCTCCAAACTTCAATTTCCGTAGTCATAAAACTGTGGAAATACACCTTGTGAGGATCACATAAAATAACAGTGAATATCTGCCAAGTAATTACTAAATGTCAGACTGTGATTTGAGGGCTTAAAAGTATTAACTCATTCAAGCTTCACAGCAAACTCCATGAGAGTCCTCTGCTCCCACCATTTTTGTAGATGAAGAAAATGAGGCCCAGATGATGAAACCAGGAAAATGAGTCCAAGGTCCCATGGATAGGAAAAAGTGGAGCTGGGATTTGAAGCTAAACGGCCTGACTCCAGAACCTTGAGCACTACACTGTATATCCTCTATTATGACATCTGCAAATACCTTTTTTTTTTTTTTTGAGACAGAGTCTCGCTCTGTTGTCCTGCCTGGAGTGCAGTGGCATGATCTCGGCTCACTGAAACCTCTACCTCCCAGGTTAAGGTAGATTCTCCTGCCTCAGCCTCCCGAAGTGCTGGCATTACAGGCTTGCACCACCACGCCTGGCTAATTTTTGTATTATTTTAGTAAAGACGGAGTGTCACCATGTTGGCCAGGCTGGTCTCAAACTCCTGACCTCAAGTCATCCACCCGCCTCTACCTCCCAGTGCTGGGATTACAGGCATAAGCCACCATGCCCAGCCTTGCAAATACCTTTTATTAACTAGAAAGTGATGAACCCATGAATCATTATTTCCTATTTTGTAATTCATATAGTCTATTTCAATGCAGCAGGATATGTCCTTAAAAGTGTTATAGGGCATTTCATTATTCACTGTCTACCCAGGTCAATCACAGCCGCACAATGAGATGAGTTACAACTGTATTGGTAAATAGATCAACCAGACCAGCGCTTCCCAAATTTGCAGAAATCAACTGCAATGGATTGCAAATGCTTGGGTCCCACCCCAGAGCTACTAAACTTTCTGGGGAGAACCCAGCAATCTGTATTAAAAACAACAACAACATAAAGACCCCCAGACTATTCTGAGGGCCAGTTAGACCTGAGAATGAGTAGACTGGCAGGTGGCTGGAGAGCTCTTTCAACAATCTGATTCCACGAATTCCTGAGAAACTTCTTGGCTCAGTGGTCAGTTTGAAACAATTTCCTACTGTTAAGTTATCACATCATTCGGGCAGCTGGCTTCATGAGCAACTTTTAACATTCTCTAGGGAGTCCATAAGCCACTTCATGAATTTTTCATACCAAACACTTGAGGCAGGATTGACTCATCTGTGATTTGTTACAACCATAGTTCTATGAATTAGAAGGACCGTTGGTCACGTTTCAGATTTTCCACTGGATCACATTACAGACATAAAAGTAATGTGTAGGCTGGGCCCGGTGGCTTACGCCTGTAATCCCAGCACTTTGGGAGGCCGAGGTGGGTGGATCACCTGAGGTCAGGAGTTTGAGACCAACCTGGCCAACATGGTGAAACCCCATCTCTACTAAAAATGCAAGATTAATTGGGCGTGGTGGCACGTGCCTGTAATCCCAGCTACTCCAGAGGCTGAGGCAGAAGAATCACTTGAACCTGGGAGGCGGAGGTTGCAGTGAGCCGAGATTGCGCCATTGCACTCCAGCCTGGGCAACAGGGCAAAACTCCATCTCAAAAAAAAAAAGAAAAAAAGTAATGTATATACTTACTATGTGCAATGCTTTTGTGCTATGCCAGGCACAAGGAAATACTGAAAATCTTTCTTGACACTGGTAAATCTGGGCTTAATAACTGGTTTGTAGAAATAAGTGTAATTATTATTAGAGGGGAATTATTTTATCATACAAATGTTATTAAAGCTACTCTCATGCTATAATTTTAAAAAGATGACATTAACTACAGCTAAATATAATAATTCATTTTCATGAAATTTTTATTTTTTAGTGATTTGTCTTAGTTGTTCAGGCTGCTAAACAGAATGTCATAGAATGGGTGACTTATAAACAGCAGAAATTTATTTCTCACAGTTCTGGGGGCTGGGAAATCCAAGATCAAGGCGTTCACAGACACCTTCTAGCTGTGTCCTCATATGGTAGAAGGGACAAGGGAGCTCTCTGGGCCCTCTTCTATAAGGGCACGAGTCCCATTCATGAGGCTTTGCCGTCATGACCCAATCAGTCCCCAAAGTCCCCATCTCCTAATACTGCCACCCTGGGAGGAATCCGGTACGTGAATCTGGGAGGGACACAAATGTTCAATCTATATTAGGATTTAAGGTTAATGGCAAACTGTCTAGGAGTTTTAGGTAAAAAGTGAGGGCCAAGAAAAGAGAAATATTCTGTGCATTAGACTCATGGATGTGATATGTGACTGCTCCTGTCTTATTCTTCACACCATGTGACTTTTTAAAATCTACGAAAAGCCTATTATTTTTTTAAAAAGGATACATAATACCAAAAGGTGTTCAATTATAAATATTTTGTTCTTACTTAAGTCACCCACCCGCTAAGACCACCCTCCCTCAAGGTAGCCACTGATACTTACATCCTTCCAGAAATGTTCTATGCATGTGAGTGTGCGTGTGTTTGTGTGTGTGTGCATGCATGTGTGTTTGTGTGTGTTTGTGTGTGTTTGTGTGTGTGCGTGTGTTTGTGTGTGCGTGTGTGTGTGTGTGTTTGTGTGTGTGTGTGTGTGCTCAGTGGTTCGATGCAGCGCTCTGCATCAGGGCTGGGTTTGAATCCTGGCTCAGTCACTATCAGTGCAACATTGACCAAGTTCCATTTCCTCAGTTGTAAAAAAGGGATATTAATATCTATTAAATACCTCATAGCTGGCCAGGCATGGTGGCTCACGCCTGGAATCCCAGCACTTTGGGAGGCCAAGGTGGGTGGATCACGAGGTCAAGAGTTCAAGACCAGCCTGGTCAACATGTTGAAACCCCATGTCTACTAAGAATACAAAAATTAGCCGGGGGTGGTGGCGGGCACCTGTAATCTCAGCTACTCGGGAGGCTGAGGCAGGAGTATTGCTTGAACCCGGGAGGCGGAGCTTGCAGTGAGCCGAGATCGCGCCACTGCACTCCAGCCTGGGCAACAGAGCGAGACTCTGTCTCAAAACAAAAAACAAAAAAACAAAACACCTCATAGCTCTTAGCAAAATAAGAGAAATACAAGAAAAATGAAAAATTCTACCTCATAGGGTTGTGGGAACATGAATTAGATGAGTTAATACATATAAAGTGCTTGGAACTGAGCCTGGCATATTACAAGTACTGATAAATATTAGATATTTGTATTATTATACCTGAGTCCCTGTGTTTACACGTAGAAGCTCATTTCACATAGCCTCACTCAATACATCCACGTTTACAGCAGCACCTGCCCTTTAAGCAGCGCAAGACCACAGTGTGAGTGGACCCATGTGATTTACCATTTCCCTGTAGGTGGAAATCAACTCTGTGATTTTGCTTTTACCAATAAGATTGTGCTAAACCTTTCTGCACATGGGTGGGTCCTTTGCCACAGGCACCAGTTTATGCAGAGGTAAACTGGTGGATATGAATGGCTGGATCTGGCACCCAACATCAAATGGGGCTCTAGACCAGGCTCTAAGTGAGTAGGTACAGAACACACTTCAAGCTCCTCTATGGGGAAGAAGGAAAAGAAATCAGTGAACAGATGCCAGAGAGACAGTGCAGGTAGACACGTGATGGGACTCTAAACACTTCGAGGCTTTGTTTTTTGTTTTCTTATTATTGAGACAGGGTCTTGCTCTGTCACCCAGGCTGGAGTGCAGTGACATGATCACAGCTCACTGCAGCCTGGATCTCCCAGGTTCAAGCAATCTTCCCACCTCAGCCTCCCAAGTAGCTGAGATGACAAGAGCACACCACCATGCCTGATTAATTTTTTATTTTATTTTTGTAGAGACAGGGTCTCACTATGTTGCCCATGCTGGTCTCAAACTCCTGGGCTCAAGTGATCCTCCCATCTTGCTTGGCCTCCCAAAGTGCTGGGATTACAGGCATGAGCCACCACACCCGACCATTTGAGGCTTTCTTAATTCTTAGTTGCAGTATTTTCAGAAGACCATCATTGCCATCACAGACATTCACAAAATCACCAAGGAAAGCATCCCTTGATAAAGCCCTCTCCATTCCCATCACTGCACCTAGCACATTCTCTTGGTCCACTTGTCCAGCCTCTTGTCAAACAATGTGCTCTAGCCTGTGGCCAACTGTGAAGAGCAAGATGCAAGTAAGACCATGGGCCATAGCCCCAGCAGGTCATTTAACCAGAGGATCATGGGAGAAATCCTTAGTCCTTATGGCAATGACCCCTCTTTCAGATGCAGAAACGGAGGCCTGGGGAAGACAGGATTTGCCAAAGGTGTTAGTGCATGTACTTCCTGCCTGTGCTTCTAGTCATCTCTCTGCCATGCCGGAGAGCTCCCACAGTGCCTAAAACGACACCCTGAGGGCGGTAGTGCAGTGGGGAGGTGTGAGTGTGTGTGAATGACTGTGAGTATATGTGTATAGTGTGTGCACACAAGTTTGAAAAGGCAGAGGTGAGTCTTGCCACACAGAAAATTTACCATGGACTGGATGAATATTTTTGGCCAACACGAGGAGTTTATGACAGTTAATTACTAAATAATTCCTAATAGTGAGGCTGATAAGTGAAGCAGAACACTTGGATGAAGCTTTCTTACCTCCTCCCTCTTCAAACATTATTTTACCTATAAAAAATTTTGAAACTTACGTGGAGAAAAATTAATAGACTCTCATGTACCTGTCACCCATCTAATTTATCAGTACTTAACCGGCCAGGCGCATGGCTCACGCCTATGATCCTAGCACTTTGGGAGGCGGAGGCAGGCAGATCATTTGAGATCAGGAGTTTGAGACCGGCCTGGCCAACATGGTGAAACCCCATCTCTACTAAAAATATAAAAGTTGGCCGGGCACGGTGGCTCATGCCTGTAATCCCAGCACTTTGGGAGGCCAAAGTGGGTGGATCACTTGAGGTCAGGAGTTCGAGACCAGCCTGGCCAATATGGTGAAACCCCATCTCTACTAAAAATACAAAAATCAGCCTGGCGTGGTGATGTGTGCCTGTAGTCCCAGCTACTCGGGAGGCTGGGGCAAGAGAATCGCATGAACCTGGGAGGTGGAGGTTGCAGGGAGCCGAGGCCGCACCATTGCACTCCAGCCTGGACATCGCAGACAGACTCTGTCTCAAACAAACAAAAAAAAAAGTTTGCTGGGTGTGGTGACACATACTTATAATCCCAGCTACTTGGGAGGCTGAGGCAGGAGAACCGCTTGAACCCAGGAGGCAGAGATTTCAGTGAGCCAAGATCGTGCCACTGCACTCTAGCCTGGGCAACAAGAGTGAAACTCTGTCTCAGAAAACAAGCAAGCAAACAAACAAACAAACAAAACTGTAACCAATCTTGCTTCATGTATATCAGGTGAGGCTTTCTTGAGCCATTTCCAAGCCCACTCTTGAGGGGCTCTGTCCTGTCTGGCTGTGTACAGTTGATACTATAGGATCTCATTCTTTGAGCATTTTGTTGTTGCTCTACTTCAAATAAACGGAACTCTGAATTGTAAGAAATGAATCCATGTAAAAACGTTGTCACTTCTAGAAAATTCCTGATCCACTGGCCCATAGCTATGGGGGGCATTAGGCCTTTTTTGCACACAGAGAAAACATGCGATTAATGATGCTTATTTCTGATGACGTTGTGCATTTGTTCCTATGCTTAGGTGTCTTCTGTGAATGAGAATACCACCTCTGGCTTCTCTGCATCTCCCAACAGTGCTGGGTACACAGCAAACTTCTCTTGTCTAACGGCAGTGTGGTGTTTCTGGTTTATTTGGCTTCAGTGCCAAACATCGTTGTTCACATCTTCAGTGCAACAACAGTGAAAAATTAGGTGAGGGGAAGGAAGATGAAAGAATGGGAAGGGTTGTGAAATGATCACTTTCCTCCGATGGTATTTATTTCACAACTGTAGGCAAAGAATGGAGTGATTTCAGGTTCCTAAACAAGATTTTAGAATCTCGTACCTAGCTCAACTATCAATCAAGCAGAAGGACAGAATCTAGACATTTTTAGGCCTCAAACAATTACCTTCTGTAAAACTTATTCACAAAGCTCGTGTAAGATACACTCTACCAAAATAATAGCGAACCCAGAAAAGAGAAAATGTGGGGTTCCAGCCCAAGAGAAAGATAAAAGAACTCCCAGGATAACGGTCAAAAGAGAGCCTATGATGGCAGCTGGCCCAGACATCTCCTGGTGTGGTTTGGAGCATATCAGAAGACTCCCACTGAGATTTTTTTTTTTTTTTTTTTTTTGAGAAAGAAAGGGAAGGGCTGGGCATGGTGGCTCATGCTTGTAATCCCATCACTTTGGGAGGTCGAGGCAGGTAGATCACCTGAGGTCAGGAATTTGAGACCAGCCTGGCCAACATGGAAAAACCCTGTGTCTACTAAGAATACAAAAAATTAGCCAGGTGTGGTGGCACGTGCCTGTAATCCTAGTTACTCAGGAGGCTGAGGCAGGAGAATTGCTTGAACCCGGGAAGCGGAGGCTGCGGTGAGCCGAGATTGCACCATTGCACTCCAGCCTTGGCAACAGAGCGAGACTCTGTCAAGAAAAAAAGGGAAGAAGGAAAGGAAAAAGGAAGACAAAGAAAAATGGAAATGTTGAGAGGAGATTTATACAAACTGGGGAGAGTTTGGAGATAAATCAGTGGTAAGAATAAAGAAAATTCAGCTAATAATTCAGAAGATAATTATTAGTTCCAGAGAAAATACAACATTGGGTCAGAAAGGAAAATTTCAAAGTATATTATATAGCTATCTACCAATGGTATTTACATAGTCCTAGTAATGGAACACTGGCTATTGTTCTAACCAAAATTACAATATTGCGTTACTAGAAGGATGAGGACACGGGGATGTGAGGGAGAAAAAGCTATCTCCTCATATTCCATAGCAGGAAGCCATTAGGTAATACCTAAAGTTTAAAAAACAAGAAATAGCAAGAGAAGTGTGTTATTTAAGGAAATAGGGAAAAATACAAATAAAAATCAGTCAAAGTTAGTTAAAAGAGTTAAAAGTAGTGGTACCTGCAGAGTGAAAAATTGGTGGTAGAATGGGATGATGGTTGCTTTTCTTTTTTTCTTTCTTTCTTTTGTTTTTTTTAGAGACAGTGTCTTGTTCTGTCACCCAGGAGGTAGTACAGTGGCACAATCATAGCTCACTGCAGCCTCAGCCCTCTGGGTTCAAGTGATCCTCCTGCCTCAACTTCCCGAATAAGCTTATGGGTACGTACCACCACACCCAGCTAATTTTTTATATTTTGTAGAGATGGCGTCTTGCTCTGTCGCCCAGGCTGGTCTTGAAACCCTGGGCTCGAACAATCATCCCGTCTCAACCTCCCAAAGCGGTGGGACTACAGGGAGGAGCCACTGTGCCTGGCCATTTTGCAGATCAAGCCTCACAGGATTATTCAACTGAGGAAATTCTATTCATGCGTAATTTTAATGAGGATAACAACTAGATAGAAACAAAACTATTAAAACTAGGAAAAAATAGAGGGGTTCAAGAATAGTCAGATAAGCAGAATCTCTCATACAAATGGGCATGTGACTCTCTGACTTGTTTTTATTTCCCACAAATTCTTGGACTTAAGGTTGTAAACACTTCATATTGGAATTTGCACACATGTCAATATGCAAACTGCAGTGGATTTTATGTGACATGTGTCATGAGTTATAACATGCTCATATAGGGAAGGGTCTTCACAGGCATTGAGCCCAGGGATTCTTAAGTGGGGGGACATGCAGGTGGGAGCCAGAGTTATTTTTTGTATATAATACTACTAATGTATCTGTTTAGAAACATAGCTTCATACTCATACAATGGAAAATCTCCTCGGGCAAGATACAGCAATTCTTGTGGAATTTACAGCAGATTTCTGTTATTTTTGTTTTGTGCTGTTTTCTGCTGTACTTATTTAGAAAGACTGTTAGTCAAATTAAGGGGTTCAAATTTAGGATTTACTTAAACCTTTTTGTCAAAGTGAGAGGTGACAGCGTGCTGGCAACCCTCACAGCCCTCGCTCGCTCTCAGCACTCCCTCAGCCTTGGCGCCCACTCTGGCCTCATTTGAGGAGCGCTTCAGCCCGCCTCTGCACTGTGGGAGCCCCTTTCTGGGCTGGCCAAGGCGGGAGCTTGGCCACACCTCTCTCAGCTTGCGGAGAGGTGTGGAGGGAGAGGCACGGGCGGGAACCGGGGCTGTTCCGGGTGGGCGTGGGCTTGGCGGGCCCTGCACTGTGAGCGGCCGGCAGGCCCCGCCGGCCCCAGGCAGTGAGGGGCTTAGCACCTGGGCCAAGAGCTGCTGTGTTCGACTTCTCGCCGGGACTTAGCTGCCTCCTGGCGGGGCAGGGCTTGGGACCTGCAGCCTGCCATGCCTGAGTCTCCCCCGCCGCCGTGGGCTCCTGCGCGGCCTGAGCCTCCCCGACCAGGCACCATCCCCTGCTCCACAGCACCCAGTCCCATCGACCACCCAAGGGCTGAGGAGTGTGGGCGCACAGCGCAGGACTGGCAGGCAGCTCCACCTGCGGCCCGGGTGCAGGATCCACTGGGTGAAGCCAGCTGGGCTCCTGAGTCTGGTGGGGACTTGGAGAACCTTTATGTCTAGCTAAGGGATTGTAAATACACCAATGGGCACTCTGTAACTAGCTCAAGGTTTGTAAACACACCAATCAGCACCCTGCGTCTAGCTCAGGGTTTGTGAATACACCAATCGACACTCTGTATCTAGCTAATCTAGTGGGGACATGGAGGACTTTTGTGTCCACACTCTGTATCTAGCTAATCTAGTGGGGAGGTGGAGAACTTTTGTGTCTAGCTCTGGGATTGTAAATGCACCAATCAGCACCCTGTCAAAACGGACCAATCAGCTCTCTGTAAAATGGACCAATCAGCAGGATGTGGGTGGGGCCAGATAAGGGAATAAAAGCAGGCTGCCTGAGCTAGCAGTGGCAACCCGCTCAGGTCCCCCTCCTGCACTGAGAAAGCTTTGTCCTTTCACTCCTGGCAATACAGGTTGCTGCTGCTCACTCTTTGGGTCCACACTGCCTTTATGAGCTGTAACACTCACTGTGAAGATCTGAAGCTTCACTCCTGAAGCCAGCGAGACCACAAACCCACCAGGAGCAACAAACAACTCCAGATGCGCCGCCTTAACAGCTGTAACACTCACCGCGAAGGTCTGCAGATTCACTCCTGAGCCAGCGAGACCACAAACCCACCAGAAGGAAGACACTCCGAACACATCCGAACATCAGAAGGAACAAACTCCAGACACGCTACCTTTAAGAACTGTAACACTCACCGTGAGGGTCTGCGGCTTCATTCTTGAAGTCAGTGAGACCAAGAACCCACAAATTCCGGACACAAAAGCACTTTTGGAATAACGGAGTTAGCATTTCCAAAAATCTCCTGTTCCCTAAAAGCGATGAGAACACAGGTCAAAAATGTCAAAATTAACTTTCTCAGAACTCTGGAAATTAATCAAAGGCTTGTGATGATCCAAGGAGTGTTTATTCAAGAAAACCAGTTGAATGTTGGTAAGAACTATGATCTTTGTGACAGTTTAATTTGCCCTATTCCCACCCCTTCTCTGTAACTGTAGTAGTCTTGAAAACCAAGTCTGGGGCTCCCAGTAGCTATGAAAGCTAGCAGCCTATCAGCTTCTGGCGGGAGAAGATGGCCTTGGGGTTCTTCAAAAGTCACACTTCCAGAGAATTGTCATGATTTGATCTGTTTGGCAGCTCCCCTGTCCCCACACAAGATGGACATGGACACAGAAGAACTAGACTTGGCCAGGAAGTATAATCAGCACCCAAGATCCAAAGAGCTTAAGTGTTACAAAATGATACTCACCAGAGGGACCCAGACAAGGTAAGCTCTGACCCACGGGGTCCCGATGAGGCGTGCTCACAAACTGCATGTCTCTGTAGGCTCCTATGAATACATTCCAGTGAGCAGATCTCAGTAGGTCCTCCGGAAATAACTGTCAAAGAATAATTCAGACGAGTGAGTTTAGTGAGAAGCCTAGCTGAAACTTACTTGTATACTAGGGCAATCAATCACCTATAAATCAAATGTCACTGAACAATGGCAAGGGAAGGTTTATGAAATAAAAACTTCAGACTATCTGTGGACCAACCAGAGATTGCCCTTATTTTTTTGTCTTTGGACAAGTTGATTGGCTGAAAACTATCAAAGAAGGCAGTTTACCCTAGAGCCGACTGAATACTTATGAGGGAAGCCAATTGAATTTATTTATGTTTTATCCAAGAAAACGTGTGACTTCAGCTGTGGATGAAAGTGGCATGTTCATCTCTGCCTACTAGAGACCACACCCATGCATTGGCACTTATGCCTTAGGTCAAGATTGCATTGCCTCCTCTTTTTTTTTTGAGATGGAGTCTCAAAAAAACTCCAGCCTCTGTTGCCCAGGCTGGAGTGGTGCAGTGGCACCATCTCGGCTCACTGCAAGCTCTGCCTCCTGGGTTCATGCCATTCTCCTGCCTCAGCCTCCTGAGTAGCTGGGACTACAGGTGCCTGCCACCACGCCCGGCTAATTTTATTTTTGTATTTTTAGTAGAGACGGGGTTTCACTGTGTTAGCCAGGATAGTCTTGATCTCCTGACCTAATGATCCGCTCACCTTGGCCTCCTAAAGTGCTGAGATTACAGGCATGAGCCACCACGCCTGGCCTGCATTGCCTCCTTAATGGTAATTCTTCAGATTACAGTGGTTAACAGCACAGGCCTTGAGTCTATTAGACCAGGTCTTTCATTTCTTACTTGGGCAACACTGAACCTGAATTTCCTCATCTGAAAATGGAGATAATGATATCTACATTGGAGTGCTATTGAAATGATTAAATCAGATGTTTGTAACGTTCTTAACACAGTGTCATCATATAAAAAACCCTCGCCAGGTGCGGTGGCTCAAGCCTGTAATCCCAGCACTTTGGGAGGCCGAGGTGGGTGGATCACGAGGTCAGGAAATCGAGACCATCCTGACCAACATGGTGAAACCCTGTCTCTACTAAAAATACAAAAATCAGTTGGGTGTGGTGGTGCACCCCTGTAGTCCCAGCTACTTGGGAGGTTGAGGCAGAAGAATCGCTGGAACCTGGGAGGTGGAGGTTGCAGTGAACTGATACCGTGCCACTGCACTCCAGCCTAAGGACAGAGCGAGACTCCGTCCTTTACTATGATATCCTTTACTACGAATTATTAGGGGTATAGCTCACTGGGTCAGTCGGGATCCAGTGAAGATAAATGAACCACCATGTAACTTAAACGAGGAGTTCAATGTATAGAATGATTCAGTGTAACAGAGGATTACCTCCTAAGGGATAGAGAGAACCCTGAAAAATATAGGTAAAGGAAGTGGAAGGAACAGCCACTATCTCCAGGGTCGGGGCGGAGCACCCAAGAAAGGAAGAAACCCAGAAGACGGAACTCGTCCCCAGCCAGGGCTGGGATCCAGACCTTGTTGAAGACAGTATAGCCATGCCCACTGGGTGATGGAGATATTTGCTAAGGTTCCACGCTGGTGGAACCCAATGAGTCTCTGCCCACTGGAGAACCAGGAAAAAGATGACTGCCTACAGGGAGATGCTGAAATGTGGAAATCACCGGGAATCCACTGGAGGGGTGGTGGCTCTGAAACTCACTAGGGTGAGCACCACTGGGTGTCTAGAACAAACAAAAGATCCATGGTTTAGTCCATTCAGTCTGCAATAACAAAATATGCTAGACTGTGTCATTTATAAACAATAGGAATTTACTGCCTATATGCTGGAGGCTGTGAAGTCCAAGATCAAACCACCAACAGGTTCAACATCTTGTGAGGGTTGGCTCTTGGCTTCAAAGATGGTGCCTTTCCATTGCATCCTCACGTAACAGAAGGTTTACCTGAGCCTCTTTCATAAGGGCACCAATCCCATCCATGAGGGTGGAGCCCTCATGGCTTCATCACTCCCCAAAGGCCTCACCTCTTAATTCTATCACATTGGGAATTAGGTTCCAACATATGAATCTGGGGAGTACACTCAGACCATAGCAAGTGCCTTCCTTCTGCAGTGTTCCTCCAACACTCTGGACTGACAAGGCTTAAGCTCATGCCAGCTGGCCAGGGAGAAATGTTCCAGTATCACAAACAGGGCAATGAAAAGTGGATTTGGAGCTCAGGGGCTGTAAGTTGAGAGTTGGCACGCCCACTAAGAGCATTAACACCTCCGTAGCTCATCCTAGTCCAGCAATGGTGGAAAGGAATGATATGAAGGGAGCAATGTTACCCTCCCTCCTGGAACAGCTCCTTGAATTTGCATCTGGACTTTAGGTCAGAATTGCATGGTTTTCCTAATTGTAATTCCTCATGGTACAATGGAATCACAAAGATTTATTTTATTTTATTTTAGACAATCTTGCTCTGTCTCCCAGGCTGGAGTGCAGTGGCTCGATGTCGACTCGCTGCAACCTCCGCCTCCCGGGTTAAGTGATTCTCATGCCTCAGCCTCAGCTGTGACTACAGGTGTGACTACACCACGCCCTGCTAATTTTTATATATTTAGTAGAGATGGGGTTTCACCATGTTGGCTAGGCTGGTCTTAAACTCCTGTCCTCAAGCAATCCACTAACCTTGGCCTCCCAAAGTGCTGGGATTACAGGCATGAGCCACTGCTCCCAGCCACAAAGATATATTTTTAAAGAATTTATAATTACAATTGCAATTCTTGGACTTCACAAGATGTAACTACTTTGGAGTCTTAATTATGGACATACAGTGAGGCAAGCAGCTATTACGAGGAAGAAATCTAACTGGACTTCTGCAAAATTTCACCTATCAATCTTTGCTTCTAACAAAGATTGGTTGGAATCTTTGTTGGAATCTGTCTTTCTGGATGTTTGTTTATGATTCTTTTTTTAAAAAGGCCAAGGCGGGAGGATCACTGAGGTCAGAATTTCAAGACCAACCCAGTCAACATAGCAAGACCCCATCTATACAAAAAAAGCAAAACAAACAAAACACTCTTCTCCCTCTAGGAAAACATTTAAAAGATTTATTAAAAACAGCAAAAACAAAATCCTTGACATTAGTCTTGCTAAGTACTGGACCCTAAATGTCATCTCTCTTCCTGTGACTGTGAAATAACCTGAAATTGACAGAGTTTGAAATTCATTTTCATTATTCTAACTAGAAGTAATTGTTTTTACAAATACCATTTACCAGAAAAGAAGACAGAATTTTGGCTCTGTATTATTTCACACAGACACAAATGATTTTTCCTGGCTCCTATTTCATGAGATAATCACCCATCTCATTACTGGTATCATCTCTGGGAAACACTGACCTGTTTCACCAGCCCTCAGATATGTGTAATGGTTCCACACAGATGCATTTATGCTAGTGTCAGGGTTTGACCAGCTCTGTGTGTCTTAGAAGAGTAGATCTGTCCATATTGCGACCACATAGTAAAGTAGGTAAAAATTCTCAGAAGTGGAGGAAGTGTGCCATTTAAGGCAACTGCAGGATAGTTAGTGCAGTGGACTTGGAATCAGAAAATCTGCATCCAAACTTTTGTCTCTTGGTGTACAAAGTAGCATGTTTGGTGCTGGACAAAATATTCAGCCTATTTCCTCACTTATAAAATTGGAATAATACTAAACCCTCTGCTTGTCATAATAACTAACTTGACACAAAAGAGGCTACTATAGAGCCAAGGACATATTAGGTACTTAGTAAAATTTACGAATATCTAATTTTTTTTTTTTTAGATGGAGTCTGGCTCTTGCACAGGCTGGAGTTCAGTGGCACGATCTCTGCTCACTGCAACCTGTGCCTCCCGGATTCAAGTGATTCTCCTGCCTCAGTCTCCTGAGTAGCTGGGATTACAGGCACGCATCACCACTCCCAGCCAATTGTTTTTTTGTATTTTTAGTAGAGATGGGGTTTTACCATGTTGGGCAGGCTGTTCTTGAACTCCTGACCTCAAGTGATCTGCCTGCCTCGGCCTCCCAAAGTGCTGGGATTATAGGCATGAGCCATCACACCCAGCCACAAATATCTAAATCTATTATAGGAAATATTTATATAAAATTCTTTTTTAAATTTTTTTATTTTTCGAGACAGGGTTTTGCTCTGTCACCCAGGCTGGAGTGCAGTGGTGCCATCATAGCTCATGGCAGCCTCAATCTTCCGGGCTCAAGTTGTCTTCCCACCTCAGCCTCCCAAGTAGCTTGGGCTGCAGGTGCACACCACTACACCCAGCAAATTTGTTTATATTTTATTTTTTGTAGAGATGGTTTCTCACCATGTTGGCCAAGTTGATCTTGAACTCCTGGGTTCAAGCGATCCTCCTGCCTCAACCTCCCAAAGTGCTGGAATTACAGGCATGAGCCACCACATCCAGCTAAAAAATGTTCTTTCTTACATTAATTGGTAACCTTATTAACTATCACTGTGTTACTGGATTGATATGGTAACTTATTTAACACCTAATCAAATTATGGGCTTTCTATTTATAGCACGTGTACTAAGAAAATAGTGTGTGAATATCACATTAAACCAATGGAAAATGTATATGCTAAATAAGTCCATCTGCTACTATTTTTATTCATGCTAAACCTCCTAGCCCAATTTAGCAGAGACAAGGTAATTAGATCTACAGTCTTTGCTGTGCATGGCTGTCCATTTTCATTTGCTCTGAGTAACCATTTGCAAGACTGTAACAGATATATTTAAGATCTCCTCCTCTTCCCCTGCTTGTTTGCTTATTCATTCAGCAATCACTTATCAAGCTGCTCCCACCTGCCCTGCAACAGGCTTAGACACTGTGGATTCAAAAATAAATAAAAAGTGGCCTCAGAGAACTTATAGTTTAGTGGTAGAACAGACATCTAAAGCCAGTAAGTACAATACACTGTAACAAGGGCTGTAGATAGAACTCTGGGGACAAAGAAGATGATGTGACTGATTTTGCCTGGAGTATCAATTTAAAAAGGCTTCACGGATAGGTGTGGTGGCTCAGGCCTGTAATCCCAGCACTTTGGGAGGCTGAAGCGGGTGGATCACCAGAGGTCATCAGGGGTTCGAGACCAGCCTGGCCAACATGAAGAAACCCCGTCTCTACTAAAAATACAAAATTAGCCGCGCTTGGTGCCCGTAATCCTAGCTACTTGGGAGGCTGAGGCAGGAGAATCACTTGAACCCAGGAGGCAGAGGTTGCGGTGAGCCGAGATCGCGCCATTGCACTCCAGCCTGGGCGACAGACAGAGCGAGACTTTGTCTCAAAAAATAAAAAATAAATTTAAAAAAAGGCTTCACAAGAATTAAGGCCCTTGAAGAGTGAGAAGGAGGTCCGTTTTCACACTGCTGATAAAAACATATCTGAGACTGGGTAATTTATAAAGAAAAAGAGGTTTAGTGGACTCACAGTTCCACGTGGCTGGGGAAGCCTCATAATCATGACAGAAAGCGAAGACACACCTCACGAGGTGATGGCAAGAGAGACTCAGAATCAAGCAGAAGGCCGGGCGCGGTGGCTCACGCCTGTAATCCCAGCACTTTGGGAGGCCGAGGCGGGTGGATCATGAGGTCAAGAGATCGAGACCATCCTGGCTAACAAGGTGAAACCCCGTCTCTACTAAAAATACAAAAAATTAGCCGGGCGCGGTGGCGGGCGCCTGTAGTCCCAGCTACTCGGGAGGCTGAGGCAGGAGAATGGCGTGAACCCGGGAAGCGGAGCTTGCAGTGAGCCGAGATTGCGCCACTGCAGTCCGCAGTCCGGCCTGGGCGACAGAGCGAGACTCCGTCTCAAAAAAAAAAAAAAAAAAAAAATCAAGCAGAAGGGGTTTCTCTTTATAAAAGAAGATGGTCTCGCGAGACTTATTCACTACCACGAGAACAGTATGGGGGAACCGCCCCCATGATTCAATTATCTGCCACTGATTCCCTTCCACAACACCTGGGAATTACCGGAGCTACAATTCAAGATGAGATTTCTGTGGGGACACAGCCAAACCATATCAGAATGAGAAAGCAATTCAAGGCAGAGAGTAAAACCTGTGCATAGCTATGGAATCCTAAATATTCTGACGTCATCAAGGAACTGCAGGATGCCCCGCGTTCCTGAAGAACAGGGTGCATGGTGGGAGGGCAGGTGCTGGCAAGTCCGTGTGGAGTGGGCACGGCAAACACCCAGCAGGTAGCGGAGTGTGGACTCTGTTCTCTTCCCTGTGAAGAGCTTTCCGAGGTTCTCAGACTGAGGGGAGTCCAGTCTGTTTCAGGAAGCTCATTGTGAACTGTGAAATAGAAACAGTTACAAATTTGTAATGATTTGCCATTTCCTATGAACTCTGAAATGCACATAATCAGCTTGTGTTACAAAGATCTATTTTTAAAAGTATATTTATTGCAGTATTATTGATAGCAATAAAACCTAAAACACGATCTATATGTCCACCAAGAGTGACCTGGTAAAAATAAAATAAATACTGTGCTGATATGCACAGACAGTGAAATACTATTCAGATCTTTATTTATCTATTTAGTTGAGACAAGATCTCATTCTGTTGCCCAGGCAGGCTGGAGTACAGGGGCGCAGTCACAGCTCACTGCAGCCTCCACCTCCCAGGCTCAAGCTATCCTCTTATCTCAGCCTCCCCAGGAGCTAAAACTACAGGTGCATGTCACCACACCTGGCTAATTTTTAAAATGTTTTGTAGAGATGGGGTCTCATTATGTTGCCCAGGCTGGTCTCAAACTCCTGGGCTGAAACAATCCACCCAGCTCAGCCTCCCAAAGTGCTGGGATTATAAGCATGAGCCACCGCCTGGCCTACTAGACAGCTTTTTAAAGGAACAAATTAGATCTAAATTTTTTGTATGGAAAGCTGGCCCAAATATGCTAAGATTTGCTTTGTACAGTTGTAGAAGAGTATGAGTAATATACCATTTATGTAAAAATAAAATAATAATAATCCAGTTACACTTAAACTGTTACATTTATATAAATGCATGTATGTGCCTGAAACCTCACTGGATAGATAGAAAAGAACTTGTTTGCAAGGTGGGGTGGATCATAATGGTACTTTAATATTTTGCTGAATACCTTTTTGCAAAGTTTTAAACTTTTTTTTTTGCCAGTAGCATATATTACACATTTACTATTTAAAAAGTTAGTTTTAAAAATTTTAGAGAGGACGGGTGGGGTGACTCATGCCTGTAATCTCAGCATATTGGGAGGCCAAGACAGGTGTATTGCTTGAGGTCAGGAGTTTGAGACCAGCTTGGCCAACATGGTGAAACCCCGTCTCTGCTAAAAACACAAAAATTAGCCTGGTGGTGGTGGGTGCCTATAATCCTAGCTACTTGGGATGCTGAGGCAGGAGAATCGCTTGAACTCTGGAGGTGGAGATTGCAGTGAGCCGAGATCACGCCACTGCACTCCAGCCTAGGTGACAGAGCGAAACTCCGTCTCAAAAAAAAAAAGAAAAAAAAATTAGAGAAATGTACAATGTTTTAGTGGACTCTAATTGGGAGAATAGCCTCTCTAGGTATGGAATTATGATCCCAGGAAGCAGAGTGACTACCCAAAAACACAACACAGCACAGTGAGGCACTGTAGGATTAAGTGATATAACACACGCAAGTGTGAATGGTGTGCTGGGCATATAGGGAAAGCTCCGAATGTTAGCTATTATTTCCTGTAAATGACATTAATTCGGTTTCTCCTTCTCAATATTAATGCCTCTTATTTCTGTTTCTTCTCATCTTATATTGTGCAGAGTTCCTGTTTTAGTTGGCTTCTCTTCATTGGAAGAAACAGATTCACTCAAGTGACTTCAAGAAGAATAGAGTTTATTATGAGGATGCAGGTAAGTAACAAGTATTTTCACTTCCACAACGGGAAGGTAGTGAAGGAGGCTCTGCCAGAAGGAAAGAGGGCCTAGGAGTTTTCTTGTACAGGTGACTAATGGCAACAGCCAAACACAGCCTCCCTCACAAGTGGTGGGTTCCTGCTAAACTTGGGCTATGTCCCTTAGAAAGGAGGGTGTGTGTATTAGTCTGTTTTCACACTGCTGATAAAGACATACTCGAGATTGGGTAATTTATAAAGAAAAAGAGGTTTAATGCACTCATAGTTCCACGTGGCTGGATTCAATTTCCTCCCACCGGGTCCCTCTCACAATGTGTGGGAATTATGGGAACTACCATTCAAGATGAGATTTGGGTGGAGACACAGCCAAGCCATATCAGTGTGGTTTATGAGCCTGGGAGCTTTGTAGGAAAGGCAACTGTTCAACTACAAGGTGAAACACCCTCAAACATGACTTAGAAGTTTGAATATTAGAAGTTTGTCTGACAGAGCTTTTCTGTGACATGTTTCAATACAAAGAACTTCCTTCCTTGACTTGCAGGTAAAAGAGCATTTGTGGGGCCGGGCTCGGTGTCTCACACCTGTAATCCCAGCACTTTGGGAGGCCAAGGCAGGTGGATCACAAGGTCAGGAGTTCAAGACCAGCCTGGCCAATAAGGTAAAACCTCGTCTCTACTAAAAATACAAAAAATTAGCCAGGTGTGGTGGCACACACCTGTAATCCCAGCTACTCAGGAGGCTGAGGCAGGAGAATTGCTTGAACCTGGGAGGCGGAGGTTGCAGTGAGCCGAGATCATGCCATTGCACTCCAGCCTGGGCAACAGGGCAAGACTCCCTCTCAAAAAACAAAAAAAAAAACCAAAAAAAAAAAAAACAAGAGTATTTGTGACCACTCAGATTCTTCCCAGGTTAGTCAGTGCCACCAGGTCCTCAACATTGCCGGCATATCGGCCAAATGCAATAGAGTTGCCAGCAGATCACAGCCTGTGGCCGGGCTTCTGGTCCCAGCCAAGATGGAGTGAGCCTATACGACCTATCTCTGCCACCAACAATAGCAAAAAGTCTGGACAGAGTACAAAAGCTGTAAACCAAAAATAAAATTCTAAGACCCCCCAACCATTTGAACAGATGAAGTTAACCTGAAAAACTAGTTCAGCCCATGATGGGAAGGGGGAGCTGGACATGCCTTGTGATACCCTCCTCCCTTTTGAAAATACTGACAGAACAGACTCTAAGTCTGATAAGAAATATTTACAATCTATTCTCTCTGAAGCCTGCCACCTGGAGGCTTCGCCTGCATGATAAAACCTTGGTCTCCACAACCCCATATCCTAAGCCAAACAATCCTTTTTATTGATAACTCCTTCAGCCAATTGCCAATTAGAAAATCTTTAATCTGCCTATGACCTGGAAGCCCCACCTCCCTTCTAGTGGCCCTGACTGTCCTAACTGAACCAATGTATATCTTAAAAGTATTGATTGATGCCTTATGTCTCCCTAAAATGTTATAAAGCCAAGCTGCATCCCAAACACCTTGGGGACGTGTTCTCAGGATCTCCTGAGGGCTGTATCACTGGCCACTGGTCACTCAAATTTGGCTCAGAAGAAATCTCTTCAAATATTTTACAGAGTTTGACCCTTTTCATCAACAAATGCAACCTTCCAAGGACTTTGCAAAGTAAAGAAAAGCAGGTGGCCAGGCGTGGTGGCTCATGCCTGTAATCCCAGCACTTTGGCCGGGCGCGGTGGCTCACGCCTGTAATCCCAGCACTTTGGGAGGCCGAGGCGGGCGGATCACGAGGTCAGCAGATCGAGACCATCCCGGCTAAAACGGTGAAACCCCGTCTCTACTAAAAATACAAAAAATTAGCTGGGTGTAGTGGCGGGCGCCTGTAGTCCCAGCTACTTGGGAGGCTGAGGCAGGAGAATGGCGTGAACCCGGGAGGCGGAGCTTGCAGTGAGCCGAGATCCCGCCACTGCACTCCAGCCTGGGCGACAGAGCGAGACTCCGTCTCAAAAAAAAAAAAAAAAAAAAAAAAAAAAATCCCAGCACTTTGGGAGGCCGAGGCAGGCAGATCACAAGGTCAAAAGATGGAGATCATCCTGGCCAACATGGTGAAACCCCATCTCTACTAAAAATACAAAAATTAGCCAGGCGTAGTGGCATGCGCCTGTAGTCCCAGCTACTCGGGAGGCTGAGGCAGGAGACTCACTTGAACCAGGGAGGCGGAGGTTGCAGTGAGCCGAAATTGTGCCACTGCACTCCAGCCCGGGCAACAGAGTGAGACTCTGTCTCAAAAAAAAAAAAAAAAAAGAAAGAAAAAAAAAGGCAGGCAGATCGTGATTGTGGAGGGGGCTCGAAACGTGGAGATGAGTTTGCCAGATTTTTTTTTCTCCCCCTCTCTTTTTTTCATTTCTCTCATGGCTTTGCCTTGAAGGTGAGTTCCAGTTATGGAGCTGTGGGACTAAACTCAGAGGGACTCCCGGTATTTCGGCCAAAGTCATCTAGAAAAGTGGCCCGTGCTGTCTGAAGAGTGTGTGTATGTGTGTGGGAGAGGAAAGGGGGCTGGAATCTCCATTTTGTTTTTTTCCTTTCTCTCATGGCTTTGCGCCAGGGGCAAACATCTGTGGCAGAGCTCTGTTAGGGGCAGAACGAGAAGTCAACACTCAGAAAAATCCCATGTTTCTGGGCACCGGAGTTGGGAGCAGGGGGATGAGGGATCCTGTCAGCTGAAGAAGGTGGAGACAATCATAGAAGAAAGCGGGTAAAAGGGGTTCCCTTATCCCGAATATGAAACCACACAGGTCTGAGCTCCCCTCGGAGCTACCTAGGCATGCGACAGACCCCAAACAACACTGCAGCCTTTGAAAACTGAAAGGAGACAGGAATCACTATCCACAGAAAGCCAGACAGAACTTCCAGGTGAGCCTAACTGGGTTGTGTTGATTGCCTGATAAGATAAGAGAGAGGGGCCGGGCGCGGTGGCTCACGCCTGTAATCCCAGCACTTTGGGAGGCCGAGGCGGGTGGATCATGAGGTCAGGAGATCGAGACCATCCTGGCTAACAAGGTGAAACCCCGTCTCTACTAAAAATACAAAAAATTAGCCGGGCGTGGTGGCAGGCGCCTGTAGTCCCAGCTACTCGGGAGGCTGAGGCAGGAGAATGGCGTGAACCCGGGAAGCGGAGCTTGCAGTGAGCCGAGATTGCGCCACTGCAGTCCGCAGTCCGGCCTGGGCGACAGAGCGAGACTCCGTCTCAAAAAAAAAAAAAGATAAGAGAGAGGGAGGAGAGGGGAGGGGAGGAGAGGGGGAGGGGAGGGGAGATTATAGTCTTATTTTCTTGGACTGAGCTCCTGCATGAAGCCTCAATCCACCAGACCAAAGCAAATGGAGTCACTTAGGCTAAATGCCACGTAATCAAACTGAAGCTCTAAGAAGGTAGACAGATCCCAGAACAGATCAGTTTTTCCTGAAAACAAGAGATTTCAGTCTACCTGAGTAATAAGGAAGTTCCTTCTGCTGTAACCCTTCCGAAAAGTAACCTGATGTTAACTGATCCGTTTTTTCCCTCTATTGTTCTGTTTCCTTGTTCCACACTTAAAAACCTGCCATTTCCTGGTGGGAGCTCCCGGTCTATTTTGTAGATTGGAGGCTGTCTGGATTCATGAATTGCAAATAGAAGCCAGTAAGATCTAAAACTAAATTTGTTGTAATTTTGCCTTTTCATGAGAAAGAAAGAGAGGAGAGAAAGAAAAAACGAAAAAGGAAAAAACCCTCAACATTCTCAAGAAGATCTTAGTAAGATTAGATAAGGCCAGTATTACCCTGATACCACAACCAGATGGACTTTACGAGGAAAAAAAGGGGTTAATATCCTTATGAATGTAAACAAAAGTCCTTAACGAAATGCTAGCAATCTGAATGTCTAGTATTATTAATCTGATAAATCACAATGGTTGTATCATAATAAATATCTAAAATGCTGGTCATATCTTCAAAAATAAGAGTTATGAATAACCGTACGTTAGTAATGATTTTCTATTTGCAATAATATATTCCTAACAAAACAACAGTTTTCTCAGAGAAAATTCATAAAGCAGCGGATTTTTAGCTATTATTATAGTTAGCTGTTACCTTGACTTATTCTTTAAAATATACTTTTTTCTTTTTTCTTTTTCTTTTTTTGAGATTATTATAGTTAGCTGTTACCTTGACTTATTCTTTAAAATATACTTTTTTTCTTTTTTCTTTTTTTTTTTTAGACAGTTTCATTCTTGTTGCCCAGGTTGGCGTTCAATGGCATGATCTCGGCTCACTGCAGCCTCCGCCTCCCAGGTTCAAGCGATTCTCCTGCCTCAGCCTTCTGAGTAGCTGGGATTACAGGCGTGCGCCACCACACCTGACTAGTATTTGTATTTTTAGTAGAGATGGGCTTTCACCATGTTGGCGAGGCTGGTCTCGAACTTCTGGCCTCAGGTGATCCGCCACCTCGGCCTCCCAAAGTGCTGGGATTACAGGTGTGAGCCACCGCGCCCGGCCTATACTTATTTTATTTAAAAAATAGAAAAAATATATTTGTCTTTAGGCTGGTATATTTACTGGCCTCTTAAAAACTGTATTTTTCTTCTTATAGAATGTCAGGCCTCTGAGCCCAAGCCAAGCCAAGCCATCGCATCCCCTGTGACTTGCATGTACACATCCAGATGGCCTGAAGTAACTGAAGACACAAAAGAAGTAAAAATAGCCTTAACTGATGACATTCCACCATTGTGATTTGTTTCTGCCCCACCCTAACTGATCAATGTACTTTGTAATCTCCCCCACCCTTAAGAAGGTACTTGGTAATCAATCTCCCCCACCCTTAAGAAGGTTCTTTGTAATTCTCCCCACCCTTGAGAATGTATTTTGTGAGATCCACCCCTGCCTGCAAAACATTGGTCTTAACTTCACCGCCTATCCCAAAACCTGTAAGAACTAATGATAATCCACCACCCTTTGCTGACTCTCTTTTCGGACTCAGCCCACCTGCACCCAGGTGATTAAAAGCTTTTATTGCTCACACAAAGCCTGTTTGGTGGTCCCTTCACATGGATGCGCATGAAACAGAGAACATGCAAGAATGGCAACCATGCTGTCAAGGGTTCCAACACCTCTCTGGCCAGCTCTCCCGGCTCCTTTCCAGAACGTGCGTTCTCGGTTTAAGCCCAAGGAATCACTCCTGACAGCCTCACGTCAACGGGGTAGTTCTCACGGAGCTTAGGGATCCTATCAGCAACCCTTTAGGACCACACCAGGATAATTTACAGCAATTTTAATTTGCGTTGATCTCTTGCTGCTGTGTTTTTCCTTCTTTCTGTTCCAAGGAAGTATCGATGAAAAGAGTCAAACTCTGTAAAATATTTTAAGAGATTTATTCTGAGCCAAATACGAGTGACCATGGCACATGACACAGCCCTCAGGAGACCCTGAGAACATGTGCCCAAGGTGGTCGGGATACAGGTTGGTTTTATATATTTTAGGGAGGCATGAGACATCAATCAAATATATTTAAGAAATACATTGGTTTGGTTCAGAAAGGTGGGACAACTCAAAGCGGGGGTGTTGGTGGAGGGAGGCTTTCAGGCTGTAGGTAAATTTAAACATTTTCTGGCTGACAATTGGTTGAGTTTGTCTAAAGTCTTGGGATCTATAGAAAGGAAATGTTCAGGGTAAGATAAAAGATTGTGGAGACCAAGGTTCTTTTGAAGTTTTATAGTGGCTGCCCTTAGAGACAAGAGATGACAAGTGTTTCCTATTCAGATCTTTAAAAAGTGCTAGACTTTTAGTTCATTTCTTCAGGATTGGGAGGGCCTGGAAGAAAAAGATCTAGCTATGTTAATAGAGATTCTTTACAGATGCAGATTTTCCCCCCACAAAGGACAGCTTTGCAGGGCCATTTCAAGATGTGGCAGAGAAACATGTTTTGGGATGAAATATTTTGATTTTTTTTCCTTGTCTCATAATGTTATTCCAGAGTCAGATTGGAAAGTAGGTCACGACATAAAGGGTCAAATAAAACCCATCTGATGAGAATTTATGGTTTGTAGGGCATGATTCGCCCAGACCCCTTAGATAGAAATTTGGGCAAGATAAAAAAATTCGAGCTTAGTCCTCAGAAGCAAGATTTTACCTTTCATTGCTTCAGGGGTTCATGAAAGGCTTTGGGGACCCTGAGCCAAGAGCAGAAATCCCAGGTGTCCAGGGGAGAACGCCCATCCCATCATGTGGGAAAGCCAAAGGCTCTCAAAAGATGGCAGTAAGCCAGAGTGAGAAAGGGGTTCTGAGGCTTGGGAGAGCCAGAAGTGAGAGAGGTGCCTTGGGCTTCCCCTGAGACAGGGCAACATGGAAGTATGGGGATTTCTGCCTTTAGCAGACAACCCAATAGCACCAGCATCACAGGGCGGGACTCCACATTACAGCAGCTTGATGCCATAGACAGTGGCCTGGGTGGCGGTAAAGGCCACTCACCCCAGGCCCTTGGCCAGTGAGCACAGCTGTGTCGCTTTGTCACCCAAGCTGAGCTGTTTCCATCCTCTGAGATTCAAGAACTCTGATTTATCATTCCTGGCAGATTTCTTTAGCCAGGCACTTTAAAAAAAAAAAACCCACAAAAAACAAAGGAATTAGCTGGTAAGAAGCAAAGATACAGTACGGCTTAAGGATACACAGATTTAATAAATGTGTAATTTAAGCATATAAGCGCAGCTAATCCACACATTCGTATTACACAGTTGTGGGCTTAGGTTTACTGCCAACTTCCTCTCTTGGGGAATTAATCACCTTCTTACTTTCTTAATTTTTTTCCTGTCTTTTTAAAAAGTTGATTCAATGATATATGATTTTGCTTGATCTTTTGAATAACTAATCATTGGTTTGTTTACATTTTCTATTTTTTGTTAGTTTCTATTTTGTTCAATGCTATTCTGTTGAACAACTTACTTTGTTCCTTTTCTAAATCCTGTAATGAGATCTAGTTTATATCCTCTCTTTGCCTTCTTACCAGCATATGTATCTAGAGAAACCTATTTTCTTCTAGATAAAACCTTGCACTCACGAATTTTGATGGGTGGAGTTTGCTTCTTAAATGGTATGTTATTAATGTTTGTGAATATTCTCTGTGATTTCATTGCTATTGGGGAAGTGTTTTTAAATTTAGTGTGACTATTAAGGCTTTTGGGGTCACTGGGTAACTAGGCAAAACTAGAAAGTACTGGAAGGATCCCTGGGCGGCTCCTAACAGTAAAGGAAGAGCCCAACAATGGCTCTCAGGACGCAGGTGTCTGGCAGCCCGAGGCCTGAGTCCACTAGAGCCCGTGGCTTTCATGGGGCTCAGCTGGAGACTTCTCAAGCCTCAGGGGTTCTCTGGGCCAGGGTTAAACTCCTGGAGATGAAATCTGATTGGCCCAGCTTGGGTCAGATGTCCACTTCTGGGTCCGGTGGGAAGAGAGTTTTACAACACAGACATGGCCTGCCTCTGAGGGTCACTGGGGTCACGGAGTGGAGCACTGTGAACTGGGCGGCTACACCTACCTGTTCACCATGCAGTGACTGTCACTTTCCCAGGGAGGCCTCTGGACAGTTAACTTCTGTCTGCTTCCGTTCTCTCACCTCTAAAATAAGGCTAATAAAAATAATACCTACTTTGTGAGGTTATAGTGAAGATTAAATGAGTTAATATTTGTAAACACAGAAAAGAATGCCTGTTACATGATATGCTCCTTGTGTTTGCTCTTCTGTTTCTAATTCTATCATCGTATGGTCTATCTGTGTGTATATATATATATATATATATTTTTTTTTTTTTTTTTTGAGATGGAGTCTCGCTCTATCTCCCAGGCTGGAGTGCAGTGGCTCAATCTGGGCTCACTGCAACCTCCGCCTCCCAGGTTCAAGCTGTTCTCCTGCCTCAGCCTCCCTAGTAGCTGGGACTACAGGCGCCCGTCACCACGCCCAGCTAATTTTTTTTTTTTATTTTTAGTAGAGACGGGGTTTCACCGTGTTAGCCAGGATGGTCTTGATCTCCTGACCTCGTGATCTGCCCGCCTCAGCCTCCCAAAGTGCTGGGATTACAGGCATGAGCCACCGTGCCTGGCCCTGTATATTCTTTTTTATTTCCTTGAAATATTTTTTTTTTTTTTTTCTGACAGCATCTCACTCTGTTGCCCAGGCTGGAGTGCAGTGGTGTGATCACAGCATATTGCAGCCTTGATCTCCCGGGTTCAAGTGATCATCTTGCCTCAGCCACTCGAGTAGCTCGGACTACAGACATCTGCCAACACACTGGGCTAATTTTTTTTATTTTTTGTAAAGGTGGACTCTCACTTTGTTGCCCAGGCTGGTCTCAAATTCTGCGCTCAAGCAAAAATCAAGCAATCCTCCTGCCTCAGCCTTCTAAAGTACTGGGATTACAGGCGTGAGCCACTGTGTCCAGCCCCTTGAAAATTCTTAACCTAAAATATAATTATTTGGGGTGTGAGAGTATACATTTTTAAAGGGTACATTCTCTAATTATTTTTTAATTTTTATTATTTTTTTTTGAGACAGAGTCTCGTCTTGTTGCCCAGGCTGGAGTGCAGTGGCTCAATCTCGGCTCACTGCAACCTCCGTCTCCCAAGTTCAAGCTGTTCTCCTGCCTCAGCCTCCCGAGTAGCTGGGATTACAGGTGCATGCCCCTACGCCCGGCTAATTTTTTTGTATTTTTAGTAGAGACGGGGTTTCACCATGTTGGCCAGGCTGGTCTTGAACTCCTGACCTTAAGTGATCCACCTGCCTTGGCCTCTCAAAGTGCTGGGATTACAAACGTGAACCACCGCGCCCGGCCATTCTCTAATTTTTTAAATGGAATTCTCTGTAGCTGTTGTTAATTCTACCTTATTAATGGTGGTGTTCAGCTCTGTAATTTTTGACCATTCTTTTATTTGATTTGCTATATTCTGAAAGCAGGGTACTAAGGAATCCAAGTAGAGTTTCATTCTATTTCTTCTCAGATATCTGTCGTCTTTTCATCAATTTTTTTTTTTTGCTACCAAATGTGTGGCACATAATGCTGTGTTTTCATTACTTGCTGTGCCTTTGATCATTCTGATGTGTCATTGTTGATAGCTCCCCACGCTTTTGTGTAAAGTCTGTTGTGTCCGAGATCATGATTAAACCTCCTGCTTAGGAAAGTCAAATACCGCACTTACAAGTGGGAGCTAAACAATGGGGTACACATGGACACACAGAGTAAAATAAGAGACATTGGAGACTCCAGAAGGTGGGAGGGAGGTGAGGGTTCAAAAACTGCCCATTGTGTGCAGTGTTCACTGTTCGGGCGATGGGGACACTAAAAGCCCAGACTTCTCCACGATGCGATATATGCATGTAAGAACCTGCGCTGGTCCTGCCTAAATATATACAAAGAAAAATTCCATTGTAAAAACAACTATTTCTTACATTTCCTCAGGGTGATTTTAGTCTGCCTTTTTTTTTTTCAAACTTGTCTTTGGATCCATCATATCCTTGGGTTTGGGTTTTAAAGCCACTCGGGGACTCTTCCTTTTCAGAGAATTTGGTTCCTGTGTAACTGTGACATGGAGCTATCCTTCATCATTGAGGATGTTTTGCTTTGTTGAGATGTTCTTTATGGAACTCAGATGTCACCGGGCCCTTTGTCCCTGTTGCTGGATCCGTGTTTGGCTGTGCACTGCCTGGATGCAGAACTCAGCTTTGCCTCAAACACACACACATGCACACATACATACACTCATGCACACACACATGCACACATGCATATACACACATGCACATGCATAAACACACTCATGCGCACACACTCATGCACACACACTTATGCACACACGCCCATGCATACACATATTCCTGCACACACACATGCACACCTTCATGCACACACGCATACACATTCGTGCACACATTTATGCACACTTATGCACTCATGCACACACGCACACAAAACCACACGCATACACACATGCACACACACGTGCACACACTTATGTACACACACATGCACACACACAATCATGCACATGCACACGCATGTCCCCCCTCTCCCCACCACCCAACAAGACCACTAGGGATCCATGCATCCTCCCTGATGATCAGGAGAATGAGAGGCTGGCCTCCAGGCCCTGCCCACAGCACCACACCATCGCACTCCCCTTTCCAGGCGGGCGTCCCCTGGCAAAGCCTGCGCCCCACAGTTCCTTACCTGCTTCTTCTAGTCTCACCTCCCACCCCAAGCATTTATGGAAGCATTTCTCCCAAAGCAATTATTCGAGTTTATTCTTCTTCACCTCATTTTATCTGTATTACATTTCAGATGTTATAAATTAGGTATAGCCACTCCTATCTTTCAGGTGAGATCAAGAAGCACATCCAAGTTTGAGATCCACTGGTCTAGTGAACTTTTTAGCACTTCCAAGTTTAATAAATTCAGCACATGACAAATATAACTTAATCATCTTCTTTGCTCCCTAAAACCTCAGCCATCCAGGTAAAAAAAACTTTGGGCCAATCTTCCTCCACCCCTATCGGGCCCCACCTTTCAAGTCTAGCCAATGACCATGTCTTGTTGCATCTCTTTCCGTAAAACAACCCATCTCTGTCCCATTGTCTGGTCTCCAGCCCCTCTTCCTCCAGGCCCTGAGATCTTTTCTTCTAGACTGCTACATCATCTTCCTGTTTGCCCTCCCAGCCTACAGCCTGCCCCTCTCAGTGAAGCTGGAGGACTTTTCCAAAACTCCAAATTTGACCCTATCTCCCCCTGCTGAGAATCCTTCCATGCTCCTCACTGCCTTCAGAATTGGATCCAAAGTCTTCCCATGAAATGCAAGATCCTTCTTATGCAAACCCTGCCCACCTGCCCAGCCACAGCCTCCTTCTGTACTAAGCCGCAGCCACCCGCCTCACTTCCCATGTCCCTGAATGCTGACCCTCCTCCCTCTGCCAGAAATTCCCTTCTCCTCTTTCATTGCCTGGATACCTCCTCTTTACCCTTGAAATTTTGGTTAAAATCCCCTCCACCCCACTGGGAAATCTTTTCTTCCTGATCCGTTCCTCACCTCTTCCTATAGCCCAAGTAGAGCCCTATCGCACCTGTTAGCTGTGGCACCTGTTACCTGTAACATCTGTTTGCTGGTTCATCTTCCCTGTAAGTCCTGTGAGCAACCTGAGGACCAAGATTGTAAACTTGACCTCTGAGTGCCAGCTCCTAGAAAGAACACCGGCTGCTAGAAGGCACTCAATAAATGGTTGCAGAATAAATAAATGAGTGAGACATTCGTGTTGCTATTTATGGATTTAAAAAAATGGTTGAAGTTCCTTTTGAGGGATAGTTGGTTTCATCATCTTATCCCTGATCTTTGTCAAATAATTAAGGCTTTTATATCTCTTTAGTTCCCTTTTTATACCTTGTTGCTATATACCATATATTCCATGAAGACGAAAGATAATTTGCACCATGAAACTTTTCCCACTAGTCATCCTGACAAATTTATCTTTTCTGAGTCTACTTTTGAAATGCAAATTAAATTGTCCATTTTTAATGATCCTTGAAATGAATGATTTTTAATGGTAGCCCTTTCTGTTCCTGAGGATTTATAAAGGTTGCTCTTCTACTTTCAAAGCAGAACAGCTTGACAAGGGAGCTGACCTGGGATGGTAATGCTTGGTCCTAATTGCTCTGTAAATATCTTCTCTGATTTTTCAGTTGTAAAATTGAGGTTTTATTGTCTTTGTGTCTCTGAATGGTAGCTGCTTTACTCTGTAGCCCGTGTTAACCTTTTAAAAACATTGTTTAGCTACGGAACATAACAGTAAAAACAACCCCATTTATAAAGCTGCAAATAAGAGAAACAACTTAGGAATAAATTTAACAAGACATTGCATGTAGGGGCCGGGCGCAGTGGCTCACTCCTGTAATCCCAGCACTTTGGGAGGCCGAGGCGGGCAAATCACGAGGTCAGGAGATCGAGACCATCCTGGCTAAAACGGTGAAACTCCGTCTCTACTAAAAATACAAAAAATTAGCTGGGCGTGGTGGCAGGCGCCTGTAGTCCCAGCTACTTGGGAGGCTGAGGCAGGAGAATAGCGTGAACCCGGGAGGTGGAGCTTTCAGTGAGCCAAGATCGCGCCACTGCACTCCAGCCTGGGCGACAGAGCGAGACTCTGTCTCAAAAAAAAAAAAAAAAAAAAAAAAAAGACATTGCATGTAGGACTGCGATTCCACACTGCCTTGAGATCTTTGGTTCTCAGGGGCCTCAAAGGCTCCACCATGAGTTCCCTTTATCTTGCAAAGGCTCCCCATCTTCACCCAAACAAGCCGATCACATCCTCCCATGGGAACCAGGGGGCACCTCCACCCTTTGTTACTGTGAAGTCTGCCTCCCACAGTCCCTGCTGGTTCGCTGTTCCTGCGGGCAGCTCCGGGTGGCTCTGCATGGCAGGCAGTGTCCTCTTCCCCTGGGCTGTGAGCATATGTGACTAATGAGCTGCTCCCCTGCTCATCTGTCCAGTGTCAGGGTGACACGTTTGGTGATCACAGGCTGTTTAAGGCAGGGAATCCCTTCTTCACCAATGGGGTAAACAGGAGGAGAGCAGAACAGATATGTGCACGGCTTATATGACAAAATTCTTAAAAAACTCCTGAAAGACACGAAAATAGATGAACAAAAAGAAAGACATCCCCTGTGCTTGGATAGGATGACTCAACATTTTTAAAATGTCAGTTCTGCCTAAGTTAATTTACAAATTCAATGCAAGCCCACCCAATAAGAATACCAACAAGCTATTTTATAGAGTTGAACGATGTGATTCGGGTTCTACGGAAAACAAACATGCAAGAATAGCAGGGAAACAGTGATAAATAAAGGGTAGATTCACTCTATCAGACATTAAAGTATAGGCTAAAGCCACTGTAATTAAAACAGTGTGGTGCTGACACATAAATAGGTAAGTAGACAATTGGAATAGAATGAAAAGTCCAGAATTAGTCTCAAATACACAGGGAAATTTAGTATACGACAAAGGTGGCATCTCAAATCACTGGGGGAAGAATGGACTTTTTAATAAATGGTGCTGGGACTATTACATAACCATTTGGAGGAAGAAAAAATTAAACTTGCATTTCACTCCATACACAAACACAAACTCCAAATGGATCAAGACTCTAAATGTAAAATATGAAAACATACAAAGTCTAGGTGAAAAAAATGAAGTGAATTTCTCTTTAAGTTTGGTATAACGAAGGACTTTCTAATTATGACCCCAAATCCAGAGGCAATAAGTAAAGATTAATGAACTTGGCTATATTAAAAAAATGGAATAACAATAATAACAAAACACAAACAAAGTCAAAAGACAACTGACAAGGCTGGGCACCATGGCTCACACCTGTAATCCCAGCACTTTGGGAGGTCAAGGCAGGAGGGTTGCTTGAGCCCAGGAGTTCAAGCCTAGCCTGGGCAACATGGTGAGGCTCTGTCTCTATGAAAAATACAAAAATTAACCAGGCGTGGTGGCATGCGCCTATGGTCCCAGCTACTTGGGAGGCAGGCTGAGGTGGGAGGATCACTTGAGCCCAGGAGGTAGAGGCTGCAGTAAGCCATGTTCTCACCATTGTACTTCAACCTAGGTGATGGAGTGAGACCCTATCTCAAAAAAAGCAAAATGAAACAAAACAAAAAACAAGCAAAAAAAAAAAAAAAAATACTGCTGACCAACTGGGAGAAAATATTTGTAACATATTACAGAAAAGGCCAATATCCCAATATATTATACTAAAAACAACTTAAAAATTAAGGGACAAAGGACTGAAAACACAACAGAAAGAAGTGGAAAAGATACATGCAGACAATCCACAAAAAAGGGATATAAAATTTTCCCTGAAACATATGAAAAAATGTCCAAATTCACTCAAATTAAAATAACACTGACATATTACTTCTTAGCTATCCAAGTGATAAAAATTTTAAAATGTAGCAACATATTCTATTATCAAGGTTGTGGAGAAACAGGGACTCTTACATATTGCTGGTGGGCCTGCACTCAGGCATTCTCCTTCTGGAGAGGAACCTGACAGTATCTGACAAAACTACATATGCACTTCTACTTTTTTGACCCAGCAATCCAGCAACTCCACTCCTAGGAACCCACACTGCAGATATACCTCCAACAATGTGAAAATACATACGCACACGATTATTCACTGTAGCATTGTTTGTAATTGCAAAGCATCAGAAACAACCTAAGTGCCCATCCATAGGGGAGCAGTTGAGTATAGTAGGTTACATAAGGAGTACTATACAGCTGTGAAAAAGAGAGAGGAAGCTATGAACTGGTAGGGAGTAACTTCCAGGACATATTGTCAAGTAGAAAAATCAAAGAGTAAAAGATTACGTGTAGAATGCTAAATTTCATGCAAAAAAGAAGAAAATACGGCCAGGTGCAGTGGGTCACACCTGTAATCCCAGCACTTCGGGAGGCCGAGGCAGGTGGATCCAAAATAAATCCAAAAATATTTTGTATATTTTATTTTATATTTTATATACATTTCTGTTACATTAGGATTGGAGACAAGTTCTGTTTAAAAATAAATCCAAGAATAGTTTTTATATTTTATTTTCATGTTGAAAATCAGTCAGATTTGCTTTAGCCTTAAAGAGTATGTTTATGTCAAATTAAATGAGCACTGACGGAGAGCTGCAATTTTTTTTTTCTAAACAGGAAATGAGTTAATTAAAAATACTTTATGGCTAAAAAATGCTAATGACCATCTGAGCTTTTAGCAAGTCATAATTTTCTTTTTCTGGTGGAAGGTCTTGCCTCGATGTTGATGGCTGCTGACTGATTAGGGTGGTGGTTGCTGAAGGTTGGGGTGTTGGGGTGGCTGTGGCAATTTCTTTCTTCCTTTCTTTCTTGTTTTTTTTTTGAGACGGAGTTTCGCTCTTGTTGCCCAGGCTGGAGTGCAATGGCGTGATCTCGGTTCACTGTAACCTCCGCCTCCCGAGTTCAAGTGATTCTCCTGCCCCAGCCTCCCAAGTAGCTGGGATTACAGGCATGTGCCACCACATCTGGCAAATTTTTGTATTTTTTAGTAGATATGGGGTTTCTACATGTTGGTCAGGCTGGTCTCGAACTCCCAGCCTCAGGTGATCTGCCCACCTCGGCCTCCCAAAGTGCTAAGATTACAGGCGTGAGCCACCGTGCCTGGCCCGGCTGTGGCAATTGCTTAAAATCCTATATAATGAATGACATAGTATATTTTTGCATGTGTATGGTGCAGTGCTTGGAATGTGTGTATTTTTTTTTTTTTTTTGAGACAGAGCCTCTGTTGTCCAGGCTGGAGTGCAGTGGCGCAATCTTGGTTCACTGTAAACTTCGCCTCCTGGGTTCGAGCAATTCTCCTGACTCAGCCTCCCAAGTAGCTGGGATTACAGGTGTGCACCACCACACCTGGCTGATTTTCATATTTTTAGTAGAGACGGGGTTTCACCATGTTGGCCATCATTGGCCAGGCTAGTCTTGAATTCCTGATTTCAGGTAATCCACCCACATTCGCCTTCCAAAGTACTGGGATTATAGGCATGAGCCACCACACTGGGCTGAATGTGTGTATTTTTTAAAGAACAGGCCAGGCACAGTGGCTCACGCCTGTAATCCCAATACTTTGGGAGGCAGAGGCGGGTGGACTGCTTAAGCCCGGGAGTTTGAGACCAACCTGGGCAATCTAGCAAAACCCCGACTCTACTAAAAATACAAAAATTAGCTGGGCATGGTGGCACATGCCTGTAATCCCAGCTACTCAGGAGGCTGAGGTGTGAGAATCACTTGAACCTGGGAGGCGGGGGTTGCAGTGACCTGAGATGGCACCACTGCACTCCAGCCTGGGCGACAGAGTGAGACTCTGTCTCAAAAAAAAAAAAAGAAAGAAAGAAAGAAAGAAATCAAAAAACAAAACAAACAAACGAAAATTGGCTGGGGTTGGTGGCTCATGCCTGTAATCCCAACACTTTGGGAGGTCGAGGTGGGCGGATCACCTGAGGCCAGGAGTTCAAGACCAGCATGGCCAATATAGCGAAACCCTATCTCTACTAAAAAACACAAAAATTAGCCAGGCGTGGTGGTGCATGCACCTGTAATCCCAGCTACTAGGGAGGCTGAGGCGGGAGAATCGCTTGAACCCGGGAGGTGGAGGTTGCCGTAAGCTGAGATTGCGCCACTGCACTCCAGCCAGGGTGACAGAGCGAGACTCTGTAACAACAACAACATCCACATTAGCAATCCTCTCGAGCCTAATTTACGTGAAAGCTCCATTTTGGATCTGGGTCTACTCTTGGATTACATCATTCTGGATCATGCACAGCCCTGAGCAGAGGGAAATCCTTTGCCTTCCAGGTGCCAATGCCCTCTCTGATTCCCAAGCACCAAATTGGTAATGGGGTGTGGGATGGTGTTTCCTAGCCTTGCCCCACTCATCTGCTGCTAGCTGTGTGACCTTACAGGCTTACAGGCTTTTTCTGTCCATCGTGCGTGTCTTTAGTTGCTCTATGGCAGCTGCTCATGTCTTCATGGTCCTTCTCTACCAAGTCCTCCATGCTGTCCACTCGACATGGGCAGTGACTTGTCTGTCTTCTGGCTCCCAGGACCTGGCACAGTGCCAGCATGCAGTAGTCACGGAAGACGGCATTTGATGCTTAAATAAACATCCTGCCAGAGTCACAGTCCAACACAGATTTGATCTGTCTGTATGTCAAGGCTTCACTTTGTATCTTGTGTTTGTTTTTGGTGATCACCTTTTGCCACTAATTGGTAAATATTTATCCTCAAAGAAGAAAAGCAACCTCTCAAGAATGACTCTTTAATGGTGCGATGTACTAAAGTATTACAAGTAAAAGTTTCATGTCTGGGATTTGCTTTTGAATACTCAAGAAAAAGTGACGGGAAAATAAAACAAAGTGGCAGAATGTTGATAATTGTGGAATCTGGGTGGCAGTTACACAGGGGTTCATTAGCCTCTTTTCTCTATTTGGGGGAGTCTTTGAATTCTCTATTTTGGGGAGTCTTTGAAATTTTCTATAATAAAAAGTTAAATGCAGCTGGGTGGGGTCCCAACACTTTGGGAGGGCAAGGTGGGTGGATCACTTGAGGTCAGGAGTCTGACACCAACCTGGCCAACACGGTGAAACTCCATCTCTACTAAAAATACAAAAAATTAGTTGGGTGTGGTGGCAGACGCCTGTAGTCCGAGCTACTCAGGAGGCTGAGGCAGGAGAATTGCTTGAATCTAGGAGGTGGAGATTGTGGTGAGCTGAGATTGTGCCACTGGACTCCTGCCTGGGTGACAGAGCAGGACTCCATCTAAAAAAAAAAAAAAAAAAAAAAAAAGCTAAATGCAGGCAGGGCACAATGGCTCACACCTGTAATCCCAGCACTGTGGGAGGCCAAGGCAGGTGGATCACTTGAGGTCAGGAGTAGAGACCAGCTTGGCCAACATGGTGAAACCCCATCTCTACTAAAAACACAAAAATTAGCCAGGCGTGGTGGCGCAGGCCTGTAGTCCCAGCTACTCGTGAGGCTGAGGCAGGAGAATCACCTAAGCCTGGGAAAGTTGAGGCTGCAGTAAACCGGGATCGTGCCAAGCTACTCCAGCCTGGGTGACAAAGTGAGACCCTATCTCAAAAAACAACAACAAACAAACAAACAAACAAACAACAGATATATTGCCAGGCACAGTGGCTCACACCTGTAATCCCAGCACTTTGGGAGGCTGAGCTGGGTCCAGGAGGCTGCGGCTTGAGTCCAGGAGTTTGAGACCAGTGTGGGCAACATACTAAGACCCAGTGTCTATTAAAAAACAAAAAAAAAAAAAGAAAGAAAATTCAAATAACACATAAAGTATAAAGAAGAAGAGAAAGTGAAAAAAAAAAAGCGAGTAATTTTCTCAACACCCGGAAAACATGGAGGTGCTAATACCATCACAAGATTGTTGGGAGAGTTTAATGAAAGAACACGTGAAAATATTTAGCACATAGTAGGTCCTCAAAAGTCAGGGTGCATTTACACTAAAGCCTGTGGAACATAAGCGTCAGGGGTCCCTCCCAGCAGGAGTTCTTTCCAAGGCCCCTGCCAATGTGTTCCCCTGTCATCAGTTTTTGTAAAATTTGCAAAGGCAATATATTTTTGTATTTTATTTAAAAAAAATCCCCCTTGAATTGCATGACTTGAAAACCCCAGAAAATCTGGAAGTTCTCCTGCTGAAACATTGTCGTTACTTTCCTGCCTTTGATAAATAGCAACATCACGTTTTCCATCTATTGAGAGAAAGCCTGTGGAACATCTGAGGCCGAGGTCACTTTGCAAGGCTCAGCCTGAGGCCACATCTCATTTTTATCTCCCCCTTGAGGATGACAGACTTACCTGGCACATGGCTCCATCTTCATTAGCGAAGACCACTCATTCATTCCTCAGAGCAATCACCACGGCTGGCACCTTCCTGGGATGAAAGCAGCCCACTGTGCTGCATGTGCTCTGAAAATCTCAGAAGAAAGTATGCCAGCCTGCGTTCTCTGCGCCTGCAGAAGGGAAGTGAAAACGGCTTCCACTGACAGCAAGTCAAATGACAAAATCAGGGATTCTTTCTTCGTTTTTTTTTTTTTCCCTAAACCACCTGTGCGACTAACCTAAGCAATCCTTATTAGTAAGTCTTATATTGGAGGAAGCTGACGAAAATAACTCCATTCCAACACGGAAAAAGAATCTGAGTTTGTTCTATTTGCTTCAAAAGATTGTTTTGATTATTACAGACCCATGGGAAGAGAGAGGCTGTCTGCACCACAATTATTTTCAGCCACCGACTGTCTCCTTAGCTCAAGCATGGCAGTAATGAGGCGGAAGCCCTGGGTTCAGTCCCCGTGTAGACAAGTGACCTTTGCTCCTGACGCAGACTGTACCTTGACCTTGGCCATCTTAAAAATGTATGTTGGCCGGGCGCAGTGGCTCACGCCTGTAATCCTAGCACTTTGGGAGGCCGAGACGGGCAGATCACCTGAGGTCAGGAGTTTGAAACCAGCCTGGTCAACATGATGAAACCCCACCTCTACTAAAAATACAAAAATTAGCCGGACGTGGTGGTGGGTGCCTGAAATCCCAACTACTCGGGAAGCGGAGGCAGGAGAGTCACTTGAACCCCGGAGGTGGAGGCTGCAGTGAGCCGAGATCACACCACTGCACTCCAGCCTGGGCGACAGAGTGAGACTCGGTCTCAAAATATAAATAAATAAAAAATGCATGTCACCAGTCCCTGGCGGGCCGGAATGGAACACCATGGGCATGTCCATTGCACGATCGGAAAACCAGTTTACAAGTACATGACTCATTGATCTTGGGTTTTCAGAGCCCTTTTGTAGATGGGCGAGATTAGAGGACTTTTAGGGAGCTGTGAGGGGAGAATAAAATAAGGACTAACAGTAAACACTGTCGATTGGATGGGGGTCTTCAATGTTTGTTAGTAAGGCAATATACAGCCATTAAAAAGAACAAATTAGGCTGGGCACAGTGGCTCACGCCTGTAATCCCAGCACTTTGGGATGTCGAGGCAGGCAGGATCACCTGAGGTCAGGAGTTCGAGACCAGCCTGGCCAACATGGTGAAACCCCATTGCTACTAAAAATACAAAAATTAGCTGGGTGTGGTAGCGGGTGCCTGTAATCTCAGCTACTCGGGAAGCTGCGGCAGGAGAATCGCTTGAACCCACGAGGCGGAGGTTGCAGTGAGCCGAGATTGCGCCATTGGCCATTGCACTCCAGCCTGGGTAACAAAGAGTGAAAAACTCTGTCTAAAAAAAAAAAAAAAAAAAAAAAAAAGAGCAAATTAGAGTTATACCAGTACTTGAGTCAATATTTCAGCAGTAATTTCTGAGTGAAAAAGACAAAATGTAGAAGGTATGTATGGTATGATCCCACTTTATGAAATGACTAAAACCTCTTGTATTCGTCTACGTATATATACAATGTCTGTATGTGATTATAAGAGCACAGAGAAACAGTGTATGGACATGTGTTACTTGTGGTGGGGACAGCTGATGTGAGGATACAGGGAGGAAGGGACAGGGGAGAAGCCAAGCTACATAAGAAAAGAAAGGCTGGGCTGTGCGGTGGCTCACACCTGTAATCCCAGCACTTTGGGAGGCCGAGGTGGGCGGATCAGTTGAGGTCAGGAGTTCAAGACCAGCCTGGCCAATATGGTGAAAACCCATCTCTATTAAAAATACAAAAATTAGCCGGCCACGGTGGTACACGCCTGTGATCCCAGCTACTCAGGAGGCTGAGGCAGGAGAATTGCTTGAACCCAGGAGGGGGAGGTTGCAATGAGCCGAGATCGTGTCAGGGCACTCCAGCCCAGGCAACAAGAGCAAAACTCCATCTCACAAAACAAAAAAAAGGGAAAGCCTGTACCAAAAAAACACAAAACCAAACCAAAAATAATAGATATTCTATGATGATATTTATGCATTTTGGTGTAATAATATGTATGCATATATAAAAATTTAAAAATATTGTGCAGGCAAAACTCACATACCATAAAGTTAAACATTTTAAAGTGAACAATTTAGTGGCATTTGCTGTATTTTCAATGCTGTGCAACCACGCCTCTATCTAGATCCGAAACATTTCCATCGCTCCAAAATAAAGCTGTTTCCAGTTTCCATTAAGCGGTTTCTCTCTATTCCCTCCCACCCCACCCCCACCTCTGCCAGCCCATGGCAAACACCATGTATCCTGTCCCTGTGAATTTACTGATTCTGAGTATTTCATATAAATGGAATCACACAGTGTGCAGCCTTCTGTATCTGGCTTCTTTAATTCAGCATAATATTTTCAAGGTTCCTCTAATAGTAACCTGTATCAGTACTTTGCCCCTTTCCATGGCTGAATACTACTCCATCGCGTGTATATACTACAATTGGTTCATCCACTCTTGCACTGATGGACACTTGGCTGTGGCTATGAACATGGGTGCACATGTGCTGGTTTGAGTCCCTGCTTTCAATTCTTTTGGGTGTAGACTGAGGGGTGGAATTGCTGGGTCATATAGTAATTCTATGTTTAACTTTTTTGAGTCAAACAGTGGCTGAATAATTTTGCATTTTCATCAGCCATATAGGAAGTTTCCAATAGTTTTGTTTTTTTTTTTCAATTAAAAAAAAAAAGGTGGCCAGATGCTGTGGCTCATGCCTGTAATCCCAGCACTTTGGGAGGCCGAGGCAGATGGATCACTTGAGGTCATGAGTTTAAGACCAGCCTGGCCAACACGGCAAAACCCCATCTCTAAAATACAACAAATTAGCTAGGTGTGGCGGTGTGTGCCTGTAGTCCCAGCTACTCGGGAGGCTGAGGCAGGAGAAATACTTGAACCCGGGAGGGGAGTTTGCAGTGAGCTGAGATGGTGCCACTGCGCTCCAGCCTGGGCAACTCCATCTCAAAAAAAAAAAAAAAAGGGAAAGGCACCAGGGACAGGCATATACGTCTTGGAGCTCATTCAGGGCAGTGCCCACAGAGAACACTGGAGTGTCAGTGAGGTGGAAATTACCAATGGCCTTGGGCCAGTTCCTCACTTTCATGGAGCCCCAGTTTCCTCATTGGCGAAATGCAGAAACTATGACATCACAGAATCCCTTTGAGTATTATATGAAAAAGCATAATCTGTGGCACATTATAAATGATCAACGACTGTTAGCTGAACCTCAATATTCTTTTTTGGGGGGTGGGTAAAGATGGGGTCTCACTATGTTGCCCAGGCTGGTCTCAAACTCCTGGACTCAAGTGGTCCTTCCAACTCAGCCTACAGGCATGAGCCACGATGGGTGAGGCGTGAACCACCACGCCTGGCCAATATTCTTTACTCACAGGAGCCTTGGCTATAGTTGAAAAGGTCATGAAAACCATGACAGACTAACAAATGATGACCTCCCTGAAAGGGAGTTTCGCAGATAAAAAACAAAACAAAACAAAACAAAACAAAAAAACCTCTCAGAAATGTAGTTCTATGTTGAGGGCATACATGCGGGAGATAGCCTGTCATGTGGTGGGGAAGGGCACAGCCTTTGAAACCAGATGGCCTTGGGTCCCCAAACTGTCTTTGCCCCACAAAGGAGTCAGAATTCCCCCATTGCAAGTGACAGAAACCCAATCCCAAAAGCCTACACACAAAAGGGGTTCTTGCCGGCTACTGCGGAGCTTCCTGAACAGTGGACCACACTTGGGCTACACGTGTGCTGGGAGGTTCCTCCCCTTGGCCCCAGGGAGCGGGCGGGCAAACCAGGGCAGGCCCCTTGACGTGTGCAGGACGGTCACGCTGCTCTCCTAGGCTTGCCAGCTTCTTTGCCACCACAGACCTGCTGTCTCATGTGACCACTGACACCGCTTGGGTTCCTGTCTTTACAGCCTGTGGTTAGAAAAGAAAGGAATTTGCTTCCCCAGGCTCCAGGTAGAGCACTCCCAGGGCCATTCTGATTGGCTTGGCTTGTGGCAAAGATTCTCTGCTTGACAAAACTTTAGTCAGCCTCCCGAACCTTCTCCTAGGCCCATCTCTGCACTTGCTTATAAAATCCAGTTTTAGCAAGAACCCTGCTAAGTCAGTTTAGCCAGACCCACCCCCGCCCACGCCCTGACCACCAGTATCTAATCACCTTTGATATCTGGTCAGGGTCCTCAGCCTCTACCTCCTGCCAGGTGATGATGTCTCATTGCCCTGGCCTGTCCTCAGCAAGAACTCTGTTAGGTGGCTTTAGTCAGAATCTACTTCTTACCCTGATTTTTCTTTAGTAATTTTCCATCCATTGACTCCTCCCCTGCTCCTGGGCTGTAACTTCCTACTTGCCCATGCTGTGTTTGGAGGTGAGCTCACTCTCTCTCTCCCACAGCAAAATCCCATTGCTGTGGTCTCACCTATCGTGATGGTCGTGAATAAAGTCTTCCTTTCTGTGCTTTAACAAATGCAAATAGGTTTTTTCTTTTTCCTTTAACACTTGCATCTTGTGTTCATGCTTTGCACCAAGTCCCATGACTAGGGGAATAGGTACTTCAATTGGCCCAACTTGGGTCTGATGTCCTGTAAAGATGGGATCACTTAAGAAATGACAGCTTCCATATTCAGAGAGGAAAAAGAACGGTTTCTCAAAAGAAAATGGGGGCCAGGAGCGATGGCTTATGCCTGTAATCCCAGTACTTTGGGAGGCTGAAGTGGGCAGATCACTGGAGGGCTGGAGTTTAAGACCAGCCTAACCAACATGGTGAAACCGCATCTCTACAAAAGATAAAATAATTAGCTGGGTGTGGTGCTGCATGCCTGTAGCTATTGGGAGGTTAAGGTGGAAGGAAGGCCTAAACCTAGGAATTCGAGGCTGCAGTGAGATATGATTGCACCACTGCACTCCAGCTTGGGGTGACAGAATGAGATCCTATCTTTAAAATAAAATAAAAGGCCAAAGGCCAGGTGTGGTGGCCAACGCCTATAATCCCAGTGCTTTGGGAGGCCAAAGTGAGTGGATCACTTGAGCCCAGCAGTTCGAGACCAGTCTGGGTAACATAGTGAGCCCTGCCTCTACAGAAGGTACCAATAATTAGCAGGGTGTGGTGGTGTACACTGTGATCCCAGCTACTCAGGAGGCTGAGGCACAAGAATCACTTGAATCCTGGAGGCAGAGATTGCAGTGAGCTGAGATCAGGTCAATGCACTCCAGCCTGGGCGACAGAGTGAGACTCTATTTCAAAAATCAAAACAAACAAAAGAAGATGGGCATAAACATTTTGATGAGATCCAATTTAAAAAATGTTTCTTTTATGGTCTGTGTTTTTGATGTCATGTCAAAGAGCTCTTTGCCTAGCCTTAAGTCCTAAACACACCTTCACATGCCTTCTTCTAAAAGTGTTTTATGTATTCCATTAACATTCATGACTTTTTTTTTTGAGACAAGGTGTCCTTATGTTGTCTAGTAGGCAGGCCTAGAACTCCTGAACTCAAGGGATCCTCCTGCCTGAGCATCCCCAGTAGCTGGTCAAAGCCACCATGCCTGACCATGGCATTTTAAAATTAATTTTTGAATCCGGCCGGGCGCGGTGGCTCACGCCTGTAATCCCAGCACTTTGGGAGGCCGAGGCGGGCGGATCATGAGGTCAGGAGATCGAGACCATCCTGGCTAACACGGTGAAACCCCGTCTCTACTACAAATACAAAAAATTAGCCGGGCGTAGTGGCGGGCGCCTGTAGTCCCAGCTACTCGGGAGGCTGAGGCAGGAGAATGGCGTGAACCCGGGAGGCGGAGCTTGCAGTGAGCCGAGATCGCGCCACTGCACTCCAGCCTGGGCGACAGAGCGAGACTCCGTCTCAAAAAAAAAAAAAAAAAAAAAATTTATTTTTGAATCCACTGTGAGGTTTGAGTCAAACTTCACTTTGTGCCTACAGATGTTCAATTTTCCAGCATCATTTGTGAGATGACTATCTTTCCTCTATTGAATTGATTTGCACCTTTCCTAGAAATTCATTAGGCCTATTGCACTGGTCTGTTTCTAGGTTCTCCATTCTGTTCCATTGATTTATATTCTGTCCCTCTTCTGCTGCCATGCTGTCTTTTTTTTTTTTTTTTGAAAGAGAGTCTCGCTCTGTTGCCCTGGCTGGAGTACAGTGGCTCGCCATCTCGGCTCATTGCAACCTCCGTCCCCCGGGTTCAAGCGATTCTCCTGCCTGAGCCTCCTGAGTAGCTGGGATTACAGGCACGTGCCACCGTGCCTGGCTAATTTTTGTATTTTTAGTAGAGTTGGGGTTTCACCATGTTGGCCAGGCTGGTCTTCAACTCCTTACCTCAAGTGATTCACCCACCTTGGCCTCCCAAAGTGCCAGGATCACAGGCGTGAGCCACCGCGCCCAGCCATGCTGTGTTGATTGCTATAGCTATATTGTAAGTCTTAATATCAGGTGGAGTATTTCTTCTCATTTAATTCTTCTTTTTCAAAATTATTTTAGCTATTCTACTTCCTTTGCCTTTCTATATAAATTTTAGAATATCTGTATCTACAAAAAATCTTGCTGGGATTTTGATAGGAACTGTGTTGAATCTGTAGATCAATTTGAGAAGTGTTGAATCTGTAGATCAATTTGAGAAAAACTGGCATCATTACTATATTGAGTCTTCCAATCCATGAGCACAGAAGATGTCTCCATTTATTTAGATCTTTGATTTATTTCATCGGTTTGTTGTGCTTTTCAGCATACAGAGCCTGTATTGTCTTGTGTTGCACAAGATCCTGGTAAGAGGATGAAAAGACACGCTACCAACTGAGAAAGTATTTGCAAATCATGTATCTGACAACGACTTTATATCTGTAATATATAAAGAATTTTCAAAATCTGACACTAAAACACAAAAACAAAAACAAAAAACTAGCAATTCAAATGTAAAATGGGCAAAAGATATGAACAGATATCTCACCAAACAGGAGACACAGAGGGCAAATTTGCATATGAAAAGAGGTTCAACATCATTAGTCACCTGGGCAATGAAGTTAAAACCACAATATTACTATACAATTATTAGAACTGCTAAAACAAAAACCAGTGATGACACCAGATGCTGGCGAGGGTGCCAAGAAACTGGATGTTTCATACTTTGCTGTTGGGAGCATAAAATAGTTCAGCTGCTCTGGAAACAGTTTGATAGTTCCTAACACAGTGAAACATGCACTTCCCATGCAACCCAGCCATCACATTATTGAGCATGTTTTTTTCTAGAGAAATAAAGACTTGAGTTTACTCAAAATCCTGTACACGGGTGGTCACATCAGCCTTACTCATTATAGCCAACAACTCAAATGTCCTTCCGTGATGAGTGGTTGAACCAACTCTGTTATATCCCTACCACAGAACACTAGAGGAATGAACCAGCAGCAACCTGGATAGACTTTGAGGACATTACGCTTCGTGAAAAAAGTCTATTTCAAAAGGTTACTTACTGTATGATTTCATTTCTATAACATTCTTGAAATTACAATACTATATAGATTTTTTGGGGGGTGGGGGTGGGGTGGGGATAGAGTCTCTCTCTGTCGCCCAGGCTGCTGGAGTGCAGTGGTGTGACCTTGACTCTCTGCAGCCTCTGCCTCCCGGGTTTAAGCGATTCTCGTACCTCAACCTCCCAACTACAGGCGCACGCCACCATGCCACCTAATTTTTGTATTTTTAGTAGAGATGGGGTTTTGCCATGTTGGCCAGGCTGGTCTCGAACTCCTGACCTCAAGTGATCCACCCACCTTGGCCTCCCAAAGTGCTGGGATTACAGGTGTGAGCCACGGTTGGGCAAATGATAATACTATAGAGATGAAAAACAGATTATTAGTTGCCAGGGTGGGGCTGAGTAGAGAGGCTAGTGTGAATACAAAGAGGGGGCCCAAGGGAGTTCCTCTGTGCTGATGGAATGTTCAGAATGGATTGTGGTTGTAGTTAAGTCACAACCTATACGTGTACAAAATTGCATAGCCTACACACACACACACACACACACACACAGACACGAATGAAGATTATTTTTTAAGAAGGTGAAGACTGAATAAGGTCTAGTTAATAGCAATGCACCCATGTCAGTTCCCAGGTTTTGATATTGTCCTATTGATATGTAAGGCGTCACCATCGCGAGCAGCTGGGTGAAGGCTGCCTGTATTGGAAAATGCCCCATCTAGGGGCAAGTGTGCGCAGCAATGAGGAGGATAAGGTACAGCCAACGGGCCGGAAAGGAGGAGAGGGTGAGAAACCCCTAGAGGTGGTCTAGGGCTGCCAACGTGGGGCGAACCATGAGGATGAGCTCCTGGGGGCAAGAAGGGAACCCAGGGCTTTGGGACAAAGAGGACAAGAGAAACCAACGGTTTTGGGACAAAGAGGACAAGAGAAGAAGGTGGTCAAATGCTGGTGTGTGTGAGAATTTCACTGAAGTGACCGGAAGAAGGGAATTCAGTTAGAGGGACTTCTCAGGTTTGTGGGATTTTGTTTGTTTGTTTGTTTGTTTGTTTTGAGACAGAGTCTCGCTCTGTTGCCCAGGCTGGAGTGCAGTGTCACAATTTTGGCCCACTGCAGCCTCCGCCTCCCGGGTTCGAGCGATTCTCCTGCCTCAGCCTTTGGAGTAGCTGGGATTACAGGTGCCCACCACCACACCCAGCTAATTTTTTTTGTATTTTTAGTAGAGACGAGGTTTCACCATGTTGGCCAGGCTGGTCTCGAACTCCTGAGCTCAAGTGATCTGCCGACCTCAGCCTCCCAAAATACTGGGATTACAGGCATGAGCCACCGCGCCCAGCCAACTTCTCAGGTATTCTTGTTTGGCAATGGCTGCTTGAAGAATCCACCTTCCTGCTCCCTTGGAGACCACTGTAGCTGGCCCTGAGCCAGGGCAATGTGGGCAGACAAGGCTTGAACTGCCCATTAGGGCTCCAGGGATGTGGCTGCAGGAGCAGTGGAGCAGCTGCTTTTTGTGCGTCGATAGCCCTGAGTGAGCAGCATTCACATCACGAGATATTAAAGACCCATAAAAAATTTTAAAATTGTATTCTTTCTTACCAAAAGCATAACTCTGTAACTTCAAAATTCATTCTTCAAAGATGGATATATTATTGGAAGCATGGTTTATAACATAAAAATCTAGTCTCAAGCAAGACAGGGCTAGGGAGCTGGCAGACCTGAAATTTACAGGGAAAAATAATTGCATGAGGCTCTGGGGTTTCAGAGGTAACCACTTTAAACAAATTCCTTTGAATTTTGTTTAGGTAGAATAAGGCACTCAAAAATAGCACTGTCCAATAGAAATATAATGTTAGGGCCTGGTGTGGTGGCTCATGCCTGTAATCCCAACAGTTTGGGAGGCCGAGGTGGGTGGATCACTTGAAGTCAGGATATCGAGACCAGCCTGGCCAACATGGGTGGAACCCTGTCTCTACTAAAAATAAAAAAATTAGCTGGGTGTGGTGGCTCATGCTTGTAATCCCAGCTACTTGGGAGGCTGAGGCAGAAGGATCACTTGAACCTGGGAGGTGGAGGTTGCAGTGAGCTGAGATTGCACCACTGTACTCCAGCCTGGGCAACAGAGTGAGATTCCATCTCAAAAAAAAAAAAAAAAGAAATATAATGTTAGCCATGTGTGTAATTAAAAATGTTCTGGTAGCCGGGCACGGTGGCTCACGCCTGTAATCCCAGCATTTTGGGAGGCCGAGGAAGGCAGATAATGAGGTCAGGAGATTGAGACCATTGTGGCCAACATGGTGAAACCCTGTCTCTACTAAAATACAAAAAACACAAAAACAAAAACAAAAAATAGCTGTGCATCAAAATTAGCCAGGCGTGGTGGTGCGCGCCTGTAATCCCAGCTACTCGGGAGGCTGAGGAAGGAGAATGGCTTGAACCTGGGAGGCGGAGGTTGTGGTGAGCCAAGATCGCGCCATTGCACTCCAGCCTGGGCAACAAGAGAGAAACTCTGTCTTAAAAGAAAAATGTTCTGGTAGCCACACTTTAAAAAGTAAGAAGAAAGGGGTAAAATTAATTTTAACAATATATTTTGTTGAATATATCCAAAATAGTATCATTTCAACATGGAATCCATATATTCCATTATTACTGAGATTCCTTTTTTTCCCACGCTCTGTCTCCTGCAGTCAGGTATATATTTCACACCTGCAGCACATCCCATCCAAAGTGCTAGCCACGTCTCAAGCTCAAGCTCAAGGCCACATGTGCTGGTGGCTGCTGGGTTGGACAGCTCAGCTCTAGAACCTCACCTTCATGTCAGAAACCTTTCAAGGGGCTCCCCTCTTTGAAGAGAGAGAAGCTATCCATCATCCCTCAATTTGTTAGCTTTCCCCTCTGCGTGGAGGTCATTTTTCACTCACTCTGTAAGTATTAAAATGCCAAGCTTGCCTCAGCTTCTCAGCTACTGAATCTATCTCAAATTAATCATGAGAGGGAGAAAAACCATTGTGTCTTTTGAATCTCCCTGCCCATGACTTCTCTTTGTCCAGCTGGAAACAGAAACGCCTGCCCTGACGTTACTGTTCTGTCCAGCTCCGACACCAGTTCAGCTCTTGGAGCGCACCACGTGGTCCCACTGCCAGGCCTCTGCCTGTGCACTTCCTTCCACCTGGAGCACCCTCCCCACCTGCCTTAGTCTGTTCTGGCTGCTGTATCAAAACTGCTATAGGCTGGGTGTGGTGCCTCACACCTGCAATCCCAGCACTTTGGGACGCCAAGGCGGGCAGATCACTTGAGGTCAGAAGTTCGAGACCAGCCTGGGCAACACGGTGAAACCTCGTCTCTACTAAAATACAAAAATTAGCCGAGCCGGGCATGGTGGTGGGTGCCTGTAATCCCAGCTACTTGGGAGGCTGAGGTGGGAGAATCGCTTGAACATGCAAGGCAGAAGTTGCAGTGAGCTGACATGCGCCACTGCACTCCAGCCTGGGCGACAGACAGAGCAAAGCTCAAAAACAAAAAACAAACAAACAAAACACACACACACACACACACACACACACACACACACACACACAAAACCCCAAAAACTACCACAGATTGGGTGACTTATCAACAACAGAAATTTAGTTCTCATAGTTCTGGACGCTGAGAGGTCCAAAGGTCCAAAACCAAGGCACCAGTGGACTCAGTGTTTGGAGAGGGGCTGCTTCCTGCTTCATAGAGCTGTCTTCTTGCTGGCAGGTGGGTGAAGGAGCTCCCTTACAAGCTCTCTTTTATAAGGGCACGAATCGCATCTATGAGGGCTCTGTCCTTGTGACCTAATCACCTCCCGAAGGCCCCACCTCCAATACCATCACGTTTGAGATTAGGTTTCAACATGAATTTTGGGGAGAAATAAACAGCCTATAGCACAACCTCAGGCCTAGATGTAGGCCTTTTTTTTTGAGACAGAGCCTCACTCTGTCGCCCAGGCTAGAGTGCAGTGGCACAATCTCGGCTCACTGCAACCTCCACCTCCTGGGTTCAAGTGATTCTCCTGCCTCAGCCTCCTAAGTCGCTGGGATTACAGGCATGTGCCACCATGCCCAGCTAATTTTTGTACTTTTAGTAGAGATGGGGTCTTGCTATGTTGCCCAGGCTGGTCTTGAACTCCTGGCCTCAAACGATCCACCCCCCTCGGCCTCCTAAAGTGCTGGGATGACAGGTGTGAGCCACTGTGCCCGGCCACAGCTAGGTTTTCAGATGGAACTTGAGTTCTACCAATCTGATGCCTTCACACTGGGTCTGAACTGAGAGTGGAAGCGAGTGGGGTGAGAGGCAGCAGCAGGTCAGGTCCATACTTTGTGGGGGCAGAACCTGAATGCAGAACAAGTCTGGAGAGAGCAGCCTGGCCTCAGCTCCCTGTTGTCTGCACACAGCCGAAGCAGTGTCACTCCGGAGTCCACGGTTGGGTGGTAACTCCCTGTTTTTCTCACCTTCTACTATGGCACAGGTAGCAACCCCTGCAGTGGGGTTGTTCTGTGGTGGTGTTCTAGAAGTGGCTGAGCAGGGACCAGACTGCAGCCTTGGATACAACTACACTTACAATTTGGAAATCACGGAGGGAAGCACATCCTAGTGCTCACCTACATCAGTCCACCAGCTACTGTGAGCAGAACCAATCCCGGGGCCCTTTGAGACGGAATCTCGGCCAGGTGCGGTGGCTCATACCTACAATCCCAGCACTTTGGGAGGCCGAGGCAGGCAGATCACAAGGTCAAGAGATCGAGACCATCCTGGCCAACATGGTGAAACCCCATCTCTACTAAAAATACAAAAAATTAGCGGGGTGTGGTGGTGTGCACCTGTAGTCCCAGCTACTCAGGAGGCTGAGGCAGGAGAATCACTTGAATTTGGGAGGCGGAGGTTGCAGTGAGCTGAGATCGCGCCACTGCACACCAGCCTGGTTACAGAGCGAGACTCCATCTCAAAAGAAACACAGTCTCCCTGATATCTGGGCTGGCTCCATGTGGCAAAGGCTGGTTGAGCTTCCAGTGGGAAAGTGCTCTTGCGTGGGCTTGGGCCAGTCAGAGACGAGACCCACATGACTAGGTCCCAAACCTTCTCATCAAAAGCCTGCTTCGCCAGTCCCCAGTTCCGAATCTAGGACCTGCCTTTTTCAGGGTGATGGAAATGAAAATGCTCACTCCACACAGGGGAAATTTCCGTGCTTACCTTTGAAGTCTTGAAGTCATGGGGCTGCCCTTTTGCTCTAAAGAAAACCACCACACGGCCACATATTTTGGCACACACAAGTTTTTTTTTCTTTCCCCCAGAGACAGAGTCTTGCTCTGTTGCCCAGGCTAAAGTGCAATAGCACAATCATAGCTCACTGCAGCCTTGAACTCCTGGGTTCAAGCAACCTTCTCGCCTCAGCCTCTCAAGTAGTTGAGGTAACAGGTGCGCACCCCCATGTCTGCCTTTGGTTATACAGAGAAATCAATAAATTGAGCATTCTTTTTGCCCACTTTGAGTGGGAGAGCTAAATGCATTAAAATGGATAGTAATGGCAAAAGACATAATTGAGCAAGTCCAGAGTTATGTCAAAATGACGGGTTTCATCATGCATAAAGGCTATCATTCTCTCCATGGGCATGTGCCACATTTATAACAATATAAAAAGTATTCACCATATGGAACATGCATTCTTCTTCAGAAATGTGTTAAGTACATAGAGCTAGCTTAACCTGTATTTTAGGGTAACAGTTCTTTTTTTCATATTTTCTAATATTTATCCTCAATGTTTCCCTTAATCCTACTATGTTATTATTTGTGGTCCTAAAACTCTCAAGGTTTCTCCAAATTCTTACTCATTTGCTTACCATATTGTAGCAGGCCATAATTCTAGTGGGAATATGTGGAATCTGGAATCTCAATATTGCCTTAAGTTTGGGTGCCGTGGCTCATGCCGATAATTCTAGCACTTTGGGGGCTGAGGTGGGAGCATTGCTTGAGGCCAGGAGTTTGAGACCAATCTGGGCAACACGGCGAGATTCCATCTCTACAAAAAATGAAAAAATTATCTGGGTGTGTCGCTACATGCCTGTAATCCTAGCTGCTGGGAGGCTGAGGTGGAAGGATGGCTTGAACCCAGGAGTTTGAGGCTACAGTGAGCTATGATTGCACCACTCCAGACTTGGGTGACAGAGTGAGATCCTATCTCTTAAAAAAAAAAAGTATGGGTGTGGTGGCTCACGGCCACAATCCCAGCACTTTGGGAGGCCAAAGTAGGTAGATCACTTGAGTCCAGGAGTTCGAGACCAGCCCAGGTAACATAGTGAGAAACGCTGTCTCTACAGAAAGCATAAAAAATGAGCAGGGCGTGGTGGTGCACCTGTAGTCTGAGCTATCTGGGAGGCTGAGGTGGGAAGATTACCTGGGCCTGGGAGGTCGAGGCTGCAGTGAGCTGTGTTCACGCTACTGCACTCCAGCCTGGGTGATAGAGTGAGACCCTGTCTCAAAAGAAAAAAGAAAAAGGCACTTAAAAAATAACACTAGATAATCAAATAGCTATTAATTATTTGTCACGTTAATGACTGCATTTATTTGGCACTGAATGTATAGAAAGGTTTCTAAAGTATCTCCCAATTAAAAATACTTTCAGGCCAGGTGTGGTGGCTCATGCCTATAATTCCAGCACTTTGGGAGGCTGAGGCGGGTGTATTGCTTGAGCCCAGGAGTTCAAGATTAGCCTGAGCAACATACTGAGACCCCTGTCTCTACAAAAAACAAAAAAAAATTAGCCGGGGGATGTGGCCATGCCTGTAGTCTCAGCTACTCGGGAAGCTGAGGTGGGGGAACCGTTTGAGCCCGGGCTTATAGACATTGCAGTGAGCGGAGGTCGTGCCACCACACTCCAGCCTGGGTGACAGTGAGACCCTGTTTCAAAAAACAACAACAAAAATTTCAAAATAACTTTAATTAAATAATAGCTCAGACCTCAAGCCTTACCAATTTTATGTTGTTAGTGAGATTATTTTCCCCAACAAGGGAGGGGGATCAGAAGAGACAGTACAAACGCACTAATGATTAACCCAGGACGGGCTTCGTGGGAGACACACTAATAATTAACCCAGGATGGCTCTGTTAGAGAATCATTTGTACCTTTCTTGCCCCTAGGGTTCTATTGTTCATGATGAGCTTCATTCTCACCTGTCTGCCCTCTGAATTCAGTTGAGCATGGAAGGATGAAGGCAGGGCCCTGACCAGCAGCTGAAACGGCAGCCGCGCCGTACACCTGGAGAGAAGTCCTCAGCTTTGACGCATTTCTCATCTAATTGGTATATTCTTTAGAAATGCTTCCACATAAGCATTTTTCCCTCAGATGGTGAAGCTCCAGAAGCCGTCGTTCTCTAACTTTTTAAAGCAGTGAGTGATGCTCCTCTGCTGCCCCCTCAAGGTTCTCAGTTTTCTCCAGAGAGAGGCTTATTTATTTATTTATTTATTTATTTGTTTAGTTTTGAGACGGAGTCTTGCTCTGCTGCCCAGGCTGGAATGCAGTGGCGCCATCTCAGCTCACTGCAACCTCCAATTCCCAGGGTTCAACCAATTCACCAGCTTCAGCCTCCTGAGTAGCTGGGATTACAGGTGCCTGGCACCACATCCAGCTAATTTTTGTATTTTCAGTGGAGACGGGGTTTCACCATGTTGGCCAGGCTGGTCTCAAACTCCTGGGCTCAAGTGATCTGCCTGCCTCAGCCTCCCAAAGTGCTGGGATTACAGGCGTGAACCACTGCGCCTGGCCAGAGAGACACATTTTTATTTTTATTTATTTTTTTTGAGACGGAGTCTCGCTCTATCGCCCAGGCTGGAGTGCAGTGGCGCCATCTCGGCTCACTGCAAACTCTGTCTCCCGGGTTCACGCCATTTTCCTGCCTCAGCCTCCTGAGTAGCTGGGACTACAGGCGCCCGCCACCACGCCTGGCTAATTTTTTTTTTATTTTTAGTAGAGACGGGGTTTCACCATGTTAGCCAGGATGGTCTTGATCTCCTGACCTTGTGATCCGCCCGTCTCAGCCTCCCGAAGTGTTGGGAATACAGGCGTGAGCCACCGCGCCCGGCTGAGACACATTTTTAAATAACCAAAAAGGCCATTCAAAATACAATATGAAAACCACACATAAGCTGCTCAGAATACAAACTATTGATAGTCTGAATTATGAAAAAAACCCAGTAATAAGACTTTCCATATACTGATTTTGTGGGGTGGCAATTGTCTTTCCTGTAGCATAATTCAGGGATGATGAATCCTTAAAATATATAATAAAAAACACATTTTGCATTTTCAGATAAAAGAGCAAAACTTTTAAAATATAATGTTCTTAGGTTTTAAGATAATCACAGTATAAATCAGTCACCACAAATTCCATTTATTATTTTACTGTGTACACTATCAACCTTTCTGTTACATTTTTGTTCTGAGATAAAATAACTTAGTAGACACCGTAGATGCTAATTTTTAGAAATTGCGAAACTCTCCTTTTCTTAAGGGAATGGAGATGTAAGGTACAAGGGCCAGGCAGGCCTTCTGCTGGCTCAGCACAGCACAGGGCGTCTGCCCGTGGTTCCCAGGCCTTCTGCATTCCTGTCCACACTCAATTCTCTCAGCAACCATACCAAGGAGGCGTTTCTCCATTTCCCAATGAGTGAACTGAGGCAGAAAATGATGTTAAGTCCACTTTCCAAATCCAGAGATTTGGAAATAGAGAATATACATGCAATTCAAATTCAGGCTGGGGCCAGGCGCGGTGGCTCACGCCTGTAATCCTAGCACTCTGAGAGGCCGAGGTGGGCAGATTGCCTGAGCTCAGAAGTTCGAGACCAGCCTGGGCAACATGGTGAAACCCCGTCTCTACTAAAGTATAAAAAATAAGCTGGGCGTGGCGGCATGTGCCTGTAGTTCCAGCTAGTTGGAAGGCTGAGGCAGGAGAATCACTTGAATCTGGGAGGCGGAGGTTGCAGTGAGCCGAGATTGTGCCACTGCACTCCAGCCTGGGTGACAAAGCAAGACTCCATCTCAAAAAAAAAAAAAAAAAAAAAGAACAACAACAAAAGAAATGACTTTTGAGCCAGGCTGGGGTGAAAGAGAATAGTGGGGCCAATTTACCAAACATTAATTTGCCAAAAGCTATGTTACTAAAAGATCGATTTGCCCACTATCCATGATCTGAATTCACCAAATGAACTGATTAACTAAAACTTGTTATAATGAATTCATTTCTTGAAAATATTAAATGAACATTTCCTCCTTGAATACATTGTTTTCTTCTTACGAGTATGTTAAGGAATGTTTAACTTGTCAAAACTGAGGATCACAGAGTAAAAAATGTATTTTTCTTATTAATTTACTCATAAAAATATACACATCGAATACACTAAATAAATTGTTGTGTACATTTAGTATCTGTCAAGATTTAATCAGAAAAACAGAGACCATACTAGGTATTTCAAACAGGGATTTAATAGAGCAAACTGGTCATACAGATGTTAGAAGGATGAGAGAGAGAGAGAAAAATAAAAGAGAGGCAACATATTCAGCCTTAAAAAGAAAGTTCTGACCCATCCTGTAACAGGATGAACCTTGAGGACATAATGCTGCGTGAAATAAGGCAGACACGAAGAGACAGATACCGTATGCTTCCACTTAACGCGAGGTATCTGGAGTAGGCAAACTCACAGAGACAGAAAGTAGAATGGGGGCTGCCAGGAGCCTGGGTGGTGGGTGGGAAGTTACTGTTTAATGGGGAGAGTTGGCAGAGACAGATTCTTCTTGCTGACTGAGCCTTGTTCATCCAGTCCCACAGAGTCATTGTATCTCTTTAAACTAAGTAGAACAAAACTTCTGAGAGACATATTTGCATGGCTACCCTCCGCCAAGAAAAAGGATTTCCTGAACTTCCATCATCAGTATCATCTGCATGATTTTTGCCACGTCCTCAGAACTGTAGCTCTGTTTACATTACATTAAAAATAAATCAACTCACTGACTTTTATTTTTTTTGAAGTGTTTGAAAAGAAAATTTTAAATCATTACTACAAACGAAAAACTGGTATTTGTTTTTGTTTTGGAGACAAGAGTCTCACTCTGTCACCCAGGCTGGAGTGCAGTGGTACAATCATAGCTTACTGCAGCCTGGAACTCCTGGGCTCAAGCAATCCTCCCACCTCAGCCTCCCAAAATGCTGGGACTACAGGGCTACAGGGATGAGCCACCGAGCCTGACTCATTTGTCATAAATAGAAGGTAACCATAAAATAAATGTTAAAAACAGAACAATGTTATTACATTTAAAAAAATAAGCAATTGTTATAATTTATAAAAACGCATACTTGAAAATATGCTCCCCAATGAGAATAGAACTTCATATGCTGAATTGTACTAAAGGAGACTTGGCCCAATGCCACTTAGTTTAAGATGAAATGAGGTTCTAACTCAGTATGGTGATGCTATTCTCAACATTTTGATGATCACCAGCACTGGCCATACTAATTTATAGGTTGTCATTTATTGAAAAGGGCAAAAGATATTTAACTTCCATCTTTTTTTTTTTTTGTATTTTTTTTTAGTAGAGACGGGGTTTCACCATGTTAGCTAGGATGGTCTCGATCTCCTGACTTCGTGATCCACCCGCCTTGGCCTCCCAAAGTGCTGGGATTACAGGCGTGAGCCACCGCGCCCCGCCAACTTTCATCTTTAACAGGGTTAAATTTTGAGAATTCCCAGCTAAAATGATTTAACTTTTATTCTGAAAAGCCTCCTGAATATTTATATCCCTAGAACGATACATAAGAATTGATCATCTTTCCTTATGGGAGGACGTTTTAAAAAAAACCCTTTTCAGATAATTTAGTCAAGAGTGTTATAAATTTACTTAAATTTCAAAGATTTTGTTGTAGAGATATTTTAGAGGCAAAAAATAAATGTAGTTAATCATTGTTGACTTTTTTTTTTTTTTTTTTTTTTTGAGACGGAGTCTTGCTCTGTCTGTCGCCCAGGCTGTAGTGCAGTGGCGCGATCTCGGCTCACTGCAAGCTCCGCCTCCCGGGTTCACGCCATTCTCCTGCCTCAGGCTCCCAAGTAGCTGGGACTATAGGCGCCTGCCACCACGCCCGGCTAATTTTTTGTATTTTTAGTAGAGACGGGGTTTCACTGTGTTAGCCAGGATGGTCCTGATCTCCTGACCTCGTGATCCGCCCGCCTCGGCCTCCCAAAGTGCTGGGATTACAGGCGTGAGCCACCGCGCCCGGCCTCATTGTTGACTTATATAATGTCTGGTTAAAGAATTCAGGTTGGGTTAACCAGGTGGGCAGTTGGTTTCTTAGAATAGTTCCTACCCATCAGAAAGACATGTAGGCATTTCATTAATTTCCTTCCAGAAGGAGGTCTCTGCCCATCGCCAGTCTCCACATTAGTGTTGCTGTTTTGTATTTTTATTCTTCTTGAAATATCAGCTACAATGTGAGCCTTTGTTTTTTGGCTATTGACCATTTGTAATAATGGCAGCCTTTTCCCATGAGAACCAATTGGAGAACACTCAAGATAGTGATGGGCTATATTTTTCTTCAAACACATCTATCTTCTTTGACCCTTCAGTAATAAACTGTACATTCTTTTTCAAATTAGAAAATGCAATAGGGTCCTAACTGCTTAAATATTTTCACTTTCAATATTTCTTAATCAAAAGGGACTTTATTTAAATGGCTTTTTTTTTTTTTTTTGAGACAGGGTCTCACTCTGTCACCCAGGCTGGAGTGCAGTGATGCAATCATGGCTCAGTGCAGCTTCAGCCTCCCAGGCTCAAGCTATCCTACCACCTTAGCCTCCCAAGTAGCTGGGACTACACACCTGAACGACCATGCCTATTTTTTTTTGCATTTTTAGTAGAGATGGGGTTTCTCCATGTTGCCTAGGCTGGTCTTGAACTCCTGGGCTCAAATGATTCACCTACCTCAGCTTCCCAAAATGTTGCGATTACAGGTGTGAGCCACTGCGCCCAGCCTCAATGGCTAAATTCTTTTTTTTTGTTTGAGACGGGGTCTCGCTCTGTCACCCAGGCTGGAGTGCAGTGGTGATCTTGGCTCACTGCAACCTCCGCCTCCTAGGTTCAAGAAATTCTCCTGCCTTGGCCTCCCGCCACGCCCAGCTAATTTTTGTATTTTTAGTAGAGACGGGGGTTTCACCATATTGGCCAGGGTGGCCTCGAACTCTTGACCTTGTGATCCACCCACCTTGGTCTCCCAAAGTGCTGGGATGACAGGCATTAGCCACTGGGCCGGCTGGCTAAATTCTTAAAACTAGATAAAACATGCCAGTTAATCCCTAAATCATAGAAGATTTGAGAAAATTCAGGAGTGTGATTAAGCAGCAGCAGCACACTCGGGACAGAAACAGACACACCAAACAAGACCACATACCCCATTAGGAGATTTCTAGGAACGGATGAAACAAGACAGTAACTGCTCTGGGGGTTGGGGCCAACTTTCTAAATGGCTACAAATAATCTGGCAGGTTTTCTTCATTGCCAACCCAATTGTCAGTTAATTGAAAGGGGACTATCTCATAGCAATACTGCCCCTAGGAAGGATCTGGGTTTGGGTGTAAGGCAGTTTGGGAGACCAAAACTTCCTGCTTGCCTGTCTGGCTCCTTCACCCTCCAAGGGAGCACATCCGGTGACCTGTCTGGTCACAAATGCCCCACTCTGGGTCACCTCTGCAGCAGCCCAAGAACAACCAATTGTGAGTAGCAAGGCTGGAAAATGCATCACCTGGGGAGGGATTTCTCAATGACCAGGAGCACATGTATTTTTATCTTTGGTGCAGTTTGCTATAATGCTGAAACTGAGGCAGCTCAATGCACATCCTATTTGCAATATTAAGTGAATTTACTTCTTTGATTTCTTCATCAAAGGGTACACCCAGTGCACCCTTTACTTTTCCTTAATGATGTGTCCCCTGTAGCAGAGACCATGTGTTTTACTCAGCCCTTTATTATGCAAGCCTAACGTAGTTTTGGTCAATAGCTTAATAAAAGTCAATCAAATTCTTGATTAGCAAGTACTTCCGTTTTCCATGGTTTGCATGTTTTATGCCATAGGTAACTAATTTGAAAATTGTCAGAATCAAAATGGAGTCAGTCACTAGGCCAGACTCGGTGGCTCACTCTGTACTCCCAGCACTTTGGGAGGTCAAGGTAGCTGGATCATCTGATGTTGGAAGTTCGAGATCAGCCTGGACAACACAGTGAAACCCCGTCTCTACTAAAAATACAAAAATTAGCCGGGCATGGCGGCACATGCCTGTAATCCCAGCTACTCACGAGGCTGGGGCAGGAGAATCACTTGAACCCGGGAGGTGGGGGTTACCGTGAGCCAAGATTGCGCCACTGCACTCCAGCCTGGGTGACAGAGCAAGACTCCGTCTCAAAAAAAAAAGGAGTCACTAATGTTAAGAACACCCGGACAAACAGCTAGAAAGGTCATAGAGGGTTCTCATGTTTGTACGCATGATGACAAAGACCACAAAAATCACAACTTTGCACAAAGGCCTTTGCAACCTCACACAAAAAATACTTCTGCAAGCACACATCCAACTGCTTGTCAACCTTGGACTGGCATCACCCTTGTTACTGACCTGTGCAGTCAGGGATAATTATCTCAAAACAACGATGTAATCCTCATTTCTTCCTTTATAAACCTTTCTCTTTTCGCCTGTAATCTCAGCACTTTGGGAAGCTGAAGCAGGACTACTTGAGCCCAGGAGTTCAAGAGCAGTCTGGGTAACATAGGGAGACTCTGTCATCACAAAATTAAACAAAACCAAAAAAACCCACAAAAACCTTTTTTTCCCTCAATATACTCATCATCTATGATGGCATGTACATTCCCATTGCAATGCTCTACTCCCAAATAAACGTTTTCTTTTTGAGATCCTCTTTTAGGTTGACACTAACAAAAAGAAATGCTATCCAAATGTACTTCCATCTCTTCAGCATGTGTACTCATAATATCAAATCTACAATGCTAGGCACTGCTCTAGGTGCTTTATACATATATTAAGCCTTACAACAACCCTGTGTGGTAGCCGTTAACTTTATGTAAGAGATTAAGGAGCTCCCGCAAGGGGCCACAGCCAGGCAGGAAGTGTGACCCCAGGGGGCAAAGCTTTCCAGCTGTCCACTCCTGTACAATGGCCTTGACAGTGATCTCATCCTACATAGATGCCAGATTCATGTGAGCATGGGGGCAAAAGTCCCTGGTGACCTACAGTTCAGTGTACCGAACAAACCAGCTCTTGCAGCAAACTGAATGTCTTCTCCAAACAGGGACAGACTGCTGCTTTTTAGGGTGGAGCTCCAGATGAGGCAATGGGTGCATTTAGGGCCATGTCTTATGCAGATCAGGCATCTTCAAACACCAGAATCACAGTGTCAAGAAAGTAAAATAGTCCACATACACCACGTTTATGGCACAACTTCACTGACTTTGCAAAGTTTCCCAATATTTTCCACAACTTTCTAGGCTTCCTCCTAATGCCAAGGCTGATTAGAGAACTTGAAAAAAAAAAAAAGTTTGCAGCTGGGCACCGTGGCTCACACCTGTAATCCCATCACTTTGGGAGGCCGAGGCAGGCAGATCACGAGGTCAAGAGACCATCCTCACCAACATGGTGAAACCCTGTCTCTACTAAAAATACAAACATTAGCTGGGCATGGTGGCTCACACCTGTAGTCCCAGCTACTCGGGAAGCTGTGGCACGAGAATCACTTGAACCTGGGAGGCATCTCACTTGAACCTGGGAGGCAGAGGTTGCAGTGATCCGAGATCGCGCCACTGCACTCCAGCCTGGTGACAGAGGGAGACTCCATCTCAAAAAAAAAAAAAAAAAAAAAGTTTGCTTAAATTATCTGTAAGTATTAATAGAATTTAGGTGTAATTCTGATAGCTAATGCTTAATGTGCCTGGCTTCTAAATCCATCTGAACCCTCTATAAGGTATGTACTATTATTGTTCCCATTTTACAGAGAAGGAAACTAAGGCATACAGAGGTTAGGTAAGCTGAGTACATGGTAGACTGGGATTTTTTAACTGACACAGTGATTTGATTCAGAGGTCAGCAGCTATGGCTAGCCTCTTTTGTCAAGTTTCACTGGGATACAGCCAAACCCGTTTGTTTACTATGGTCCATGACTGCTTTCGCACTGCAACGGCTAAGCAGTTTGTGAGACCCTATAACTTGCAAACACATACTTGTTCGGTGACGAGTGCTAAAATATTTACTATCTCGAACTTAGAGAACACATTTGCCAACCTCTGGTCTTAACCATACAGCACCATGGTCTTTTATGGTGCACCTTAGGATCACAGGAGCAAGTTGTCGGGCTGATCCAAACTCTTACATTTTCTACCCATCTGTTACAAAACTTTTAGGGGAAATAGGGGAACTAATTTCTGATTCATATCAAGTGGCACTATTCTGGTTTCCATTACAATCTGAATGCTAGTCAAGAGGACAGAAATGATAGATCAATCAAAAGGAAATACACAATGAAAGCTCCTGAATCATGAAAGAACAGATTTCATAATTATACTCTGCTGCCTTAGTGGAATTTAGAAAAAATTTTTTGTAATGTTTTACAAAAAATTATATTGTACCACTTTTGGATTCATTGAGAAGTGAATAATATAGCTATAATTTATCTTTAAAATGTTTGTATTCATCCAAATATAATAAATACATAGAAATAATCAGCCCAAATGTTGTCTGGCATACACTGTAAGGGTTACAGCTGTGTGGGGAAAAAAGGGTTTAAGTCTAGGGCAGGATGTTGTTAGAATTAACCCCTGCTCCTCAGCACCACCATTCAGAAGTTCCAAGTGCTGGAAATAAATATTCATGCTTCCTCCCAAGTGTGATGTGCATACATTGTGGATCATTCACTTTCTTCTTCTAATAGTGGTACTCATACTTTTAGGGCCGAGAAAGAAAATCTGCTTAGGAATAGCAAACATGGCAGGTTTTGGCTGTTAATCTTTTGTGGCAAAGAAGGTTAAGAGAAGCAAAGTGATTTCGTTTTTTTTTTTTTATTTTTATTTGAGATGGAGTCTCACCCAGTTGCCCAGGCTGGAGTGCAATGGCACAATCTCGGCTCACTGCAACCTCTGCCTCCCAGGTTCAAGTGATTCTCCTGCCTCGGCCTCTGGAGTAGCTATGATTACAGGTGCCTGCCACCACACCTGGCTACTTTTTGTATTTTTAGTAGAGATGTGGTTTCACCATGTTGGCCAGGCTGGTCTCCAACTCCTGACCTCAGGTGATCCGCCTGCCTTGGCCTCCCAAAGTGCTGGGATTACAGGCGTGAGCCACCGCGCCCGACCTGCAAAGTGATTTCTGTGCAGCAGAGAAAACTGACCCAACAATCCTCCTAGGCAGAATGAAGCAGTTATTAAAACATTTAGCTAGCTCCTTAGCCTTTCACGTTGCTTAAACAGGCACTCACTCAAAAGATTAGATCATAAAAATATAATGCTTGCAAGACTGTAAGTAAGCACCCCCCTTATTTATTATCAGACCAGGTGCACCAAGACCATTTATTTGCTTATGTCTTTACTGATGGTTCTGTCAAACTACAACTCCAGAGTTATAAGGTTGCCTCTCATTACAGAAGTGTCAATTAGATTTAAGACAATTTTACTTTTCTTTAAAGATACAGCATTTAAAAAATACTCCAAATTGAGTTATGCCAAAGTTTCTAACACTTGTGCGTGTAACTTGTTACAAAATTCCCAGAAAACGTAAGAGCCACACACATTTTTCCCCTCCAGAAATAGCTTGCATTTATAAACAATATATATCACTTGCTGACATGCAAGACCCCTAAATTTGGTACAAAAGCCAAGAAAAAACTCCATGGATTTTCATCTTGCATAGACAGAATGAGGTATTAAAAATGCTTCTGCAGGTCCTTTCAAAGAATTGTTAGTTCATGGTACATCTCACAGTTAGTTCTGAGCTCTGGGTTTCAGAATCATGTCACACTAACAGCATTTACTACCAACCTTCCCTATTAACTTGATTCAACTCCAATTACCTCTTTGCTTTTCTGCTTTTATCAAGGAGGATGCTGCCAGTCTGCATCTAACAGAGCGCTTCTTTCAGAGCTCTTAGAACCCTGCTGTAAGTACATCTCAGATACTAACGGCATCTGACAATACCACTAGTGTTTAAACTGGAAGGTAGGAGGTTCTTGCTCCCAAAGTGCTTAGCATAGTGCCCAGCAAACACTAGGTTCTCCCAAAAAACATCTTCTGACCACACTGTCATCTGAAATTCTGCAGGTGTGCCATGATTTTAACATGTTTCTTTTCTGCAAGTGTAGTAATAAAGTGTAGTAATAATTTAAATTAAAAAAAGCCTACATTGCTCTAGCTGATTGGCATCAGTACATGAATCGGCTTTGCAGATGCTACATAAGAAAGCAGAAAGGGGTTGTCTTGACACACTTTTTACTCCAATTCCCATTTTTTTCTCCCAAGGAATACAGGCTATAAAGCTCCAAATATTACCACACATTACAAGAGCCCACAGGTATTCATCCACTGAACACAAGGACTGCGCAGGTGGAGTCATTTAATATGCTGCTTTGCTAGATTCGGAAGCCTCCGGGCAATGGTGTTGTGCTGCAAACGTAAAATATATTTGAAGGGCATCTGCTAACAAGGAAACCATCTGTATGTAATCCATTCTATTTTCTATTCCATTTCAGATTTAGTTTTAATAAAGTAATACAAATCATTTAAAGAAAAAACCTTTAATTTAAAATTCTGATCTATGCATAAAATTCATTTTTATATCACGGTTAAATTTAGTACAAACTATAAAAATGTTAACACTGAAGTTTTCAACAGAAGTCTATTAAGATGCCTTAGAAAAATTAAACAACAGCAAGTCATTTACTGCTATGAGGTTAATACATAAAGAAACATTCACACATTTTACTGAAATTTTCAGTAAATAACTTTAGCCATAACACTTATAATTAAAAGTTCAAAAGTTGTGTGTGGCTCTACAGCAATTATAATTTGCAATGAAAACACTAAGCCAAATCTTTTTGAGCTGATCAGAACAATCTTAGCTACAAAATTGGCTGAAATTTGCAAACCTTAAAAAGAACACCAATTGTGAATGGAATAGGTATCATAACTTAGCTTAAAGTGGAAGATGGTAAAAACTCGATGCTTAAGTCTGAATTGCACAAGGAAAATATTAGGGGAAAAAACACTCAGCTATTACTGATAGCTATTACTTTAAAAAAATATTAGATCATTCTTATATTAAAAACATGAAATGAATCCAAGCCAGACAGTACTGAGTTTTTACACAAGCCTCTTTTGTATTCAATGTTGTTTATTGAGGAGTGAATGAGAGACTACTGCCAGACATGCCAATGACACTTCACATTCAAGGGCTGGAAGCTGGAAAGCTTCCCGACTGAGTCACTGTATAAGCCTTCTGGGAAAAAGAACCAAAGTGACATCAAATATGCCATCTTCATGCTTGTTGTCTGTCATCAGTTTTTTTCAACTTTTGGGTCTACTGGTTTGCTGGGTAGGAGGCTTCTTTCTACCCTACAGAAAGACTCACACTCCCAATTCACAATGAACACTGAATGCAGAGCAATTTGTGTGAACACACATCTACGCTGAGTAACTGTTCTTAAAGCTGTTTTTCCTTAAATTTCCTTATGTCTAACGAGAAAAATTAATTTGATTTCCCTTTCCCCTTCAGGTGGGCGGGTTATACCAATAGAAAAATAGTCTTCAGTGCTAGCTACCGCAGGGCTTCCAGGAACTCCTTCAGTGGTCTGGTAGAAATCCATGGAAACTCCATTCTGCAACACAGCGCTGCTCTTCCTGCTTGTGGCTCTCCAGAAGAATGGCCTACACACAACACTACCGATCTCTTTTGCTCAAAAACAAAACAAAGAAACCTAAAGGAAAGGGTAAGCGTTTATTTGGAGTTAGTTTTCTGGTGGGTGACATTAAGGCCCTTCACGCAGAGTTCAGGAGCTCCTGAATGGCGGCCTGCTGCTCAGGACTGAGCTGTGCTATGCACTCAGTCCACAGTCCTCCAGAAGTCTAGGGAAAGAAACATTTTCACAGACTTAGGACGAAATGCTCATTTGGAAGGATTTTAATCATCATCATAGGTAAACTGTAATCATGGCAAAATACCTTCTCCCTAGGTACATTATTTTGATGAGTATCATTGTAAAAGCAAGAAATCTGTTCATTTTTTTAAAGTTCATTTCATTTCCAGTAAGTTTTCTTCATTTTTGCACTGAAAAAGCTACACTAAGCAGGTAACATCTTAAAGTAACCCATATACCACATGAATATAGGAAGTAAAAATCATATAAAGTTTTTTGGCAGATGACAAGTTATTATTAAATCTTGTTTTTTTTTCTTAAGATAGGCAGAAAAACTACACATAAGCTTGTGTTAAGCACCAACTGGTAAGCTCAAAATGTCCTAAGATGAAGGTTTTAATTCTAATAAATAATAAGTACATACGGATGGATTACATTAAGTATAATCCATTTGAGGCTTGGAGACAAGAGACTATGAAAATATAAAAATAAAATTCCTTAGCTCATTAGATTTCTAGTTTCTTCTCATAGAGGACTACAAAGAAAAAAAGGTTTTATCTCCCCCTCCCCAATTCAACCAAATCAGCTTACCTGTACTTGGCGAACGACATTGGCCAGACGTTTGGCACAAGGATCTTCATGTTTAATTGCCTCGTGCATTTCTCCTTCCGCAATTATACTAAATATTTTGGGCAGATTGGTATTGTTTGGGCCAAGAACAATTGGATGATTACTGACAAATGAGAAGAAAACCTTAGTAAGTGAAATTTATAAGGAGAAATATGATTATGTGTTCACTAAAATCAATGGCCTTTTAAATTCAGTAGGAAGAAAACCAGCCAATCTTATATATGAACTCTTTAGTTTCTTTCTACATAAATTAGAAAAAAAAAATACTGGGCTCATCTCTCAGGATTGTTTTAAGGGCCAAACAACAGAATGCTCTAAATACCTTATAAATAATTTGTGATGTGTTAAAAAAAATGTTTTGTATTATTAAAAATAAGTTTAACACAAGTTTTATTTTGCTACTACAAAATAGCTTCTAAAATAACTCTGAAGTTCAAAAAAATTATATAAACATTTCAAGAATAAACTGGGAAATAAACTCAGGCAAGTTTAATGGGAAAAAACCTGATAGCGAATTTAAGAATTCTAGTCTTTGTCACTAAGAGAATTTCAGAGTAGTCGTTTCCAAGGAAGATGATCAAATAGCATGATTAAGACCTGGTCATTTCAGATGTAGGAGCAGGTCAGGAGTATGTAGTCTGCAGGATGGCTGTTACATTCCTTAATGATATGGTCAGTGGAAGACTCAAACCCATTTCTTATGTGAACCTGAACTTAAACAAGTATGGAGAATATACCTGTTGGCCTATTGCTACAATAGTGGCAGTGGTTGTAGCCCTTGAATTTATTCATAACCTAAAAATAATAATAGCGACAGAGCTTAGATCTGACTGATATTTGGGGGGAACTTGGACTTAGAAAACAGACACTAAACAACATTCCCTTAGGCTGGGTTTGGTGGCTCATGCCTGTAATCCCAGCACTTTGGGAGGCTGAGGTGGGAGGATCTCTTGAGGCCAAGAGTTTGCGACCTGCCTGTGCAAAACAGTTAAGACCTTGTCGCTACCAAAAAAATTTAAAAACAAAGAAATAAATAATTAAAGTGCCTCATCTGTTGAATCTAATTTCATAAAGAATAACTCAAAATTAGACCTTATTATAAGGGCAATGTTAACTGTGATATGGTTTCTTAATATGATTTATAAAGACAGCACTATTATAAACCTATACAACTGAGGACTGTGCAGAGATCATGTGGTTAAACCTTAAAAGACTGATGTTAGGCAAGAAAAACCAGGAAGCACTGTGGAGGAGAAGGAAATAAGGTCACAGTCTGCTTTCCTACCTTTCAATCAGGTCACACAGATAATTGAAAGTCTGAACAGCTTCTTCTTTATCTTCATGTAGTGGAAGCCAAGACAACCAGTGTGGAAGGACCTCTTCAACGTTTACACAGTCAGGCTTGAACTTCATGATTTTCCCTACTGCTGAGATGCAGTTCTCTGTAGCATTGACATTTTCTTTGGTCTTAGAATCCGCAGACTGAATAACTCTTACCAGCAGGGGAAGTGCTTCTAAAATAAGCATTTGAAAGAAGTTCAGCTAAAACCTCACATTTTCATGCAAATGAATATATGTATTTTTGTATTTGGTTCAGATATTGATTATGGTAAAGAAATGTTAAAGTGTATGGGAAGTGTTGTCTTCTTGGCTATGTCATTACAGAATGGCAACAGAGGGGGGACTGCCCCAGCATGGACAGGAGCACTAGCCCTCTACTAACTTAGAGACCCAGAGAGATTAGTGGCCTCCAGATTTACAGTACTCATCACATCACCCGAGGGTCCTTAAACTTTAAAAGCTGCCTAACTATATTCCCCAGTAAGTTTTAAAAGTCCTATTCTGCCAGGTGTGGTGGCTCACGCCTGTAATCTCAGCACTTTGGGAGGCTGAGGTGGGCCGATCACGAGGTCAGGAGATCGAGACCATCCTGGCTAACATGGTGAAACCCCATCTCTACTAAAAATAGAAAAAATTAGCCAGGCGTGGTGGCATGCGCCTGTAGTCCCAGCTACTCAGGAGGCTGAAGCAGAATTGCTCGAACCCGGGAGGCGGAGGTTGCAGTGAGCCGAGATCATGCCACTGCACTCCAGCCTGGGCCTCAATTAAAGAAAAAAAAAAAAGTCCTATTCTAAGGCTGTTGTATATTGCCAAAACGCAAAGAGAAATGCACCCTGGAAGGCTGGGGGCAGGGGATGTCTTTGATTCTATTTCTATGAGAATAAATCATCTTTTTATCATCTAAAATCCTAAATGCTACAGATGAGATGTCTGAAAACAGACTACAGCAGAAATAGGCAAATAATGTTTGGGAGTGTGGTAAAGAGAGTAAAGTAGGGATTCACAGGATGTCTGGAATGAAATGCACGTAACGGAATAAGCAAACGTACCTGTACAAAAAGGGCGATAATTATCTCCACCGTACTGTGCCATGACTCCCAGGCCATATGCAGCTGCTTGCCTGACTTCTGGGCTGTTGTCACATACATATTGGAGCATTGGTCTTAAGAAATATTCTGCGTATTTAAATGAGGCTGGACTACAGTGTTCTATGACATCATCAAAGATGCATAATCCCCATTGTCTGTCTGGCCATGGTCTATGTGGACACTACAAAAGAAATTCTCTTTTAAGCTTCAAATACTGGTGTACACAAAGAATGTAAAGAAATATTCACTATAGACTATCTGCTTACATTGATATTCCTCATACAGGCAAAAGAAAAAAGAAAACATAGTAACAACCACTTCTTGTGACCAACGATATTCAATCAAATACACAGATTTAATAAAATTTAGGTTTCAAAGACTTGTATGATTTGTTACAGAACTCTACAATCTGACACTATCACACAGAAGAACTGACAGTGGAAGCATTGTATATAAATTTACTTTGTAAAAAAGACAATGGTAATGCTACATTAAAAAAATACAATAATAATAAAAGCTGCAAAGATCTTAACTTATAGCATTTATTCAACAGGCTAAGTCATGTGTGCCCGAATCTTTTAAAAAATGTACTGCACTACTTAATACAATAAAATGCAAAATTGAAAGCCAAAAAGAAAAATTCCAAACATCTGATGATAGCTGCTAATTTATAATATATTTTTTAAAAACCGAATACACAGCCAGGCGAGGTGGCTCACGCCTGTAATCCCAGCACTTTAGGAGGCCAAAGTGGGCGGATCACAAGGTCAGGAGGTTGAGACCAGTCTGGCCGATATGGTGAAACCCCATCTCTACTAAAAACCCAACAAAAAAACACAACTAAAAATACAAAAAAACAAAACAAACAAAAAAACTGAATACACATAGGCCATTATATGATGTGTTGATGTAGGTCCATAACAGAAACACATGTATCTACTACTGTGATGGGGGGTGTTAATGGTGCTGAGGCCATGCACGCACAGGGGCAGAGGCACATGGGAAATCTCTGTACCTCCTGTTCAATTTGGTTGTGAATCTAAAACTGCTTTAAAATAGGAAGCGTAGGCCTGGGCGCAGTGGCTCATGCCTGTAATCCCAGCACTTTGGGAGGCCGAGGCGGGTGGATCACTAGGTCAGGAGTTGGAGACCAGCCTGGTCAACATGGTGAAACCCCATCTCTACTAAAATACAAAAAATTCGTCGGGTGTGGTGGCGTGCGTCTGAATTGCTTGAACCCAGAAGGCGGAGGTTGCAGTGAGCCGAGATTGCACCACTGCACTCCAGCCTGGGCGACAGAGCAAGACTCCATCTTGAGAAAAACAAACAAACAAACAAACAAAAAGAAGTCTATAAAACATTTTAAAAAAATCAAATATAAGGGTGAGAGAAGGTAAAAAAAAAATACATATATATATATATATGCCCATTATCCATAATCCATGATTGCTGGTAGTACATAACAAAGATAATTGAATTATCTATGGTCCACTAAAAAAGAAGTAACCATTCTGTTTCCTTTTATTAATTTAGGAGGGCACAGATAATCTGAAATAATAAAAAAAATCACTTATATATCTTTCAGATGTGTTAGAACTGAATTGGCCTATGGAAAACCAAGTTAGGAATCTTCAAGCATATAATGAATGAGAAAATATCCAGGGTAATGCAGTCAACTTGATAAAATCAAAGATGTACAATGGAAACAATCATTTCTGAGACCCATTTTAACTTCAAGCATTAGATTTTACGTTGCAGTGAAAAGAATTCCAGGTAAACTACGCAAAACAACTATTAAGAGAGGTAACACTTACAATGAGGTTGACAATTAATGGAAGCAGCTGTTCAAACCATGGTAACACCTTTTCTTTGTAGCTACTGAATATTGAGTGTAAAATATCTGACACTTTGGTCAGAATATAAACATCATTATCATCCTAAAAAAAACATACACATAAACACTCATATGGATTAAAAAGTATATTTTCTATTATCAATAGTAACATTTATAAAAACCTTAAAAAATGCAGAAAATCAATTTCTCATTCCTGTTTTAAGGGTAAATCAAGAGTCTAGAGACCGGAGTAACCCTCAAGTGTGGGTTATCATGTCTCTTACTAATCAAAGGCCAGTCTTACCTCGAAAGACAAAGGTGTGTGGCAAGAACTGTATTTATTGCAAAGATTTTCCTTGGAACATACTTAAAATAGATGGGTTGAAAAATTATCTCTAATTTCTACATTCTGAAACAAAGGTGTTTTCACTATTTTTACTTTGTTTTCAGCAGAATAATCCTCATTTCGGGGTGGATGGTGGGGAGAATGGGGTCTCGCTGTTAGTGGCAATTTGGGCCTACAAGCATGTGGGCACCTTCAGGAAGCTGGTACTACCTACACGGTAGCACTGGCCCACCAAGTGGCCACATATGAGATGCTGGACTCTAAACACACAATGAAGTATGCTTGACAGTCCTAGGTGGTTTGATGAGAGAACTAAGTAACATGGTGAAAAAGGCCCCAGACCGTCAACAGTGTGACTCTAGGCAATCATTTAACACTGGAATTTTAGGTTACTCATCTTTAATATAGTGAAAGCACCACAAAATACAAATGGTTGTTGTGAGCAGTATGTAAATGAACTAGGTAAACCTCAAGGTGTTTTGTTGAGTGAGGTATTACAACAAAATGCACATAGCACCGAAAGACATATCAGTTTAATTTCAAATTACTTATTCATAAATTAAGAGAGGAAATATATCTGACTCCTCTGCTAAAGACTGATAATTACATCAGAATGACAAGTCACATAAATCAGAAATTGAGGCATTTACAAGTCTTTCAGATGCAAGTGGTCACGTAAGTAAGTTCCAAAGGGAATAACTTACCTCATCTTGTAGTGACTCTTCGACCTGTTCATCATAGTCTTCATCTTGTCTTTTAACTAAAACACACCCAAATAAATGTTTTAAATGATTGCCAAGATGGTCAAGGATTATATTCAGAAATAAAAGCATGGAAAACTTACCTTGTCGTAATTCTTGATTTTTAAAATGTTCTTCAAGCTTTGCTTTCAATATACCTCCCAGTTCTTCAAAGTGTTCATTATTAAGGCATCCATCTCCCATTACTTCAATGCACTAATGAGGTTGAGGAAAGAAAGCAATCCATAAGATTTGGGGTGTTTGGAGTCCAAAGTTAAACTCCACTAAGAATCATATGGAAAAATGAACACAGTTCAGTATCCTGGAAGATTATTTACATATGCTTAGCTTGTATTTGTTAGAATGACAGCATTTTAGAGATTGGAGTTAGAAAAAAATATTTTCTTTTGAACACTACTGAGCATACCTAGGTGCCAGGCATCATGCTTGGTACTGAGGATTCAAAGATGGAAAACACACACACACACACACACACACACACAACCAGCTCCTAAGGAACACAATTGCTATATCCATACTCCGTACACACAACATACAAGAACACTGAAGGAAGGGCATTAGAGGTAGAAGAAATAAAATATAGGCAAAGGTATGGAAGCATGCTGTCTTTGGAAAATCAGAAGCAATTCTGAATTACAGGAGTGTAAATAAGGACATATAAAGATGCTGAGAAACTGTAAATCTTCAATCAAGATTGGAGCAAACTAGAGTTGTGCAAAATGGGAGTGACACTGTATGAGAAAGGAAGTGACTCAATGAAGAGGAAGGCAGTGCTTGAGGAAAGGAGAATGAACTGAGAGGAAAAGAAAGGAGACATCTGGAGTAGCCCAAGTGAGGCTATTTCAATGGCATGAAAAAGAGATGGGGCAATGAAAAAAAAAAAAAAGAGAAGAATTGAGGAAAGTGTAAAGAACAGAAACTGGAGATGATACCCAAGCTTCTATAGTTGGATTATTAAGTGCAAGACTAAAATACTAGAGTATTCAGAATTTCTTCTCTTTTTCCAAAGAATGCATGCTTCCATGCTGCTGCCCATATCATTCCCTCTACCTATACTGCCCTTCCAAGGCAAATTTACCCTCTTTAAAACAAACATAATAATACCAAAATATTAAAACAAAAAATTTAACATTTTTATTTTTTAACAAATCATACACTATAGCATATAAAAATTTATTTAGCTGCCTTACATCTGCAATCCCAGCACTCTGGGAGGCCGAGGTGGATCACCTGAGGCCAGGAGTTTGAGACCTGAGGAACATCTACTAAAAATACAAAAAGTAGCCAGGTGTGGTGGTGCATGCCTATAATCCCAACTACTTGGAAGGATGAGGCATGAGAATTGCTTGAACCCAGGAGGTGGAGGTTGCAGTGAGCTGCGATTGCGCCACTGCACTCCAGCCTGGGTGACAGAGCAATACCCTGTCTCAAATTTTTTTTTTTTACTTTTAGCAAGACTAATAAATGAACATACAACCTTATACATATTTTTTAAGAGAAAAATATTCACCTTTGCAAAAGAATGCATTATTTCTGAGAGGACGTCTGAATCTGGTTCTGTACCAATGGCCTTAATTAGAGCATCACACATAAAATGCCACATCTGTGTGAGATACTCAGGACCACGGACTCTTGCACACTCCAGGAGAAGAGGCATGGATTCCGCTGCTGCCACTCGAACACGTTTCATTGTTAAGGAACCTCAAAAGACTGTTTATTATTTTGCTTAAATGTTAAAGGGTTCAATGCACTAAAAGGAGTGCTAGGCAACTTCTGTTTATCTAAGATACCCAAGAGCTTGTGTTAAATATAAAGCATGTATAAAAATAGAAAAGACATACCTCCTGTCTCCTCTGTCACCTGTAATAGTGGCAGGAATGAGTCCAGCAGCAGTGAAGGGCTGCCTATTGCTCAAATGTAAACCAAAATACAAAAATGACTATGGAAGGACCCATGACCATTAGCATGCCTTAAGCTGTACCTACCTCAAAACCTTAGGTACTATCTGTTTCTAATAAAAGCAACTGAAGTATTTCCCTGAAAAAGACCACCGAGGACCTCTTCCTATGCTGGCCTTTTCAGTTTTTAATAAAGATTAAATTGCCTTTCCCTATCTAATCTCATTTATAAAATAAGGTCTTGATAACTTCCTCTTAAAAGCAATCCCGCTTTGTCCTCTGGCATCCTGGGAAGTTAAGTCTTTGTTGGGTAAAAGCTGTCTTCTGTAAAGGATACCACTATAGGATACCGTAAAAGGAATGATGACAAACGGGCTTTGGAGTCAGACAGATCTGGGTTTGTGTCTGTCTACCACTCTCGTGTGTAAAGGCATAAAAATGTACTGGAAAATATTAATTACGGCTATCATTATGTTGAGAAAGATATTGGAACGCAGATGTGGGTGGATCACCTGAGGTCAGGAGTTCGAGACCTGCCTGGCCAACGTGGTGAAAGCCCGTCTCTACTTAAAAACAAAAACAAACAAACAAAAAATACAAAAAATTAGCTGGGCATGGTAGCGCATGTCTGTGATCCCAGCTGCTCAGGAGGCTGAGGCAGAAGAATCGCTTGAACTTGGGAGGTGGAGGTTGCAGTGAGCTAAGATCGTGCCATGCACTCTAGCCTGGGCAACAGAGTGAGACCCTGTGTCAAAAAAGAATGCAGATGTGCCAAGTGATGTTTCCCCGCAAAGGTGCTATCCACATTTGAAATGTAGGGTTCTCACTGCTACAGAAAGCTGACCATCTATCAGTGGTTCTCTAATCTATTAAGACAGGTCTTGCCAGGCACAGTGCTCAGGTGTGTAATCCCATAACTTTGTGGGGCCAAGGCAGGAGGACTGCTTGAGCCCAGGAGTTTGAGACCAGCCTGGGCAACATAGGCAGACCTTATCTCTTAAAAAAAAAAAAAAAAAAAAAAAAAATCAAATCTAGCTGGGCTTGGTGTTGTGCACCTGGGTCCCAGCTACTTGGGAAGTTGTGGTTTCAGTGCGTCCTGATCACGCCACTGCACTCCAGCCTAGGTGACAGAGTGAGACACCATCTCTTAAAATAAAAGTCTTATTTTCTTAACGTTTACCAAAAGATATTTGGGGAAAGTAGCAACTATATATAATTGTAATCATTTGCTAATTATCCTTAAATCCTTAAGTGGGCCACAGAAAGCTGACAAACATAGGATAGGTCACGTTTTCTTTTTCATGTTTTGGCACAAGTGGAAACAAAGGCACATGCAGAGAACCGAGTTTATCACCTAAGAGTACACTTAGTGCAAATACAAACAATCATGGTGAAGTCTACTTCAGTCAACACTGTCTAATACTCCAAGAAACTACAAGTTTACTAAATCTAGACATGTTTTGTATTCAGAAGTTGTAGGATATCATCGTGGAAATAAAATTTCAGTAAAGGGACCATCAGTTTGACAACCTGTTCGGTGTACTCCACAAAGCCTTCCTTTAACTCCTTAGCATAGCAAACCTGTAACCAAAGTATTGGGAGGAAATAAAGATTCATGTTAGTCTTCAAGCATTAATATTAACAAACAGCAAAATCATAAGGACCACAGGAGGTTGTATTTTGACTAGAACTACATTTAAAGTTGCATGTAGAACTGTCAAATTAGTCTTCCAACTAAAAAGAGTCTTAAAAGAAGGGTCATGAAATGATTGTAGTATTGGTGAGTGACAAAAAGAAAAAAAAAAAGGAAATTATTGTCGTATATATTGTCCCTTCAAAGGCTGGAATCATTCGTATTCCATTCAGCAAGTTTCAGCAATACATCAAACAAAATGTATCACTTAATTGAGGAAAAATCATTCTAAAAGATACAAAAAACCCTGAAACCATCAGTTAATTGAAGCATTTACTTTGTAAATCTGTAGAAAACGCTTCTGTTATTTTGTATTTTTAAAAAATCATGGCTGGGCACGGTGGCTCATGCTTGTAATCCCAGCACTTTGGGAGGCTGAGGCTGGTAGATCACGAGGTCAGGAGTTCGAGACCAGCCTGGCCAACACAGTGAAACCCCGTCTCTACTAAAAATACAAAAATTAGCCAGGCATGGTGGCGGGCACCTGTAATGCCAGGTACTTGGGAGGCTGAGGCAGGAGAATCGCTTGAACCCAGGAGGTGGAGGTGGCAGTGAGCCGGGATGGCACCACTATACTCCAGCCTGGCTGACAGAGTTAGACGGATCACGAGGTCAGGAGTTCAAGACCAGCCTGGCCAACATGGTGAAAACCCGTCTCTACTAAAGATACAAAAAATTAGCCAGGCATGGTGGCGTGCACCTGTAATCCTAGCTACTCGGGAGGTTAAGGCAGGAGAATCACTTGAACCCAGGAGACGGAGGCTGCAGTGAGCTGAGATCAAGCCACTGTACTCCAGCCTGAGCGACAGAGTAAGACTCTGTTTCAAAAAGCAAAACAAACAAACAAACAAACAAAAAAAACCCCAAAAACCCAATTGTTTCATTCTCTTCTACTACATCTAAAGATTAATTCTGTTTAAAGATGTTATTATTTGTATTTGCTTTCCAGTTGAGAGAAAAAACCCACAAAAATCCAAAGTGTTTATAATTTATAGATACTAAGTATTGAAGATGACAATAAGAAATACATTAATTTCTAAAATCTAACTTTAAAAGTAAGTATTGGCCAGGTGCAGTGGCTCATGCCTGTAATCCCAGGTCATGGCAGGCGGATCACCTGAGGTCAGGAGTTGGAAACCAGCCTGGCCAAAATGGTGAAACCTCATCTCTACTAAAAATACAAAAAGTAGCCAGCTGTGGTGGCAGGCGCCTGTAATCCCAGCTACTCGGGAGGCTGAGGCAGGAGAATCAACTGAACGCCAGAGGTGGAGGTTGCAGTGAGTCGAGATCGTGCCACTGCACTCCAGCCTGGGTGAAAAAGAGAGACTCCACCTCAAAAAAAAAAAAAAAAAAGGATTATCCTTCACTTTAAAACGCATGCTCATAAAGAAAACAAAAAGAAAACTAGGAACTAAACATGCATATGCACACCACAAACACCATAAGGGATAATAACCGAACATTTTGATTTTCCTGCCATATCTGTTTTTTTACACAATTGAAATCATACAAGTTTTGTTTCACATTAAATAGCATGAACACACTTCTGTTCATTTGTTTAAAAAACATTCCATGGCCACCTACTATAGACTAAGAACAAAACCAACAAAAATCCTTCCCTCATGTAGCTTATAAACTTTTTGTAATGGCTGTATATTACTCCAAGGCACAGTAATTCATCTTCCCACTAACAGGAATTTGGGCTATTTGTTGTTTTTTGCTATTTAAAACAGCACTGATAATGAAAGGTTTATCCATACGATTTCTTTAAAATGGAAAGAAAACTTTACTTTTTAAGGAACATATTACTGGCTCTCCAAAGTAATTTCTTTAGCAGCTATTAAAAGCACTCATATGAAATGTATATAAGATGTAAAATAAAAGTTTAGTAAAAACAGTGCTCTCTTACCAACATCTGGCAAGCAGTTGATTTTTCTTCTAGTCCTGCAGTTTTAATACCAAAGCTTTGCTGATCTCCAAGGTTCACAAATTCCCAACCATCATCATCACTCATATTCTCCATGTCTTGGGCTATTAACGGAGAAGAAAACAAATGCATATGAAAAATAATAACAAAGAGAGAACTATTATAACCGATAGCTCCTTCTAAAGACACCTACTATCTAAAAGGGCTACTTCGGGCTTAATTGAAGCCGTCTTCATTAAAGGCCCCATAACCACTGGAAGGTATTGCTGAAATTCTTTTCCAAGGATTTTGCACATTCTGGCCCATGCTGAGATCATGTAAGAGATCTGGGGAAAAATTTTAAAATTAAAATAGATTAAAAAACAATGGGTAAACGTGATAAAGAAAGCCATTTCCTTATTTCATAGAAACAATGTTTTATTGATATGTTCACAGTACTTTAAGCAGTAAGAGCATTTCTAAAGGTTATGTACTTAAAAGGTTCAGAATCAATAATGAAATCCCTGTGAACTCACTACACTGGGATATGGACAGCAGGTGAGGCAAAACACAAAGACCAGAACCTTGGGTATTTCTTTCTACTTTCAGTAAGTGATAATGGTTTTCTTTCTTAGCATCTGAATCATCTAAATGAAACTAATCACCTAAACAAAACCAAACACTTCATCAACTCCCAGTTACAAATTTTTTGAAGACAGAAATGTATTTTATCTGACTCTGTATCCCTATTGCCTGCCACTCCATTCATTAAACATTTATTAAAACCCAAGAAACAAAACATCCTTTTCTCTTAGCTGTTATAATTTTCTCATAAGTGGCTGAGTATATTTAAAACACCTCTTCTCCTATTACTGTGTTTACACAGACTTTATCATCTGCAAATTACCTAGAGAATCTGGTTCCATTCACCACCCCTGCAACCTAGAAAGTGATTCTTATCCCCTGATATCTGTCATCCACCTACCTATTTATCTATTGAGCATGCATGGACACATGCCCCACCTCTTAATGATTTTATATGTAAAAGTCCACCCGCTCTTCAGATAGGTACTGGGTGTTTCTCACATGCCAGGCATTAAACTATATGCTGGCTGATACAAAGGTGAGCAACACGCCTCGTCCTTACCACCCCTCCCTACAGCTTACAGTCCCCTCAGTCTCCCTACTGTCAGCAGTCTGCTAAGTATCCCTCCTGCCTGTTATCTCTGTACATACAAAACATACATGTATATTTGCATATCATTTTGCAAAGAAAGCAAACAACAACAAAACATGCTTTCTTTGCAAAATGGTATGTTTTCCTATTTAAACTATTACAGTGTGGCAATGTAAAGTCAAAATTTAATTCAACAATTATTTATTGAGTGCCTTGTTATATGTTAGGCATTGGGAATACCATCAAGATATGACAAACATTTATGATGTTACTATAACAGTGTTGGAACTGCCCACCATTGAGACTGAGCAGATCAGGAAAATCTTGTAAAGGATGAGAACTGTGAGCAAGCGTTAGCTGGGTATGTATACCTATGTGTGTATGTGCGTGTGTGTCGAGAGGCAGGGGTTCCTCCTAATGAAATGCCTTTGTCTGTTCGTTGGCGGAGAGGCAAGCAGTGTGTCCTGAGATTCTTGGGTTCTGTATTTTCTGCCAGGGGAGGGAGATCATGCAGCCTTCAAAGGGCTAGGAGACACCCAAATGGAGATGTCTATTACATGTTGGATAAATGAATCTTCAATTCTGAAGATCTGAAAGTTGCAAGCACACAGAGGAAACCGGAAGCCATGTCTGTGAGTGACACTGCTCCACAGGAGTGAGAAGAGAGCCTTGGATAGAACCCACAAACACCAAAACTTGAGTGAGAGTCACAGAAAGCAAGAGCAACCTACAACAGACTGAGAAAAAGTAGCTTGAGAAACAGAAGGAAAATCAGTGAAGAATGTCTCTGCTAGCAGGGGTTGATAGTATGTCAAGAAACCTATCACTCCTTTTGTTTTAAATATATTGAACCATGTGCTGTCCACAACTCATTAGCGGATCAAAGCAAATGCATTAAGACCACTTACCTGAGGATCATCATCTTCCATATCATTGAAGTCTGTCTGGGTCTTTAACAAAAGCTGCATCACATCTGATGCATCCTGCATGAACTAGAGGAAAATATGTAGAGACACACTTGTTGATACCGAATTTTGTTTCTTGTGTAATTAGCAAAGCTTTGCCAAAAAATCGACTACATTGCCCACATAGGTCATAACTTTCATAGATAAACTATCATATTGAAAAATTCTCATCTATATTGTGACAGATTTAGTTCACTTTCTAGAAAAATATATTTTCCACTGAAGGGCAGGGAACTACAGTATAAAGGTACTTCTAATGGCATCAGGTGTTAGTCTATGGCTTACGCATTTCAAGCAGTAAAACTGAATTCAAATTCAGAAAGAAAATTTTAGATTGTTTATAGAATTCACTGCATAAAATTTTGTCTATGATTTTCACTTAACTCTTTGCAGTTCTGGTAATCTCCATTGTATAAACAGGCAGCGTTTTAAAGAGACATTGAAAGCCAGATATATAGAGTATGGGACATACAAATATTTTATTGGTAAAAAACATACCAATGTTTTAGTGGTCAGCGTCTCACAGAAACCAGTTCCAAATATAAATTAATACTGATGCTGGTTTTGAAGAAGGCAAGACAGAGCTTCTCTGTTGATAATTCTCAGGGTCAGAACATGAGGATTCAATGACAGAGAAACTTCTTTTGCATTAGCTTGAACAATTCTGAGATGTTGGCTGAGAAACACACTGGCCAATGGTCCTTGGTAATTATTTTCTGAAGATCTATATGCATAGATTTCTCTCTTAGAACACTTGATGCATTTTAGATTAATAGGAAAGCAAGTGACATGTTTCCAAGCACATATTTAAAGGGAACGAACATGGATACTGACTTCCACACACCTCCCACGAGATGCACTGTGTGTGGTGGGGAAAGGAGGAGGCATCAGGAGCACAGCTGAGCTAAAAAGAAACCTTAATATTAACAATGAAAAGACGGGCTGGGCGCGGTGGCTCACACCTGTGAGCAGACTGCTTGAGGTCAGGAGATCAGGGCTAGCCTGGCCAACACAGTGAAACCCCATCTCTACTAAAAAAAAAAAATACAAAAATCAGCTGGGAGTGGTGGCAGGTGCCTGTAATCTCAGCTACCTGGGAGGCTGACGCAGGAGAATCGCTTGAACCCAGGAGGCAGAGGTTGCAGTGAGCCAGGATCATGCCACTGCACTCCAGCCTGGGTGATAGAGTGAGACTTGGTCTCAAAAAAAAAAAAAAAAACACCAAACCAAACAAACAAACAATGAAAAGATGAAGGCAAGAATTTGTATATAAAACAGGAGCAATGTGAAAGGAGTAAGGAAAAAAACAAGCATCCAGAAAACCATTTTTCAGAAGGAAAAAATCCCTCTAGTACTCTCAATGCCTCCACAGCCAAGTTAGGTACAGTAAATTTAACATAATAGAAATTACAGGCCGGGCACAGTGGCTCACGCCTGTAATCCCAGCACTCTGGGAGGCCGAGGCGGGCGGATCACGAGGTCAGGAGATTGAGACCATCCTGGCTAACACAGTGAAACCTTGTCTCTACTAAAAATACAAAAAATTAGCCGGGCGTGGTGGCGGGCGTCTGTAGTCCCAGCTACTCGGGAGGCTGAGGCAGGAGAATGGCATGAACCTGGGAGGCAGAGTTTGCAGTGAGCCGAGATCGTGCCACTGCACTCCAGCCTGGGTGACAGAGCGAGACTCTGTCTCAAAAAAAAAAAAAAAAAAAAAAAAAAAAAAAAAAAATTACTTACTTTTTCCTTCCCAACAGCCAGACCAATGAGGCTAATGCATTCAATAGTTTTTCCTCTCAGAAGTCTCAGTTCTTTTTGAACCGCATTCTCAACGATGTGCTTCAGTGATGGCATAAATAAATCATAGTAGGGGACAAATTTTTCTTCTGCAGTATCGGCAACTGATGCAATGGATGTCACAACTTGTTCCAAAACTAACTTGGTGCCTTTCTGAATCAGCTAGAAGGAAGACACAAATTATTACCTCAAAGGAAAACTGGAAGAAGTATTTAAATTTACAATTACTACTCCCTTCAAGTTCTTGAATGCTTTTCTGAAACAGCAGAATGAGACCACCTCTCCAGAAGCAGAGACTGTAGGTTTTGGAGGAAATTTCTATAAAAAGAATCTATGTTGAACTATTTATGTGAGATTTTTTTTTTCTCTCTTCTATTAACACAACACCTCTAACTCATGTTAGTCTCATCTCAAAGCACAGCTAATTCTTGAGTACAGATACGGAATCAAAATTTTTGTGTTCATCAACTTTAATGCCTACACTTCATCCTCATTTTTTTCTTCACTGATTTCCTCTACTTATGATTATATTTTGTGCTGTCTTACTACGTCATAAAGAAAATTCCCTCTTTGGCCCCTTCCTTTATCTTCTAACCCCCTCTCCCCAGAAGATCGCACGAAGGAACCCTGCTGCCTTCTCTTGCATCTGTCTTGCTGAAACAGATGAGATGACCTTTTTCTCTGCACCAAAGATCTGGTGTTCTCTGACCCAGCTAGTAACAAATGCTTACTAACTATTTGCTGCTGGGCCCGTCCTGTCACCAGCAATATTTTAAAATAATTCTTCTGTAATCCCAGGACTCTGGGAGGCTGAGGCAGGCGGATCACCTGAGTCAGGAGTTCAAAACCAGCCTGGCCAACATGGTGAAACCCTGTCTCTACTAAATAAATAAATAAATAAATAAATAAATAAATAAATAAATAAAAATTAGCCAGGTGTGGTGGCACACCCCTGTAATCCCATTACTCCGGAAGCAGAGGAAGGAGAATTGCTTGAACTGGGGAGGCAGAGGTTGCAGTGAGCCGAGATTGCGCCACTACATCCCAGCTGGGTTGACAAGAGCAAGACTCTGTCTGGGGAAAAAAAAAAAAAGAAGCCAGGCACGGTGACTCACACCTGTAATCCCAGCACTTTGGGAGGCCCAGGTGGGCGGATGACTTGAGGTCAGGTGTTCAAGAACAGACTGGCCAACATGGTGAAACCCTGTCTCCACTCAAAATACAAAAATTAGCCGGGTGTGGTGGGTGCACGTCTGTAATCCCAGCTACTCGGCAGGCTGAGGCAGGAGAATGGCTTGAACCCGGGAGACGGCGGTTGCGGTGAGCAGAGAGTGCGTTATCGCACTCCAGCCTGGGCGAGACTCCATCTCAAAATAAAAATAAATAAATAAATAAATAAAATAAAATAAAATAAAATATTAACTCATATGAACCTGAGCCAGTTACTACTCCAGATTTTCATAATTCCCCACGTCAATTACACCCACACTCTCAGCAGAGTTCTTTAACTTGTGTTACACATTCAACTATGTCTTGAGAAAGCCATCTTACTTTCTGCTTCTGTACCTCAACCTCTGCTCCATGTTTAGTGTGGACTGTGCTGCTGGCCCCAGAGGAAATGTCTTTCCTCCTCTGCTAGGCTACCTTCTCTTCGTACAACTCTTCCTCGTGAACACTGTCCTCCTACCATCCCATCCCAACAACTCCTTCCACTTATCTTTAAAAACCCATATAGTGCCTCACTGCAGGAAGGAAGGGCAGGGGTACACACAGACTATCATACCACAGCCATCCACCCAAACCTGTAAAGTCATGTTGGATCCATCCATTACTGATTTAACCAACCAACCAATCTGCCTTCAACTTGGGTCCACCTCGGTCTGCCTTCGGGCACACGAATGTTTCCTTTATCATATTCTTAGTCTGCTGTCATCTGATACTGAGCACTTGGGCCTTTGTTTATAAGTCCTCTGTCTTTGGCTTCTGAGACATTGCATTTCTTGTTTATCTTGCTCTCTGACCAATTGCCAGTGCTATGCAAACTGTGGTTTGTTAACTATTTGCTACCAGTTCATATTAAGTATAGGAATTGAGGGCATTAGAAACTTTTATAGCAATTTGAGAGCAGGTTTATCTTTTATTTTCTATGCCTTCTATTCATTTCATTTTTATAGTAGTAATCCATTTTCATTGCATTTGACAATAAACATTTGACAATAAACTGGGCTAAAATCCTTGCTTTTCGCATCTACATCTCTCACACACTGTGCTGGACTAACATCATTCAATTGTTTTCAGGTTGCATCCCTTATTTCAGCTGTAACTATAATCATTTTTACTTGGATACTCAAAAATGATGTTGCTTCTACAACTTCTGTATTTCTGCCACTCTGGTTAGAATACTCAATGTTTTTTAATTTCTTCTCTTTCATCTTTTTTTTTTTGAAACAGAATTTTGCTCTTGTTGCCCAGGTTGAAGGGCAGTGGCACCACCTCAGCTCACTGCAACCTCTGCCTCCCGGGTTCAAGTGATTCTCCTCTTAGCCTCCCGAGTAGCTGGAATTACAGGCGTGCACCACCACACCCGGCTAATTTTGTATTTTTAGGAGAGATGGGATTTCACCATGTTGGCCAGGCTGGTCTCGAACTCCTGACCTCAGGTGATCCACCTGCCTCAGCCTCCCAAAGTGCTGGGATTACGGGGATGAGCCACCGTGCCGGGCCCTTTCATCTTTTAAAATTCAAACTGCCAGAAACAAACTGTTAATGCTTCCCATGAAATGTCTTTTAGAATCACCTCTTCCACTATTACTATCTAAGCTCCCTGGACGATGACAGTATGATGGTCTTGCCTTAAATCTTCTCCCTTTTTTGTGTATGCCTCACCCAATGCTACCACACTAATTTTTTACCATATGATAATTTCCTGCAGCATTTAAGAACACAGAATGGTTTTTCACACTTTACATAAATCAGAGTTCAAAAACTTCTCTGCCTTATTTTCAGGGTGATCCATATACACTGATTTTACCTGACCTTTAGCTGTATCTTTCCCAATTCCAATTATCAGCCCACATTTTGGTCAATCTGAATTTCTCTACTCATCATTCCACAACTCCGAATAGCCTCCTCAGTTTTTGTACTTTATATTCTTTATGGTCATGCTGCAAGTCCCTCTTTCTCCAGTTCTTACCCATCAAATCAACCCAAATTAATCTACAAACAGAAAGCAGCCTACAGATCTTAAAACTTACCTCTTGAAGCTTCAGTACCATAATGGAATGCAGATGTTTCACCAAATTATCCAAGTATGGAATAAGTAGTGACTTGGGACAGTCTTCAGTAAAGTTAATGAGGGCAGCAGCTGCATGGGCCTGCACACGTTGATTGCCTTGGTCTTCCATGGTCTGCAGCAGAGCTGCAATCACCTGTGAAATGAAACCAAATGGGCACACATGTTGAAATGTCCACCCTTCTTCCTAAAGTCTGATTTAAGTGTTTGAGGACTTGTTACTTACCTTCTCATGAAATTTCTTTTGGAAACCAGGTGCAAAATCTGTAGCCATCTGTCCCACGGCATTACAGGCTGCATACCTTACTCTTGGATGCTGGAAAATGTTCCCTTTCATTAGTAAAAGCAAGAAGGTTTCCACATGAAGCTACACTAATCATTTTGAATCAAATATTTACTGGTACTTACAGGATCCTGGAGAAAAAGTAAAACAAAATTTACGATCTCATTTAGAATTCCTTCCATTTGCTGGTGGCACCCTTCACCAATGGCAGATAAGGCCATCAATCCTGCATGCCGGTATTTCCAGTCAGCTACCGAAAAAAATTACAGATGGAATAGCAATTACACACTATAAACATGTCATTCTGGTAGAGGGAGATGTATAAAAGTTCTTATTTGGAAAAGAGTAACAAAACTTTTTTGAAAAGGGTATATGTATATATAATATAAAAACATTTGTATAGGCCGGGCGCGGTGGCTCGCGCCTGTAATCCCAGCACTTTGGGAGTCTGAGGCGGGCGGATCACAAGGTCAGGAGATCGAGACCATCCTGGTTAACGTGGTGAAACCCCGTCTCTACTTAAAAATACAAAAAATTAGCCGGGCACGGTGGCAGGCGCCTGTATTCCCAGCTACTCGGGAGGCTGAGGCAGGAGAATGGTGTGAACCCGGGGGGGCGGAGCTTGCAGTGAGCCGAGATCGCGCCACTGCACTCTGGTCTGGGCGAAAGAGCGAGACTCTGTCTCAAAAAAAAAACAGAAACAAACAAACAAAAAAAACAAAAAACAAAACATTTGTATATTTACTTTTTAGAAAAATGAACAGAAAAAGTGCGTGACTACTTGATTCTAAAAGTATGTATCAGGCCAGGCGCGGTGGCTCACACCTGTAATCCCAGCACTTTGGGAGGTTGAGGCGGGTGGATCACTTAAAGTCAGGAGTTCAAGACCAGCCTGGCCAACATGGCGAAACCCCGTCTCTACTAAAAATACAAAAATTAGGCCGGGTGCAGTGGCTCATGCCTGTAATCCCAGCATTTTGGGAGGCCAGGGTGGGCGGATCACTTGAGGTTAGGAGTTTGAGACCAGCCTGGCCAACATGGAGAAACTCCATCTCCACTAAAAGTACAAAAATTAGCTGGGTGTGGTGGTGTATGCCTGTAATCCCAGCTACTTGGGAGGCAGAGACAGGAGAATTGCTTGAAACTGGGAGGTGAACATTGTAGTGAGCCAAGATTGCACCACTGCACTCCAGCCTGTTTGACAGAGTGGGATTCTGTCTCGAAATAGCTGGGCGTGGTGGCATGTGCCTGTAGTCCCAGCTACTCAGGAGGCTAGGGCAGGAGAATCGCTTGAATCCAGTGGGTGGAGGCTGCGGTGAGCTGAGATCACATTACCCTGGGCAACAGAGCGAGATTCCACCAAAAAACAAACAAATTTCTAACTTAATACTTCTGAATTTTAATTTAACAAAAGAACACATTAACTTTATAATTAAAAAACACAAATGAAAATAAAACACATACAACAATAAACTTTGGGATTGATATATATATTACAGGTACAAAGGTAACTGAAATATTCATAGAAATAAAAAGGAAGGATGGCCAGGTGTGGTAGCTCATGCCTATAATCTAAGCACTCTGGGAGGCTGAAGCAGGAGGACTGCTTGAGGCCAGGAGTTTGAGACCAGCCTGGGCAACATGGCGAAATCCTGTGTCAACAACAACAGCTGCCCTCCAGGGCAGGTGGGCTTCCACCATCACCTCCGTCAGGGGCAAAAACAGAAAGAAAGAAGTGGTTTCTCTTTTGATAACATTAGATAGAGTTTCTTCTTTTAAAAATAAAAGATATTGGGTGAAAGAAGAGTATATGATTCAAACATTCTAATATTCCATAAAAATTCAAATAATAACATCATTTTCAAATTCAAATCTAAATACTTTTGGCTAGGAAGTAAATCTGTACATTTTCTTTGGGATTGACAATTTTATCGGTAAAATAAATGAATTGGGTTAAATATGGATGATAAAAAGACAAAGATTAATTTTTAACAGTCTAAACATATCTTAGAATTTAAGCTTTAGAAAGGGCACAACTTCACTCTTCTAGCATTTGAAGGACACAGCTTACGATTTTGAAGCATTTGCATAATGTGTTCCTTGATCATCGGCAGAACGAGCTTTCCACCAAGTCCGCAAGCCATTCGATCTAGAGCACTCTCGCCTGCAACTGCATTGCTAAACACATAAACAGAATTATGTACTCAATATATCTGAAACACAAAAGAAATAGTATACTCTACAGACATACTTCTAACCATATTATTATTAAACTAAGACTGAGAAAGAATTCAAGCTGTCTTTAAATGTGGAATTGAAATTAGGGGTTAAAAACTCTGCAGCTTAGAAAAGAAAAAAGAGTAAATGTTTTTATCATGATCCACCATAGTTTAGAAAGTCATGCCTGATTCTTATTTTTCTTTTTTTTTTTTGAGACAGAGTCTCGCTCTGTCACCCAGGCTGGAGCGCAGTGGCACGATCTCGGCTCACTGCAAGCTCCGCCTCCCAGCTTCATGCTATTCTCCTACCTCAGCCTCCCGAGTAGCTGGGACTACAGGTGCCCGCCACCACGCCTGGCTAATTTTTTTGTAGTTTTAGTAGAGACGGGGTTTCACCATGTTAGCCAGGATTGTCTTGATCTCCTGACTTTGTGATGCGCCCGCCTGGGCCTCCCAAAATGCTAAGATTACAGGCGTGAGCCACTGTGCCCAGCCTGAATCTTATTTTTCAAGACCACCCCCACCCGCTACTGGCTAAAAACTGTTCTCAGAAATAGCTTCTGACACTTTCAACACTCCAGTAAAAGCAGTATTGAAAGAGCCTCATGTATTTCATTTCCTAGAAATACAGTCTTCAAACCTATCAATGAACAGAACATAGAAAACTGAAAAGGGTGCAGAGAATGTATAATCTTCCCCACTGTGAGTTTATTCACCCTTAAAGGGGTGCAAACTGCACTGCCAAAAACTATGCATAGCTATGTGAAACTCAATTCTATTGTCTTCTCTGAAAGCCAAAGGAATGTGGGCATAAAAGCATTTGGACTTATCCTGGCTTAGAACTGGAGGATCAGTAGTGTATTTCATGTGCATTATCTTTACTATGTAAAGACAATACTATAAAAATGAAACTATAAATTATCTTCAGAACAGGTTTTTAGACTTAAAAAAATCTCACCCTGAAAATATATTTATGCTGTTTCACAAATGAGAAAATCTTATTCATCTAGTTTAGAAAACAAAGTTTCTTAAACTGTATAAATTTAAGTGCCATTTGCAGGGCAAATGAAAGGACAGGTAGCAGCACATTACAGTAACTGAACCAAAAAGGAAATTCGACCTAGCCCTGGTCTTCTCTTCAGCCGTTATCAGGTGATTTCCAGTGAAAGATTACTTTCATATACTTCAAGACAGTATTAAAGCCAGAAATCAGTCATTTTTAACAATGGGATTAAGTCTCAAAAATGCATATATATTCTAAAGCCAAAAATCTTTAATTTTTACTTTTATTAACCTAGTAGTTTATACTGACTCCAAGTCTTTCAGGAGAATAATTTCAGCTTTTTATTTTTTTTGAGATGGAGTCTTGCTCTGTTGCCCAGGCTGTAGCGCAATGACGTGATCTCAGCTCACTGCAACCTCCACCTCCCAGGTTCAAGAGATTCTCCTCGCTTAGCTTCCCGAGTAGCTGGCATTATAGGTGTCTGCCACCAGGCCCGGCTAATTTTTGTATTTTTAATAGAGACGGGGTTTCAACATGTTGGTCAGGCTGGTCTCGAACTCCTGACCTCAGGTGATCTGCCTGCCTCTGCCCACCAAAGTGCTGGGATTACAGGTGTGAGCCACTGCACCCAGCCAATTTCAGCTTTTTTAAAGAAAAGGTGGTAGTATAATGCACTGGGAAGAATGAAAACAATGGTAATTAACCCCAGTCCATTAACTGGCTACATAACCTCAGACAAATCACTCAATCTTCAATCTCCCTTTCTGCAACTGTAATATAATACACCTCTGGGACTGCTAATAAAGTTGATTAAAGTAACAGAGCTCAGAGGTGCTATGTTTCACATACATGTAAGGGGCCATCATTACTACTGCACAGTGAATACAGATTTTGGTTGACTTTTCCTGTATTCATGGGACTTCCTAAGCTGAAATAAATAAGTACAATAGTAATACTCTACCCAGTTGACTCTCATCTTTTCACCACTGGATGCTGCCTATCCTAAAGTTAAACTGCTTTTTACTAGGAAAATATGATGTGTATTGCAGGGAATTTTGTTGAAACAATTATTCTAAGGGAAGTCTCTGCCTGTAAAAGCATTTATCACAAAAAAGCTGCTTTATACACGTTTTAAAAGATATTCAAACTAAAAACAAAAACAAAAACAACAAAAAACTTGGAAATAATTTAGAGTACGACAGTTAAAAACATAGATACTTGGCCAGGTGCGGTGGCTCACGCCTGTAATCCCAGCACTTTGGGAGGCCGAGGCGGGCGGATCATGATGTCAGGAGATCGAGACTATCCTGGCTAACATGGTGAAATCCCGTCTCTACTAAAAATACAAAAAATTAGCTGGACGTGGTGGCAGGTGCCTGTAGTCCCAGCTACTCGGGAGGCTGAGGCAGGAGAATGGCGTGAACCCCGGAGGCGGAGCTTGCGGTGAGCCGAGATCGCGCCACTGCACTCCAGCCTGGGCGACACAGCGAGACTCCGTCTCAAAACCAAACAAAAAACATAGCTACTTTATTTGCTGTTTTCATGTCATACTTTTTTTTAAAAAAGAAAAACTTCCTTGTTTGTTGTTGTAGGTATCTTTCAGTTCCTGATTATAAAATACAACTTTATGTATTAACTATTAAAATATTTTTATGAACTTCCAAGAAACATAAATTTTATTAATATAAATTATACATGAAAACTAAAGAAAATACTACTTATAACATGTGACACAGCAATAAATACAACAGCAAGGCAAAGTGCCCCATATTCCAGGCTTAAAAGTTTACCTTCAGGTTACAGGGTGCAATAGTGAAGAGATGGACCGTGGAGCCCTAGGGCTTTCACTGCCACCCTGGACACAATGTTTGATTACCTGTCAAAATCATCATCTTCTAGTTCATCTGCATTTGCCCAGTCCTCATCTTCTTCCAAATCAACCATCATTGCTAACATCTGAGGAACTAAAGTAAACAATTATTTCATACCCGAAGACTGTGACTTTATCTTATCCATATCACTATTTATAAACAAGAATTTTAAGATTTTACTTTGCCTGTAAGAGAACAAGACAAAACAATTATTTGTCTGTGCCCCCAAAACCTGGTTTGTTAAATTTTAACCTTGTTATATTTGCTTTTATCGTTTCTTTAAAAAGCAACATTCATTAAGTCAAACCCTCCTATGAAATTCCCAAATCCGATTACATTCTCCCCATCACCAGAGGTAAGAAGCAACATCACAAATGTTTCTCATTCCGCAATTGTTTTTTCACACTTGAACTACAGATTTCCATATCTCTATACAAAATTATAGTACTATTTCAAGATTTGATTTTTTATATAATAAATGGTTTCATAATATATGTACCTCGGCAATTTGCTTTTTTCTCAACACATAAGGATTTCAGTTTATTTAATAGCATTCCATTATATAAACATACTACCCACTGTCTAGCTGATAAACATTTTGGTTGTTTCCAATTTTTTCCTCCTATAAAATTTGCTTTGATGAGATTATTACATCTTTTCTTTGACAAGCATGAGTCTAGGCATGAAATTGTTATTACTATCTTCAAATAGTACTAAAAAATTATCAAACAAGTCTAGGCGCGGTGGCTTATGCCTGTAATCCCAGCACTTTGGGAGGCTGAGGCAGGCGGATCACGAGGTCAGAAGATCGAGACCATCCTGGCTAACATGGTGAAACCCCAAAAACAAAAAAATTAGCCGGGTGTGGTGGCGAGCACCTGTAGTCCTAGCTACTCAGGAGGCTTAGGCAGGAGAATGGCGTGAACCTGGGAGGTGGAGCTCGCTGTGAGCCAAGATCACACCACTGCACTCCAGCCTGGACGACAGAGCGAGACTCTGTCTAAAAAAAGAAAAAAAGAAAATTACCAAACAAGCTGCGCTCTGCACAGCTGTTGCATAAACTATGTGAAGTTTAAGTGGAGGTCTCCGTTATTTCACAAAAATGTGTGAAGTGCCCTGGGGGTGGAATAAGCGTCCTCTCAGTTCCACATCTTTTATTAACAATTGATACTGTCAAACTTCTGGACAACTTGTATTCCACAATTACACTTGTTTTTATTGAGACTTAGCAGGGTTCATTAGCTATTTCAGATCCCTCTTTTACGAATTTCCTGACTGGGCCTGCTGGTGCACACCTGTTATCCCAGCACTTCGGGAGGCTTAGGTGGGAGGATCCCTTGAGCCCAGGAGTTCAAGACCAGCCTGGGCAACATGGTAAAACCCTATCTCTACCAAAAAACACAAAAATTAGCCAGGTGTGGTAGTGCGTGCCTGTAGTCCCAGCTACTTGGGAGGCTGCAGTGAGCTGAGATCATGTCACTGCACTCTAGCCTGGATGACAGAGCAAGACCCCATCTTAAAGAAGAAAAAAGCAATGAATTTCCTCTTCTCAGCCTTTGTGTATTCTCTAGATAACAAAACTGTTGATTGTGTGCACTGTAATTATTTTCTTCCAGTTTGTGGCTTATTTTTTCAGTTCATTTATGGTGTATCTGATTGGTCAAAAAATTGTTTTCGCATTTGCCAATTTGGCAATGTTTACATCAATGGTTTGTGATTCAGTCTTAGAAAATTATCTACTATTAAGCATTACTTGTAAAATATATCTGTAATATTTAGCCCTTAACTTTTTTAACTAGTTCCAGCGTGCAAGGTAATATTCAGGTCTTGAGTAGACCCCAAATTATTATTATTATTATTATTATTTTTGAGACAGAGTCTTGCTCTGTTGCCCAGGCTGCAGTGCAGTGGCGGTATCTCGGCTCACTGCAAGCTCTGCCTCCCGGGTCACGCCATTCTCCTGCCTCGGCCTCCCGAGAAGCTGGGACTACAGGCGCCCGCCACCACGCCCGGCTAATTTTTTGCATTTTTTAGTAGGGACGGGGTTTCACAGTGTTAGCCAGGATGGTCTTGATCTCCTGACCTCGTGATCCACCTGCCTCGGCCTCCCAAAGTGCTGAGATTGCAGGTGTGAGCCACCGCGCCCGGCCTGTTTTTTTAATAAGCTGTCTAGAGTTGGAATTTTTTTCCCCATAGAAATAACCAGTTATATTCTCAACTCATAAGTGGGAGCTGAGCTATGAGGATGCAAAGGTGTAAGAATGATACAACGGACTTTGGGGACTCAGGGGAAAGGGTGGGAGGGGAGTGAGGGATAAAAGACTACACAATGGGTACAGTGTACACTGCTCCCGTAATGGGTGCACCAAAATCACAGAAATCACCACTAAACCAAACACCACCTGTTCCCCATAAACCTATTAAACAAACAAAAAAAAAAAAAACAAAGAAAGAAAGAATGAAAGAAAGATATCCCAGAAACTTTTTTTTTTTTTTTTTGAGACAGGGTCTCACTCCGTCACCCAGGCCGGAGTGCAATGGTGCAATCTTGGCTCACGGCAGCCTTGACCTCTTGGGCTCAAGCAATCCTCCATCTCAGCCTCCTGAGTAGCTGGAACCACAGGCGTGTGCCACCATGCCCGACTAATTTTTGTATTTTTGGCAGAGAAAGGGTTTCGTCATGTCGCCCAGGCTGGTCTCAAACTCAGCAGCTCACATAATTTACCCACCTTGGCTTTCCAAATTGCTGGAATTACAGGCCTGAGCCAGTATGCCTGGCCCCAAGAACTTTTGATCAATTATCTTTTTAAAAATGGCTTTGTTCCCATGTGAGCGGATCTTCTCCTACACTCTACCCTTTGTTCCATCCGATCCATTGTCAACACCTGCATCATCAATGCATTCTAAATTCACAGAGTTGATGAAACAAGATCTCCACTTTATTCGTCAAAATTGTCTTGGCTACTCCAGGCCCTATGTTCTTTCAGAAGAATTTCAGGATTGTTCTATCATAACCCTAGATTAATTTGAGAACTGATAATTTGTTCTTCTATTAGTCTTTCAATATGTTATTCAACTTTCCCATATGTCTTGTACATCTTTTGATTTATTCCCAGTTACTATAACTCATGCCTATAAAATTTTCTAAATGATTATTATGAATAATGGAACACTTACAATAAAATGTTCTCATATCTAAGGATCTTGCTTAACCCTTTGATTAGCAGTTTATCTGTTGAGTCTTTAAAACTTTTTGTAGACAATAACCACATAGCCTACAAATAAGCAATATTTTTGTTTTCTAATTCTTTTTTTTGAGACGAGTTTCGCTCTTGTTGCCCAGGCTGGAGTGCAATGGCATGGTCTGGGCTCACTGCAACCTCCACCTCCCGGGTTCAAGCAATTCTCCTGCCTCAGCCTCCCGAGTAGCTGGGATTACCGGTGTGCACCACCACATCTGGCTAATTTTTTGTATTTTTAGTAGAAACGGGGTTTTAGCATGTTAGCCAGGCTGGTCTTGAACTCCTGACTTCAGGTGATCTGCCCGCCTCGGCCTCCCAAAGTGTTGGGATTACAGGCATGAGCCACTGCACCCAGCCATTGTTTCTAATGCTTATAACTTATTTTTATCTCTTAATGCATCAGCTGGGGCAGTCAGTACAACATGAACAGTGATAAAGGAGATATTTTTCTTGTTCCTGACTTAAATGGGAATGTTTCTAAAATTCCAACCACTACCTCAGTGTAAGACAAAAGGTAGGTACCACTACAAAATAAATCTGGTGACGTATTTACCCTCTAAATTAAGTGTTCAAGTACTCATTAGCTCATTAAGAAATGGCTAGGCCAGAAAATGATCAGGTTAGTTCTCAAGTCCTTATCCCAGCACAATGAAACTTAAAGTAGTATTTCCATAGCACAATAGCCATTTAAGTTTCTGCTGCAACGAGGGTCTATAAAACAAAAGCAATGTAATATAGTGAACAGAGCCATGACTAGTGTTAGACCTTGTTCTTCTAATCTTGGCTTCACTGGTAAGCAAGACATGCTATTTTGGTTTGTAGTTCGCTACTGTGCATCTATATATCCCCGCTGAATTGTTTTTGACTCTATTAACTGTGCCCAATATTAACATATAAATGATAGAGTCTGTCACACTCCACTCTAGAAATGTTATTTTTAACACCAGATTTCAGGGTGTCTGCAAAGTCTTAAAGGCATAACCACAATGTGGGGGTCCACGCTTGCATGTATTGAGATGCATTTTCCCAAATTCATCTGATTCTAAAAGGATATTCATTATATTCTCAACAATCTGAGAAATCACACAACCCTCAGCAAATTTATCCAAAAATTTGGCCACAATACACATAAACTATCTGAAGACCATTGACTTACTAGTCTGTGCAACAATATTGGTATGTTTTCTTAACATAGCAGCTGCAGTCTCAGAGAGGGTGACGATCACTTCAAGGGCAAGCTGGCGTTGCATATTGTTGAGGCTAGTGTCTCCACACAACTACAAAGAAGACATATTTGTATACATTTAATAATTTAGATTAGTCCCTGAAAATAACAAACAGAACGTTTACTAACGTACTTAATTTACCTTTAGACTTAGCTGTAGAGTTGCTTCCAAGTGAGGACGCAAATACTTTGGAACAGTATCTGCAATCTCAACGAGGGATTTTAGGACAGAATCATCATTCTGGTAGCACGAGTCATTTACCGCCTAGAAAAGATGAAACAGAAAGTCGGTGCTGAAGATTCACTTTATAATGCCTCATTAGCCAAAAGATTCCTAAGATGCTGACAATAGAGAAATATTACTAAACTATTTTTCACTAAATAATTTAGCAATCTATATTATGCAAATGTTCTACCTGCAGGCACATGTATACCTTCCTTCTGATGGATGTTAACTAGAAACATTCAAAACAGATTTACATCTAAGTCAAAATGAAAATCAGTGAAACTATAATAACCATTACAATACTTAAGGCTACCAAGGAATTACTTTTTTTTATAACCAGGAGTCCCTTTCCTTTGTCCTTTTATTTTTTCAGTGATAAGGTCTCGCTCTGTCGCCCAGGCTGGAGTGTGGTGGCACAATCATAGCTCACAGTACCCTCCAACTCTTGTGCCTCAGACTCCTGAGTAGCCAGGACAACATGTGTGGCCACCACACCTGGCTCTTCTGTCCTTTCTTATATCCATGCCCTAGTTTTTCTCATACGCATAGTAAGTACTAGAACCTGTAATACATTTAAAGTGTCCAATATTACCCATTTTATTTATCTTGGATGTTAAGTCTGGTCACTGTGGTATTAAAGTATGCATTTTGTGTTTATCATTATCTATTTCAGAATAACAACTCTTAAAAGTTGTGGTAAACATTTTAACTTACTCTAAATCCAGAGGAAGAAAACCGGGATTAGATTTCAACAGTAACTAGAGATTTCAGATAATAAACTACTAAAGCAATAGTATGTTACAATTTATGTTCTGTCACGAAACTATCTTTTCATTGTGATAGCAGGGGGAGAGAAGTTTCACTAAATCCTTTAAATAACTTATCATGTGGAAACCTTCAATTTTAGCTCCTCTAAATCCTCTCTAACTCAGTGGTTCTCAAGAGGAATGGTTTTCACCCAGGAGATATTTCTTGATGGTCACACGATTGAGGATGGGCAAAGGCCATGGATACTAAATGTCCTGCACCTGTGACACAAGCACAAGGGACTTACATGATCTTCTCATTATGCATTTCACATTATTACAAATCCCAGACATTTATAAAAAGGAGAAAACTCTTTATAATGATCTGAACCTAGAAACTAACTCACAAATTATTTTTTGCCTGGTTTTAACAACTGTTATCCCCCCCTCCAATGTAACTACTGTATCAATCAAGAATGGATACATACAGGTGGAACATCCCAAATCCAAAATGCTCTGAAATCCTCAACTTTTTGAACACAGACACGTCACTCAAAGGAAATGCGCATTTGAGTATTTCGGATTTCTGACTTGAGATGCTCAACTGGTAAGTATAACACAAATACAGTGTTTCAAAATTTGAAAAGATTTTGAGATCCGAAACACTTCTACTCCCAAGCATTCTGAATAAGAGACACTCAACCTCTACTTTGCTTTGTTCAGAACCTTACTATTTTAGGAAATCTTATCACCAATTCTAATGGGAACTGTGGTGTTTGACTTGCCAATATCTTTGCTATTAGTCCAGTTTTAGCTATTGCATTTGTACAGATCACTTGGAAGCCACCTAGTCTATTATGTCTTCCAGTGTAGTCTTGTCTGACCATTTACATAAGGAGAAGCAAGCCATTTTATTATACGTTTCTTTGCATTTCTTTTTTGTATTAAGGCCATATATTAATATTCTAAAAAATTATGCATATATATTACATTACTTATGCATTTCATTTTTAGAAGAGTACATGAAAAATTACTAAAAGATTGCCATAAAAAAGGAGTTTGGAGTCTGACAAGGTTGGGAACCACTAACTTGTCCAATCTTTTAAATTTTAATTAATATAAAATTTTTTTCCCCAGGAGCATAGATTCAAGTTGCCCTGAATATATGCTCTATCTTGTCTCATCTTATTTTGCTTTCTGATTAAAGCAGAAAGTATTCTTAAAAATTAACATCCTTAACGATAATGTGAATTAACCATAAACTTACATTATAATACAAACTATTACACACCCTGTAATTAAGAGTAGTTTCTCCTTATGTAAAATGGGCATTAAATCTCACAGGTTATTTGGTTGATTTAATGGAAATAATCTACATGACCATAAATTCAACAATAAGCATATAATTGCTTACAACATTTACATTACAGAAAAATTTTATAACTATAAATATTGTAAGAGACTAAAAATGTCTTTCAAAGGCAGTAAACATAAGCTTAATGGAGACTGAGATTTGCATGTTTTGTTCACTGCTGTATGCCTAGCGCCAGAACATAATAGGCAATATGAATTTATTGCATAAATGATTGAATGCATTAAAGAACCAAATAAGATATAATTATGATTTATTCTATATTGCTTTCATACCTGTAGGAATCCCGGTAGCAAGTCTGCAAAATGTTTGAACAGAGCAACATTATGCTCATTTGCAAGTATAAATGCAGCTGTAGCTCTAGCAGATAACGTCCTGATCTAAAATCAAGAGGAAAAAATGTCAAACATGAGAAATTTTTGATAAACGCAAATTCAAGTTTTCTTACTCAAGATCAAATTATTCTTTATCAGTAAAACTGGTGTTTGTATTTTAAAGTATAAAAGTGAAAACAACCTCCTAATATACTAATTTCTTTCGCAAATTAGATTAAAATAGATGGTTATATTAATAGGATTGAAATTATTTACCGACGGGTGTTCCTGATCTTGCATACACTGAACTAACATTCGTTTGATGACATCTAAATAGTGTTGTTGCTGGTTCCCAAAAATTCCAGGAAAGTTCCTAAAAGATAATCCAAACATTCTTTAAAAACTACATTATATTAATATCTTGGTAAAGTATGAGCTAGAATCTCTAATGAACTGTTTGTTTACCTGACTCAGTACGCATTAATCCATAGGTTGAACATCATCTACCCATTCTCTAAGCAATCCTGTTTTTGGGTTAAGTGAATGAAAACATACTGGAGAAGTCTGGGCTGGGAGTAGAGGCTACTCAGCAGCCCATTCCCAGCTACATGCTTTTATCCTTATTACTCTGTCTCAGTCGAAAGCTGACCTGGAGTGCAGGATGGGACAAGAGCAACCACAGGTTTTCAGATGAAAACTACAAGAACTATGCTCTCCGGCCATCTGCATTCTCTAATCTGAATTACTGATATAAACAAAGATATATATGACAACTAAAGTACAAAATGATACAAAGCCTAAAATGTGTATGATCTTGAGCACATTTTAGGTGTAGTAAAAAAATATAGCACAGTGGGGCAAAGAATAATCACTTAATTCTAAACTTAGACTATTTGGTTATAAATATACAGGTTTCTTAACATATTATAAAATTGGGTCACACAAGACCCAGAAAACATAATGGGGATTCACCTGCATTCTCCTTCTCCTCTTCAAGACACCATTATTAATGTGGCTTTTGAAAAGCTACATCCAGTATTGTGTTAATCTCCAAATAAAGGAGAGGAAACTGTTCAATAAAACTTTCAGAATCATAAAAGACAAAGAGAAAGCAAGCAAGCTGTAGAGAACCTTTGTGTACAAAAAAGATCATAATGTGAAATAAAAGGCCCTTTTAAAAAAAATTGCTTCCAATACAAATACAAACAAAACTTATGTAAAGGCATTATTATCATTTTAAGTATAAGGTTAAATTAGGCTAAAATAATCAGTTAAAAGGTGTTTAGGGCATTCATTAAATCAAATGTCTCAAAAAACTAGATTAATGTATATACCAGAAAATGTGAAGGGCAGCTTCCCGCAGTCCCACATTTTGAGAGCTGACTGAATCAAAAAGGAACTTCAAACCTTCGGGCCACTGGTTATTGCCATCCTCATCTGAAAGTAAAGAAATCCAGACATAAAGTTGTGTAAGTCAGAACTTCAATATACTAGGAGTAAATCCTTTCATTTCATAAGCCTCATTCAAACCTGGAGTAGTGAAAAATGTCACTTTTGCTATTTTTAAAAACTCCACAAAATTCTGTCCTTTAGCCATAAAAATGGCATCACAATCATGTTAAAAAAAAAAAAAGACCAAACAAACCAACAAACCAAACAACTCTGTATTTGGGTTAGATAATCAGATATTAACAGAGGTTCTTCTTTTTTTTAGATGGAGTTTCACTTTTTTACCCAGGCTGGAGTGCAATGGCGCGATCTCGGTTGACTGCAACCTCTGCCTCCAGGGTTCAAGCAATTCTCCTGCCTCAGCCTCCCGAGTAGCTGGGATTACAGGCGCCTGCCACCATGCCTGACTAATTTTTGTATTTTTAGTAGAGACGAGGTTTGGCCATGATGGCCAGGCTGGTCTCAAACTCCTGACCTTGGGTGATCCACTTGCCTTGGCCTTCCAAAGTACTAGGATTACAGGCGTGAGCCACCGCACCTGGCTGGCAGAGGTTATTTCTAAGGAGTGGAATTTGAAGAGAAGGCAGCACTTTTAACTGTACAAATATCTGATTGACTGACTCCTTTATATATACCATTGCTATTAAAGAGTTGAAAAAGTAGGCAAAGCTAGTATTTGGTGGCAAGGTCTTGAAACCAAAGTAACAACTACTTTGGAACTTGAGAAGACATCAGGGTTAGAATCTCAGGACCCATACAGGGTGCTCACACTTTGCAGTTTGGTTCAAATAGTGCCAGAGGATGTTATTAATATGTTTACTATTTAACAAGATTAAGAGATTTTAAATAATACTTTATAATAAAAATGAGTGACCACAAAAATCTACTGTGCCACTTATAAGACTCTGGTTATATTGTCACAAAGACCTTAAGAGTTATACAACTTACAGATGAATTACAGATGTTTTCTTTTTAAACGTCCCCCGATATTTGAACTTTTGTGAAATGACAATTGTGCTGCTAAGCTGACATTAAATGTTTCTTCAACCTAAAGATGATGCTTTGAGGGGAAATAAAATAGCAGCTTAAAAAAAAAAAATCTATGAGAGCACTTTGAATACTTTGGAAAGGTTTGCATTGTTAAGTGTTTCTGAATGAGAAATGATGTCACCTATAACAATTCCTATCTGCATACTTAAAACTGGAAAGTAGAATTTTCTAAACAATTTAAAAATATTCAAAATTAGGGCTGGGCGCTGTGGCTCATGCCTCTAATCTCAGCACTTTGGGAGGCCAAGGTGGGCAGACCATTTGAGGTCAGGCATTTGAGACCAGGCTGGCAAACAGGGTGAAACCCAGTTGGCTCCATCTCTACTAAAAAAATACAAAAATTAGCTGGGCGTGTGGGAGGCTGAGGCAGGAGAATCACCTAAACTTGGGAGGTGGAGGCTGCGGTAAGCCATGATCACACCACTGTACTCAAGCCTGGGCAACAGAACAAAACTGTCTAAAAAAATTAATTTGAACTCATCTAAAATATAAAGAATTGACACATTCCCCATTAGTTTCTAAGAAATGGTTGACATAAGAAAGGATACAATCTGCTAGCTGAATTGAACAAGGACTTACTGTATTACTGGTTGATGAGATTTTAAAATTAGTGTCATAATGTAGTAAGCTCAATCAATAGTAATCTCCCATGTAACCTTGATCTTCATTTCAACTATTAAAAATGCCATCTAAACAAGCTGCGCTTACAACCACACTTATAAATCCCTGTCTAAAAAAAAAAAAAAAGTGGTGGCTACACTCTCTTCTACGAGCAGGAAGTATGAAGATGAGTGGGACAAAACCCAAGACACCATGGAAGCTGTCATGGCCCTGGAGAAGAACTTGTACCAGGAACCAGGCCCTGTTGGATCTTCATGCCCTGGGTTCTGCCTGCACAGATCCCCATCTCTGTGACTTCTTGGAGAGCCACTTCCTAGATGAGGAAGTGAAACTCATTAAGATGGGTGACCACGTGACCAACCTCCGCAGGCTAGTTGGCTCCTATGTTGAGCTGGGCAAGTGTCTCTTCAAAAGGCTCATCATCAAACAACACTAAAAGCCCAGTGACCTCTGAGGGTCCCCCTCAATGTATCAGAGCTTCTGCCTGACCCTCTCCCTCCAGCCATTAGGTAGCTTTTTAACCAAGCTGGAGCCCTCTCCCAGGCACTAGACCAAATGGAAATAAAGCTTTTTGCAGCAAGATAAAAAAGTAGCATGTTCAATTACATTACTATTATTTTTAGTTGACTAAAAAGGATTTTTACCTTTAGTAAAATGCATTTTTTTATGATGTTTGCCTTTTACCTCACTTAAAAAAATATTTTTTGGGCATTAAAAATGTACATAGTAGGCCAGGCGCAGTGGCTCATGCCTGTAATCCCATCACTTTGGGAGGCCGAGATGGGCAGATCACCTGAGGCCAGGAGTTCCAGACCAGCCTGACCAACATGGAGAAACCCTAAAAATACAAAAAAAATTAGCTGGGTGTGGTGGCGCATGCCTGTAATTCCAGATACTTGGTAGGCTGAGGCAGGAAAATCACTTGAACCTGGGAGGCGGAGGTTGCGGTGAGCCAAGATTGCACCACTGCACTCCAGCCTAGGCAATAAGAGCGAAACTCCGTCTCAAAAAAAAAAAATATATATATACATAGTATAGCTACGTAACAGTATATGTATATATTTGTCACCACACATATACAACAGCAAAAGCACTGGAGTCTCTGATTTTTAGTTCAACTGGCAAGTTTAATGTACAAAGTAGGTCATACCATTAATTAGCCTGTGCTTCTAAAACATTATAGATTTAGGAGAAAATGTAACTGCCAATTTTCAAGCAAATTACAAAATTATTTTTCCACATGGATTTTTTTTTTCCTTTTTTTGAGACATAGTCTTGCTTTGTTGCCCAGGCTGGAGTGCAGTAGCGTGATCACCGCTTACTGTAGTCTCCAGCTTCTGGGGCTCAGGTGATTCTCCCATTTCAGCCTCCCAAGTAACTGGGACTACAGGTGCACACCATCACGCCCACTAATTTTTTGTAGAAACGGGGTTTTGCCATGTTGCCCAGGTTCGTCCTGAACTGCTAGACTCAAGCGATGTGCCCACCTCGGCCTCCTAAAGTGCTGAGATTACAGGTGTGAGCCACTGTGCCTAGCCTCACATGGGTATTTTGAATACCAATAGGTGAGTCCTATGACTGGATTTCACAAACATCTATCTGTAATTTCTGGCTCTAAATGCAAAATCCATAAGCACATTCATTTTAAACAGAATAAATGGTACTCAGGTACTTATGAATCTTACTCTAAAAGATTCCATTAAAAAAAAAAAAAAGGAAGGATATACCCATGTTCTTGGTAACATGAGTGCACCTGCATACACACCTATTAAATTCCTGGCCAGTTCTGCCGCAATATCACAAACTTTTTTCCTCATGCTAGATTGTGTTTCCATCTGAATAATCATGAGTAGCTCACTCTTGATGGCAGTCTGAACATCAGAGGGAAGTGCTGGATAGACTTCATCAAATGCAGAGGACAAGAGACGTCTTAGGAGAACGGCGGCCATTTGTCTAGCCTATAAACAGATAACATTGTTAATAACTAGATTCACTCTGCCATTGATGTATTTCACTGTTGTATTTTTATATTTCAAAAGCGCCTAATTTTCTAAAGAAGTAAATATATAACTCTTTCTAATTACATTAGTCTATTATACAGACTTATTTTGTTAGTGCCACAAAATAAGCCATTTGTACTTAAGGTGAGGAGAACTTCTAATCACATTACAATTCAATTAGGAACACATATTTTAGCAATGATAAACCTGTCTTTAATCCCTGTTTTTAACACATTATTTGGGAGAAAAACAAATCTTAAATTGTAAACCCTATAATGAATGCTCTTTTCCTACCTCTCTGTCTGGTCTCATTCTAGAATATCAAGCGCCTTTCCCACCCAACCTTAGGCTCCCAGCCTGACCTAACTTGTTACATAACCGCCCTTTCATTAGCATCTTAGATAAAATGCTTCTTTCATGCAAACAAACATTACGAGTTCCCGATACCTAAAAAGTGCTAATCCATCTCAACATGTGTATTCTTGGATTTTCATTTTCAAATCTGTGTAATTAAGTTTGGCATTTTCTGTATAACATTTCTTGAGATTATCAAAAGAAAAGCTAAGACAAATGCCATTCTAAAATTTTATCAAATCAAGCCAATAAGCTATTGGGAATATTGAACCTAATCTTTCCTGCTCTCGATTTCCCCAAGCTGATGTTACTCATTATCACTATAATTACTTTGGGAATTTGACCAAAAAAAATGTTAAGCTATACAAATAAAATTGGCTATTTTTTTCCTCCATTACTTTTCACCGAGAAATCTTTTTACTGAAACATTTATGGTAGGTAGAAACCTTTACAAATATTTAACATGTTCTAGAAAGAATTCAAAATGGTTACAATTCTTATAAAAGTGGTTAAAACTCATGTGCAATTCTTCTCACACATATACCAAAAACTATAAAGCCACAATCAAGATGCTGTCACTAATTCACAACAATCATCTAATTCTTAAATCTAGTTAAGATTTAAATAAGGCTTAATACAAGTTATTAAAAAAATTCAGTATTCTTGGCTTTAAAATTTGTTTACTAACTTGCACTAATCTTCAAGAATTAAAACAGTCATCTGTTTTTAGTGATAGAAGTTACCCTAGGCCGGGCGCGGTGGCTCACGCCTGTAATCCCAGCACTTTGGGAGGCCGAGGCGGGCGGATCACGAGGTCAGGAGATCGAGACCATCCCGGCTAAAACGGTGAAACCCCGTCTCTACTAAAAATACAAAAAATTAGCCGGGCGTAGTGGCGGGCGCCTGTAGTCCCAGCTACTTGGGAGGCTGAGGCAGGAGAATGGCGTGAACCCGGGAGGCGGAGCTTGCAGTGAGCCGAGATCCCGCCACTGCACTCCAGCCTGGGCGACAGAGCGAGACTCCGTCTCAAAAAAAAAAAAAAAAAAAAAAAAAAAAAAAGAAGTTACCCTATATAGGGTTCTTCATATTTGACATCCATTTTGAGTTACAGAAAAGAACAGGTTACAAAAGCAAAGAAGTACCTCTTGTCATCTAGAAAAAAAAAAATTGGGATACTTTTATATGGCTTTTAAAGTGGTTGAGAGAACATGAAGTTGCTAGTCTAAACTGACTGACTGGAAGAAGTCAGGTGAAACATAATGTAAAAGTTTAGTGTGACTTATTTCCATCAAGGATAAGCATTTTATATACAGTTTGCTAGCAAAAAAAGTCTTACACTACAAACTCTAAATGTAATGTTTTGTAGGTAGAATAGTTTTCTAGACTTGGGTATTTTTATACCTTTTCCAAAGTAAACAGATATTCAATGGCATTCAATATTTATGAGGATATTAACTTATAATCGGGGGGACGGTGGGGGGGGGGGGTGGAATTAGCTACAAAATGCCTCAATCAGTAGTAGGAAACTATAAAATCCTAGGAAATAGCCTTGTTTTTACCATAGGGAAAAGTAATTCTTAAAATTAAAACAAATTTGAATTTGGTATAGGAACTAGGTAATTAGCTAAAAACCATGATTCTAATAAAATATTCTAGAAAATGTCTCTGTTCCTAAGTATATCTTTAGTACATACACTTCATCCAGAGATGGTTATAAGCATAAATTTTTAAAGATGGGAAAAAAATATTTTTTCAAAACATTGATAACACATCAAAACACTGAACTAATTTACTTCTTTAGAATAAATTGTTTCAAGGAAAGAAAACTTTTAGCTGCAAAAAGCACTTAAATTAGGCTGGGCGTGGCGGCTCATGCCTGTAATCCCAGCACTTTCGGAGGCTGAAGGGGGTGGATCACTTGAGGTCAGGAGTTCGAGACCAGCCTGGCCAACATGGCAAAACCCCATCTCTACTAAAAATACAAAAATTAGCCAGGTGTGGTGGCGCACGCCTGTAATCCCAGTTACTCGGGAAGCTGAGGCAGGAGAACTGCTTGAACCCAGGAGGCAGAGGTTGCAGTGGGCCGAGATGGTGCCAGTGCACTCAAGCCTGGGCAGAGTGAAACTCCATCTCAAAATCAATCAATCAAATCAAATCACTTTAATTTAATAATTCTTATGCAATTACTTATAAAACCATTAATCTTCATCTACCCTGGACACATTATCTTATGCGGAAAAAAGGCAACTCTCATTCTTAATACAAAGTACTTCAAAAAATTACATTATAACTCCTAAGTAGCTTTTAGCAAATAATAAGTACAAAGTTCTAGTAAAGTCTATGTGGTTAATCACAATTCTCATTTCTCTAATTTCTACTATGATCATCATCTAATAACTTATTTTCTAAGAATGTAATAGTCACAAATATTAAGGTAGTACCTCTTCAGCAGCTGTTGTATTTCTGATGGCTTGTAAGAGGAATGTGATCTTTGACTGGCCTGGGATATTCTCATAGGTTTCCTGCATGGAAAAAAAAAAATGGTTAGGAAAGAATGTTAGGAAACTTCATGAGTAAACCAGTGAAAGAAATAAACAGTGGGAAGGATGCATGAGAAATTATTTAATCTAGGTCTGGTGTTAACACCTTCTGTGACATGAAATACACTTCAGATATGTTAGGGAAGAGATGTCCAAAGGGTTACTTATCAAGTTCCTTTCTACATATATCTCTTAAACAAATGTTTCTAATGTGTGTGCATGTTTTCCCAACTTATGCTCCCTGGTTAACAAAACTCAAGGCCTAAGAGGGCCAAAAAATTGCCAAATGTGACTTAAGCCATTGTGCTGCAAACTTTAGGGCTCACTTAAAATCACCTTACATCATGAGAAACTGTTTCGTTAACATTTTTAGACTGGATGATGTACAACTGGTTCAAATTACCACTGCTTAGAACCACCAGACACACACCTGGAAGTAAGTCAGAGAAACAAAGTATTCAAATCCTTTATGCTACATTTTCTTCCAAGCAAGGATCATACTAAAACCTTACTACATAGATAAATGAATGTGGTCAGGATAAATTCGGCCAGGAGGCTTTATCGTCTTTTGTAGATCTATTAGCAAGAGGTTTGTGACTCAGGACACTCTATCCTCTGCTAATAATGTAAAATCACAACAAATTGGTTAACAATAAAAAGTTGACACCAATTAAAAGACAGATGATCAGAACAGATTAAAAAACAAGAACCAACTATATGCTGTCCAGAGAAGTGCAGATTCATATGCAAGAATTCTGATGGTATTTGTTCACTGTGGAAAAGAAATCAATTTAAGTACACTTGGAATTGCTTACTCTAAGAAGCCTCTTAGTAAATAGATAATCCATTCTTATCTAGCAATTTAGAGTTGAGTCTAATGTGGGTAACATTGATTTCTTTAGAGCTTACCTGCTCTCATTGCTACCATACCTCTATACGTGGCTTCTCTGGAACAAAGTGACAAGGGAGGAAAAACAAGGCTATTTTGAATCCACATCTAGCTTAAACCTTTTACTAAGTGCCCCATGGCATCCATGAGATATTAACAGATAAGGAAATAAAGGCTTATAAGTTAATGACTTGCCTAAGATCATAGACAATGAATAGCAGACAGAACTCTGGTCCTCTAAGGCCAACCATATTCAAAATCTCTCTGGTACTGAAAGCTCTGTTTCACTTCATTAAACAACCAGTTCTATTTATGCAGTGCTACACAGGTTTCAAACTTTTCAAACATATCTGTCTGGGGAAGAACAGATTTTGGGGGAAAGGAGAATTCAAGATCTTCTGATAACCTCAAGTTCCCATTCTAGTAAAAAGCACATAGGATCTTAACAATGCTGAAAACTGTGCCAAAAAGTATTCACAGCCGAGGAGAGAAGATGGTTTGAATTTATTTATCCAGAAGAGATAATTTATGTAAAGATATTCACAAGCTGAATGCAAAAATGGTTATGTACCTTTGAGACTTTTCACTTAATATTTACCAAAGCAACTCCTTATACCAGTAGTATGTTTTCATTTAAAAAGTATCTCACTATACAATAAAAAGCACCCAGCTTAGCCACTTAAACACTGGTAATGTGATCAATGTTTAACACTTAAATTTTCAGTGGTCTAAATCAAGTTTTTGCAAAAACTTTTTTTTTTTTTTTTTTGAGATAGAGTCTCACTCTGTCGCCCAGGCTAGAGCGCAGTGGTGCGATCTCGGCTCACTGCAACCTCTGCTGCCCAGGTTCAAGAGATTCTCCTGCCTCAGCCTCCTCAGTAGCTGGGATTACAGGCGCCTGCCACCGCGCCCGGCTAATTTTTTATTTTTAGTAGAGATGGGATTTCACCATCTTGGCCAGGCTGGTCTTGAACTCCCGACCTCGTGATCCACCTGCCTCGGCCTCCCAAAGTGCTGGGATTACAGTCATGAGCCACCGCGCCCAGCCATAAACTTCTCTACTAGGCTATCACTGTCAGAAAACCTAATATAAATCCTGAGGCTCCCTACTCTTGCCCAGGCGGAACTGTTGGTGTGACTATGCTAACTCTAGTAGACTTAACAATTGACCCAACTTAACATTGGGCCAAATATTAAACTCTACTCCATAATGAATTAGAAGCCAATGGTGGGAGAGTTTAGTACGAGTGACAGATGATGTCTGTTGAGAGAGGGTTCTCTCCATGTGATATGTTCCACTGTGGTAATCCAAATATAGTATTACATCAATACCATCACAATGGTCAAGGATAATGGTTAAACAGTCTAAGTTCCACACAGACAGGGATGGTAACTTTTTATCTTTGTATCTAAGTACGTAGCATATTAGTGTATAAGAATTATAAAGACTGTTTCTAATACTATTCCTAGCACTAGTCCAGTTAGGTTCAGTGAATGTTATCAGTTGTGGCAAACAAAATTTCAATTTGATTTGATTCCACCTTATACAATTTACACAATGCAAAGACTTCTCCTCCGCCTCTTCCCTGCCCACGAAGAAGAAATGCTCATATGTACTCATCTCATTCCATAAATATTTATAGTGAGCCTACCTTGTATGAGGAAAAGTAAAAGAGGGGACACATGACTTTTATCTATTAACACCCTGGTTCCTCAACAATCAGGTATATTTTTCAATGTTATCCTCTGTCTATTGAAATCTCAACAATGGGCTGGGTGTGGTGGCTCATGCCTGTAATTCCAACACTTTGGGAGATGGGAGGATCACTTGAGGCCAGGAGTTCAAGACCAGCCTGGGCAACACAGCAAGACCCTGTCTCTACAAAAAACACTCAATGAAATTCTCTATTAGAGTCAATGAGGAACAAATTCTGTATGGAGAACCTTAGTAAGAAAATAAAATCCATGCATATGATTAATAAATACTTAAGCTTATGTCATATAAAAATGTCTAGTGATAAATACCATGAATACTGTACTTTGCACTACTTGTCAACTATTTATTCAATGGTTTATTCACGTTATTGTATTCTGAGACTCAGGGACATTCACATACGTTTCTTCAAATGAGAAACATTTTCTATAAAGTTAAAGAGAAATATCCTTACAGATTTTTAAAAATAGAAATAAACTATAAAGCCTACTAAATGGCATATACGACGAAAAAAGTTTTAACTTTTTAGAGTTTTGACGTCTCTTCAATGATTTCAACCAAATATATAACCATATTTGAATACAAAAGTCACCTTAGTCAACAGTTTGGTATTTATGTGTCGACTAAGTATTTTTATTTTGAATGAGTAAATTACAAAGATATTTACTGAGCCCTGGCCAATTTTTCAGTTCATAGAAAATATTTCTATATTTGCTGTATCAGACTTAATGCTAATTTTATTTCATTTGATCTCTTATAAAACGCTTATTTCATTAGGCAAAAAAGAAAGGGGCATTCTATGGCACCAGAGAGCTTCTCTTAACATTTACTTTTTTGGAGGTCAAATTAGAAAATTCTGTATCACAGTACTTAGTTTACATATTAATACATTCTCAGGATATACAAAGAAAGTAAAAACCTAGTATCTGAATGTTTTCACTAGGAATAAAGAGACTAAGAGAATAACAGTACTTATTTCCAATTGTTCTTTATGAGAAAATGTGCTGAATGCTGATAACTATCCCCAAAGTGATGTAAGTGATAAAAGATTTACAACAGGCACCAATTGGAATTCAAGCTAAACCAGACACTGGTATTTAGTTCAATAGAAGAGAGATTCCCCACTAGGCTTGACAATAGAGACTTAAGCAACTGGAGGGAACAGAGAGAATTAAACTAGCTTACTAATTACAATGCTGTTCTGCTTTGTAACACATGAAAATTTCTATTATTTTCATGCTGGGATTAAAAAGTTATTTTGGCGAAAAATTATCTCAAGAGTTACCAGAAAGCATTAATTTTTTTTTTTAAAGCATCATCATATCCCCAAGGCAAACTGGTGCAATACATGCATATCACTTCTAGGAACAAATGCTACTTTTCAGTATTCTACAAGCAAACCTGGCAAAGTATGCAAAGATAGGTATACATGTACTCCTGCGCATAGTACTATTTTTAAAAGAGCAGGTCACTGGAAACCGCAATATCCATTTCATAGAGGGTTGCTTATATAAATATCTATCCATATGATGTATAATCTATAGCTGACCAAAACCTCACTTATGAGGCAATGTGAAATATAGAGTGAAAAATTCAAGTTGCAAAATAGTGTAAATAGTATTATAAGCCCATTAAGTAAAAAATGAATGTGTATGTTAAATTTTCAGCGAAGATTCACGACACAAGCGGTCACCTTTGGGAAACGGGATAAGAAACGATTCACTGTTTGAATTTTTACCCTGAACATGTATTACATGTATAATAAATAAAAACTTAATGAAGTGAATAGTAGAAAATGCTTTTTCACATAGAACCGAATTTTGGGTGTGTTTACTTCACTTAATATAAAACCCCTAAGTGTAACCAGCATATCCACCATCTATTCAAAACAACGATTACCACCGTCGTTTCAAAGACACCTGGAAAAGTCTTCAGGCCTGAGTTCAGAAGAGGACTTGCAGTCAATTTCATTGGCTATATGTAAAATTAATTTTTGTTATTTAAAAATATCTGGCTGAACATCCTTCACTTAATCTTATGAAACTCTACAATCGCATGGTTGCAAAAACCCCATATATAACCAAGTTTGGCGGTCAGCTAAGAAACTGGAAAGTTTCTCCCTCCCCTGGAAGTATCCCACAAGAATCGTGGTCTCAACGCTGAAAATGTAACATCAGTCTTCTAGTGAACTTGGTAAATGAGCTTACAGATATATTTAAAATACTGTCACTTGAAAGTCTCTCCACATTTTGGAGGCCAGGAACAAGAGGTGGTTTGAAAAAAAGAGATTACGGTTAGATTTAATGAAGTTGAAGACTTAAACATATGGTACTGGCCCAGTTAAACAACGGAAGTCCCACTACATCCCATTTATCCCACGATTCTCTAGAGAGCAAAGAAAATTTGTCTGAAGAGCAGAGTAAGTGTATTATAAGCCCAGAGTAAGGTGGAAACTGCATAGAAAGAAACCCTAAAGGCAACTTCACAAAACTGGAGGTGGGAGGGGGTAGGGAAATCTGGCTTCTGATGTTAGGAACTAGAATGAGAAAGAACTAAATGGAAAAAGGCAGTAGGGACAAGGCAGGGCACATATTTAAAAAGAGAGGGACAGACGGTGTGGGAGATGAGCAGGGGTAGAAGCAGGCGTGACGGGTCAGGTAGCAGCCAGGGTTTGGGAGACCCACAGCGCTAGGCTGGGTGGAGACAGCGGCTGGAAGGGCAGTGGGGGCTCCCACTGGGAGAAAGCGGGAAAGGGGCAAGCGGGGAGCTGGGAAGCGGGGTGGCCAGCGAAGTTGGGGCCCCGGGCCCGCCCGGCACCCCACACCTGGACGGGGGCGCGTCGGGAGCGGCCGCACGTGGGTGCGAGCGGCGGCGGGGAGGTAACTGGTGCCAGGCGCCGCGGCAGCAATGGCCGGAAAAGCCCGGGGGCACGACCGGGAGCCGCGGGCCGCCTCACACGTGGGCTGCGCGGCCGCCGCCCGCCGGGCCCAGCCTGCGCGGCCGCCGCGGACCGGCCGAGGCCCGGTGCGGCTGGCGTCGGTAAAGGGTCGGCGCGCCGGCCAGGGCGCGAAGACTGGGGCGGCGAACTCGGTTACCTCTGCCTGTTTCCGGACCACATTGTCGGGGCTGAGCAGGTTTCCCAGGAGCAGGTAGAACTGTTGCTGCTCCGCCGCGGCCGCCGCCATTGCGCTAGGCGTGAGAGAGAAGGAGGGAGGGGAGACAGGAGCCGTGAGGCGCGCTCGCGGGCCGCGGGAGGGGCGGGGGCGGGCCCAGCGCGGGGACCGGCACCAGCGGCGGCGCGGGGCTTGCGGGGGGCCGCGCGGGAAGGGCGGGGCAAAGGGGAAAGGGGAGGACGGGGCGGGGCCTCGCGGCCTCTCACCCCGCCGCGGCCGCCGGCGCCGGCGCCTCACTGGCCTTGGGCGCAGGGGGGCGGGGCCGAGGACGCCTCCTCGGGGGCCGCGCTGATTGGCCACGCACCCTGCGGTGCCGTCAGTGGCCGCGCATCGGGGGCCGCCGGCTGTACGCCGGTTGGGTAGGCTGGCGGCTTCGCAGCCGGGCCAGGGCTGGGATCGGGGTCGGGGTCGGGGTTGAGGTCGAGGTCGAGGCCTGGGCTGGGGCCAGGGCTGCGTCGCGGGGACAGCGGGAGGAGCCGGCCGGCGGGCCCGGCCGCGGCAAGGGGCCTGAGGCCTGGCCGGGGAGGAGGGGCCAGCTGCTGAGCGCGGGAGATTTCGGCGCCGCGGGCTGGTCGGCCTCCTTCTAGCGACCCCCGGCCCCTCCCCGTGGCCGCTGGAGCAGGCCCCACCCCTTTGGTCCCTCGCTCCCTGGGATCCAGCCCTTCACCCACCCCCAGGAAGGCAGTCCCTTTAGACCCACTTCCTACGTACCTTCTACTCACGGACTTCTCGCTTTCAGACCCTCCGACCTCCCCCAGGGCTGTGGACTCAGGGCGCCCCTTCCTCCCGTCGCGCTCTCCAGTGACTCACGCCTGGGGCTTGCCCGGAAGAGGGGTTACTCAGCCCGGGGCTGTCCCGCCAGGCCGCCCGTCCCCAGCCCGCGGTCGTCTTCGGATGTACACGTAGCAAACATGCCCCCACCCCAGGATCTGTGACTGTTCCCTTGAATCCCTTGTTTAGGGATTCTGTTCTCGCAATGATTGGGGAACGTCAAGAGAGACACCTTTCTTCCTAAAGGAGCCCTGGTTTACAGGGCTGATTATCTCAATCTCAGTCTAGGAACCTAGAGGCGTAATTTCAATTTCAGCATTCTAATGCGCAGATAATACACGCGATGTTCTTTAACTCCTGGGGCTGCCAAAGGCAGAGAGCAGTGTACAAATCAGAGGGTACTTTTGTTGAGACCCTGTTGTATCCAATACATTGGGCTAAGGGTGTCAGTGGAAGCCTTGCTCTGTCGCCTAGGCTGGAGTGCAGTGGCGCGATCTCGGTTTAGTGCAACCTCTGCCTCCCGGGTTCAAACAATTCTCATGCCTCAGCCTCCCAAATACCTGGGATTACAGGCATGTTCCACCATGCCCAGCTAACTTTTTTGTATTTTTAGTAGAAACGGGGTTTCACCAAGTTGGCCCAGTTGGTCTCGAACTCCTGACCTCAGGCGATACCAGCCCCCCCCGCCCTCCCCCCGCCTCGGCCTCCCAAAGTGCTAGGATTACAGGCATGAGCCACTGCGCCCAGCTACAAAAACAATTCATTTCTGCCCCAAAGGGACACTACATCTCTAGTGAGGAGGTTTCATACTGGGTGAGATGGAAGAGTAGTTCTACACCGCTGGCAGTACATAGTATTTAACTTAGGGAATTTAATTTCCTGTTGGCTATTCTGCTGCAGTTCTGCTCTTTGAAAGTCAAAACATTTGCTCTTTGGTGAATGATTTTAAATCTTGGCCACTGTGTTTAGAATCTGGGCTGAGCCCTGGGATCCACGTGCAATTGGGATGGCCAGCCAAGATTTTTTTCTAAAGGATTCTAATTGGTTCCTAGAGAAAATTCTCTTAGAAAGTTTTGGGCCATGACAATGATGGGTTCTCTACAGGAGGTCTGCAGACCTATCTTTGTTGAATTTATATTTCTTAGATGTGACAAGTTTTCATTCTTATGCCACGTTATTTCTTCTAGACAAACCACTATGCACATTACTTTGGGGCAGCTTTTTTTTGTTTGATTTTGATTTTTTTTTTTTTTTGTGGGTCGTTGGGGTATCTGGATTCTGAGGAGGTTTCATCATCAGCCAAGGTTATTAAGGTTTTAAGAATTACAGGCCGGGCAAGGTGGCTCACGCCTGTAATCCCAGCACTTTGGGGGGCCGAGGTGGGCGGATCACCTGAGGTCAGGAGTTCGAGACGAGCCTGGCCAACATGGTGAAAGCCCGTCTTTACTAAAAATACAAAAATTAGCCAGGTGTGGTGGTGGTGGGCGCCTGTAATCCCAGCTACTCGGGAGGCTGAGGCAGGAGAATCACTTGAACCTGGGAGGTGGAGGTTACAGTGAGCCGAGATCGTGCCATTGCACTCCAGCCTGGGTGATAGAGCAAGACTCCGTCTCAAAAAAAAAAAAAAAGAATTTCAGACAAAAACAACTCATTCAAATGACTAGGTTAACAGTGAAATATGATAAATTGCTTAGAGGCTGCTTAGGGCATGGCCCGATCTCCAGTTACTTTTTAACACCTGTTGCGATATGTGTTTCTATTGGCAATGAGTCTGTAGGTTACATATATTTGCTTAATAGTTACTAAATAATAGAAATTCCAATCAAGTTTGCAGATATTTGTTACTATTATTATTATTGTTATTATTATTATTTTGAGACAGAGTCTCACTCTGTTGCCCAGGGTGGAGAGCAGTGGTGTGATCTCACTGCAGCCGCCACTTCTTGGGCTCCAGCGATCCTCCCACCTCAGCCCTTCCAACTAGCTGGTCTGCAGGCACAAGCCACCACACCTGGCTAATGTTTCCAGTTTTGGTAGAGATGGGGTCTTCCTGTTACCCAGGCTGGTCTCAAACTCCTGAGTTCGGGCGATCCTCCCACTTTGGCCTCCCAAAGTGCTAGGATTACAGGCCTCCGCCACCACACCCGGCTAGGAGCTTGTTTTTTAACGAGGCAAAGCGTAAACCTAAGATTATTTCAGGCAGGCTAAAAACAAAACAATTTTGTATTAGTGGTGACATCAACTGCTAGAACACGAAATCACAGCCCAGCCTTATTTTAACATTTTAAATATCCAATCAAAAGGGAAGGAGAAGAATTTTAAGGTTAATGAATGAAGAGACCACCCCGCCACCCAAAATGGGAGAAATTCCAGTAAACTTGGGGTAGATAGCAGATGTCCTGACAATGGAGACTGGTTCTGGTGTCCAGAAAACCTCCTAAGTGGGGACTGTATTTTCGGTAGCAGGCTTGCCATTTTGAAGAGTTTATAATGCTCAGCCTTCTGGGAAGTTTACTGCACTTAGAAGCCCATTTCCCATAGACAGTGTCCTTATTGTTTATAAGAGTATCATTTTCTTATAAGAAAATAACTCAGGGGCTGGGTGCAGTGGCTCACGCCTGTAATCCTAGCACTTTGGGAGGCGGGTGGATCCCCTGAGGTCAGGAGTTTGAGACCAGCCTGGCCAACAGGGCGAGACCCCGTCTCTACTAGAAATACAAAAAAAAAATCAGCTGGGTATGGTGGCGCATGCCTGTAATCCCAGCTACTCTGGAGGCTGAGGCAGGAGAATCGCTTGAACCCAGGAGACGGAGGTTGCAGTGAGCCAGTATCATGCCACTGCACTACAGCATGGGTGACAGAGTGAGACTCCCTCTCAAAAAAAAAAAAAAAAAAAAAAGAAGATAAAAGAAAATAACTAAGATATTCCATAAAAACAGCCTGCAGGATTATAGATTTATTTATTTCCCAAGGAGATCAAATGGTGGAAGGTAAAGAGCCTTGAACTTGAGTCTAGGGGATTTGTATCTTTAGTCTCTTACTAGCTGTGTAACCTTGAGTGCTTAATGTCGCTAAGCCTCAATTTCTCATCTATAAAATGGGGATAATAAAAAGTATATTATTAATCATAAAAGTTCTTCTAGCATTAACTTATAATTGGAAGTAAAAATGCAAGGATAGAAAACTTTGAGTTTTGCTTACTCCGTATTCGCTGCCATTGCTTTGGCCGCATTAAAATAAAAAAACAAAAACAAAACTGCCCCGAAGTAATGTACTTAGTGGTTTATCTTGTGAATGGCCAGCTCCTTTCCCTTGCAGTTTATTAGACTTGGCACTACTTCCATTAAGTGCTGGAGGCAAATTTGCTTGGAGCATTTGCAACCCTTTACGAAAAGGGTGAGGTTGGGGGAAAGAAAACAAAGTCTCTCTCAACTGCTACTTGAAATCTAGGTAGTTTAGGATTTTTGCTGTTAGGAAGTACTGCACAGCCTGGGCATGACCTATTTGTAATACTGCAGGAGACCAGGCTCCTTAACTAGAGAGCATCAGAATCTCTCCCACTACTGCTCTTAGTTTTATGGGCTCCCATGTTGATGGGAGTGTTCTGGAAGTGGGAGAAGGTTGGAGAAGTTAGGCTTGTAAGACCTCTGTGAAAGCTTTTCTCAGCTGGGATAGAATTTGGTTTTGTCTGCCCTTTCTGGTTTGCAGAGTGCTGAATGCAAATAACATAAGATTCTCCCAAGTGAATAATCTAATTTTGTTTTAAGTTGTCTCGGGTCTCTATGACTCCTTATCTTGGTAGTTGTAAGCGCTATGCTCTTGATATCACAATTTATTATGAGGGTCAATTTAGATGGTATAAATCAAAGTGTTATAATCTGTAACTACACCAATGTAAGCTGATGGCATTATTATTTTTGTTAATAATTAACCTGGTACAATGAAAAAGAATGCTGGCTTTGTTTTCTCATCTGTAAAATTGGAATGATAGTTCTTCATAGGAGTGTTTTGAAAGTTAGGATAATATATGTAAATTCACATAGTATGGTGTCTGCATAAGTAGATACTCAATAATTATCTCTTTTATTAGTAAGATGGATTTGGGAGTTAAATGTGACCTTAAACAAGTAATTACTCTTTTTGTTTGTTTTTTTAGAGATGGGGTCTTGCTATATTGCCCAGGACAGTCTTGAACTCCTGGGCTCAAGCGATCCTCCTACCTCGGCCTCCCAAAGTGCTGGGGTTACAGGCTTGAGCCACCGCGCCTGGCCTTAAACAAGTAATTACTCTTAAGGCTGCAGCTGATGCATAGTCATGTGCATCACATTTGTGTTTATATAAAATCTACTTGCGTATTTTCTATTAGTCTCCCAATTGTGCAGAGTGAAATAGTGTATGGAATGGATTACAGATATTCAATAGACACTTGGCTGATAAGTAAGATTTCTGACTCTAATACTGATGTTTTCTGTTGCCTAGATAAGAGCCAGCAAAAAAAGTTTGAATGGTTGAAAAATTATTGAAAATATGCTGAAATATTCACATTTTTTTCAACTGCTTTTTATCAAAACTTTCAAGTTCCTGCTCTGAAGCAGTCTGTTACATACAGTCAGTGCACCTCAGCCAGGGGCAAGTGGGACCCTAACAATCCTGAAGGACACTGTGCACAATAGGCCCTCAGTAAATTGTGGAATGGAACACAGGCAGGGAAATTTTGACTTGATTGTTTTCTTTTGCGCCCTTTCTTAGTTTTATATTTGAGATTCAGTGGATATCTGCAGATGGAGGGACTCATTTTAGGGAGGCTGGGAGCAGAGGCTCCAGAGCCGGCCAATGTGCAAGTTCAAATGATAGCTTCACAGCCTACATGCTGTGTGATCTTGCCCAAGGTAACCTGTCTCAAGCCCAGTTTCTTCTTCTCTGAAATGGGTGTAATAGAAGTATTTTTTACTACTGATTAAAATACCTGGCAGTAGTGCCGGGCACAGAGTAAATGCTTAATAGATAGTGGCTGTGATTGCTAATACAGATTGCAACCTCTAAAATTTGTAACTTTAATTTTGATTGGACATCTACCTGTTAGACTATTGCATTTTTATATTCTCATTATATAAGTGGTCATGTTACAGGAATGCATCATAATTGTGGTTAAGAAAAAAATCAAGTTTGATTTGATTATCACAGAGCTATTAAAGGCTATTTCTGGCTTTCAATGCTACAGTTGCAATGCTCATTATGGTAGCCACTAGCCATTATGACTGTTGACCAATTGAAATATGGCGTGTTTGAACTGAGGTATGCTTTTTTCTTTTTTTTTGCGACGGAGTCCCACTCTGTCGCCCAGGCTGGAGTGCAGTGGCACGATTTCAGCTCACTGCAACCTCTGCCTCCCGGGTTCAAGCGATTCTCCTGCCTCAGCCCCCCAAGTAGCTGGGATTACAGGCGCCCGCCACCATGCCCGGCTAATTTTTTTTTATTTTTAGTAGAGACGGGGTTTCACCATCTTGGCCAGGCTTGTCTCGAACTCCTGACCTCGTGATCCACCCGCCTCGGCCTCCCAAAGTGCTGGGATTACAGGCGTGAGCCACTGAGCCTGGCCTGAGATATATTTTAAGTGTAAAATACACAGTAAATTTCAAAGACTTAGTAGGAAATTAAGAATAACAATTTTATATTGGTCACATGTAGAAATGTTAATATATTGTGTTAAATAAAATAGTTATATTTATTGATAAACTATTGTTAAATGTATTAATTTCACTTTTTTTTACTTGTTAAAAATATGGCTACTAGAAATTTTAAAATTGCATATGTGATTTGTATTTGTGGCTCATATTATATTTCGATTGGGCAGTGCTTTGCTGGAGAATAAAATAGCCAACTAGCTACACATAGGTGTCCTACATACTTTGTACATTGACATTTAGGAAGTGACTTTTGGCTGGGTGTGATGGCTCACGCCTGTAATCCCAGCACTTTGGGAGGCTGAGGTGGGAGGATTGCCTGAGACCAGGAGTTCGAGACCAGCCTGGGCAACATGGCGAGACCTTGTCTCTTTTAAAAAAAACAAAACAGGAAGTGACTTTTCCCCAGGTGAAATCAGTTACCTTATTGTGTTTTCTGTTGCTTCTAGTTTTCCAACTTGATCCTCAGGCATTTGAAGACATGCTGCAGTACTTTCTGAGCAGTGTTCCCTTAGGAATTTCTTTCCTCTGCTGATTTGACAGAAACAGAATGGTGGACCATTAGATGGTACTTAATTTTGAAGATGATATTCTTAAAAATCACATCTGATTTTGAAGAATAAATCCTTATCAGTTAAATCAAAGACTGGTTAAGAGTTGGAGAAAATAAAAATACCTTTTCTTGATGTTGTTTTCATTTAAAAGTGGTAAATGGATTTTTAAAAATCATTTGTTGCATTTTAATACCTGAAATAAAAATATACTTAGCAGAGGCCGGGTGCAGTGGCTCACGCCTATAATCCCAGCACTTTGGGAGGCCAAGGCAGGCGGATCACGAGGTCAGGAGATGGAGACCATCCTGGCTAACACGGTAAAACCCCGTCTCTACTAAAAATACAAAAAAATTAGCTGGGCGTGGTGGTGGGCACCTGTAGTCCCAGCTACTCGGGAGGCTGAAGCAGGAGAATGGTGTGAACCTGGGAGGCAGAGCTTGCGGTGAGCTGAGATCGCGCCACTGCTCACCAGCCTGGGTGACAGAGCGAGACTACGTATCAAAAAAAAAAAAAAAAAAAAAAAATATATATATATATATATATATACTTAGCAGAAAGATTTCATTTCTAAGTTAAATGATTTTTCTTAGAACACAAATAGGTTGAAAGTAAAAGGATAGAAAAAGACACACCATGCAAACAGTATTCAAAAGCAGATACGCAGCCTGGCCAACATAGAGAAAACCCGTTTTTACTAAAAATACAAACTTTAGCTAGGCGTAGTGGCAGGCGCCTGTAATCCCAGCACTTTGGGAGGCCAGGGTGGGTGGATCACTTGAGGTCGGGAGTTCAAGACCAGCCTGGCAAACATGGTGAAACCCCGTCTCTACTAAAAATACAAATGTTAGCTGGGTGTAGTGGCAGGCGGCTGTACTCTGTTACCTGGGAGGCTGAGATACGAGAACTGTTTGAACCTGGGAGGCAGAGGCTGTAATGAGCCGAGATGGTGCCACTGCACTCCAGCCTGGGTGACGGAGCAAGACTCCATCTCAAAAAGACAAAAAAACAAAAGCAGGTGGAATGGCTCTCTTAATTTTAGACAAAATAGATTTTAAGACAAAAAATGTCATTAGAGATAAAGAGGACATTTTTATAATAAAAAATTCAATCAGGAAGATAGAACAGTTTTAAACACATGTGCCTAACAGCACCAAAATACATAAAGCAAAACCTGACAGAATTAAGGGAGAAATAGATAATTCAACAAAAATAGTTTGAGACTTCTGTTCCCACCTTTCAGTAACGGATAGGATAACTAGATAGATCAATAATAAATGGAAGACAAAGAATAAGATAAACCAACTACACCTACAAGACAAGTGTAAGACACTCCACCCAAAAGCAGCAGAGTAAACATTTTCCTCAAGTGAATATGGAACATTCTCCAGGATAGACCATATGTTAGGCTGTAAAACAAGCTTCAGTCAATTTTAAAGGATTGAAACCAACAAAGTATGTTCTCTGACCACAACAGAATAAAATTAGAAATCAAGAACAAAAGGAAATTTGAGAAATTCACAAGAGATTAAACTGCATACTCCTAAATAACAAGTGCGTCAAAGAAGAAATCACAAGATGGCTTGGCACGGTGCCTCATGTCTCTAATCACAGTGCTTTGGAAGGCTGAGGTGGGAGGATCCTTTGAGCCCAGGAATTCAAAGTTACAGTGAGCAATGATCGCACCACTGCATTCCAACCTGGGTGACAGACAGAGTGAGACCCCTTCTCTATATTGAAAAAAATCACAAGAGAAATTAGAAAATACTTTGAGCCGGGTGCGGTGGCTCATGCCTGTAATCCCAGCATATTGGGAGGCCGAGGTGGGCGGATCACAAGGTCAGGAGATCAAGACCATCCTGGCTAACATGGTGAAACGCCGTCTCTGCTAAAAATACAAAAAATTAGCCGGGCGTGGTGGTGGGCACCTGTAGTCCCAGCTACTTGGGAGGCTGAGGCAGGAGAATGGCATGAACCCGGGAGGCGGAGCTTGCAGTGAGCTGAGATCGAGCCACTGCACTCCAGCCTGGGCGACAGAGCGAGACTCAAACAAACAAACAAACAAACAAACAGAAAATACTTTCAGATGAATGAAAACAAAAATATAAGATACCAAAATTTATGGGATAGCAGTGATAGCAATGCTCATAGGGACACTTAGAGCTGTCCTTATCAATTAGAAAAGAAGAAATCAATAACCTACTTCCTTAGATACTAAAGAAAGAAGGGCAAACTAAATCCACAACAAGCTGAAAGAAAGAAAGCAAGAAAGAAAGAGAAAGGAAGAAAAAGAGAAAGAAGACTAAAAGGAAATAAATGAAATAGAAAATTAAAAAAGAGAAAATAAAAATAACCCAAAATTGTTTCTTTGAGAAGATCAACAAAATTCACAAACTTTTGGCTGTACTGACCAGGAAAAAAAAGAGGAGACTCAAATACTAAAATCAGGAATGAAAGAGGAGACATCACTACCCAGCTTTCAGAAATAAAAAGAATTAGAATACTGTACCCAATTGTGTGCTAACAAATTAGATAACCTAGAGGAAATGGACACATTTCTAGAAAAACGCAAATCAAAAGTGATTCACGAAGAAATAGAAAATATGAATAGATCTACAGCAAGTAAAACTATTGAATTAGTTATTTTATTTTATTTTATTATTTTTTGAGACAGAGTCTTGCTCTGTCACCCAGGCTGGAGTGCAGTGGCGTGATCTTAGCTCACTGCAACCTCCGCCTCCCTGGTTCAAGCAATTCTCCTGCCTCAGCCTCCCAAGTAGCTGGGACTATAGGCACACACCACCACACCCGGCTAATTTTTGTGTTTTTAGTAGAGATGTGGTTTCACTGTAGTCAGGTTGGTCTTGAACTCCTGACCTCAAGTGATCCACCTCCCTCGGCCTCTCAAAGTGCTTTGACTACAGGCGTGAGCCACTGCGCCCAGCTGAATTAGTAATTTTAAAAGTCACAAAGAAAAATCCCAGACCAGATGACTTTACTGGTGAATTTTACCAAACATTTAAAAAGCAATTAACACCATTCCTACTCAAACTTTGTCAGAAAATAGAAGCAGAGTGAACACGTAATGAATCATTTTATAAGGCCAGTTGTGCCCTGCTGCCAAAAACAAAAAAAACTATAGACCAATATCGACACAAAAATTATAAACAAAATACTAGCAAACTGAATTAAACAACATATAGAGAGGATTATCTACCATGATTAAGTGAAATTTATCCCAGGAATGAAAGGTTGGCATAACATATGAAAATCAATGTAATATACCATATTAATAAAGCGTAAAAACTATATGAGCATCTCAATTGATGCAGGATAAGCTTTTCACAGAATCCAATCCCTTTTCATTATTAAAACGCTCAACAAACTAGGAATAAAGAGGAATTTCCTCAACTTCATAAAAGCCATCTGTGACAGACTCACAGTTAACATCATATTTAGTTGAGAAAAATTGGATGTTTTCTCCCTGAGATCAAGACAAGAATGTCTATTGTCACCATTTTTACTCAATATTTTACTGGAAGTTCTATTTTTTTTTTTTTTTTTTTTTTGAGAGGGGGCCTTGCTCTGTCACCCAGGCTGGAGTGCAGATCTCGGCTTACTGCAACTTCCATCTCCCTGGTTCAAGCGATTCTCCTGCCTCAGCCTCCTGAGTAGCTGGGATTAAGGCACAAGCCACCACACCCAGCTAATTTTTGTATTTTTAGTAGAGATGGGGTTTCACCATGTTGGCCAGGCTGGTTTTGATCTCTGTCATGATCTCATGATCCGCCTGCCTCGGCCGCCCCAAAGTGCTGGGATTACAGGCGTGAGCCACCGTGCCCGGCCTGGAAATTCTATCTCTATTCACAAGTGACATGATTTCGTATAGACAAAATCCTAAGGAATTCACACAAGCACACACACACACACACACACACACACACACAAACTATTAGAACAAACAAAACAAGTTCAGCAAGGTTGCAGGAGACAAGATCAATATATAAAAATCAATTGTAATTCCATACACTAGCAATAAACAATCTGAAAATGAAATTAAGAACACAGTTTTATTTACAATAGCATCAAAAAAGAATAAGACTCAGTAACAAAGTAATAGTAACTTTCACAGAACTGTAGAACTTGTATGCTGAAAATTATAAAACATTGTTGGAAGAAATTAAAGAAGATCTAAATAAATGGAAACACAGTCTATACGCATGGATTGGGAGATTTAATATTATTAAGATGGTGATACCTCCCTCCCTTAATCTATAGATTCAAGGTAATCCCAATTAAAATTCCAATTGCCTTTGTTTTTCAGATATGGACAAGCTGATTTTTTTTTAATTTTTCAGTTTCGATATACATGTGCAGAACGTGCAGGTTTGTTACATAGGTATACATGTGCCATGGTGGTTTGCTGCACCTACCAACCCATCATCTAGGTTTTAAGCCCTGCATGCATTAAGTATTTGTCCTAATGCTCTCCCTTCCCTTGTCCCCCACCCCCCGACAGGCCCTGGTGTGTGATGTTCCCCTTCCTGTGTCCATGTGTTCTCATTGTCCAACTCCCACTTATGAGTGAGAACATGTGGTGTTTGGTTTTCTGTTCCTGTGTTAGTTTGCTGAGAATGATGGCTTCCAGCTTCATCCATGTCCCTGCAAAGGACATGAACTCATTCTTTTTTATGGCTGCATAGTATTCAATGGTATACGTGTGCCACATTTTCTTTATCCAGTCTATCATTGATGGGCATTTGGTTGGTTCCAAGTCTTTGCTATTGTAAATAGTGCTGCAATAAACATACGTGTGCATGTGTCTTTACAGTAGAATGATTTATAATCCTTTGGGTATATACTCAGTAATGGGATTGCTGGGTCAAATGGTATTTGTGGTTCTAGATCCTTGAGGAATCGCCACACTGTCCCTATATAAGAAATGGTGCTGGGAGGCCGGGCGCGGTGGCTCACGCCTGTAATCCCAGCACTTTGGGAGGCTGAGGCGGGCGGGTCATGAGGTCAGGAGATCGAGACCATCCTGGCTAACACGGTGAAACCCCGTCTCTACTTTTTTTTGTAAAAATACAAAAAAAAATTAGCTGGGTGTGGTGGCAGGTGCCTATAGTCCCAGCTACTCGGCAGGAGAATGGCATGAACCCGGGAGGCGGAGCTTGCAGTGAGCCGAGATCGCGCCACTGCACTCCAGCCTGGGTGACAGAGCGAGACTCATTCTCCAAAAAAAAAAAAAAAAAAAAAGAAAGAAATGGTGCTGGGAAAACTGGCTAGTCATATGCAGAAAACACAAACTGGACCCATTCCTTACACCTTATACAAAAATTAACTCAAGATGGATTAAAGACTTAAATGTAAAACTTAAAATCATGAAAACCCTAGAAGAAAACCTAGGCAATATCATTTAGGACATAGGCATGGGCAATGACTTCATGACTAAAACACCAAAAGCAATTGCAACAAAAGCCAAAATTGACAAATAGGATCTAATTAAACTAAAGAGCTTCTGCACAGCAAAAGAAACTGTCATCAGAATGAACAGGCAGCCTACAGAATGGGAGAAAATTTTTGCAATCTATCCATCTGACAGAGGGCTAATGTCCAGAATCTACAAATAACTTAAACAAATTTACAAGAAAAAAACAACCCCATCAAAAAGTAGGCAAAAGATATGAACAGACACTTCTCAAAAGAAGACATTTATGTTGCCAACAAACATATGAAAAAAAGCTCATCCTCACTGGTCATTAGAGAAATGCAAATCAAAACCACAATGAGATATCATCTCATGCCAGTTAGAATGGTGATCATTAAAAAGTCAGGAAACAACAGATGCTGGCGAGGCTGTGGAGAAATAGGAATGCTTTTACACTGTTGGTGGGAGTGTAAATTGGACAAACTGATTCTAAAAATTCATCTAGAGTTGCAAGAGACTCTGAGTAACCAAAGCAGTCGAAAAAAACAAAATTCAAAGGATTAACAGTTGCTGAATTCAAGGCTTACTATAAAGCTGTAATAATGGCCGGGTGCAGTGGCTCACACCTATAATCCTAGCATTTTGGGAGGCTGAGGCGGGCAGATCATGAGGTCAGAAGATCGAGACCATCCTGGCCAACATGGTGAAACCCCATCTGTACTAAAATACAAAAAATTAGCCGGGCGTGAGGGTGCATGCCTGTAGTCCCAGCTACTTGGGAGGCTGAGGCAAGGGAATTGCTTGAACCCAGGAGGCGGAGATTGCAGTGAGCTGAGATTCCACCACTGCACTCTAGCCTGGTGACAGAGCTAGACTCCGTCTCAAAAAAAAAAAAAAAAGCTATAATAATTAAGACACAAGTGTTACCGGCATAAGGACAGACATATAGATCAATGGAATTGAATAGTGACTCCAGAAATAAACCTTACATGTGTTGTCAGACTGATTTTTGACAAGGATACTGTGATGGTTAGTTTTATGTTTCACTTGGCTAGGCTGTTGGAGCCCCGTTGTTTGGTCAAACAGCAGTCTAGATGTTGCTGGGAAAGTATCTGTGGATACAATTTAACATTTATAATCAGTTGACTTTAACTAAAGCAAATTACCCTCCACAAGGTGGGTGGGCTTCATCTAATCAGTTGAAGGCCTTAATAGCAAAGATGGAGGTTTCTGGGGGAAGAAACAATTCTGCTACAAGACCACAGCACAGAAACCTTGCCCGAATCTCCACCTGCTGGTTTGCCCTTCAGATTTCAAACTCAAGACTACAACATCAACTCAAACCTGAATTTCCAGCCTGCTAGCCTGCCCTGCAGGATTTGAACTTTCCATCTCTCATAATTATGTAGCAGATTCCTTAAAATAAATCTATCTATCTACCTTTTTTTTTTTTTTGAGACAGTTTCACTCTGTCACCCAGGCTGGAGTGCAGTGGCACAATCTTGGCTCACTGCAACCTCTGCCTCCCAGGCTCAAGTGATTCTTGTGCCTCAGCCTCCTGAGCAGCTGGGACTACGGATGTGCCTCACCATACCCAGCTAATTTTTTGTATTTTTAATAGAGACAGGGGTTTCACCATGTTGGCCAGGCTGGTCTCGAACTCCTGACCTCAAGTGATCTGCCTGCCTGGGCCCCCCAAAGTGCTGGGATTACAGGTGTGAGCCACTGTGCCCATCCATCTATTTCTTATTGGTTCATTTTCTCTTGAGGACCCTGGCTAATATAGGAGCCATGACTGTTCACTGTGGAAAGATTGTTGCCGGTACAACTTGATATCCACATGCGTTAGAATGAAGCTGGACCCATACTTCACGTCATAAAAACTTCAAAGTGGATCATAGACTAAATGTAAGAGCTAAAACTATAAAATTCTTACAAGAAAATATAGGACTAAATCTTCATCGCTTTGGGGTAGGCAATCATTTTTTAGCTATGACATCAAAATCACAAAAGGCAGAAGAGAAAAATGGATACATTGAACTTCACAAAATTAAAACCTTTGTGCTTTTAAGGACACCATCAAGAAAGAGAAAAGACAACTCATAGAATGGGAGAAAATATATGCAAATAATGTATATTTTTTGAGACAAAGTCTCACTCTGTCACCCAGGCTGGAATGCATTGGCATGATCTCAGCTCACTGCAGGCTCTGCCTCCCAGGTTCAAGTGATTCTCCTGCCTCAGCCTCCAGATTAGCTGGGATTACAGGTGTGCGCCCCCACGCCCAGCTAATTTTTGTATTTTTAGTAGAGATGGGGTTTTGCCGTGTTGGCCAGGCTGGTCTTGAACTCCTGACCTCAAGTGATCCACTCACTTTGGTCTCCCAAAGTGCTGGGATTACAGGTGTGAGCCACTGCGCCTGGCCACAAATCATATGTCTTATAAGGGACTTATATCCAGAATATTTAAAAAGCCCTACTCTCAATTAAAAAAAGACAACCCAATTAAAAAAATGGGTAAAACATTTGAATAGACATTTCTCCAGAGAAAATATACAAATGGCCAATAAGCACATGAAAAGATGTGCAACATCATTCATCATTAGAGAAATGCAAATCAAAACCACAATGTAAGTTACCACTTCATACCCAATAAAATGGCTTTAATAAAAAAGGCAACAGCAAGTGTTGACAAGAATGTGGAGAAATTCAAACGCTCATACTTTGCTAATAGGAACATAAAATGTTACAGCCAATTTGGAAAACAGTCTGAATAAGCTGGGTGTGGTGACGCATGCCTGTAATTCCAGTTACTCGAGAGGCTGAGGCATGAGAATCACTTGAACCTGGGAGGCAGAGGTTGCGTTGAGCCGAGATCGTGCCATTGCACTCCAGCCTGAGTTACCATTTGACTCAGTAATTTCACTCCTAGGTATATGTGCAAGAGAAAAGACAACATATGTTGACACAAAAACTTGTACATGAATGTTCATGGCAACATTATTCACCACAGCCAAAAAGTGGAAACAATTCAACTGTCCATCCACTGGTGAATGGATAAACAAAATGTCTTCTAACTATACAAGGAAATATTACTTCGCAATAAAAGAATAAAGTAATGATACATGTAACAACATGAGTGAACCTTAAACTCATTAGACTGCCTGAAGGAAATCAGACAAAAAGACCACACATTTTTTTGGTCCCACTTATGGGAAATGTCCAGAATCAGCACATCCATAGACAGTAGATTGGTGCTTGCCATGTGCCTGGGCATGGGGTGGGTAGGGGAATCAGTGAGTGCTAGCAGGTATGGAGTTTTCTTTTAGGGTGAGGAAAGGGTGATAGTGATGAATGTGCAGCCCACTGAATATACTAAACACTCCATTGTACACTTTAGAAGGTTGAACTTTAGGCTGGGTGAGGTGGCTCATGCCTGTAATCCCAGCACTTTGGGAGGCTCAGGCGAGTGGATCACCTGAGGTCAGGAGTTCGAGACCAGCTTGACCAACATGGTGAAACGCTGTCTCTACTGAAAGTACAAAAGTTAGCTGGGCGTAGTGGTGCGCGACTGTAATCCCAGCTACTCAAGAGGCTGAGGCAGGAGAATTGCTTGAACCCAGGAGGTGGAGGTTGCAGTGAGCCGAGATCATGCCATTGCACTCCAGCCTGGGTGACAAGGGTGAAACTCCATCTCAAAAAAAAAAAAAACCAAATAAATAAAATAAAAAGTAAAATTTGGACTTTATGGTGTATGAATGTCTCAATAAAGCTATTATATTAAAAATACATTTCCTTAGAGAGCTGAAGGATATTGATTTAGACCTCAATTAGTGATTTTTTCCCCCTATCATTCACAGTATTTTTACCTTAGTTCTGAATCCTTGAGTGATAACCATTCATAACCTTCAAACTTCGGAGAATTCCTAAACCAATATTTGTGGAGAGGGAGAATGGGGAGATTCAGATATGATTTGGTCTGTAGACTTTCCTTCCCATCTTTTTGCTACTTACAGCAAGTATCTTACAATTTGGACACATGACATACACATTTCACCTCCTGCATTGTGAGGACATACATAATGGAGTCTGAATTGTGACATCGATCTGCATCTCATAGTTGGAGCTATTGGCAGCATGGATTTTTAGTCATCCACAGTTAATGAGGAACAAATGAAAGGGACCTTATAATGGTTCATAGGCTTCAATTCCATGCATCCTATGTGTAGTACTGCTTGATGCCACATTTAACTGCAGTAGTATTTGTTTAATGAACATTTTCTTCATTCATTTGTTTAGAAAAATATTAGGCACCCCTCTGTGGGAGGTGCTGCTAGGCTGTGGGGATTCCACGGTGAGCATGCGGACAGGGTTCCCACCTTCAGGGAGCTTAGCTCTTTTGAAAGAATTCAGATAATAAACAAGTAAACTGATAAGATACTTGCATACAGTTATAGGTGAAAAAAGAAGATAATGGGATCACGAATGACTGGATTTGGAGTGGGGTCATACCCTAGGGACACAGTCTTTCTTTTCTTTGAGACAGAGTCCCAGTCCGTCACCCCGGCTGGAGTGCAGTGGCGCTATCTAGGCTCACTGCAACCTACGCCTCCCGGGTTCAAGCAATTCTCCTGGCTCAGCCTCCTAAGTAGCTGGGACTATAGGCGCCCGCCACCACACCCGGTTAATTTTTGTTTTTTGTATTTTAGTAGAGACGGGGTTTCACCATGTTGGCCAGGCTGGTCTTGAACTTCTGACTTTGTGACCCACCCGCCTCGGCCTCCCAAAGTGCTGGGATTATAGGCGTGAGCCACCGTGCCCTGCCGGGACAGTCTTTTGAGAGGAGGTGACAATGAAAGATGAGGCAAATAAAGAAATGGAGGAGGCTCTCTCAAGCAGAGGTGACAATACGAAGGACAGAGGCAAAAACAAGTTGGGGTATTCCAGAAAGGAAAGAAGGGGATAGCTAAAGCTGAGAGGGTTGAGAGGCCAGCAGAGGCCAGATCACCCAGGGCACCCTGATAGTTCAGCAGCATGTTCTGCTACTAGGGCATTGTGATGGTTCTGTAGTGTGACTTGTTCTCTCTCTTTTTTTTTTTTTGAGACACAGTCTTGCTGTGTCACCCAGGCTGGAGTGCAGTGGCGTGATCTTAGTTCACTTCAACCTCTGCCTCCTAGGTTCAAGCAATTCTCTTGCCTCAGCCTCCCGAGTAGCTGGGATTACAGGTGCCCGCCACCACGTCTGGCTAATTTTTGTATTTTTAGTAGAGACGAGGTTTCACCATGTTGGCCAGGCTGGTCTTGAACTCCTGACCTCAGGTGATCTACCTGCCTCAGCCTCCCAAAGTGCTGGGGTTACAGGTGTGAGCCACCGTGTCCTGCCTCTTGTAGTGTGACTTGTCCTAGGGGAAAGGGGAATCTAGTGGAGGGTTAAGAAAGAGATCTGACCTGAGAAGCTTTCAACTTTCAAAGATCATCTTGGCTGCAGTGTGGGGTGGGGTGGGATGGGGCTTGGACTGAGGTGGTAGCAATCAACAGTGTTCACTGTTGTGTGGTCGGTTTTAGATGGTTTTCTTTTCTCTTTCTTTCTTTTTTTTTTTTGAGATAGTTTTCTTTTGGAAATGAGCTGGACAGAGGGTGCAGAGGCCGATCCAAGGTTTGTGAGGCCTAAATCATACAGTTTGAGGGCCTTCCATAAGAAAAATAAAAACTAAACACAAAATGAGATAGAGGACCCTGCAATGGGGTAACACAAAATGAGATAGAGGGTCCTGAGCAAAGGAGAGTCCCTGACACTTAAGCTTCTGGAATTTCTTGATGAGTCCTCTCCCGATGGTGGGGGTGAGGTCGGGAGAGATCAAGAATGCCCAGGTTTTGTGACTGAGCAACTGATGATGCTATTAAGATGAGAAGGAGGTGTTTGGGGTAAGGTCTGGAGAGAAGAGCTGGGTTTCCTTCGTGGCACTTTTGTGGGACACAGGAAACAGCCACGTGGCTGAGGATAGAGGGACAATGGAGCCCAGGAAGAGGGCAGGGCTGGAAATGGCAAGCCATCACTTTCATGGCATTTAAAGTTGTGGAAGTGGATGACATCAGGTTGGGAAGAGAGAAGAGAGCCAAGCAATCAGCTGCAAGACAACTCCACCTGAGGCCAGGCCCTGGAGGTTTCTAGTTTATATATAGTCCAAATATAATAGTATATTTAACATTAGTCACTTTAAGTTGTAATTCTCTTTTTCTTTCTGATTGCAAGGGTTTCTTTCTTTACTTTTTTTTCTGAGACAGAGTCTCATTCTGTCTCACTCTGTCACCCAGGCTGGAGTGCAGTGGTGCGATCTCGGCTCACTGCAATCTCCACCTCATGGGTTCAAGCGATTCTGCTGTCTCGGCCTCTAGAGTAGCTGGGATTACAGAAGACAGGGTTTCTTTAACATTTAAGGAATCCACTGATCTACTTCTGAAATCTTCAGAGATAAAAAAGAGAAGGAATCCACTAATGCATGTAAGGATAGTGGGCTGAACAAGTAGGCCCTAATGATCAGAACAAGTCAATTAAAAAAATTATTTGATCAAAGAATTGTTTATTTTTATTGTTTTTATTTTTATTTTTTCTTATACTTCAGGAGTAGTAGGATTTACTTTGTGCCAAGGAAATAACTAGTTTTCTCTAAATTGTCTTCAAGCATTTAGGCCTCCTACCAACTAATATAATTCTCTACCTCTCACTTAGAAACATTGTTTAACAATATGGAATGATCATTTAAAGAACTTAGATCAGGCTGAGTGCGGTGGCTCATGCCTGTAATCCCAGGACTTTGGGAGGTAGGTGGATCACCTGAGGTCGGAGTTCGAGACCAGCCTGGCCAACATGGTGAAACCTTGTCTCTACAAAAAATACAAAAAAAAAATTAGCCAGGTATGGTGGCGCAGGCCTGTAGTCCCAGCTACTCAGGAGGCTGAGGTGGGAGAATCGCTTGAACCTGGGAGGTGGAGGCTGCAGTGAGCTGAGATCACGCCACTGCACTCCAGCCTGGGCAACAAAATGAGACTCAGTCTCAAAAAATAGAAAAAAAAAAAGATGTTAGATCAAACTAATATTAAGAGGTCAAAAGACCATCTTCCTCCCATCTTAATCTAAGGATTTTTCTAGTTTTGTTTATACACTTAAGTTTTCATTTGAGTATTCAGAGAGATAATAAACCCTACCCTTTTAAAGAATGTGGGAGGGAGTGGGAAAAGTAGGAATGCGTTTTAAGGTCTATCTGCCATGTAAAATCAGCGATATTGGACCCATGTGATAAGAATGCTTGTTTTACATGGCTTCAGCTATCCATAGACCAAGCATTTTCTCTTGAAACATAGCTACATTTAGAAAATCTTAATACAGCTTAAAATAGGAATTTTGGTATTTGGTCCCGGACACTACCACCAGAAAGGGATCCCATTATGTTATGATGCTATTATTCAAGCTGGTTGGACTCAGTTTGCAGAGACTCCTATTTTACAAATCACTTGGCTTGTGTGAATTGACTATTTAGTGGCTGTGAGATTGAGGATAAGGGCTAAATCTTTTCTAACAAGAGGACTATTTAAAAACCAGAAGAAAATCATAGTATTTTAGCTGTGAACTTTAGGAGAAGCTTTAGAGAAAAGATTTTATACATATCTTTAGTTTCATATGGTAATAGGTTATAAAGCATACGAAATCAAAGTAAAGAGCTAGAGGTGATGGGGTACTGTTAAAATAGGGTGCCCAGGGAAGACCTTCCTAAGGGTGAGATCCAACAATGTATTGCTTTATGAAAATTAATTTTCTGGCAGAGCAAAGGTATTTAAAAGATTAGTATTAAAAATGCTCAACCTACTTTCTTCTGACTTCTGTAAAAAAGCACTTTTTTATATATCAGATTTTTAAGTTATAATAATAACTGACAACATTTTGATTTCTTTCTGTGTTTGAGGGATAACCTTCTATGCTTTATCTTATTTAATTCTCAAATGTAACCAATGAGCCTTCAACCATTTTGTCAAGAAAATTCTTTAAACATGTATTAATTCCTTACTGGCCTTTTGAAACCTTTTGAAACACTGAATTATTATTATTTTTATTTTTTACTTTTTTTGTTCGTTTTTTTTTTTTTGACACGGAGTCTCGCACTGTCGCCCAGGCTGGAGTGCAGTGGCGCGATCTTGGCTCACTGCAAGCTCCACCTCCCGGGTTCACGCCATTGTCTCGCCTCAGCCTCCAGAGTAGCTGGGACCACAGGTGCCCGCCACCACGCCCGGCTAATTTTTTGTATTTTTAGTAGAGACGGGGTTTCACCGTGTTAAGCCAGGAAGGTCTTGGTCTCCTGACCTTGTGATCCGCCTGCCTTGGCCTCCCAAAGTGCTGGGATTACAGGCATGAGCCACTGCGCCTGGCCAAAATGCTGAATTATTTTTCACCTTTCCAGAGTGGGGCGTATAGGATAGAAGTTGGCCCTTGGGATGAGGGGATCCTGACTGTAGTTGCAGCTTCCCCCTTAACTAGCTGTGATCCTGAACTGGGCTGTCAATGCTTCCTGAGGCCTCCATTTCCTCATCTGTAAATTGGGGCGAGTTGGGCAGCACCCTAGGGGATCCTCCCAGCTCCGGCGTCTGAGGACCATCAAGTCGGTTATGTCACTGGGTTGTGGTAGAGTGGTGGATACACAGGCCACTTAGGCTTGCTTGCCCTGAGGTGAAATTGTTCTGGAACTCTGGGATTTCAACTCTTATATTTCTGCCTGTGTTTTGGAAGTGTTTTCCCCGCTCATTTTCTCCATCAGACAGTGTCATTTATTGTAGCTGCCAACATAAAATGACAACTGTCTCCACTTGTCAGCTGCTCTCATCATCTGGTTTGCTGTGTGCTTTGGAAGGCAGATGACCAAGCATGTATGAACTAGGCACAAGAGTATATGAACTCAGCACAGAGAAGACAGCTGAGGATATTTCCTGTAGAGTAGCATGCATGAACTTTATAAGGTATTTGGCCACTTAGGTATTTTTCTTTTTTTTTTTTCGTGATAGGGTCCCACTCTGTCACCCAGGCTGGAGTGCAGTGGCACAGTCATGGCTCACTGCAGTCTTGACCTCCCCAGCTCAAGGAATCCTCTCACCTCAGCCTCCTGAGTCCCTGGAATTACAGATGCATTCTGCCATAACTGGCTACTTTTTTCTATATTTTGTAGAGACAGGGTCTCACTATGTTGCCTAGGCTGACCTTAAACTCCTAGGCCCAAGTGATCCTCCCACCTCAGCCTCCCAAAGTGCTGGGATTATAGGTGTGAGCCACTGTGCCCGGCCGGTATTTTTCATTTGGAGGTTTATAATTGCATTCCAGAGTTTTAACTCTACTGGAAAGCTAACACAATGTTCCAACACAAATCTGTCTCGCATACTAGTTAGTGTCTTTGAGGTTCCATCACAGACAAATGACGGAAGAAAGCAAAACTGTTTAGGAAGGTCTAAATTAAACATTCTATAATAAAGGCATTAGCATTTGACAAGTCCCTGGTATCTAATACTTTATAAGATGACAATGAGCCTTTTTTACCCCTAGTTAGGGGATTAAGTTCTAGGAGAAGAAGTTAACCAGGTGGTTCCTTAAGTAAGTAATCTTTTGACTACTTAGGGATTGATTTTGTTTTCCCATAATGAAAATGAATTCTGTTTTCCTTCATTTACTTGACTTTAGTGATCTCTGAAAACTAAGATAAAATATACTCGGCCTCTGAGGGAATACAACCATAATGTACAGAAGACAAAATAGATACTCTAAAGATTTTAAATGGAACATCTTGGGATTTGAGAAATTAAAGGCAGTGAAAATCATACTGCTTCTAAGCACTTTTTATTCTCCCTATAGGAAAGCAGGGTAGATAATCCTGATGGGTTGGATTTCAATTAATTGGTGAATAGAAGGTAAAATGATCAAGAAACAGATATCATAATTATAGGAGAAAATAGCAGGAGCTTTTTGTTTTAAAGGAAATAAAGAATAGAATTCACAGTGAAGAGAGACAGAACAAAATCTGATAATTCTAGACTCACTTGAGTGCCGCAAGTATCCTGATCAGGGAAAACAGTTGTGCCTACACATGGGTCCTGGAAAGGCTTCTCCCCGGAACCACCTAAGTGAAATAAAAACTGATTTCTGACTGTTTCAGGATGGCAACACAGACCTTTAGGATAATAACCCACATTCTTTTGGGCAACTCTAATCAAGTGATGCCTCCTTAAGGATACAGAGTTAGTCCCCAGCTCACGTAAGGCACAATACCAAAGAACAATGAGCCATCATGAAATCGTCATTGTTTCATACTTGGTTTTTGTGTAGAATGTTCTCCAAATCATTGTCTCTGACGTTTCCTTCCTCTTGGGTATGACTGTGGTGACGTCAGGAGACGAGCTAAAGGGACCTCCTGGATCTCACAGGGAAACTCTTTCCCTCCAGTATCACGCTAAATTGTTCCTCAGTGCAGATGAAATTCTTAAATGGTTTCATCTGAATGTGAGGTTTTGGGATGACTTACTGTGGTCAGAGCTGTTCCCGGCTGCTCCAGTTGTGGGAGGTCATCAATCCCACAGTTCTGACCTCCTGGCTCAGAGACGTCACCGTGGAGACACCTGGCTGCTATTGTGACACGCAGGAGGTCAGCTGGCTCCTGCTAGTGGGCATTTACACTGCCCACCCTGCCAGCTTCACAGGCCCACACTGCACAGGCATTTAGACGTTACAGGGTAGCCCAAGCTCCCAAAGCTGTGGAAAGGAAAGGGAGCTATCTATTGGCCTTTGAGAACTCAAAACCCATGTTGCTGGGGGCCACTCAGATTGGGTACAAATGTGTCATCAAATTCAGTTTTGAAACTGTCTGAGTAGCTTCTTTACCCACAGATTTTGATTCTATTCACTACTCAATACTGAAAAGAGAAATTGATCTCTCAAATAGACAAAGATAAATTTGTATGGAAACAACAGGAAATTCCATATTACATACGTTTATGTCAACTGGGTTTGTGATTAAATTACTTTTTCTTTTATTTTAGTTGACATGTAATAATTATAAATATTGGCTGGGCGGGGTGGCTCATGCCTGTAATTCCAGCACTTTGGGAGGCCGAGGTGGGAGGATCATTTGAGCTCAGGAGTTCAAGACCAGTCTTGGCAACATGGCAAAACCCCATCTCTATGAAAAATGCAAATATTAGATGCGTGTGGCAGTGCACACCTGTAGTCCCAGCTGCTCAGGAAGCTGAAGTGGGAGGATCATCTGAGCCGGGGGAGGTTGAAGCTGCAGTGAGCTGTGATTGCACCACTGCACTCCAGCCTGGGCAACAGAGTGAGACCTTGTCTCAAAAAATAAACAATAAAAAATTGCAGATATTTATGGGATGTAATTAAATTTTTATATGACAGATTAACATCAATTTTGCCCTGTATTCTCATGGATCTCAATGCCCTAGCTTTGTACATTTAGCTTTTCTTTTTTTTTTGAGACAGATTCTCACTCTGTTGCCCAGGCTGGAGTGCAGTGGCGTGATCTCGGCTCACTGCAACCTCCACCTCCCGGGTTCAAGAAATTCTCCTGCCTCAGCCTCCCAAGTAGCTGGGATTACAGGTGCCCACCACCATGCCCGAATAATTTTTGTATTTTAGTACAGATGGGGTTTCACCACGTTGGCCAGGCTGGTCTTGAACTCCTGACCTCAAGTGATCCATCTGCCTCGGCCTCTCAAAGTGCTGGGATTACAGGCATGATCCCCTGCGCTGGCCTAGCATTTTGTTGTTTTTATTAATTCAGATCATTAATTAAAGCCAAACTCCATTTTTGTAATTATTTATTTCTTTTTTTTTTGATACAGAGTCTCTCTCTGTTGCCCAGGCTGGTGTGATCTCAGCTCACTGCAACCTCTGCCTCTCTGGTTCAAGCGATTCTTCTGCCTCAGCCTCCCAAGTAGCTGGGATTACAGGCACGCGCCACCATGCTCGGCTAATTTTTATATTTTTAGTAGAGACGGGGTTTCACCATGTTAGCCAGGATGGTCTCGATCTCCTGACTTCGTAATCTGCCCACCTTGGCCTCCCAAAGTGCTGGGATTACAGGCATGAGCCAACGCACCCGGCCTATTTTTGATTTTTAAATTGTTTCATAGGACATGGGCAGACTCCTTTGTATAGGTCACATTTTTTTCTTGGTAACGTGTGATGTCTAAGCACTTTCTAGTGTCACCCCGCATATCCTGAAAGTTCTTCAGCACTATTCCTTGCTTCTTCGTCCTCATCCTATGTCACTGGTTCTTTTTTTGTTTTTGAGACAGGGGTCTCATTATGTTACCCAGGCTGGTCTCGAACTATGGGCTCAAGAGATCCTCCTGCCTCAGCCTCCCAAGTGGTTGGGACTGCAGGAGCTCGCTACTGCACCTGACTTCTAACATTTTGGCTTGTGGGCAGGTGTCTTCATGGCATTTTGCTCAAGCATCTTACCAAGGGTCTGATACCAGAATTTACATAGATTCAGAATCAGCGATTGAATGGTTACAAGGTTACTGCAAAATGTATGAAGAACATTTTATTTAGTTACGTATTTGTTTATTTTTTAGTTCTTTTTTTAGAGACAGTCTTGCACTGTTACCCACCCTGGAGTCCAGTGATGCAATCATGGCTCACTGCATGCCCCACCATACTTGGTTAATGTTCTAAAAAAATGTTTGTAGACGTTGGGGGAGGGTCTCACTGTGTTGCCTAGGCTGATCTTGAACTCCTGGCCTCAAGTGAGCTGGGAGCACCTTGGCCTCCCAAAGTGCTGGGATTACAGGGGTGAGCCATTGTGCCCTTCCTGAAGAACATTTTAAAAGAACAAATCCGAGAAGTTTCTCCAGTGCCTATGACATTGACCAGTTGCTTGGTGTATTAGTCTGTTTTCATGCTGCTGATAAAGACCGTGGCTGGGCACAGTGGCTCATGCCTCTAATCCTAGCACTTTGGGAGGCTGAGGTCAGGAGTTCGAGACCACCCTGGCCAACATGGCAAAACCCTGTCTCTACTAAAAATAGAAAAATTAGCTGGGCATGGTCGTGGGTGCCTGTAGTCCCAGCTACTTGGGAGGCTGAGGCAGGAGAATCACTGAACCCAGGAGGTGGAGGTTGCAGTGAGCCGAGATTGTGCCACTGTACTCCAGCCTGGGTGACAGAGCAAGACTTGGTCTCAAAAAAAAAAAAGAAAAAAAAAAAGACATACCTGAGACTGGGTAATTTATAAAGAAAAAGAGGTTTAATGGACTCACAGTTCCATGTGGCTGGGGAGGCCTCATAGTCATGGTGGAAAGCAAAAGATACATCTTACATGGTGGCAGGCAAGAGAGAATGAGAACCAAGTGAAAGGAGAAACCTCTTATAAAATCGTCAGATCTCGTGAGGCTTATTCACTACCACAAGAACAGTATGAGGGAAACTGCCCCCATGGTTCAAATATCTCCTACCGGGTCCCTTTCACAACACACGGGAATTATGGGAGCTACAATTCAAGATGAAATTTGGGTGGGGACACAGGCAAACCATATCACTTGGTTTTTTGGAAGGTGCCAGCAGACCTGACTGCACTGGCTGATCCTTGGGCATTCCAAACCTACACCAAAGACAGGATTTAGGGGAATATACATTGATTTCTTCATCAGCAGGCACAACCAGTGGAATACTGAATAGGAATCACCATGGTGGATAAGGGTAGGCTAGAAAGTCACATATAGAGAGCACTATGGTGGATATTTTGCATTGTGGCTTTATTAGTCCGTTTTCACAGTGATGATAAAGACATACCCAAGACTGGGCAACTTACAAAAGGAAGAGGTTTGTTGGGCTTATGATTCCACATGGCTGGGGAGGCCTCACAAACATGGCGGAAGGTGAAAGGCACATCTCACATGGCGGCAGACAGGAGAAGAGAGCTTGTGCAGGGATACTTTTTTTTTTTTTTTTTCCTGAGACAAAGTCTTGCTCTGTCGCCCAGGCTGGAGTGCAGTGGTGTGATCTCAGCTAACTGCAACCTCCTCCTCCAGGGTTCAAGCAATTCTGCCTCAGCCTCCCGAGTAACTGGGATTACAGGCACATGCCACCATGCCCGGCTAATTTTTGTATTTTTTTTTTTTTTTTTTTTTTGGAGACTGAGTCTCACTCTGTCACCCAGGCTGGAGTGCAGCGATGCGATCCTGGCTCACTGCAACCTCCACCTCCCGGGTTCAAGCGATTCTCCTGCCTCAGCCTCCTGAGTAGCTGGGATTACAGGTGTGTGCCACTATGCCCAGCTATTTTGTATATTTAGTAGAGATGGGGTTTCACCATGTTAGCCAGCTGATCTCGAATTCCTGACCTTTGGTGATCCACCTGCCTTGGCCTCCCAAAGTGCTGGGATTACAGGCGTGAGCCACCACGCCTGGACTCATTTTTGTATTTTTAGTAGAGACGGGGTTTCACCATGTTGGCCAGGCTGGTCTTGAACTCCTGATTTGGTGATCCACCTGCCTTGGCCTCCCAAAGTGCTGGGATTACAGATGTGAGCCACCGCACGTGGCCTAATTTTTGTATTTTTAGTAGAGACAGGGTTTCACCATGTTGGCCAGGCTGGTCTTGAATTCCTGATTTGGTGATCCCCCTGCCTTGGCCTCCCAAAGTGCTGGGATTGCAGGCGTGAGTCACAGCGCCCGACCAGGAAACTTTTTTAAAACCATCAGATCTCATGAGACTGATTCACTATCATGAGAAAGCACAGGAAAGACCTGCCCCCATGATTCAATTACCTCCTACCAGGTTCCTCCCATGACACATGGGAATTGTGGGAGTTACAATTCAAGATGAGATTTGGGTGGGGACACAGCCAAACCATATGAGTGGCCTTATTTGCCTTTTATTCATTTCACTTCATGTAGCCATAGATGGGCTGTGAGAATCTTGGATAATCAGCAAACCCCATTGTCTGTTTTTTTTTTCTTTTTCTAAAATGTCCACCCTCTGATGATCATTTAGATATGTTGATACGTTGTCCTTCAGTTAACATTATTTTAGGTTTCTTTCTTGCTTTCTTTTTTTTTTTAGAGTCTCACTCTGTCATCCAGGCTGGAGTGGAGTGGCATGATCTTGGCTCACTGCAGCCTCTGCCTTTCAGTTTCAAGTGATTCTTCTGCCTCAGCCTCCCCACTAGCTGGGATTACAGGCACCCGCCACCACGCCTGGCTAATATTTGTATTTTTAGTAGAGACGGGGTTTCACCACGTTGGTCAGGCTGGTCTCGAACTCCTGACCTCAGGTGGTCCACCCACCTTGGCCTCCCAAAGTGCTGGGATTACAGGTGTGAGCCACCAGGCTGGGCCTAGGACATTTCTTTTAATTCCATTATACTATTAAGGGCAGTGGTATCCGTGTTAGTGATGGATAATAATGTACATTGTTTTTTGTTTAAAAGAAGAGAAATGGGGCCGGGAGCAGTGACTCACGCTTGTAATCCCAGCACTTTGGGAGGCTGAGGTGGGTGGATCACGAGGTCAGGAGTTCGAGACCAGCCTGGCCTACATGGTGAAACCCCATCTCTACTAAAGATACAAATAATTAGCCGCGCGTTGTGGCGGGTGCCTGTAATCCCAGCTACTTGAGAGGCTGAGGCAGGAGAATTGCTTGAACCCGGGAGGCGGAGGTTGCAGTGAGCCGAGATCGCACCATTGCACTCCAGCCTGGGTGACACGGCAAGACTCTGTCAAAAAAAAAAAAAAAAAAAAAAAAAAAGGAAGAGAAAGGAAGAAAAATGTTTGTCCTTATTTCTTAAAATATTCAATGAGCTTATATTGTGTTCGAGTGATTAACTGTGGTGCCTTTAGGTGCCCCTGAAGTAGTCATAACTTTTTACTCTAACTCCTAAACCTAACACCACATCTATCCACATACAAACAGGTACATACTTATTTCCCTTTCAATATCATTAGTCTTAGTTTTTTGAATGTTGAGCCTGCAGGCTTTAAAAATACAACTTAGGGCCAGGCATGGTGACTCATGCCAGCACTTTGGGATGCCAAGGTAGGAGGATTGCCTGAGCCCAGGAGTTTGAGATCAGCCTGGGCAACATAGCAATATCCTGCCTCTACAAAAAATAAAAAAATTAGCCAGGCGTGGTGGCACACACCTGTAGTCCCAGCTACTTGGGAGGCTGAGGTAGGAGGATCGCTTGAGTCCAGGAGGCTGAGGCTGCAGTGAGCTGTGATTACCCCACTGCATTCTAGCCTGGACAATGGAGAGGGACCATGTCTTGGGGGAAGAAAAAGAAAAAAGAAAAAATCCAACTGAAAAAATATTTTTAGCTGGGCACGGTGGCTCACGCCTGCGCCTATAATCCCAGCACTTTGGGAGGCCAAAGCAGGTGGATCACTTGAGGCCAGGAGTTTGAGACCAGCCTGGCCAACATGACGAAACCCTGTTTCTAGTAAAAATTCAAAAATTAGCCTGTCGTGGTGTTGTGCGCCTGTAATCCCAGCTACTGGGGAGGCTAGGGCAGGAGAATCACTTGAGCCTGGGAGGTGGAGGTTGCAGTAAACCAAGGTCGCTCCACTGCACTCCAGCCTGGGCTATAGAGAGACCCTGTCTCAAAAAAAAAAAAAAAAAAAAGAAAAGAAAAATTAAAGTGTTCACATATAAATGAAGCAACTCATTTAGAGAGGAAGGGAAAGGCCTGGAAGCCAAGTGTTGGCATTTCCACCAAGGCTGAGCATTCTTATACGGAGACCCTGCCGAACTGCCTTTCCTGGGACGCATATTTTCATGCTACATCATATATTTGGTGAAGCAACTCAGCTACACCCTTTCAGTGGGGGTTGAAGATGAATCAGCCCATCATGTTGTAATTCAGACAAAAGCAAGGTTTATTTTTTTTCAGGCAATCATTCTAAAATGCCAGAGGAAATGAAGCCCCTTGGCCCACTGGCCCTGATCTGTGCCAGGTTTTGCACCAATATTGAAAGCCTGTTCTGTTCTGTAGGACTTGCCCCTGAAACAAAGGATCTTCCTGAAATGCATCTCCACAGACTCTCAACTCAAAAATTCATCTCTGTGGGAGAGGGGACATTTTGTAGCATTTTGTCTTCAGCTTGTATTCTACAAAAATCAAACTTCAGATATGAAAATTCTTTTAAACTATAGATTTATTGAACTAGAAAGGGCCAGAAGAACTCTAATTGATACAATTAGGACTTACATAATTTATCTAAGAGAGGATTAGATATGAAGCAACCCAGAGAATAAGAGTCTAATCTGCACTTAACCTTCTCTTTCCTTCCTTCCTTCCTTCCTTCCTTCCTTCCTTCCTTCCTTCCTTCCTTCCTTCCTCCCTCCCTCCCTCCCTCCCTCCATCCCTCCCTCCCTCCCTTCCTTTCCTTCCTTCCTTCCTTTCTTTCTCCTCCTCTCTCTCTCTCTTTCTTTCTTTGAGACAGAGTTTCACTCTAGTTGCCCAGGCTGGAGTGCAATGGCATGATCTTGGCTCACCACAACCTCCGCCTCCCAGGTTCAAGTGATTCTCCTGCCGCAGCCTCCCGAGTAGCTGGGCTTACAGGTGCCACCCCACCATGCCCGGCTAATTTTGTATTTTTAGTAGAGACGGGGTTTCTCCGTGTTGGTCAGGCTGGTCTCAAACTCCAGACCTCAGGTGATCCACCAGCCTCAGTCTCCCAAATTGCTGGGATTACAGGCATGAGCCACTGCACCTGGCCTAACCTTTTAAAAAGAAATTTTTCATGGGCAAAAGATCTGAATAGACATTTCTCCAAAGACGATATACAAATAGCTAATAAGCCCATAAAAAGATGCCCATACACAGGAGGCTGAGGTAGGAGAATCATTTGAACCCGGGAGGTGGAGGTTGGAGGTTGCAGTGAGCTGAGATTGTGTCACTGCACTCCAGCCTGGGTGACAGAGCAGGACTGTCTCGGGGGGGAAAAAAAAGATGCCCAACATTAGTCATCAGGGAAATGCAAATCAAAACCACAGTGAGATACCACTTCATACAAACGAAAATGGCTATAATCAAAAAGTCATAATAATAATGTTGGTGGGTATGTGGAGAAATTGGAATCCTCTTACACTACTGGCGGGAATGTGAAGTGGTGCAGCTGATTTGGAAAATAGTCTGGCAGTTTCTTGAAAAGTTAAACAGAGTTCCATTTGACCCAGCAATTCTGCTCTTTAGCATATACCCAAGAGAAAAGGGAACTTGTAGTCCCAGCTACTTGGGGGGCTGAGGTGGGAGGATCACTTGAGCATGGGAGGTCAAGGTTGCAGTGAGCTATGATTGCACCACCGCAATCCAGCATGGGCAACAGAGTGAGACCCTGTTTCTAAAGAGAAAAAAAGTGCAAGCAACCCAAATGTCCATCAACTGAGGAATGGATAAATAAAATGTGGTACATGCATACAATGGAATATTATTTAGCAATAGAAAGAAATATGAAATACTCATATATGCGGCAACATTGGATGAACTTTAAAAACAGTACACTAAGGGAAAGAAGGCAGTCACAAAAGATTACATATTATATGATTTAATTTATATGAACTAGAATAGGCAAATCTATAAAGACAAAGTTGACTAAATGGTTGCTTAGGGCCAGTGGAGCTGGGGGTGGGGCAGGAGAATGATAGCTAAAGGGTGTGTTTTTTTAATGGATAAAAGTGTTCTAAAATGGATTATACTTAAGGTTGCACAGTTATGCATATGCTAAAAACCATGAAGTGTCCTTGAAATGAGTGAGCTGTATGGTATGTGAATTATATCTCAAGAAGAAAGAAAGAATGAAAAAGAAAACTCTCTAGGTTTCTTCCTGGCTGCCAGAAAATTCTTTTTTTTACTTTTTGTTTTTTTGAGACAGGATCTTGCTCTGTCACCCAGGCTGGAGTGCAGTGGTGTGATCACTGCTCACTGCAGTCTTGACCCCCCGGGTTTGAGTGATCCCCTCACCTCAGCCTCCCAAGTATCTGAGACTGCAGGTATGAGCCACCATATCTGGCTAATTTTAACTTTTTTTTTTTTTTTTTGTAGAAACAGTCTCCCTATGTTGCCCAGGTGGTCTTGAACTCCTGGACTCAAGTGATCCTCACGTCTTGGCCTCCCGAAGTGCTGGGATTACAGGCATGAGCCACTGTGTCTTGCCAGAAAATTCTTTCCCATATTTAGTATTTTTCTTTTTGCTCACTCTAATAAACACTTGTTTTGTTTTTGGTAGAGACAGAGAAGAGTAAAAAACTTCCTTGTCTTGAATCATAAATCTAATACTCAAAGGCCATTATTATATTAGCCATTTGGAGGAAACGATTTCAGTGCCTTTAACCTTTTCTTATAGGATTCATTTTTATGCCATTATTTGCCTTTCTACCTCTCTTGGAGCTTCTTAACCATTCTGGGCCTCAGATTCTTCGCCTATAAAATGAGACTGGTGGACTAGATCTCAAAGACCCCTTGCAGGTCTGAAGTCCTGTGATGAATGTCGGCATCCTTTGAGAAAGCATGAACATGTACAAATGAAAACACTTTTCTGAGCCGTGGAAGGCAAAACTGTAATCAGCTATGAAAAGAAGCTGGAAACAGACTGAGGGAGTCGAGTTTTAAAATCAGTGAACACAGCATGAAGTGGGCACAGCAAAGGCCTGAGAGTCAGGAAACTTAATCTCTGCTTTTATGACTCATGGTAAGATTTGGGAGAGTCACATGACCTCTTGAGTACATTTTCTTTTCTATAAAATGGGCATCATATAATCTGCCTACCTCTCTCTAAGCAGTGTTTTCACTGAATGATTAAACAAGTAAATATTACTGTAATGCACATATTATAACAATATTTTATATATGATTCACAACAAAAGTGCTGTTATTGAAACAATTCTTTCCTTGAAAGAAAATTTATGATACCTATTTTTAAAATTCATTTCATTTTGGTTTTATCATCTCCTCTTAAAACTTAATGAATATAGGCTGGGTGCAGTGGCTCACGCCTGTAATCCCAGCACTTATGGAGGCTGAGGTGGGCAAATCACTTGAGGCCAGGAGTTCGAGACCAGCCTGGCCAACGTGGCGAAACTTTGTCTCTACTAAAAATACCGCAATTAGCCAGGTGTGGTGGGACAACCTGTAATCCTGGCTACTCAGGTGGCTGAGGCACAAGAATTGCTTGAGCCTGAGAGGCAGAAGTTGCGATGAGTGGAGATGACACCAGTGCACTTCAGCCTGGGCGACAGAGCAAGACTCTGTCTCAGAAACAAAACAAAACAAAAAACTTAATGAATATGGCATAGTAAAATGTAAAGAAATATAAAAATAAAAGCTCAATGAAATCATGGTTAATGTGAACAAAGCTTACAATAACATTAAAAATTAATAAAAAGTATTTTTCTTCCAAATTTGGCTTTGTAAAAGCCTATGTTAATTATAAAAATTGTTAAGCATTTTTCTAGTTGCCACTTCCCTCACATCTATATTGTTCTCATTGTTAAGGTGTCTTATGTTGCTTTTTTTTAAAATTATACTTTAATTTCTGGGGTACATGTGCAGAACGTGCAGTTTTGTTACATAGGTATACACGTGCCGTGGTGGTTTGCTTCACCCATCAACCCATCATCTACATTAGGTATTTCTCCTAATGCTATCCCTTCCCTAGCCCCCCACCCCCCGACAGGCCCCAGTGTGTGATGTTCCCCTCCCTGAGTCCATGTGTTCTCATTGTTCAGCTCCCACTTATGAGTGAGAACATGCAGTGCTTGGTTTTCTGTTCTTGTGTTAGTTTGCTGAGAAAGATGGTTTCCAGCTTCATCCATGTCTGGTGTCTTATGTTTCTGAGTAGAACCAGAGGTCAAGGGACCATGTCAGATCTCTCCGTTGTTACACCTTAATGCCTGTAACAATGCCATGCATCTGGTATTTACTCATTAAAAACTGATGACATTTATTGCCTGCTAATGGAAGAGGTTAAACTGCTCAATGTAAATAGGACATTGAAAATTTGCAGTCCAGACAGAATTTTTTTGTGTGGGTCTAGTGATTTCTGAGAACCATAAAGCTAATTTAAAGCATCTTAGGCAATAACAAATATCTCATGGTATTCATGAGATCAATGACATCATGAAACTTAGGAAACTGAACAATAGTCGCAAAAGTTGACACACTTAAAGGAGAGATGGTCTTCCAAGCAGGGAGACTGTATGATTTTCCAGGGGTACCACCTTTGCTCAAAAGAGCACGGAAATTCCCCTGTTTGGAATTTGGAATCTGTCCAGAGTCAGATTACCATCCCTCAGGAAAATCAACCTCATTTCTTATAGCCACGCAATGTGGTTAATGATGTTTGCTTTTCCTCTCTTGTAAGCTATTGAGTTATCTTCAAATAGGATGCATTGCATAGGTAACAATGGGATCATGCCAATTACTGTGTAATTGGAGTTAGAGATAGGCCTGCTTAAAATCAAGAACAATAGGCCGGGCACAGTGGCTCACACCTGTAATCCCAGCGGTTTGGGAGGCTGAGGCAGGTGGATCACGAGGTCAGGAGATCGAGACCATCCTGGCTAACACGGTGAAACCCCGTCTCTACTAAAAATACAAAAAGTTAGCTGGGCGTGGTGGCAGGCGCCTGTAGTCCCAGCTACTTGGGAGGCTGAGGCAGGAGAATGGTGTGAACCTAGGAGGCAGAGCTTGCAGTGAGCCAAGATCGCACCACTGCACTCCAGCCTGGGTGACAGAGCGAGACTCTGTCTCAAAAAAAAAAAAAAAAAATCAAGAACAATAAACATCCATAGAGCTGAGATTGCCATTGTCCCAGATACTTTCAGATGAGTTATTCCATCCTTAAAACTACCCTTTGTGGCAGGTTGTACTTTCCTCAGGAATATGGGACGTTCAGTGATATCCACACATATTCCGGGCCATGGGAGAGTCCAGATGGGCTGTGCAGTCTGAAGTTGCTGATAGCTGTCACTCTTGCTGGGGGTCACCTGGCACATTGCTAATAAACCACTGTAGTTTATTAGCACAGCAACAAGCAGTGCTCACTAAAGTCTATGAAGTTGCTGTCTTTGGCCAAGGTCCCAGCTTGCTTTCTGGGACTAAGGGTGTTCACCTTGACAGGGTCCAGGCCATCTTGAGGCCACTCTCTGCTCTTCTAGGCGTGTAGGGCCCGCCCACCTTCTTTTCTTCTCAACTCCTCCCGTTTTCTCTTCCTCCCCAGCATGCTCTAACTTCCCCCCAGAGCTTTTTTTTTTTTTTTTTGAGACAGAGTTTTGCTTTGTTGCCCAGGCTGGAGTGCAGTGGTATGATCTCGGCTCACTGCAACCTCTGCCTCCCAGGTTCAAGCAATTCTTGTGCCTCAGCCTCCGGAGTAGCTGGGATTACAGGCGCCTGCCACCAAACCCGGCTGGTTTTTTGTATTTCAGTAGAGACAGAGTTTCACCATGTTGCCCATGCTGGTCTCGAACTCCTGAGATCAGGCAATCTGCATGTCTCGGCTTCCCAAAGTGTTAGGATTACAGGAGTGAGCCACTGTGCCCAGCCCCAAGCTCTTGCTTAAGAATGAATCTTATAGGCTGCCTATTTAGAGCCTTGCTTTTTGACTCTTTAAAAACAAACAAACAAACAAAACAAACAAGTACCAAAACGCCAAACTCAGGTTTGGCTTTAAAACGATTGTTATGTGTTTAGCTCAATTGGAAAAAATTGAATGTAAAAATGTATCGGGAGGTCGAGGTGGGTGGTTCACGAGGTCAGAAGATCGAGACCATCCTGGCTAACATGGTGAAACCCCATCTCTACTTAAAAAAAAAAAAATACAAAAAATTAGCCAGGCGTGGTGGTGGGTGCCTGTAGTCCCAACTACTCAGGAGGCTGAGGTGGCAGAATTGCTTCAACCCGGAAGGCAGAGCTTGCAGCGACCCAAGATCGTGCCACTGCACTCCAGGCTGCGTGACAGAGCGAGACTCCCTTTCAAAAAAAAAAAAAAAGTATAAATCACATATACAATAAGGTAGATTATCAAACAGGTACAGCAGAAGGCTCATTTCAGATCAGAAGTTCTACATTCAGTGTCACAGTGAGGGTGGTAGAAATGAAAACATTTTATTCATTTATTTAGCACGTTGCTTATTTTTTCTAATTTTAAAAATACACATATTACTTCTCTCTGTATTAATAAAAGGTTATTTTAAACAACCGTACTAATACAGTTTGTATTGTGATAAAATATACATGACGAAATTTACCATCGTATCATTTTTTTTTTTTTTTTTTGAGATCGAGTCTGTTTCTGTTGCCCAGGCTGGAATACGGTAGTGTGATCTTGGCTCACTGCAATCTCTGCCTCCCGGGTTCAAGCCATTCTTGTGCCTCAGCCTCCCATCCTGAGTAACTGAGATTACAGGCGTGAGTCACCATGCCCAGCTAACTTTTTGTATTTTTAGTAGAGACGAGGTTTCGCCATGTTGATCAGACTGGTCTCAAACTCCTGGTCTCAAGCAATCTGCCCGCCTCGGCCTCTCAAAATGCTGGGATTATAGGTGTGAGCCACTGTGCCCGGCCCCGTCTTATCAATTTTTAAGAGTACAGTTCAGCAGCATTAAATATATTCACAATGTTGTGCAACCATAACCACCATTCATGGTGGTGATGAATTTTTTTTTGTTTTAAAACAGTGTCTCACTCTGTTGCCCAGGCTGGAGTGCAATAGCACAATCACTGCTCACTGCAGCCCCCGCCTCCCAGGCTCCAGTGATCCTCCCACCTCAGCCTCCCGAGTAGCTAGGACTGCAGGCATGCACCACCATGCCTGGCTAATTTTTAAATTTTTTGTAGAGATGGGCTGGTCCGTGCCCTATGTTGCCTAGGCTGGTCTCAAACTCCTGAACTCAAGTGATCCTCCTGCTTTAGCCTCCCAAAGTGCAGGGATTACAGGTGTGAGCCACAGCACCTGGCCCGGAATTTTTTTCATCTTGCAAATCTGAAATTCTGTATCCATTAAATGCTAACTCCCCATTCTCCCCACCTCTAGTCCCTGACAACCACCATTCTACTTTCTGTCTCTGTGAATTTGACTAGGTACCTTATATAAGTGGAATCCCACAGACTTTGCTCAAAGATGCTATTTTTTGTGTGTCTGGTTTGTTTTACTTAGCAACAATAATGTCTTCCAGCTTCATCTATGTTATAGCACGTATCAGAATTTCCTTCCTTTTTAAGGCAAATAATATTCCATTGGATGGATATACTACATTTTGTTTATCCATTCATCCATTGATGGGTACTTTGGTTGCAGACACATTTTAACTATTGTGAATAGAGCTGTTATGATCATGGGTGTAACTAATATAGTTTAAAGAATTTATTTAGGAGATAAAAATAAACAGTATTTCGGTTTTGTTTATATTCCTATTACTGATTTTCTTTTTACCTAAGCCTTTGGCTGAAGAAAGGAAGGGCCATGCCTGCTGAATTGGGAAAGGAGAGCAGGGAATGAAGGAAAAGGACAGTCAGAGACTAAGGGTTAGTGTTCAGAATATACAAGAATTCTTACAAATCTGTAAGGAAAAGATGCGCCACTCAATAGAAAATGGTCAAAAACTTGAACCAACATTTCATAACAGAGACAATCCAAAATGAAACAATGCTCAACCAAAAAGTAATCAGAAAAATGCAAATTAAAGCTACAACACGACACAATTATGCACCCACCAGAATGGCTAAATCTGTCTTTCAAAGCTAAACAAAGCAAGAAGAACTTACCTACACAGCCAATGGAGGTGAAAAATGGTACAAACCTTTGGAAAATAATTTATTGTTCTCTTGTAAAGTTGAAAATAAATATACCCCAGGAGCCTGCAGCTTATTTCCTGGGTATATTCTCTGGAAATCTGCATGCACAGATGCACCAGGGTGCAATAATGCTCCTGATAGCATCGCTCATAATAGCCCCAAACCAGAAACAACCCAAAAAGTCATCTGCAACACAATGGATGCATTCATTGTGGTGTATTCATTTGATGGAATACAGAATTACAGCTACACGCACCATGGATGAAACTCACAATTATGATGTTTAGTGAAAAAGTTTAGTGAAAAAAGGCAGAGTCAAAAGATTTCATATGATTGCTTCCATCTGTATAAAGTTTAAATTAGGCAAAAAATAATTTATTTTTAGGAAAGCATGTGTAGGTGGTGCTATGGTTTGGATGCAGTTTGTTTAGCTTTGCCAAGTCTCATGTTGAAATTTAATCCCCAGTGTTGAAGGTGGGGTCTTGTGGGAGGTGTTTGGATCCCTCATGAATGGCTTGGTGCCATTCTCTTGGGAGTGAGTGAGTTCTCACTCTCAGTTCCCGAGAGAACTGGTTGTTGAAAAAAGCCTGGCACCTTCTTGCTCGCTCTGTCTTGCCTCCTTCTCTCTCACCATGTGACCTGCACACATTGGCTCCCCTTCCCCTTCCGCCATGAGCAGAAGCAGCTTGAGGTCCCCACCAGAAGCAGATGCCGGTGCCATGCTTCTTGTATGGCCTGCAGAACCATGAGCCAAATATCTTTTCTTTATAAATCACCCAGCCTCAGATATTCCTTTGTAGCAACATAAACAGACAAAGACCGGTGGTCAATATATAATAGGAAGCAAGGTGTCAATGGCAAGGAAGAGGATTTTGAGTGGGGAGGAATGTGTGGGACAGGAGACACTATCCTATTTTCTGACTTAGGTGGTGGTTACTTTAGAATTAAAAATATATGTATTTTAAAATAATTATAAATTCACAGGAAGATGCAAACACTGTGCATAAATGTCCAGCATACCTGTCACTCAATTCCCCCAATAGTTGGATCATGCATAATGATAGTACAAATTGACATTGGTCCAATGTATGGATCTAGTTCTGTGTCATTTGATTACACATACACAAAGCTCCTCGTGTGCGTCTCCTTCATAGTTTCCTCCCTCCAGCCCCTCCCTGCCATCCCTAGACCCTGGCAACAACCACTAGACTATTTTCCTCTTCTGTAATTTTGTCATTGGAAATGTTATATAAATGGAATTGTGTAATGCATGACCTTCTGAGATTGGCTTTGTACAATCAGAGAATCCACTTGAGATCAACACATGTTCTTATCAATAGTTTGTTCCTTTGTGTTGCTGAGTTGCATTTCACTGTATGGATGCACCTTTTGATGGACATTTCGGTTGCCTCCAGTTTTTGCCTGTTACAAATAAAGCTACTATGAGTACTTGTGCATAGGTTTCTGTGTGTATACACATTTTTACTTCTTAAATAATTCCCAGGAGTGCAATTGCTGGATTTTATGGTAAGTGTATGCTGAGTTTTAAAAGACACCAACACACCATTTTCCAAAGTGACTGCACCATTTTACATTTCCACCAGCAATGTGTGAGAAGTGCAATTTCTCTGCATCCTTGCCAGCATTTGCTATTGCTGCTATTACACTTTTTTCCCCTGTTCTGATACATGTGTAGTGTTAGATCATCATGGCCTTAATTTGTACTTCCTTAATGGCGAGTGATGTGGAACATTACTGGAGGAGGGGCAGTGTTCTATCTTCTAACTTAGGTAGTGGTTAAACTGTGAATGTTTTGTATTTCACAGTAAAATAAGAAAAGAAGTGGCCGGGTGCGGTGGCTCACGCCTGTAATCCCAGCACTTTGAGAGGTCAAGGCAGGTGGATCACTTGAGGTCAGGAGTTCAAGACCAGTGTGGCCAACATAGTGAAACCTCGTCTCTACTAAAAATACAAAAGTTAGCCAGGCATGGTGGCGGGTGCCTGTAATCCCAGCTACTTGGGAGGCTGAGGCAGGAGAATCGCTTGAATCAGGGAGGCGAAGGTTGCAGTGAGCTGAGATCATGCCACTGCACTCCAGCCTGGGCGACAGAGCGAGACTCTGTCTCAAAAAAAAAAAAAAAAGAAAAGAAGAGCACTGAGATTCATATTTTGAGATATTATCTCCCTACATCCATTAAAAAAAAAAAAGGCAACCATGTGTGGGGCACTGAAGTCACCTGGCTAGAGGTAGAGTAGGCAGGCAGTGGACCCCCCGTGAAGCCTGGGCTATTTTCAGCTGCCCACAGCACCTCCATGTAAAACAGACTTTCATAAAGCCAACGTCCTTCCAAAGCAGTCTGATGTGGAGTTGTTCAAACACTAAAAAAAATAAAATGTATTATGCATATGCATTGCATAGGCGGTTCGTGTGCTGCAAAGTGGAACATTCATATCAGAGTACATGGACGAGAAATGAGAAACCCACACTGCATTTCCAGGTAGTTGGAAAGGCTTTAAAGAAGAAGGAAATTTAACAGCAATTTAAAAGGCTCTTTAGATTGTAACTGAGAGGGACTAGGGATGGGGTAGGGAATTGTTACTTGTTATTATAAGCACTTCTGTACTGTGTCTTCGTTTAGAAAAGAAGTCTGCTGGGCGCGGTGGGTCACGCCTACAATCCCAGCACTTTGGGAGGCTGAGGTGGGCGGATCACCTGAGGTCAGGGGTTCGAGACCAGCCTGGCCAACATGGTGAAACCCCGTCTCTACTAAAAATACAAAAATTAGGTGGACGTGGTGGCAAGTGCCTGTAATCGCAGCTACTTGGGAGGCTGAGGCAGGAGAATCGCTTGAACCTGGGAGGCGGAGGTTGCAGTGAGCCAAAACCGTACCACTGCACTCTAGCCTGAGTGACAGAGCGAGACTCCATCTCAAAAAAAAAAAAAAAAAAAAAAAGAAAAGAAAAGAAGTCAGAAAAGATAGTGCAAATTTACATAGTGTGTTTTGTGTTAGTTTCCTAGGGCTGCTGTCACAAAGACCCACAAACTGTATGGCTTGAACAACAGAAATGCATTGTCTCATAGTTTTTGAGGCTAGATGTCTGAGATTAAGGACATTAGATTTCTGTATTTTAGAAAGATGCTAATGCAAAAAAAGTTTCTGGAGTCAACTTGCAGTCATCCAGAAATCCAGGCATTGAAGTACTGCATTCCTTCTTCCCAGACTCTTGGATCATTGAGCGTGTAGTCCAGCCATTTCTGTTCCTGTACACGGTAACATTTTTTCTTTTTCTCTCCTCCTCATTCAGTGTTTTTGACCTAGATACTATTCATTGAAATTAAACAGCACGTTTACAAGCATTTTACAGGAGTTAACCCTTTTACCTCAAATAACACAGTAAGCCTAGGAAGTAGGAATGAATAGTATCCCCATTTTGCATATGAGGAAACAAAGGCTTGGAGAAGCTGAGTAACTTGCCCCCCACATTTAGGGCTAATTAGCAGTGAGCTGAGCTGTGAACCCAGGTTGTCTGTCATAGAGTCTGTTCCTAGGCACCAGGCTGTACTATTCATCGTGAAATTAAAGCAGTAGCAATTGTTATTATTTATTTATTTATTTTTATCTTTTAGACAGGGTCTCACTCTGTTGCCCAGGCTGGAATGCAGTGGCACAATCTCAGCTCACTGCAACCTCTGCCTGCTGGATTCAAGCAATTCTCATGCCTCAGCCTCCTGAGCAGTTGGGATTACAGGCATGTGCTGCCAGACCTGGCTAATTTTTGTATTTTTAGTAGAGTCGTGGTTTTGCCATGTTGGCCAGGCTGGTCTAGAACTCCTGGCCTCAACTGATCCGCCTGCCTTGGCCTCTCAAAGTGCTGGGATTACAGGCATGAGCCACGGATCCTTGATGTAATTGTTATTTTTTTAATGTAACTTTTATTTTAAGTTGCAGTAGCAATTATCATAGGGTTTTACATAAATATCAACAAAGTTTCTACAGTTCCTTGGCATGTGGTAGGTGAGATATGAATGCTACTTATCTTTTTTTCCTCCTTATGTCTCTAATCTTTTTTTTTTTCTGACTTGTTATTTTGTAACACAGACATTATTTGGGAGTCATAGAGTTAAAGATTACAATGTTTGTTCAGAAACTACATAAAGCATTGCATTTGGCAAGTTATTGGAATTTTTTTTCTTGCTAGGCGGATAAATGTTCCTAAAGATAAAACTTCCTGAAGAGAATACGTGGTTTTTGACAATGCTATAATATTTCATTTGATCTTAGGCTAGGCTAGCTCTGAGGTCACATAGAAACATGAGCACAGAGATGTTAATAGGATTTACTTCCATTTCTGAATTCTGACATGGTTCTGAATTTTTAAAAATGCTATGAACATAATTTTTCCTCCAATTCTATCTCAGGGAAGTGAGTTTTTTTCAGGTCATGTCCAAATTTTGGTAGTGTTAACTCGAGGTTTGTTGGAAATTAATCTGAGAATACCTTCTGGAGATGGAGACTGTTGGATCTGGGATTTGTTTTTTGCCTACTTACAAGCTGATAAGTGAGCCTGTGCCTGTTTCACGGATGCTGGCGCTAGACAAAGATTCCTGTGTCAGAGATAAAGGCCTTTATTATTCATGGCAGAGCAAGCAGCATGGGCGTCAGCATATTTGCTTTGGTTTTCTCTGCCTCCAAGTCCTATGGGGACGATGCAATGTGACCTAGATGAATGCCACCCATGCAGTGGGTCTGAGATGCCACTGAGAAGCACTGAGCTTTGGGACCCCAACACTTTCAGAGCAAGCAGTTAGCAGCCTACTATTTGTCCTGGGGGAGACACCATCTCATCTCTCAAGGTTACTAGCTGAATAAACAATCCTGAGAAATGACATGGAGAAAAAGAACAGACAGTGGTGATAAAACTTTTCATCAAGGCTGTGTGTAAGTGGCAAATCAAGCATTAGCGGAGATTGGAAAAGCAATGAAGAGATGGCTCCAGCAATCGGGGTAAATGACAGAGCAATCTGCAAGACTGTTGTCTACGATAACTTGGAAGACAGCAAATGCTACTAATAAACCTTTGAATTTCATTAAGGAAGTCCCCAGGCAGAATGTTGAAAGTGTCAGCTTGTTGGTCTAAAATACATACATGGTAAGGTAGAGGAAGAGAGAGATGAAGTCAAGAAGTAGCTGTTTCATTTGCAAGTAAAATTCAGAGAAAACAGAAAGGATCCAAATCATTACACATTGTATACATATATCAAAATATCACATGCACCCCCACCAAATGTGTACAACTATGACATATTAATAAAAAAAGAAAGGATCCAAGATTTGCTGGGTTGGAAGATAAAACTGTTTGATCATCCCTGGTCTCCACAGCTCATAGAAGAGTCTCAAAATGAAATGAGACCTGGGCCCAAGTCCCAAATTAATTGTACAGCTGTGACATCATATTTAAGTTTGCCAAAAGAGTCAAGGCAGAGTCTCCTGAACACTCTCAGTAGACAGAGGAGCATTGTTGCACTCAGCCTGACTTATGACCCAAAGTAGAAGAAGAAGTGTCTAAACAAAAATTATCAATATGACTTTTGCCACATGAAGATCTGTAGCAAAGTCACAAGAAATCCACAAAAATTTTAAGAGAATTTTCCTGGTAAAAGCACTGCCAGCTTGCACTAAAAGGAACAGACTGTTCAAAATGAAAAAAAAAAAAAAAAAAAAAAGGAAATGACCTGTGGGCTCCCGACATTCTCTAGGTAGGAGGCAGACTGAGAAAGCTACTCAGTGGCAAAATGGGCCATTTCTTATAGAAATGAAAAGTTGTCTCAGAGGGCTGAGCTAAGGGCCCCTAGTGTAGTGTAGAGCCAAGAACCACTCCGAGATATGAGCTGGGTGATTCCATGCCAAAGGAACAGCAATGAACCCTAATCAAGAACTTTTCCAGGGCCAGGCACAGTGGCCCATGCCAGTAATCCCAGCACTTTGGGAGGCTGAGGCAGGCAGATCACTTGAGGTCAGGAGTTCAAGACCAGCCTTACCAACATGGTGAAACCCTGTCTCTACTAAAAATTCAAAAATTAGCCAGGTGTGGTGGCACACACCTGTAATCCCAGCTACTCAGGAGGCTGAGGCACAAGGATCACTTGAACCTGGGAGGCGGAAGTTGTAGTGAGCCAAGATCGCGCCATTGCACTACAGCCTGGGCGACAAGAGTGAGACTCCATCTCAAAAACAAAAACAAAAACTAAACAAAAAACAAAAAAAGAACTTTCCTGGCTTCCAGTTTAGGGGGACCTGGCAACAGATGTCCAGCTGTGTTTGAGAATTGCCATGGAAAAATTACTTCTATGTCCCTCCATCCTTCCCTTTTGAATAGGATTATTTATTGTGGTTATCCCGCTTTACTATGATATTTTGGGTATGTGCGGGGTGGAAAACTTGCCTTTTTATTTTGTAGGTGTCCAGACTGAGGGGTGCTACACCTGAGGATAAGTCCTCCAGGAGCCTCACTTGGACACAATGCAGATGATTAGACCATAGCCTTGAGCACGATGCCATAATTGGATGAGGCACTTATGAGGCACTTGGTGTTCCTAGGGTGGGGCAAGCATAATTTGCATGTGAGAGGAAAATAAATAATTGTGGTCAGACGAAAGATGATGGGAGATTGGAAAAAAAATGGCTGACTTTTTTTTTGCTGACTTTCTCATCAAGAAGTGGAGTTTTGGGAGCTAAATGATGAGAACACACGGGCACATAGAGGGGAACAACACAGACTGGGGCCTTTTGGAGGGTGGAGGGTGGGAGGAGGGAGAGGATCAGGAAAAATAACTAATGGGTATTAGGCTTAATACCTGGGTAATGAAATAATCTGTAGAACAAACCCGCATGACACAAGTTTACCTATGAAACAAACCTGCACTTGTACCCCTGAACTTAAAATAAAAGTTAAAAAAAAAAAGAAAAAAGAAGTGGAGCTTATTCCCCATTCCCTGCATGTGGACTGGCCCTGTGCCCTTCTTTGACTTGTGGAATGCAGCTGCAGTGATGCTGGGTGGCTTCCTGGACGAGGATGAGGCCTCAGGAGATCTTAGTGTCTGCTCTCTTCCTCTTTGAATGCCACTCTAATGTGAAAAGCTCAAGCTGACCTGCGGGAGACATGCCGCTCAGTCAAGAGCCAGAACCAACCACCAGACATAATGAGGTCATTTTAACCCATCTGACCCTGTGGAGCTGCCAGATAACGGCAGCTACGTTAGTGACCTCAGCAGAAGACCTGACTGGCATAGCCACCTGCTATGGTTTGAATATTAGTCCCTGCTGAAACTCATGTTGACACAGTCCCCACTGTAACCATATTAAGAGGGTGGGGAATCTGACTGTGGCATTTGAGAAGAGGGACCTTTGGGAAGTAATTAGGATTAGATGAAGTCATGAGGATGGGGAATCAGTGGCTTTATAAGAGGAGAAAGAGAGTCCTGAGCTAGCTTGCTCAGCCCCTTGCTGTGGGACGCCCTGATCCGCCTTGGGACTCTGCAGAGTCCTCACCAGCAAGAAGGCCTTTACCAGATGCAGCCCTTGACCTGAGGCTTCCCAGCCTCCAGAACAGTAAGAAATGGATTTCTTTTTTTTTTAAATTATACTTTAAGTTTTAGGGTACATGTGCACAACGTGCAGGTTTGTTACATATATATACATGTGCCATGTTGGTGTGCTGCACCCATTAAGTCGTCATTTAACATTAGGTATCTCTCCTAATGCTATCCCACCCTCTCCCCCCACCCCTCCCCCCACCCCCCAACAGGCCCCGGTGTATGATGTTCCCCTTCCTGTGTCCATGTGTTCTCATTGTTCAATTCCCACCTATGAGTGAGAACATGCAGTGTTTGTTTTTTTGTCCTTGAGACAGTTTGCTGATAATGACGGTTTCCAGCTTCATCCATGTCCCTACAAAGGACATTAACTCATCATTTTTTATGGCTGCATAGTATTCCATGGTGTATATGTACCACATTAAGAAATGGATTTCTTTTCTTTATGAAGTACCCAGTCTCAGGCATTTAGTTATAGCAACAGAAAATGGACTAGGATGCCACCCAGATTGCTGACCTACAGAATCATGAACAACAAAAGAGTTGATGTGAGCCACTAAGTTTCAGTGTGGATTGTTATGGCCCCAAAAGTAACCAATATAAATGCTTTTGATGCAAATTCACCACAGGCATAAAAATCCTTCCAGAAGGGTCTCCCAAGAACTTTGGAAAACTGAGGTAGTATCACTAAAAGCTGGCCATATAGACCTTGTTGTTTAATAGTTCTGCTCTTAGGTATACACAATAGAAATTTGTATACGTACTCACCAAAACACATGTGAAATAAGGCACACAGCAGCAATTTATAATAATCCCAAACACGTAGCACCCCAAATTTCCACCAACAGTAGAATGGATAAATCAGTTGTGATATATTTATACAGTACAATGCTATACAGAAAGAAGATGCACAGATAAACCTCACAAACATAATGTTAAGTTAAAGAAAGCCAAACACAGAAGAAAGCATATTGTATGGTGAACAATCAGGACAATGGATATCTTTGCAGTGAAGGACTAATGACTAGGAGGTGGCCAATGTAAGCTTCTTGGGGGCTGGTAGTTTTCTATTTCTTGATATTGGAGATTACAAATGTGTGTTCATTTTGTAAGAACTCATTGAACTGTAAACTTATGATTTATGAAGTTATTTGTATGTATTTTATACTTCAATAAAAACATTTCTTTTTTTTTAAAGGGAATCCCAAGATTAATAAAGGAATTTGAGAAAGGACAAAATTCATGTTTTTTTTATGCAAAATCTGGGATTTCTGATTTATATATCCCAGTGTCTTCAGGAAGGAATTCACTTTTATTTTGTCAAATATTTTCTCTGTTGAAACAATCCCCATTGATCTGATTGCCATTTGATAAACTCTTTTCTCTCTTATGCCTGAGTCCTGTTTTTATTTCAGTAATAGTTATCAAGTATGACTAACACCCTTTAATGGCTATTTTATGTTATGAATTTCAGGAGAAAACACATTTGCCACTGAGGATTTTGTATGATATCATCTTGTAGCCAAAGCAAAAGTTGTGGGAGGAAGCAGCAGAAGATGAAGATGAAATAGGCTGGGGCTGATTACAAAATACCATGAAGGTATGCAAGATTTCACACTTTACGCAAGAATAAAAAAAGACAACAATTATATCTGGATTTTACAAAAATCATGAGATAGCTGTGTTTAAAATGGCATAGTAAGAAAGTTCTTCTGCAGTCTCATCTCTAAAAATGCCAGCAAACAAAAATAAATAGGAAAGAAAACTCCATGTTTGAATAAACGAGGGGACAGTTGTAGCGCAGAAGCACAGTAGAGGGGGGAGGGTGGCCAAATTCAGTGGCGACGGTAAAACGTGAGCTTGATGTCCACAGAAGGTGCCTGGAGTGCAGATCTCTCAGAATGTCAGCAGAGCAAGGCCAACAATACCTAATTTGGAACACAGGGAAACACACAGACCCACCATATTTGCTAGAAGCACTTTGCCAGTAGAGCAGAGGAAACTATCACATGCAGTGCCAAAGTTATCAGTCTGGATTTCCTGGGGGAAAAGTTGACACTGAAAAACCCTCCTGGAACCCAAAACCTCACTCAGGGAACCTAATTGTGATTCTGATACTCTGGAAATTATCCCCTGGCCCCTCTCCCATGATATTTCTGCAATTATTTGATATAGAAAGAACTGAACAATTCAACAATGACTACTAAGGAAAATTAGACCATTTGTAACTTGTAACCTGCAACAAATTGTAGCAAATAGTAATGAGAACCATACAACAATACTGTAAGAAAAAAAAAATGGGGAAAGGAGGAACACTAATGCTGGCTAAAAAAATGCTCATCAGAAAAACGTTACCTCAAAGCAAGTGGATGTTGTGACCAAACAGCACCATTCAAAACCTAAAAAGGAAAAAGAATTAATGTTTGATTCAATTGTGTCTATAAAACAAGAGCTTAAAGAAGAAATATAGGAAATTCAGGAAAAATATAGCAGGGCAACATAAGGAGATGAAACATAAACTAACAGACTAAAGGGAAGAAGAAGAAAATACATATTGACTATTACAGAAATAAAAGCCTCATTAAAAGTAGCTCAAAGGAGCATATGGATGGCATATTGAGAAAAGCAAACAAAATGTAATGTAAATGAGCACACTTAAGAAGGATTAGAGAGAAACTGATCTATGAAAGACAAAAGATGTTTAATATATGCATAAGAGGTGTACATGACAAAGAGAAAATAATGGAACAGAAAAAAATTGGAAGATATTTAAATGTTAAGGCAGGGCACGGTGTAATCCCAGCACTTTGGGAGGCTGAGGTGGGCAGATCGCTTGAGGCCAGGAGTTGGAGACCAGGCTGATCAACATGGTGAAGCCCTGTCTCTAGTTAAAAAAAACAAAAAAAAATTAACCAAGTGTGGTGACACACACCTGTAGTCCCAGATACTCCTGTGGCTGAGGCAGTAGAGTTGTTTGAACCTGGGAGGTGGAAGTTGCAGTGAGCTGAGATCACACCACTGCACTCCAGCCTGGGCAACAGAGTCTGTCTCAAAAAAAAAAAAAAAAAAGAAAATAAGATATTTTAACTGTTTAATAAACATTTCCAGGAGTAAAAGGAAATTTGAATGTGCAGTTGTCTCAGAATTAGAAAAAAAATTCCAGATATTTATTTCATAGAAATAGAAGACATGGATCTGCAGTTTGAAGGGATCCATCTTATTGAAAAAATTGATACAGACTAATCAACAGCAGTAACATCTGGTAAAGTTATGAGTCTACCAAGATGAAGCCAGAGACCTTGGCATTTTGGTGGGGAGGAAATGCTTGAGCCACCTCTAAGGGGGAAACGTAAGGTTGGCCTCTGACTCTTCAGGAAACATTCAATGTTAGAAAACAATGGAGCTTTGCTTACAAAGCTTTAGAGAAGGAGAGGGTGACAAACATTTTTTAAAAACCTAGCTAAAATTTTCCAGTATAAAGGCAATATATATATATATATTTTAATACAGAGTCTCACTCTGTCACCCAGGCTGGATTGCAGTGGTGTGATCTCAGCTCACTGCAACCTCTGCCTCCCAGGTTCCAGTGATTCTTGTGCCTTAGCCTTGCTAGTAGCTGGGATTTTAGGTGTGTGCCACCACGCCCAGCTAATTTTTGTATTTTTGGTAGAGAAGGGGTTTCACCTTGTTGTCCAGGCTCGTCTTTAACTCCTGGTCTCAAGCTATCCACCCGCCTCAGCCTCCCAAAGTGCTGGGATTACAGGCGTGAGCCACTGCACTCGGCCTCCATACAAATATTTTTTAGTCACCCAGGATGCAATTACTATAGCTTTTTTTTTTTTTGAGACAGAGTCTTGCTCTGTTGCCCAGGCTGGAGTGCAGTGGCATGATCTTGGCTCACCACAACCTCCGCCTCCCATGTTCAAGCGATTCTTCTGCTTCAGCCTCCCGAGTAACTAGGACTACAGAAGTGTGCTACCATGCCTGGCTAATTTTTGCATTTTTGTAGAGATGGGGTTTCACTCTGTTGGCCAGGCTGGTCTCGAACTCCTGACCTCGTGATCCGCCTGCCTTGGCCTCCCAAAGTGCTGGGATTACAGGCGTGAGCCACCACACCTGGCCTAAGGACTATAGCTTCTATGAGCCCTTCTTAAAGAAAATACTATAGACAAACTTCAGCCAAATAAAAGCTCAATGAAAAAATTGCAGTATAACATCAATTCTACTTGCAGGATTAAGACCAAAACAGATCTCATGATATGGTTGAGGATGAAAGGTTAAATCTATAAATTCTGATGATGTAGAAGTGATGTAGCTATTAAAATTTTGGAGGATGAGATAGTGAGAAGGTATGAGGTGACCTAAGTACTATGATTTTTTTTTTTGAGACAGAGTCTCACTCTGTCTCCCAGGCTGGAGTGGAGTGGCGCGATCTTGGCTCACTGCAAGCTCCGCCTCCCGGGTTCATGCCATTCTCCTGGCCTCAGCCTCCCCAGTAGCTGGGACTACAGGTGCCCGCCACCACGCCCAGCTAATTTTTTTGTATTTTTTAGTAGAGACGGGGTTTCACCGTGGTCTCGATCTCCTGATCTCGTGATCCACCCGCCTCAGCCTCCCAAAGTGCTGGGATTACAGGCGTGAGCCACCGCGCCAGGCCAGTACTATGATTTCTTTAATAGTTAGAGATTGAGATATAAGAAATCATTGAAATCTGGTATAAAAATAATAGATGGCAAATATATTTAAGGATAAAAGTAAATACTAAAAAAGACAATAAACAAAAATCAGATAATATGGGGATGTAGAAACAAAAGAAATACACTAACATTATTGTTCATAATGGGAGTAATTCATGCTGTCTAAAAATAGATGATTAAGTATTAAACAATTATAACTATCAGAAACTTTGTAACAATAAATGCCTCTAAGATGGAGAACTGGATACCTGGGAAGACAGGAGAAACATATTTGTCTTTTGCTTTGAGATAAAGTCTTGCTCTGTCATCCAGGCTGGAGTGCAGTGGTGCAACCTCAGTTCACTGCAGCCTCGACCTCCAGGGCTCAGGCAATCCTCCCACCTCAGCCTCCCGAGTAGCCGGGACTACAAGGCTCATGCCACCACTCTTGGCTAATTTTTTGTTTATTTTTTGTAGAGATGAGGTCTCCTTATGCTGTCCAGGCTGGTCTCGAACTCCTGAGCTTAAGTGATCCTCCTGCCTTAGCCTTCCAAAGTGCTGGAATTACAGGTGTGAGCCTCCGTGCCCAGCCAAGACACATTTTTCAATGTATATTCTTATACCTTTTAAAATTTGTACCATGTTCATGTATTAGCTACCAGAAAATAGAAAAACACAAAATAACAAAAAAAAGGTGAAATTGTAAATGTAAACATTAGAACAAAGCCACCAGATTTTCCAATTATCATAAAAAACACACCAGGCCAAGTGTGGTAGTTCATGCTTGTAACACTAGCGCTTTGGCAGGCCGAGGCAGGAGGATCACTTGAGGCCAGGAGTTCAAGACCAGTCTGGGCAACATAATGAGACCCTATCTCTACAAATATAAAAAACTAGCCAGGTGTGGTGGTGCCCACCTATAGCCCTAGCTACTTGGGAGGCTGAGGTGGGAGGATCCCTTGAGCCCAGGAGTTTGAGGCTGCAGTGAGCTATGATCACTCCAGTGCGCTCCAGCCTGGGTAACAGAGCAGACCCTGTATCAAAAACAAGACAAAACAAAGCGAAACAGCACATACACCAAAACTATAAAGAAATCACAGCCTATAGAAAGTATTTTTTAGGCAATGAAAATATTAAAAATGTAACAAAATAGGATGACGGAACTAAGACCAAACGTACCTCCCATGTTTATAGAGGTGGGTTAATCTCACCTGATAACAATAAAAAGAATGATTGAATTGCTATGTAAGACCCAACTATCTGTTGCATACAAGAAACATCTGAAACAAAGTTGGGTGGGGGGTGGGGGAAGTTGGGAATACAAAGATGAGCAATGGCATTAACTTAATATCAATTATTAAAAGGCTACACCCTTGGCTGGGTGCAGTGGCTCACGCCTGTAATCCCAACACTTTGGGAGGCCAACACAGGCAGATCACTTGAGGTCAGGAATTCGAGACCAGCCCGGCCAACACAACAAAACCCAATCTCTACTAAAATACAAAAATCAGCGAGGCGTGATGGATGCCTCTAATCCTAGCTACGTGGGAGGCTGAGGCAGGAGAATTGATTGAACCCAGAGGCAGAGGTTGCAGTGAGCCAAGATTTTTGCACTACTGTACTCCAGCCTGCGTGACAGAGTGAGACTCTGTCTCAAAAAAAAAGGTAAAAGGCTACACCCATGGAATATTGTTATCAGGTGAGACTTCCCGAGTAGCTGGGATTACAGGCATGCGCCACCATGCCCGGCTAATTTTTGTATTTTTAGTAGAGATGGGTTTTCACCATGTTGGCCAGGCTAACCTCAAGTGATCCACCCGCCTCGGCCTCCCAAAGTGTTGGGATTACAGGCGTGAGCCACTGCGCCTGGCCTTAATTTAGATCTTTTCAATTAGGAAAGAGTTGGAATTTTCTGGTACATATATTGGTCATTTGTAACTCTTACTTTCTTAATTGTTATTCAATGACTTTGGCTATTTTTCTTCAATCCATTATATTATAAAAAAAAGTAAGTATTGAATATCAATGAACTTTTCAAGCATCAAGAAGTACGTAGGACTGGGTGCAGTGGCTCACGCTTGTAATCCCAGCCCTTTGGGAGGTCGAGGTGAGTAGATCGCCTGAACTCAGGAGTTCGAGGCAAGCCTGTACAACATGGCAAAATCCTGTCTCTACCAAAAATACAAAAACCAGCTGGGTGTGGAGGTGTGCACCTGTGGTCCCAGTGGAAGGCTGAGCTGGGAGGATCACTTGAGCCGAGAGGTTGAGGCTTCAGTGAGCCGTGATTGCACCAATACACTCCAGCCTGGGTAACAGAGTAAGACCCTGACTAAATAAATAAATAAATAAATAAAATGAAAGACATACCTAGATTTTGTTTAATTATCATCTCAACTTTGGAAGGGCATAGTGACCTGAAAAAAACTGCACAAACTTGCCATTCAGATTTTCTTTCCTAAAGAGATGCTGACAAGTATTAAATAGCAAAGAACAGATGTGATTGCCTTCAGGCTCCAGTGCCTAATCAGGAAATTCTAAATCATCTAGGAAAAGGCAAGGGAAAAGGGCTGCTCTGCATCTTTCTCCTCTTGCCGCCTTTTGTACCATTTCTGCTACAAGAGTGAGGGTCAAATTGTCTTGATAACTAAATCTAGGCACAGCGGGAAAGCAAGAAGCAGAGTTAAGTCATGATAGAAAACCTTTCATACTCCCCTGTACTGTCTTTATTGAATGCACGAAAACATGAGTAAATGCATCTTTTAAGGGTGTAGAAAACTTAGGTTCCTGGGTTTCAGTTTAGTCAAAGTATAGTTGCACAGCCAGGAATGACCTTTAGAGAATAACATTGGTAGGAAGACTTCTACAGCAGCTTATTGAATGGACTCATGTTCTTAGTCTCACTTATTTTTAATTATTACATTATTACATTTTATTGCAGGTATTTAACAAGTTCTTGATAAATACAGATAAATGATAAATATCATTGCCGTTTTACAATTCTCATTAACAATATATTTGAGATTATTCATTATTCTTTTCACTTTTTTGATAAGGAAATGGTGCCCAGAGACTTGTCAAAGTTCATACAGTTTGCAGTGAGATTAACCAGGCCTAGAACCAGAGATTTCAAATCCATGCCTTTCTCTCAATGCTGTATACAACCGTAATTTCCACTAGGTTACTGCCTTGCTTCCTGATAGTTATATTAAGCTCGAATTCTTCAGTCTGCTATTAAAGGTTCTCCAGAATTCGGGTTAACCTTATCTTCCAGTCTTTTTTTTTTTTTTTTTTTTTTTTGAGATCGTCTCATTCTGTTGCCCAGGCTGGAGTGCAGTGGCACGATCTTGGCTCACTGCAACCTCCACCCCCCAGGTTCAAGTGATTCTCCTGCCTCAGCCGCTCAAGTAGCTGGGACTACAGGCACGTGCCACCACACCTGGCTACTTTTCATTTTTTCAGTAGAGATGGGGTTTCACCATGTTGGCCAGGCTGTTCTCAAATTCTTGACCTCAAGTGATCCGCCCACCTTGGCCTCCCAAGTGTTGATTTCAGGCGTGAGCCCCTGCACCTGGCCTGAATGTTCTTGTATATGTCTTTTTGTGGATATATATTTCTTGGGAGAATTCCTAGGAGTGAAAATACAGGACATTATGCTCATTAAAAGTCCTAGACAGAGAAACCTTGAATTCTGGACAATCGGGGCACTTACCTAGCTCAGAACTACTTTACTAGATTATGATGGGATTCTGAACTCTCCTTGTATTTTGTTTTACAAGAAAATTAATCACTATCAAACTATCAGGATATCATTATCATGTACCTAATATACACTCTGGGCACCTTACATCATACATCATCTCCTATGCTGTTATTTACTAGCTGTTCAACCTTGGGCAAATTACTTAAACTTCCGATCATCAGTTTCCTTATATGTAAAATAAGGATTAAAAAGAGCACCTACTTTGGAGAGTTTTTGTGAGAATTAAATGAAATAGTGCATATAAAGTCCTTATTAAATTGTCTGATACATGAAAGTGCTCAAAATAATAACTCATAATAATCATTATATAACATCTTACAACAACCCGGTGAGAATTACTACTAATTTTCAGACGCAATAAACAATTTGTTTTATTATAGTTACAGAATGAAGAGTGGGGTGCAAATTTAGGTCTACTTTGGCACGTAAATTTGACACCAGGCTGGGCGCGGTGGCTCATGCCTGTAATCCCAGCACTTTGGGAGGCTGAGGCAGGTGGATCACCTGAGCTCAGGAGTTTGAGACCAGCCTGGCCAACATGGTGAAACTCTGTCTCTACTAAAAATATAAAAATTAGCTGAGCGTGGCGGTGCATGCCTGTAATCCCAGCTACTCGGGAGGCTGAGGCATGGGAATCACTTGAACCCGCAGTCAGAGGTTACAGTGAGCCAAAATCATGCCATTGTACTCCAGCCTTGGTGACACAGCAAGACTCTGTCTCAAGAAAAAAAAAAAAATTGACACCAAAGCCCGAGCCTGTTCCACTATATCATTTTGATGGGATAGGTTTTTTCCATAGAGCATGTCATTTAATGTTTTTTCTTTTTTTCCTGAGACAGGGTCTGGCTCTGTCAGGCTGGAGAGCAGTGGCACATTCTTGGCTCACTGCCACCTCTGCCTCCTGGGTTCAAGTGATCCTCCCACCTCAGCCTCCTCAGCAGCTAGGATTACAGCTGTGTGCCACTATGCCTGGCTAATTTTTGTATTTTTTGTAGAGACGGGGTTTCACTATGTTGCCCAGGCTGGTCTCAAACCCTTAGACTCAAGTGATCTACCTGCCTCAGCCTCCCAGTGTTCTGGAATTACAGGCATGAGCCACCATGCCTGGCCTTATTTCATCTTCACAGCAATTCTGTGAATGATTTCTGCCAATTTGAAAAGAACAAGAAGGCTTTGACGGAAGGAATATCATCAACTAGAAAAATAGTGGTATGAGACACAGTCTCAGAAAAACTTGGAATATGGTTTAGTTTGCTGTGTTTTTTCTCAAACAAAACACAGATACCCAGAAGTCTTTTCAAGCTTTCCAGGGTTCCATGGGGTTATTCTGCCAGTAAAGGTAGGATTGAGGTGTTTTTTTTTTTTTAACTTTTCTAAAAATTTACCTGTAGATTTCAGTTCTCTCTTTTTTCTTCTCTTTCTAGTGCAATTGGTCTGCTATTGTAATCACAGCAGGATTACAAATGGCGCACTCAGATGAGAGCGTGGGAGATTTTAATAAAGGAATTATTTATACAAGGGTGGGCAGAGTGAAGGCAAACCCACAAGGCAGAGTAAAGGACCGTGGGGATGAAGAGTGGGAAGGCGTTCCCACCCCTGCATCTGCAGATGCCATGGAAGGGCATGGCTATGGGTGTCCTATGGAGAAAATAGCTCTGTCTGTAGGAGAGGACTGCCCAACAGTGTGTCCCTTGGTGGAGGGACTCAAGATGTTTGTGATGGCCTGGCAGAGTGGAAGACAGGGAACCTCGACCTCCCTCTGTCTTTCTCGGATCTGTGCAGGCCATGGTGACACACTCTGCATGTGACTAGTGCAGTCAGATATTTTAATGCACATTTTACAGATGTGGAAATAGACTCAGAGAGTCTTGATAACTTGCCCAAGGTCACAGAGCTGGGAAGTGAAAGAACTGAGATTTCAATGTGGGTTCAGGTCAGTGGTTCTTAACACTGGCTGAATATAAGTATCACCTGGTATATATAACTTCAGTATTTTAAGAAAATACTGAAGTCTGAGCCCCATGCTCCGAGATCCTGATGTAATTGGTCTGGCTTGGGGCCCAGGCAGTGTATTAAAAGCTCCCCAGATGATTCTAATGTGGGGTTGAAAACCATGGTTTGGTTGAACTCCAATATCTGTGCTGTATTTACGGTAATATGAGCGGCTATGGGCATAGGGCTAGTGACAGAGAAGTCACTGAACCGGGGAAACCCACTGTCTTATGTTAAGAAAGTCACCAGAGTACGTTGAAACCAGGGAGTGCCCTGAGATGCTGGAGGCAGTTTGGAGGAGTGAGGGGAGACTCCTCAGAGGAGCTAAAGCTTGTGCTCAGCTGGGTGGCAGTGACAGTAACAATACTTGCTTAGTGTGGTTTTCCCACAGGCCAGCCATTACTCCAAACACTTATTAGTAGTAGCTAATTTAATTCTTATCACCACCCCTATGGATAGGTGCTATATTGTCGTAATTTATTTGTAATCTATTAATTCAATTAATGTTTTATTAATATGTTTTGTCCATTTTACAGACAAGGGTGCTAAGACAGAGGTTAAGTGTTATATTAGTCTGTTCTCACACCGCTAATAAAGACATACCTGAGACGGGGTAATTTATGAAGAAAGAGTTTTAATTGAGTTACAGTTCCACATGGCTGGGGAGGCCTCACAATCATGGTGGAAGGCAAAGGAGGAGCAAAGTCATGTCTTGCAGGGTGTCAGGTAAGAGAGGGAGCATGTGCAGGGGAACTCCTTTGTATAAAACCATCAGATCTCGTGAGACTTATTCACTATCATGAGAACAGCATGGGAATGACCTGCCCCAGTAATTCAATTATCTCCCATCAGGTTTCTCCCACAACATGTGGGAATTATGGGAGCTACAATTCAAGATGAGATTTGGGTGGTGACAGAGCCAAACCATATCAAGTGTCTTGCTCAAGGTCACACACAGATATAGGTGGGTTTAAACCCAAGCATTTTGACTTGAGAGCCCATCTGTGTTAACACTATTAACACAGGTGAGGCTGGGGGTCGGGGGAGAAGAGGGAAGATGGAGGGTAGAGAAGGTGGTGTTCTAGGCAGAACCTAAAGCAGGTGAAAGATGGAAGCAGTTAGACATAGAGAGCATTTAGTGGATCTTTGCTGGAGCTTGGGGTGAGCGGTGGGAGTGGGGGACAGGGGGCAGGGGTAGTGCATTTCCCAGAATAGGGTTGCATCATGTGCCTTATTCTAAATGCAATAAGCAGCCAGGAGAGAGTGACTTGGTCAGATGATCTGCTGTTACCATTTACATTGGGAATCATTGTAGAAAACCTGTGTACACCAAGGCCAGCAGCAGCAAGAGGTTCTGGGGAGGCATCTGTGCTCTTCAGGGTGGGTCACTGAGAGACCCCAGCACCTGTGTGACATTTAGAATGTATCCAATGCCAGAGGACCTGGGCAGCAGCCCAGAGGGAGCCCCAGCCATGAGGTGAAAGCTCTGGACTAAGGTTCAGCCCTCCTGCTGGTTCTCTGGCACCAAGATTCTTATACAATTCTGTGAAAAGTAGGAAGAGATCCTCTCTCATGTTGAGGGAGTGGGTGAGGCAACTCACAGTGTAGTGGGTTTATCTGACTTAGAAAAAGGAAGAAATGTGAAGTTTCTCATATTTGAGTACTGAAGAATAAAATTCTCATTTTGCCACAGAAAAGGAGAGGTATATTAGTCCATTTTCACACTGGTATAAAGAACTGCCCCAAAGTGGGGTAATTTATAAAGGAAAGAGGTTTAATTGAGTTACAGTTCCGCATGGCTGGGGAGGCATCTGGAAACTTACAATCATGGTGGAAGGCAAAGGGGAAGCAAGGCACCTTCCTCACAAGGCGGCAGGAAGGAGAAGTGCTGAATGAAGGGGGAAGAGCCCCTTATAAGGCCATCAGATCTCATGAGAATTCACTATCATGAGAACAGCATGGGGGAAACCACCCCCATGATTCAATTACCTTCATCTGGTCTCTCCTTCAATATGTGGGGATTATGGAGATTATAATTCAAGATGAGATTTTGGGTGGGGACATGGCCAAACTATATCAAGAAGGAAACTTTTTTAAAAAAATAGAGATGGGGTCTCACTGTGTTGTCCAGGCTGGCCTCGAGCTCCTGGGTTCAAGCAGTCCTCCTGCCTTGGCTTCCCAAAGTGCTGGGATTACAGGTGTGAGCCACTGCACCCATTTTTTTTTTCAGAGCCTGGAGGAAAGGATTTGAGGGTAGGATTGATGCGATGAATTTTCCAGTGGAGGACAGACTTGGAGGTTGAAATCGTAGCATAAAGAAATTTAGGATCTGGCAACAATGTGGCTGAGGTAAGGGAAAAGGAATATGAAGTCAGATTTATGACATCAATATCAGTTGAAACTGTGTAGGTAAATTCTAAGTTTTGCAAAAATCCCCATCAGGAGGAAGAAAATGGCAACAATCCATCCCACCCTGCTTCCCCTACATTACCTTCCCCTCAAGTATCAGCAGATTATACCTGACAATTGCTTGGTGATAAACATGTAATTACATTTGTTTATTTATTTCTAGTCTTCACAGCCAATGAGACTGGTTTCGATCCAGGCCGCCTAGCTTAATGAAATCAATGGATTAAAAGCTTAAATCTGTACTTTGGTTTAAACTTCTTCTTTCTCAGCTCACAGGATATCTCAGTCCTTGGACCTCATCCCAGGGATGGAGAGGTTTTTTTCTTTTAAATGAACTGATTGGATGTAGGTTTAAGGACTGTGTGAACAGACCTTTTCACATAAAATAATAAAAGTGATATTGACCCTGGCTGTGAGACTGGAGCCTTGTGGCTTTGCTGAAGAGTGTTAAGAAGAGCAGACTGCAAAGGCCTGAGGCCGCAGAAACTGCTGAAGAATTATAAGTGGCCTATTTTACCCACAAAAACAACCAGGGAAACATTTTAATCTTCTTCTTGAGTCCAAAATAGAGATCTGATTTTATCTCCTCAAGGCAGAATAATTTTATATGGCCATAAATAAGCAAAAGGGCTTTCCTTTTGCTCCAACTAATTGTTGTAGAATAGCTGAGCTTTTTCCTACATGGATATAAAGGTAGAAAGAACAGTATAAAAAGCACCAGTTTCTTACCACCTGGAATTAATGTAGGATATTTTTGTCATATGTATCTTTTTATTTTTATAATGAAAGGAAGTATTATGGGGAAAACTTAAGTCAGGGTTCCCCAACCCCCAGGCCACAAACCGATACCTGTTAGGAACGGGGGCCACACAGCAGGAGGTGAGTGGCAGGCGAGTGAGCATTATTACCTCCTGAGCTCCGCCTCCTGTCAGATCAGCGGTGGCATTAGATTCTGGTAGGAGTGCAAAGCCTATTGTGAACTGTGTGCAAGGGATCTAGGTTGCGCACTCCTTATGAGAATCTAATGCCTGATGAGCTGAAGTGGAACAATTTCATCCCCAAACCATTCCCCCAATCCATGGAAAAATTGTCTTCCGTGTAACTGGTCTCTGGTGCCAAAAAGATTAGGGACCGCTGCCTTAAGCGACATTTGACCTTGTGTCCCATTCATGTTCCCACCACCACTACCATGAGTTTTGTAGGTATCCTTTCAATTAATTCTATAATTTCTTTTCATATACAGCTTGTGAGTATTCTATTTTTTTTTTTTTTTTTGAGATGGAATCTCACTCTGTTGCACAGGTTGGAGTGAAGTGGTACAATCTCAGCTCACTGCAACCTCTGCCTCCCGGGTTCAGGAGATTCTCCTGCCTCAGCCTCCCAAGCAGCTGGGACTACAGGCGCCTGCCACCATGTCCAGCTGATTTTTGTAGAGACAGGGTTTCACTATGTTGGCCAGACTGGTCTCGAACTCCTGAGCTCAGGTAATCCACCCGCTTCGGCCTCCCAAAGTGCTGGGATTACAGGCGTGAGCCACTGCGCCCGGCCTAAATTGTGAGTATTCTTAATCCAAAAATCTGAAATCCAAAATGCTGCAAAGTCCAAAGCTTTTCAAGGGCTGACATGACACTCAAAGGAAATGCTTGTTGAAGCATTTCAGATTTTGAATTTTGGGGTTAGAGATGCCTAATAGGTAAGTACAATATTCCAGAATCCTAAATATTCAAAAATCTGAAAAAGTCTGAAATTCTAAACACTTCTGGTCCCAAGCATAAGGAATGCTCAACCTGTATGTATGGATGTGTGTGTGTGTCTGTATTTATATATATATATATAAATAAATAAATAAATAAATATATATATATACAACCAGTAGGTAATATTGTTTTGTGAGTTGGTTGTTGCTTTCAGTGTAAATAAGTAGTGTCATGCAAGACATATTCATCTGTATGTTGATTTTTCCACCCAACATTGTTTTTCAAACATAGTATGTTCATACAAATAGATTTAGTTCATTGCTTTTAACAGCTTTATAATGTACCATATTTTATTCAGTTTCCATCTTTAACAGTCTCATTATTATAAACAATACTGCAATAAACATCCTTATATATGTTTCCTTGTGCAAATGCATAGTGGCTTCTGTATGTTATATACTGGAAATGGAATGACCAGGCTGTAGAACGTGCACATTTTCTATTTTTTTAAGCACCTATTGATATGGTCTGGCTCTGTGTCCCCACCCAAATCTCATCTTGAATTGTAATTGAAATCATAATTCCCACGTGTTGAGGGAGGGACCTCTTGGGAGGTGATTGAATCATAAAGGCAGTTCCGTCATGCTGTTCTCATGATGGTGAGTGAGTGCTCATGAAATGTGATGGTTTTGTGAGGGTCTTCTCCCCTCTTCTCTCTGCACTTCTCTCATTCTTCTCCTTCCTGCTGCCATGTGAAGAAGGACATGTTTGCTTCCCCTTCTTCCATGATTGTAAATTTCCTGAGGCCTCCCCAGCCATGCTGAACTGTGAGTCAATTAAACCTCTTTCCTTTGTAAATTACCTAGTCTTGGGTATGTCTTTATTAGTACCATGAGAACGGACTAATATACTCGCCAATGTTTCTATCCCAATTTACCCTTCTTCCAAAGGTATCTTAGACTGTCAGTGACCCATTTCCCTCCATACACATAATCTGGAATCATCTAAACCCAGACTTTCTACAGTCTTCCCATCATGCTCATAATAAAACACGAACTTGTCCACTGGTCAACAAGCTCTACAGCCAGGCCCTTTTCCTCACTCCAACCTTAGCCTCACCTCTAAATGCTCATGCTGCTCCAGCTATGCTGGTTTTCTTCCTTCCTTTCTTCCTTCCTTCCTTCCTTACATCTCTCCCTCCCTCCCTCTTTCTTTCTTTCTTTCTTTCTTTCATTCATTCTTTCTTTCTTTCTCTCTCTTTCTTTCTTTTTCGTTCTTCTTTTTCTTTTTTGACAGGGTCTCACTTTGTCACCCAGGCTGGAGTACATTGGCATGACTATGGCTCACTGCAGCCTCCACTTCCTGATTATGGCACACTGCAGCCTCCACCTCACTGCAGCCTCCATCATCCTCCCACTTCAGCCTCCCAAATAGCTGAGACTACAGACACCATGCCTGGCTAATTTTTTTTGTATTTTTTATAGAGACAGTGTTTTGCCATGTTCCCAAGGCTGTTTTGCAACTCCTGGACTCAAGCAATCCTCCTGTCTCAGTTTCCCAATATGCTGGGATTACACGTGTGAGCCACCACAGCCAGCCTGTGCTGGTTTTCTTGATGTTTCTTGACATCTCGAGTTTGTTCTGACATCAGAGTTTTTGCACTTGCTCTTTCATTAGACTGGAATACTCTGGTCAGATTTTTCCCATGGCTCGCTCCATTATTTCAGGTATTATCTAAAACATTTTCCTAGTATGGCTCTTTTCTTGGACCACCCTACCTAAAACACCTACCTTTCCTTCCAGAGTGATTCTACCATTCAGCATCCTCCTTACTGCATTTTATTTTTTATTTATAGCACTTCTCACTATCTGACCTTATATTATGTATTTTTTTTATTGCCCCCTTCACTAAAACATGACTCCTGTGAAGGCAGACACCTTACCTCTTTTGTTCATTGCTGTGTTTACTATCCTGGCAGTACCAGAATAGTGCCAGGATAGTAAGTGCTTAATAAATGTTGAATGAATAAACATAATTCTGGAAAAGCAGGGATGGAGGGGTGACTTGTAGGTATTAGAGGGATGTTAAACATTTTTTATGCATTCACTCCTCCAGCCTCATACCCTTGTTTTGGAATATGCTTTTCCACATGATGGAAGCAGGCAATATTCAGAAGGAACTGGAGAAGATATTGAAATACTGGAAACAAAAATCTGCATGAACATCTTTTAAAAGTCAAGTTTAAATCAGAACACTGTCTGCCCAGGATAGTGCAGTGGATTCTATGTGTCCTTAAACTATCCAAAATTTGTGTGTCACACTGGTCTCTATTTTTAAGTTATGCACAAAAGTTGACCAATGACAAGAAGGCCATGGAAGATGTATTAGTTACCAATTGCTCTGTAACGAATCACCCCACAGTGTAGTAGTTTAAGAAGCATACATTTATTATCTCATAGCTTCTGCAGTTCAGGAATCTGGAAGGCTTAGCCATGTACTCAGCTTCTGGATTTCTCACAGGCTGTAAGCAAGGTGTTGGCCAGGGCTGTAGCTATCTCAGGGCTTGACTGGGGAAGCACACACTTTTAAGCTCACTCATGTGGCTGTTGGCAGGATCAGTTTCTTGTGGGCTGTTGGCTAGAGACATAAGTTCATGCTGGCTGTTGGTCAGCAGCCACCCCCAGTTCTTTGACACATGGGCCTCTCCAGCACAGCAACTTGCTTTATTGAAACAAGCCAACCAAGAAAGCAGTCAAGAGGCTGCATTCAAAACAGTAGTCATAGGCATTTATAATCCCATCTCAGAAATAAATTCCATATTTTTTCCCATCTTCTTTTTATTAGAAGCTAGTTCTAGCTCCCACACAAAAGAAGCAGATTCCACAAGGGAGTGAATACCAGGAAGTGGGGATCACTGGGAGTCATTTTAGAAGCTGTTTACACAGAAGGAAAGCAAGAGATGGGCATATATGGGCTGGGGAGGGGAGCTGTTATTTGGTGACAGAGAATTTGTTCTACTTTAAATTTAGTTTACAAGCTTGAAATGTTATTTCTTACCACTTGGATGAAACCGAATGGCAATTTAAAAGTATAGATATTGTGTTAAAGCATAGAGAATGTACACTGTGTTAAAGCAAAGAGAAATTATTCTGACACTTGTTAAAAATAGCAAGGAAGACTTTATTCATGACTATTGCAGCAGGGGAGAGAGCATGAACTCTATTCCAAATACAGCAGGGACAAGTGAGGATTTATTGTCGATGGGCAAGGTGAGGCCAAGGATGGAAAATGACTAAGAGAATTGTGAGGTATCAAGGGAACAAGAGAGAGGAGCTGATTAGTTTCGAGGGTGAGGGAAAAGGAGTTCGATTGGATATCAGGATGGGGATATTCTTGATAAACTGACTTAGCAGGATTCTTTGCTAAAACTGGGCTCAGTAGGCCAAGGCCAAGACCTAGTTGAGAAGAGGGCTGAGAAATGACTAAAGTTTGTTTAAGGGGAAGTCCTTCTCAGTTATCTTCTGTTAACATCTATACATCTCTGGCACCCCTTTCACTCAATAGCAAACACCAATCTGTTGGCATTGCACACTTAAGGGTGGGACCCTAATCCCATAGTACTGGTGTCCTCATTAGGAGGAGGAGGAGATGCCAGAGCTGGCTCTCTCTCTGCAAATACAGAAGAAAGGCCATGAGAGGACACAGGAGAAAGATGGCTGTCTGCAAGCCAGGGAGAGAACCCTCACTGGGAACCTAACTTGTCAGCACTTAGATCTTGGACTCTCAGCCTCTAGAAATGCAAGAAATAAATGTCTGTTGTTTGTACCCGGCCTGTAGTATTCTGTTATGGCAGCCCAGCTGACTAAGACACCCACTGTTCTCCAGTCCATTTCATTCCCTTCCCTGCTGGCAACTTCTTAAGACAGTTTTGGCTGTTTCTTCTGGCATATATCCTGTTCTAGATTTCTCAATAGTATCCTTTGACTCATTAATTTTAGACATTACCTATTAATTTCCTATTATGGCAGTTAAGTATTTACCTTTGTTGTACTGCTTCCTCTTTCCCATCCTCCCACTGGAGTGACATTACGATTTTGGTTAAATCAATATGTAGAATTTATGTAATTTTCTGAATTATTGGGAAAACTATTGGACAACACCATTTGACCTGAATCCGTGCAGGGGTTCCTCTGTGGGGGCAAGTTGCTTGAAATGTGGAAGGGGAAAACAATTGTATCTTGAAATCAGAATATGGATAGAGTGAGTGGAAGTGGCTGAATCACTAATGTTCCTTCCTTTTCCCAAATGTATCCATCAGATACGGTGCTCTCATCCATTATCCATACCCTACAGAACTGGAGCTACTCAATCTCAACATAAATAAATAAATAAATAAAATAAAATAAAATAAAATAAAATAAAATTAAATTAAAAGGCCCAGCATGGTGGCTCAGGCCTGTAATCCCAGCACTTTGGGAGGCTAAGGCGGGTGGATCATTTGAGGTCAGGTGTTCGAGACCAGCCTGGCCAACATGGTGAAACCCCATCTCTAGTAAAAATACAAAAATTAGCCAGCTGTGGTGGTGTGCGCCTGTAATCCCAGCTACTCAGGAGGCTGAGGTATGAGAATCACTTGAACCCTGGAGGCGGAAATTGCAGTGAACTGAGATTGTGCCACTGCACTCCAGCCTGGGCAATAGAGGGGGACTCAGTGCCAAAACCAAACAAACAAACAAACAAAACCCCAAACCCAAAAAAACCCCAAAACAAACAAACAAACAAACAAACCAAAAATAGAATAGTAGCTAAGGAAGCCAAAAGGGGCCAGAAGGATTCTTCCTACATTTTTGCCTCCAGGGTAATGGAAAGGAAATTCCTTCTCTTAAAAGAAACCTGAGGCAAGAATGACACTCCCTCCTACGCAGTCCAAATGACTTGATTTTTGTGAGCCTGTAGCCATGTTTGACGCTCAGCTGTTCTCCAGGGCTGGAGGCTTTCCTGTGCATGTGGGCCAGCACAAACATTCGCTGGGAGTTGAGTGTGGTAAGTAGGTAGCAAAGAATGAGCAGCTTAGGAAGTTCAAAGTGAAGTGTGCGGCAGGTCGGATTCCATAATCACTTGCCTTTGAATTGGACTCCACCGTTAATCTGCCATGTTCAGTGTCCTGCTAAACAATAGACTTTTTAAATGATGCACACACAGCCTTAAATTTGCTGAGCTATTCTCACAGTCAGCCGAGCTCATTTCAAAGCATTCAGACTGTACCACAATTAGCTGCTGACACTATCCTAAAATAATATAAAGCCCGGCCAGTAATTACACACTAGAAGAAACTATGTATAGAAAAGCTGATTAACTTGTAGGGTGGTGCAATTTTCTGAGCTGTGAACATTTCAAACAGAACCGTAGCAGTCATGTTGGTATGGATGAAAATCCAACTGCAAATCCTTAGCTAAATATTTAACAACATCTTGCTCTAAAAGTATCAACCAAGACTTCAGGTTGATACTTGGATCTTCTCTTTGTGGGTCAAGGGACTGAAAGGGCCAGGTCTTTCTCGAGTTTACCTGCAGGTGGCACTGCAGGGATAACCTCCACTAACCCAGCCGATGTGTCAAGGTGACCACAGCCATCACACGATTGTTGTCATTGTCTTCATCATCACTGACATCTTCACAGTCATCGTTAGCATTGTTCTCTTATGAACTAATGGCATGTGGTGCAGTTCTGGATTTCAATTGTCTCCATTCCATACCCATCTCTCATATGTACAGATTTGGCATTGGGATTCTCACCTTTGCTCCTGATTCTTTGCTCCTGTGATGTCCCTTGGCTGGGATGGCCAGCAGTGCCTCTCCCTGCCTTGTTTTGAGGGGGTGTCCTGTGTGAGTCACTGCTGTTTCACTCAAGTTCCTGAGACAGCTCAGGGAGGGCTTCTGTCAAACAGACAAGCTTTGCCTGAAGAAGCTTTGCCCTGTTTCCCTGGCACTTTCCTACCTTACTAAGGTCTTGCTTCTTCCTTCTAAAGTCAGTGTCTAAGATAAGTCTTAAGCAGATGTCTCCTGGGCTTCCTTTTGTTTACAGCCAATGCACCACCCAGCTCTCCAGAGCAGAAGGTAGCTCTTGACCCCTTTGCTCACTTCCTGACTTCAGTCACTGGTCTCTCCTTTGTACACAGAGTGTTCTCCTCTCCTCTCTCTCTTAAACTTTTAATTTAAGTTCAGAGAGTACATGTGCAGGTTTGTTTTATGGGTAAATCATGTGTTGCTGAAATTTGGTGTACAAATGATCCCATCACCCAAGTAGTAAGTATAGTACCTGATAGGTAGTTTTTCAACCCTTGCCTCCTTCCTCCTTTCCCCCTCTAGTAGTCTCCAGTGTCTATTGTTTCCAGCTTTATGTCCATGTAGACCCAATGTTTAGCTTCCACTTATAAGTAAGAACGTGGCAGTTTTTGGTTTTCTGTTCCTGTGTTAATTTGCTTAGGATAATGGCCTTCAACTCCATCTATGTTGCTGCAAAGGACATGCCTTCATTCTTTGTTATGGCTGTGTAGTATTCCATGGTGTATATGTACCATATTTTCTTTAAGCCACCATTGGTGGGCACCTAGGTTGATTTTATGTCTTTGCTATTGTGAATATTGCTGTGATAAACATACCAGTGCGTATATCTTTTTGTAGAATGATTTATTTTCTTTTAGATACATACCCAGTGATAGGATTTCGGGGCCAAATAGTAATTCTATTTTTAGTTCTTTGAGAAATCTCCAAACTGCTTTCCACGCTGGCTGAACTAATTTATATTCCTGCCAACGTTGTGTGAGTGTACCCTTTTCCCAGAAACCTCACCAACATCTGTTAATTTTTGTCTTTTTAGTAATAGCCATTCTGACTAGTATGACCTGGTATCTCAGTATGATTTTGATTTGCATTTCTCTAATGATTAGAGATATTGAGCATTTGTTTCATATGTTTGTTGGCCACATGTAGGTCTTCTTTTGGGAAATATTTGTTCATATCCTTTGCCACTTTTCCTAATGCGGTTATTTGTTTTTTGCTTGTTGAATTGTTTGAGTTCCTTATAGATTATGGATATTACACCTTTGTCAGATGCATAGTTTGCAAGTAGTTTCTCCCATTCTGTAGGTTGTCTGTTTACTCTGTTGATAGTTTATTTTGTTGTGCAGAAGCTCTTTAGTTTAATTATGTCCCACTCATCAATTTTTGTTTTTGTTGCAATTACTTTTGGGGACTTTTAGTTATAAATTCTTTACCAAGGCCAATATCTGGAAAGGTAGTTTCTAGGCTTGCTCCTAGGATTTTTATAGTTTTAGACTCTAGATTTTTATAGATGGTCTATAACCATCTGATCTTCACTGAAATTGACAATAAGAAGCAATGGGGAAAAGACTCCCTATTCAATAAATGGCACTAGGGTAACTGGCTAGTCATATACAGAAGAATGAAACTGGGCCCTTACATTTCACCATATACAAAAATTAACTCAAGAAGGATTAAAAACTTACCACTCTCTTGACATCATTCATGAGCTCCTAGAATTCAGGGGCTTTGGTTTATTTATTGTTATATCCCCAAAGGTGGTAAACAGCCAAAAAAGTAAAGAACAAAAGCAAAAATCACCATAATATATTTTCTTAAAGGCAGAGATGTGGAAAGGAAGATAAATTTTTGGTGCTCCTTTTACTAAAAATTTTACTTTGGCGATCTCTCCAGCTTATGGGGGAAGAAGGAAGAAGCTACACGAAAGCCTGTTCTTTGGTTCTTTGAGGAAAAAGTGTTGTATTTCCCTCCCTCGATACAGAAATGTTGGATATTACCTTGCAGCAATTACCACCTTTTTCCTTGTTGGTAGAAACTTTGAATCTGTGGCTCGTTCACAGTCCCAGGAGGTAAATTGTGATTGACTTAAGTGACAACCTCATTCACATTCCTAGGAAATGGTTTGAGGCTGAGTTCTGGCTAATGGGATCTGAGGGTATCTTATTTGAAGATTTGGGGAGAGATTTTCCTCACTAAAACAAAGAAAACCCTAGGGTGAAATGCTGCTATTTTTGACTAGAGGTTGTTGAGTTAGTGTGTGAGACCTGGAACATCTGCAGTCATCTTGCAGCCAAGAGGAGATTTTGCTCTCATGCTACCGAGATGGAAAAAGCCCCTGGCTCTTGAGGACATAGTAGGATCATGGATTTACCTAGGCTTGAACTTGTCTTTCTTCTGGACTTATTATAAAATAATCTTTTATTTTAACTTCTATTAGTTGGGTCTACTCTTCTTATAGTCAGAAGTACCACAATTGATGCACCTACAATTTTTTTTGTAACATTTTTCTCAATCATTTCCCCAGTATTAGCTGAGGTCCTCCCTAAACTGTGGGGAGGAGGTAGAGGGGTTGTTTCAGTGGAAGGAGAATGAGTGATGAGACCTATCGAATGTGTTAAATAGCTTTCATTTGCCCTTCCAGATCCATTTTCCACTGTTTTGTATTCTGCTCTAAGCTCCAAAGTAGGAACAGGGATAACCTATATGGACAGTCTCTGTTTTCTCATGTTATTGAGAAGGACAATAACGAACACCTTTTTGAGCTTCCAAATTATATGTTAATGTATGATTCTCTCCAAAGGCTTCTCATCAAACGTCATTTGACCCATAGTCTTCTTTTTAATTTTTCCCAAGATCGACTCCCAAGAAAATATTTCCCAAGAAAATATCAGTCAGGGTCCCAACAAGAAACAGGTGACTCACTCAAATTTGGATAATTTGAAGAAGGTTTACTTACAAAAGTGTGCAGGGTGGTGGACCTCAAGCAGATTGAAATCCAATATCAGTTAGAAGCCTAATTCTTTCCAGTGTTGTGAAATTAAATATCACCCATATTCCTCTCAGCTAAATTCTTCCCTTTCTTCTAGAAGGATTTTAAGTTACACCTTTTCTGGAAAGTTTCCCCATCCTTCTGCTTTAGTCTGTTCTCACAATGCTATAGAGAACTACCGGAGACTGGGGAATTTATGAAGAAAAGAGGTTTAATTAACTCACAGTTGGGCAGGCTTAACAGGAAGCATGACTGGGAGGCCTCCGGAAACTTACAATCATGGTAGAAGGCAAAGGGGAACCAAGCACATCAAACCATGGGAGCACAGGAGAGAGGGAAATGCCACACACTCTTCAACCATCAGATCTCGTGAGAACTCTCTCATTATCACAAGAACAGCAAGGGGGAAATCTGCCTCCATGATCCCATCACCTCCCACCAGGTCCCTCCCTCAACATTGGGAATTACAATTCAACATGAGATTTGGGTGGGGACAGAGAGCCAAATCATATCACCTTCACTAACCAAAACTTACTGAGATTTTGACTTATAGTTGGACTCTACATTGATATTCATGCTCAACATATTGGAATTCCTTCGGAACAGAGAACACATACCTATGAAACCTGTCATTAAACTGGGTAGTAACACCAATATAATTGTATACTTTATTAAGATACATTTAAATTTTGGTAAAATATACTTAATTTACCATTTTAACCATTTTTAGTGTACTAGCTCTATAGCATTACTTACATTCACATTGTCATGCAACCATCATCACCATCCATCTCCAGACCTTTTTCTTCATCTGAAACTGAAACTCTATACCCATCAAAAAATAATTTTAAACACCTATTTAGTAGCATGCAATTTAGAAAAATGAATAGACTTTGTTTTGAGACAGGGTCTTTCTCTGTTGTCCAGGCTGGAATGCAGTGGCATGATCACGGCTCACTGCAGCCTTGACCTCCTAGTCTCAAACGATTCTCCCATCTCAGTCCCCCAAGTCACTGGAACTACAGGTGTGTGCCACCACACCTGGCCTTTTGTATTTTTTGTGGAGACAGGGTTTTGCCATGTTGCCCAGGCTGTAGACTTTGTTTTTTAGAGTATGTTTAGATTTACAGAAAATTTAAGCCCACAGTACAGAGTTCCCATCTCCCCATTATTAACATCTTACATTTGTAGGGTACATTAGCTACAATTAATTAACCAATATTGATAAATTATTATTAACTGAAGCCCATACTTAATTCAGGTGCCTTTAGTCTTTATCTAATTATCTTTTTATCTTTCAGGAACACATCCAGGACACTACATTACATTTATTTGTCACGTTTCCTTGGGTGCTCTTCATTGTGACAGTTTTTCAGACTTTTTTTATGACCTTGACAGTTGTGAGAATTATTGGTCAGTTACTTTGTAGAACGTCCATCAGCTGGGATTTGTTTGATGTTTTCTTTTTTGTTATTTTATTTTTTAGTTTTTAAATATTTTATTTCATTTCCTGCCCACACATGGATGTCTGATATTTTCATGATTAGACTGAGGTAATGGGTTATTGGGAGGAAGGCCACAGATGCTAAGTACCATTGTCATCATATCACATCAAGGGTACATACTATCAACGTGATCTATCACTGTTGATTTTGAATTTGACCACCTGGCTGTAGTGCTGTTTGTGAGATTTCTCCACTATCAAGTTTCTCCCCTCCCTTCCACATTGTACTCTTTGAAAGGAGGTCACTGTGCAAAACTCACACTTAAGGAGGAGAGAGTTATGGAGTTAATTTTTAAATGATTGTGGGGACATTTTCTGAAGCATCTGCCCAGTTCACATGACCTCCCCCTCCCTAGTAACTGCTCACTCTCAAATCCATAAGGATACCCTGCCAATTCCTCTCTTAAGCAGCCAGAATTGTTCTGTGAAATCCTTTTCTCTTGGTCACAATGATTGGAGAACATAGGGTCGATAGGATTCTTTCCTCAGGTGCTGGAAATGTTAGGGTAAGTCAGGCTTTCTGTGTGCCCAAGTTCGATACAAAGCTACTAAATTAATGACTACTTAATAATATCCTTTGATTGACTAATAATTATACAAAAGCCTAGTTAAAATACTTCCAACATTGTTGATTGTCTCCCTATCATCCATTCCTCCTTCCCACGTTTACCACATAAACCCAATTTTATGTTTAATGCAACACACTCTCTACTCTCTATTATGCAACTCACATGCCCCAAGGATGGATTCCCACCCCTAGCTCCAGGAGGGGGCCCAATTGCTCCAAGAGTAATCCCCTTTTTCTTGCCTGTCATAAGTTCGGGAATAGACACGTGATCCAATTAAGGACAATGAGATGTGCAGAAAGTTTGCTAGAGCCTCCCAGGAGAGGTTTTCTTTGCTCTTTTGCTGTTGCTTTGAAGTGACCTATCTCTTCTGGATGTTGTCACATATTAAGACTGGGACCATTGCACACATCTTCCTTCCAGCCCGAGGAGGCAGCTGGCACACAAAGGAGGAAAACTTAAAAAATGCCAGGGAGATGGAACAAGAACCTTGTGAATGCCCAACCTATCTCTAGACCAGGGCCACTCAAAATGTAGGGTGTCTGGGAACTGTTTGTTACCATTCTATGATGACATAGACATAGAAATTGAGAGACATGCTTAGGAATTTTTGTAGGGATTTGATATTGCAATCGCCTCCAAGTGTGTGGTCAATGCACTTATCTAGCCAAATAGGCTCTAGACTAGTTGGGGTGTTGTCCAACAAATGGATGAGTTGTAAGTTGTGCAAACTGTGTACAAATCTTGTGCTTTATAACCATGTAGCAATCTGCACTGAATTGAAAAATTAAATCAATTCAAGAACAACTGTCCACAGATATTTTGAGAAACACTGCTACAGACTTCAATGATTATGTGAGTCAATTAATTTCCCCATCATTTAAGACAATAAGGATTTTCTTTTCTCCAATTCACAGCCCAAAGTATCTTATGTTATACTGTAGTGAATCTAGTAAAAAGACAAGAGACCACATAGATATTTGTGGTAGGGTATACATGTAATTAAATAAATGTCTATATATGTGTGTACGTGTTTTCACCTAACTCTGTACTGGGTAACCATTTCTCAATGTTAGTGATTGTAAAAATTTGAAAAAGAGAAGCTATTTTGGTATCTATTGCTAGCTGCTGGCACTTCCCAGTTCTAGTTCTTTGATTTGAATATGATGCCATGATGTAACACATGGGAGAGATACTAGAAGAACCAAAGTTCCATTTGTATCTCTAGGGAGAACTCATAAGAGTAAGGAGAGTTGACTATATGTCATCTTCCAATTATATTTTTAACTTCATACTTCAAAACTTTTCTAGTTTTGAGAGAAAGTCAATGCAATTTTTTTTTTGAGACAGAATTTTGCTCTTGTTGCCCAGGCTGGAGTTCAGTGGTGCGATCTCAACTCACTGCAACTTCTGCCTCCCAGGTTCAAGTGATTCTCCTGCCTCGGCCTCCCGAATAGTTGGGATTACAGGCGTCCACCACTATGCCCGGCTGATTTTTGTATTTTTAGTAGAGACGGGGTTTCACTGTGTTGGGCAGGCTGGTCTCAAACTCTTGACCTCAGGTGATCTGCCTGCCTCAGCCTCCCAAAGTGCTGGGATTGCAGGTGTGAGCCACCGTGCCCAGCCCAATGTAATTTTTATAAGTTTTGGGGGTCATAACCTTTAAGGGGTTATCAGAATTCTAATTTGTAAAAGCATTATTTATAAGTTACAAAAATTACACTTTGCAATTCTTATTATTTTCCTAGAGATACAAAGAAAGGGCTATAACGAAATTATGATTGTGTGCTAACAAATAGAATAGATGCCTTTGTTAATGGAGGTAAAACATTTTTGTGACCATTCTTTTTTGATATTATTTTGATCCCAATGGAATGTTTTTAGAGTCTCAGATTATTTTTCACGTGCGGAATGACTATTTCATTTACCATACCAAAGATAGTCTTTAAGCTAGTGATCTGGGAAAGATTGCTGTGTGAAATTAAAAACTTTATTCTTGCAACAATGATGAAATGGGCACATCTTTTTAGCCTTGATGGAATGAAGCCACATGACAATTAATTTATAGTATGCATTGCCTCAGCCATTAAGAGCTTTGGAAGGACTCCTGGTGTTGAAGGATGAGGCAGATGGGGTGTTCTAGAGAACTAGAGAGTTTATTTTGGCTTCAAAGCTGGTTACTATTATAAGAGATAGAAAACTGGGCAATAGCAAGCTGCAGCAGAAGGGACGGCCTCAACAGATGAGCCTGATGTATTATTTTAAGAACTTTCTTCCAAAGCCAAGTCATAACACCTCATTGCTTTGTACGAAATAAAAACACACTTTCTTTACAGGACTTGCTTTCCTTGAAAATGATAAAGATCAATTGCATGAATAGGGATTTTATTTTAATATAAATATGTGGAGCTCTTAATTAATTTACACAATAAAATATATTGTTATGTGCCTTGTTGGTATAGCTGTATCACTATACAAGTGGCATTCTGTAACTGGTCCTCTGGTTCCATTAAAAAAATTTGGTTGTGGCCAGGCATGGTGGCTCACGCCTATAATCCCAGCATTTTGAGAGGCCAAGGTAGGCAGATTACTTGAGGTCAGGAGTTCGAGACCAGCCTGGCCAGCATGGTGAAACCCTGTCTCTACTAAAAATACAAAACTTAGCCAGATATGGTGGCATGCACCTGTAATCCCAGCTACTTGGGAGACTGAGGAAGGAGAATTACTTGAACCTAGGAGGCGGAGGTTGTAGTGAGCTGAGATCAAGCCACTGCACTCCAGCCTAGGTGACAGAGTGAGATTCTGTCTCAAAAAAAAAAAATTGGTTGTATGCTTGAGACAGTAATGTTCACTAAATATTCCATGGGCTCCCCTAGTTCTTCATCTCACTCATAGTTGAACTGGGGCCATGTATCTAGATCAGGCTGATGGGCCATGAGAAAAATGAATTTTTGTCACTTTTGGACTGAGACAGTTAAAAACAGGCATAGGCTTTTCATCATCTTCTTCTTTTGTGTGACCATTTTGACATGGAGGAGCCACACAACGGAAGCAGCCTCTATCTTTAGTCATTACATCAAAAAAACATCCCTGGAGAGCTCTTTACCTGCACTAGACATTTTGTGAATAGTGGAAGTTGACTTGTGCTGTGACACCCCAGTGAGATTTGGGTGTCTATTTGTTACCACAGCATGGGCTAGTGTTATACTGACTTTTATCCATAGTTATAAATTTCTGTTCTTTATAAATTACCCAGGCTCTGGTATTTTGTATGTGTTTGTCCATTTGCACTGCTATAACAAAATACCAGAGGCTGGGTCATTCATAAAGAATAGAAATTTATTTCTTACAGTTCTGGAGGCTGGGAAGTCCAAGATCAAGGTGCCAGCAGACTTGGTGTCTAGTAGGGGCTGTGCTGTCTGCTTGCATGATGGCACCTTGTGACTGTGTCCTCATATGGCAGAAGGTGCAGGGGCAAAAAGGGCAGAATCCTGGTGAAGCTTCTTTGATAAATGCCTTAATCCCATTCAAGAGGGAGATGCCCTTATGAGCAAATCACCTCCTTAAGGCCCTACATCTTAATATTATTACATTGGAAACTAAGTTTCAACATGAATTTTAGAGGAGCACAAACATTCGATTGTGACAGAATTGGTAACTACTAACCAATTTACCACTTGCAGTGTGTAGATAATCCCCAGAAGCAGAGAGACTGATATGTGCTGTAGATGTGGGTGCACGGTTGAGTTCCCAGGGGCCCTATTGTGCATCGCTCATTGGCCTCTGTACTGTTTCCATGTGTGCAGAACTGTGCTGGGAGCTGTAAGAATGTAAGCAACAACAATAAAGCGATCTTAGACCTAAATCAAGTCAGTCCAAGGAGAAGAAACATACACTTCTTTTCTTCTATAAGCTTGCAGTCTATCTATTAGGAGAGCAAGGACAGGCACCCAAGAAATTAAAATATAAGGTAGAGGGACAAAGAATATTTCATTGGCTTGGGGAGATCACGAGCTGTAAATAGTAAATGAGTCTGTGCGTTCTAGGCTATAGTACAATGCAAATTTGGAGAATAAAGGTATTTTAATGAGATTAATATGTTTGAAGGTTAATTTTTATTTTTATGTACAGTAAAGGTAACATTAAACCTTTATCCCAGTTTGGCGACAAGTTCTTTAGCCTTGCTTTTTGAGCTTAGCAATGAGAGCCATAAATTTGATAGAATGTTATCCCCAATGATAGCAGATCTTGTCATGTCTGTCATTGTAATTGGTCCTGGTAGTTTCCACCAGCTTAGCTAGGACTCCTTTGTCTTCTGAGTTAACCTGTGTAAAGGCAATGGTGGTGCAGGTCTTTCTGTGGAGGAAACATCCCACCAGTCTGGCTTTTCTCTTGATAATGAACTAGGAGACTCCCATTTTAGAGCCCAAGGCAGCAGGAAGAACAACCAGCTCAGTGGAATCCACACATGTGCAGTCATCCCCAGGTGAGCCTTGTTGTTCTCCACCAAGGTGGTGACTTTATAAACACCTGCTTAAAGGACCGGCAGTCTCAGTGGGGATACCCCTTTTCTGGCAGCTCTCTGCTTTTCTTGCTCTGTGCCTGAATGTAGTTGGCCACTTTAAGCAATTCAGTAGCTGTTTGACTGGCCAATGTCTGAGTGAGCTGGTTCATCTCAGGGGATGCTTTCAAACACTTATAAAGGAAGACTCTTTGCCACCACAGCTGGATGTAACAGCTGCATTTGACAAGCAGACAGGGGTGATTATTGCATCCCATTTTGTAGGCCTAACCGGGAATGATAATAATTTCTTTTCTTTTTTCTTTTCTTTTTTTTTTAAGACAGAGTCTCACTCTGTTGCCTGGGCTGGAGTGCAGTGGTGCGATCTTTGTTTACTGAAATCTCTGCCTCCTGAGTTCAAACAGTTCTCCGCCTCAGCCTCCTGAGTAGCCGAGATTACAGACATGCACCTGGCTAATTTTTGTATTTTTAGTAGGGACGAGGTTTCACCATGTTGGCCAGGCTGATCTCAAACTACTGACCTCAGGTGATTTGTCTGCCTCAGCTTCCCAAAGTGCTGGGATTACAGGCATGAGCCACTGTGCTCAGCCTGGAAATAATAATTCAGCTTTGATTTGAACATTTTAAAACATTTTGATAGCATTTTAAATTTTGGTTAAAATAACACATGTGCCATATTTAAAATCAACAAGCCCCTGTCAGGCCTGATGCCACCCGTTTCCCTGATGGTTTACATTTGTAGAGAAGTTTTCCAGATTCGCCTTACAGAAATAAATCTGGCCATTCAAGGTCAGTCTAAATCTGTACTTCTAGAAGTCAACATATGTAAATATGACCAAACATTGAGGTTTTATTTTCCTCCATAGTAAAGACTTATCTTTTTTTTTAAAAATGGACTGTATCAAATCAATTTTTATACTTCTTTCCTCAGTAAGCAAAAATAAATTTTTCATGTGCTATAAAGACAGCATTAAATCTTTATGTCCTCTGTTGATTAGAAAGTATGATATTAGCAACACTAGGATATTTATACTCGGAACTCTGTAATTATTCTAAAATACATGCTGTCTTTTGTTTGTCTATTTTATGTGGGTTGCTCTCTCTTACCTGGTATTTGAGAAATCTACTAATGAGATCAAAGAGAATAAAAATTGGGATACTAGATTATTATTATTTATATATACATATTCCTAGAAGAATCTAGGCCTGATATAACTTTTTTAAGGGACTACTGTTCTAGGATCATTTTATCTGTTCATTATATACCCTCCAAACCAAATTCTGTAGGTGGTTTTTTTTTTTTACATTTTCTCCTGGGAAAGATAAACGAGGCACTCCATGGTAGAATAAAAAAACAGATTTGGCTTTGGGGAGTTGGGAAAGTTCTGGTGAAATGCCAAGTGCTGAGCTGCAGGTTTTCAAAATTGTTTATTTTGAAGCTTAGAATTGTTGGAAAAGTATCACATATGAGACTCATGTCATTGCTTCTGACAGTGAAATAGGTCAGCTGCCCAGGTGGTGTCTGAGAAACCTACAGAAAAAAGATAATGTATACATCTCTTCTTCAGCCCAGACTCTGTTAGCCATCCGTATAACAGGCTCAGTGGGGTTGAAAATCTTCAGTACCATTCCTTGGATACAGATCATAGTCTGGTGGTCTGACTTTTATAATCATGGTCATAGTTCTTGAGAGGTTTCTTTTTAAACTTTGCAAATTCCAAATTAATCCAGTATGGATGTGTTCACGGTGCTGTGTAACAGCAATGCCTGTTCTCAAGAGGCATATGCTTAGATCTCTTTGTACAGCAAATCAGCCTGAAATTCCATATGTCATTATTCTGACTTTAGGTCATATGGTGAATTAACTGCAAGCTTATAATGCTCACAGAAACAGCAGTGACGCAGAAGAAGGGGCGGGAGGTTCCAAGAATGACGAATGCCAGGTAGGAAAGTGGAGAAAGGCCAGAACATGAGCGTCCTCCCCACCAATTGTGGAGGGAAAGCTTTCTTGGTTTTCTTTTTCCCAGTAGGAAAAATACTTCATTAAGAAAACTGGTCACTGTAATCCCAGCTACTAGGGAGGATAAGGCATGAGAATCGCTTGAACCCAGGAGGCAGAGGTTGTAGTGAGCTGATACTACGCATAAAGTATTCTTTATCTTGTAGGCAGATGATGATGTAAACTGAATTTACTAAAGAAATGGTGAATGACATATTCATGGAACCATTCTAGTTTCTAATAAACAGTTATAGCTTGGTTAGCCCATCTGTGGGTGAGGTCACTGCAGTCAGTATGCACATACCCACCCCCAAATCGGCAGAGAACATCTGCAGAAGTGAGGCTTCCTCACTCTTCCCCCTTCCTGGAATGGTGGAGCTGGATTCTGAAAGGGATTCCTGGGCTTGAGAACGTTCTGGGCAGACCCTGAAGGGGCAAGTCCATAGTACACAATGACGTGGTAACAAGACAAACTTCTTATCAAATCCATAAAGCTATCTAAACTGCACAATATCTAGCAATGAAATTAACCAAAGAAATGAAAAATCTATACAAGGAAAATGATCAAATATTGATGAAAGAAATTGAAGAGGACACATGAAAACTGGGAATATATTCCATGCTCATGGATTGGAAGACTTAATATTATTAAAATGACAATTCTACCCAATAAAATTTACAGATTCAATGCAATCCCTATCAAAATACCACTGATCTTCTTCACAGAAATAGAAAAAAGAGTCCTAAAATTTATATGGAACCACAAAAGACCTTGAATAGCCAAAACAACCCTGAGCAAAAAGAATAAAGCTAGAGACATCATACTACCTGACTTCAAAATATACTACCAAGTTATAGTAACCAAATCAGCATAGTACTGGCATAAAATCTGACACATAGACAAATGTAACAGAATAGAGAACCCAGATATAAATCCACACACTTATAGCCAACTCATTTTTCACAGAGGTACCCAGAATATACAATGGGGGAAAGGACAGTCTCTTTAATAAGTGGGGCTGGGAAAACTGGATTTCCATATGCAGAATAATGAAACTAGACCTCATCTCACTGTATAAAAAAATCAATTGAAAAGGAGTTAAATATTTTTTATTATTATTATTATTATTATTTTTTGGAGACAGAGTCTCGCTCTGTTGCTCAGGCTGGAGTGCAGTGGTGTGATCTTGGCTCACTGCAACGTCTGCCTCCAGGGTTCAAGTGATTCTCCTGCCTCAACCTCCCGAGTAGCTGGGACTACAGGCACCCGCTGCCACGCCTGGCTAATTTTTTTTTGTATTTTAGTAGAGATGGAGTTTCACTGTGTTGTCCAGGCTGGTCTTGAGCTCCTGGGCTCAAGTGATCCTACCACCTTGGCCTCCCAAAGTGCTAGGATTACAGGTGTGAACCACTGCATCCAGCCCAAAAATGAGTTAAATATTTAAATCTAAGACAGGAATCTGTGAAACTACTAGAAGAAAACATTGAGGAAATGGTCTCAGACATTAGTCTGGGAAAATATTCTTTGTGCAAGACCTCAACAGCAGAGACAACCAAACAAAAATAGACAAATGGGATTACATCAAGCTAAAAAACTTCTGTATGGCAAAGGAAACAATAAAGTAAAAAGACAACCCACGTGATATGGTTTGGCTTTGTGTCCCTGCCCAAATCTGATCTTGAATTGTAATCCCCAGGTGTTGAGGGAGGAACCTGGTGGGAGGCGATTGGATCATGGGGGCTATTTCCCCCATGCTGTTTAGTGAGTGAGTTCTCATGAGGTCTGATGGTTTTATAAGTGTTTGACAGTTCTCATTAGATCTGATGATTTTATACGTGTTTGACGGTTCTCACGTGATCTGATGGTTTTGTGTTTGAGAGTTCCTCTCTCACACTGTCTCTGTTGCCTGCTGCCACGTAAGATGTGCCAGCTTCTCCTTCCTCCATAATTGTAAGTTTCTTGAGACCTCTCCAACGATGTGGAACTGTGAGTCAATTAAACCTCTTTTGTTTATAAATTACCCAGACTTGGATAGTATCTTTATAGTGGTGTGAAAACAGACTAATACACCACAGAATAGGAGAAAATATTTGGAAACTACTCATCTGTCTAGGGATTAATAACCAGAATATAGAAGGAACTCAAACAACTCAATAGCAAAAATGCCAAATAATCTAAAGTAAAAATGGGCAAAAGATCCAAACAGACATTTTTCAAAAGAAGACATACAAATGGCCAAAAGGTATATGAAGAAATGTTCAATATCACTAATCATCAGGGAAATGCAGATCAAAGCTACAATGAGATACCATCTCACCCCAGTTAAATGGCTTTTATTAAAAAGGTAGAAAATACAATACAATAAAAAATAAACTGCACAGATAATAATGATCTACAATTTGAAATTTGAGGTATCTCTTTGGAACTCCATTTGCTATAGTCTGAATGTTTGAGACCCCTGAGAATTCATATGTTGAAGTTCTAACACCCAAGATGATGGTATTAGAAGGTGGGACTTTTGGGAGGTGATTAGGTCACGAGGGTAGAGCCTTTATAATGAGATTATTGCCTTTATAAAAGAGGCCCCAGAGAGCTGGGCCCCCTCCACCAAGAGAAGATGCAGACAGGAGACACCATCTATGAACCAGGAAACAGACCTTCACCAAGCTTAAAATCTACTGGTTCCTCGACTTTGGACTTCACAACCTCCATATGTGAGAAATAAATTTTTGTTGTTTATAAGCCATTCAGTTTATGGCACTTTGTTATAGCATTCCAAACAGATGAAAACAGCATTCAACATAAATTTCATTCCAGGAGTGAAGCTCAAGCTCAAGAAACCACTAAAGGTGTATCAGTGACTTGAATAAATTGTTAGAAACTTCATTTTAAGCATTTATGTTTCAGAATACAGTATACATTCAAAAGACAGAAGTTAAATAAGGAGAAATGTTTGCAAGAAAAGGGATATGGTTAAATATAAAGGGTCCCACAGATACATCTAGTGCATGGGCTCATCTCGTGTGGAATACCATATGAAGCATTTAAAATATTTAAGAGTGTTCAATATTTTTAAGTGCCGGCAGGGTTTCGTTCATAAATTCTTATGGCCCAAATGAGGCAGGGAAAATTCTCAACCTTTTTGGTTTTGTTCATATATTCTTATGGCTCAAATGAGGCAGGGAAAATTCTCAACCTTTTTATAAGTGGCCAAACTATAGCTCAGAGGGATCTGGAAAGGAAAAGACTGTTCAATGTTACACAACAAAAATGAAAAACAGACACCAAAAATAGATTTAACTGCATTATGCTTTGCATCATATTTTTAAAATATCTAACTGTTTTTGTCTTAGAAATGTATTCTCACTGAGTACATCAGGTAATTCTCCAAACTAAAAACTTCAAGGGAATAGAGAGAGGAAAGAAAGTCAATCAGATTTTATCTTAAATTTTTGCCTGATTTGAATTTTTAAAAATCTTAATACTAATATTAAAAATTTTCTGCTTTTTGAGTTGAAGTATGACTCATGTACAGCAAAGTACATAAATCTTACTTAAGGCATTAGCTCAATGAATTATATACACTTGTGTAACCATCATTCAAATTATATTTGGAATACTTTCAGTACCCCAGAAGGCTCATACTCCCTCTCAGTCAATGCTCCCTCACAAAACACCCACTTCTCTGGCTTCTCTTTAGCCCCACAGATTACTTTTGCCTGTTTTGAGCTTTTTTGTGCTGGTTTCTTTTGCTCAACATTATATCTGTGAGATTCTTCCTTGTCTATAGCAGTAATGTGTACTTTTCCATTGCTGTGTAGTGTTCCATTGTATGAATGCACTACATTTATTTGTCCATTCTCCTGTAGATGGACAAAGGTTGTTTCTGGTTTGGGAACTATTTTGAGTAATGCTTCTATGAATGTTCTTAAACTTTCTTTTAGTAAAGATAACCACTCATTTCTGTTGGGATTACACCGAAGAATGAAAATGCCAGGTCATAGGGCATAACTCCATTTGGCTTGGCAGCTACTGCCAAATGGTTTTCAAACTAGTGGAAGGGCTGAACCTTCCACAGATGTATGAGAGTTCCAGTTGCTCCTCATCTTTGTCAACACTTGGTTTTATCTGTCCTTCAATTTTAGGTGTCCTGGTAGATGTGTAATGGTATCTTACAGTAGTTTTACTTTGTATTTCCCCAATAACTAATGATGTTGAGCACCACATAAATTTATTTATATATATATTTTTATATTTTAAAATATATATCTTATATTCATAAAATACATAAAATATATATTATTCTAATAATAAATACATAGTATATTTGCATAAATATTATATATTTATTAAGATAAATATATTAAATAAATACATATATAGAGATATATGCATATATTTTGAGACTAGGTCTTGCTGTGTTGCCCAGGCAGGTCTTAAACTCCTGGGCTCAAGTCATTCGCCTCACCTCTGTCTCTGGAGTAGCTGGGACTACAGGCATTTGCCACAATGCCCGACGATATGAATATTTTTTAAAAATACATAAATGTATTACTCTATTTTTAGTTTTCCACGTGTCTTTTCAGTAAGGCCCATATATTTACATAATTATAATGAGAGTACATTTGGAATTTTGTGTCTTTTTAAACTAATCATTTAAAAGGTTATGTCCTTCATATTTATCCTTTAAAATGGCTTCTTAATATTCCGCTGAGTTTGGTGTCGCTAGGACAACTAGTTTACTTAATGATTTGCCTCTTGTTGATTGTGAGGGTTACCTCCTGTTTTCCTGATGGCTCATTATTGTCCATAAAGAGGAGAAATTCAGATGCACAGCCCGAGGGAATGTTTTAATATCATGGAAACTATCAATAATGAAGTGTGATGTGCCAGTTAAGTATGTTTGGTTCTTGGAATATGGTTTTCATTTCTTTCCCAGTGTAACCTCTGGAAGTAAGCGTCATCTCTATTTTACAGCAGAGGAATCTGATACAAGGCTATGTAACTTGCCCACTATCATACACCCAGTAGGTGATAAAGCAGGATTTCTAGCCAAGGTTGATGACTCCAGAACTCTGACCAGTCACAGAATGGCTCCACCCATCCCATTGTCCATGTGCATAGAAGGTTCCCAGCCCCAGCTCCTGGTTCTCTTTGCAGACTCTCCTTGCCCACTCCTCACTCCTTGGCCTCCTTCTTTGCATCATTGTTTCAGATTGCTCTTCCAAGGCTCCATACAACATATGATTTTCCTACACTGTCCATGGGTTCTCATCTGCTTAATCTCAGGACGTCTCTTCAGAATGATCCAGAGCTCAGGATGCGGGCAGGCCAGGGGTGACCTTTAGCATGGTGGCTCCTGGAATTCCAATGCCAGATGGAGCCAGAGGCCTGGCCTTTCTGGAGGAGGGTTTGAGAACTTAGGCTCATTTCTATCACTTTGGTCTCTGGATAAATTTCAAAAGTCTCATAGAGTTTGGGTGAGAATTAAGCATAAGTGAGCTGAACAAAGCCCAGAGAGAGTGCACTGTCTCTTGCTCTTGGAAGTGCTCTTGCACTTTCTGCACTGAGCATGGGCAGGTGATACTTCTCCTGGATGCTTGCTGGCAGTGCGGAGGCTCAATTATGCAGCCTACTGCACTGGCATGAGGGAAAGCAGGGTACAGAACTCACCCTAAACTACCACGTTGTTCTCACTTCATGGGGTCAAGGGAACCAAATGAGACAGATGTGAGCGCACTTTAAAGTTATAAAGTGCAATACAAATGTGAGTTTTGATAACGATGACAAGCCCTACTAACCATCTGTCTCGACATTCCGATTCCTTGGTAAGATGTCTTTGGCTTCTTAGCATGTTGTAGCATTTTTATTTCCTCATTCAAGTGAAGCAGGGAGTAGGCGTGAAACTAATGTCAGACTGCCTGGGTTGGAATCTGAGCTCCACTATGCAGTAACTGTGTGCTCTGGGCAAGTTATTAATTACTCTGAACTTTTGATTTTTTTTCACCTGTAAAATGGGTGCTACGATCTGAATATTTGGGCCTGCACAAAATTTGTAGGTTGAAACCTAATCCCCAGTGTGGTGGTATTAAAAGGTAGGGACTTCAGGAATTGATGAGATCACGAGGGTTCTGTCCCCCTGAATGGGATTAGTGACCTTATAAAATAGGCTGAAGGAGCTTGTGTCTCTTTTCCATCATGTGAGGACACCGAAAGAAGGTGCCAACTATAAGGCAGAGAGTGAACCTTCATTAGACACTGAATCTGCTAGCGCCTTGATCTTGGACTTCCCAGCCTCCAGAACTATGAGCAATAGATTTCTGTTAGCCAGTCTGTTATTTTGTTGCAGCAACCTGAACTAAGACAATGTGGATTAAGAAGGGTAATATAATCCCCTCATAGGGTGATTATGAAGACTAAGTAATGTGAATAGCACTTAGTGCCTGGCATAGAGGTGGTTTTAAAAAAAAGTTATTCATTATTTACATGTATGTATGTGTGTGTCTGTGTGTGTGTGTACATGTTTAGGTGGAAACATTCCAAAAATATTTAAGTATGTCACAATCATACTTTAAAAATACAATATACAGTTATTAATTATAATTTATAAATTAACTCAAATTATAATTTATTAATTACAAATTATAAAGTTCTTTGTAATTTGTCCTACTGATCTCACCAGCTTACTGTTCCACCCATCCTGCACACACAGGCACACATGCCACACACTTCAGCCACAGCTGAACTCCTGAGTTCTCACATAGTGTTGTGCCTTTACTTCCTCCCCACATCCCCTATCCTCTCTGGAGAAGTGGAGACTAGAGCTGGGGAGTTTCTCCGAGTTCCTGGTTGTCACTGTTTCCAGAGGCTCTGCTGGTTTCCTTCTCCCGGGTTCTGGGAAGCAGTCTTGCAGCGTCATTCCTGCTTATGCTTGTTGGTGTTTCTTTCTTGCAACCAAAGAGTTCTGTTACTAGGACCTGCCTCATATGAGTCCTGTGAGGTTCAATGAGATGACTCATGACCTGTATCTGTCATGATGCTTTACACATCCTGAGTGTTTAAATGTCATTATCATTGTATGCTCCAAGTTGTTGATCAGTGGTGGATCTATGCATGTGAATAAATAAAAAACTTAGTTTCTTTCCTTCTGGAAGGTAATTTCAAGTTGTGGATTGGAAAAGGATTTAGTTAAGAAAACAGAATGGACTTAAGGTGATCTGACTCTGAAGTTCTACAGAGTCACATTTACTTGAGAGTGTGCTCGGTGAATAAAAGCTTAACACATTTTCTTTAGGATGTGATGGTTGCCTGAGTAAATTGTGAGGGCCACGTTTAGTGTATTCTGATGGGAGTGAGAATACTTGGGTTCCAATCCCAGGTCTCACCCTTATTAACTGGGTTATCTCAGGCAAGTAGTTAAATTTCTCTGCACCTCTGTTTTCTCATCTGTAAAATGGATATGGTAGCTACCTCCAAGAGTGTTGTAAAGATAAAATGAATTGGCCGGGTGCGGTTGCTCATGCCTGTAATCCCAGCACTTTGGGAGGCTGAGGTGGGTGGATCACTTGAGGTCAGGCGTTTGAGACCAGCCTGGCCAACATGGCGAAACCCTGTCTCTACTAAAAATACAAAAATTAGCCAAGTGTGTTGGCACACGCCTGTAATCCCAGCTACTTGGGAGGCTGAGCCAGGAGAATCGCTTGAATCTGGAAGGCAGAGGTTGTGGTGAGCCAAGATTGCGCCACTGCACTCCAGCCCGGGCGACAGAGAGAGACTCCGTCTCAAGAAAAAAAACAAAATGAATTAATACATATGAAGCTCTTAGCATAATGCCAGGCATGTAGCATTCAGTAAGAGTTATCTCATATTTAATCATCTAAGTTTCCTTTATCATCCCAACATTAGAAGGTCAATTATTTTTAGCTGGAAATGATCTTAGTGCTCATACATGCCAGTGTTTGACAGACTTGTTTATTTCTTCTTCCTTTTTAAGCAATGAACTCTTTTTTCCTAGTGAAACCTGTGTGGAACTGTAGCAGCTGAGGTTGGGGCCACCATGTGCCCATGAACACACAGCATTTCTGGACCATCTGGAGGCTTCTCTTTTATATCTCTCAAGGAGTAGGGGTGGGAGGCAAATATGTCCACAATCAGAGGCGATAATACCTAACTGATAACCCAGACATGTGTGGATCTCTAGGCAAATGGTGTAAGCACAGATCCGGGCCCAGACCCCTTCATTTTATTCACAAGGAGGCTGAGTTGCATGAAGAGGCTAACAAGGAAATTTAGTAAGGGTAGTAGCAACTGTACTTCATCAGGTTCTGGAATGTCTTTTCCAAATCTTAATAAAATGCAGCATTATCATAAGTTCAAATACAAGCAAGAAAACAAGTACATGGTAGGTTTATTAATAGTAGGTTAACCCAACCAGGTGGAATTTGAGATTATCTTTGGTTCAAAACTGTTTCAGAAACAAAAGGAGACAGGGAGATTGTAAATTCCAAAAGAAATGGAAACTCACAGTCAAAGGCACCTTACTAAAATCCATTTTAAATCTACTGAATCTCAGCAAGTCACCTATTAAAGGCCACAGTTTCACTTCTAATGAACAGAGGTTAAACCAATTTTGACCACCACTGCCTAATAATGTCTTTATATTTTACCTCCCTTGTCAGAAAGAATTAATTCATTCTTTATTCATTCAGCAAATATAGCAAAAATATCAAGTGGCAGAATGAGAACTTGAACTTAGATTGTTTGACTTAAGGCCAGTGAACTGTCAGCTAAGCTGCTTCTTTAGCAAGAAGAAGACAACAAGAAGAACATTGGGTTTGGAACCAGGAGAAATGGCTTTGGATCCTGGCTTTGCAATTTGCTAATTTTATAACCTTGAAGACAATTTTTACCTGTCTGCTCAGCCTAAAAACCATGACCTCCCTTTTCTCTACAAACTTCCTCTGCAGTTTGGCTCCACATTACCGCACCCTTTGTCCACAGCAAATGAGTGCTATTATTTTATTATTCTTTGAGAAAAGCTGGATCCTTATTCCCGAAAAGTCCATTCCTGCGTAAAATGCAGGTGTTGGTTTAATTAGAACCAGTTGATGGAACCAGGTTGCCCAGAGTAACATCTGTAGCACTTCCTTCTGAATCTTGATTTAAAAAAACATTTTTTTTAGAGTAATAGTACTGTGGACGCCATGACCTTAAATGTGGATTTGCAGAATCATAATTAAATTCTGCTCTCTACTGGCTCAACGCTGGTCTTTTATCTCCTTCAAAAGTCATTCTTTGAGGCTGGGGGTGGTGGCTGATGCCCGTAATCCCAGCACTTTGGGAGGCCGAGGCAGGTGGATCACTTGAGGCCAGGAGTTCGAGACCAGCTGGCTAACATGGCGAAACCCAATCTCTACTAAATATACAAAAATAAATAAATAAATAAATAAATTAGCCAGGCATGGTGGTGCCTGTCTGTAATCCCATCTACTTGGGAGGCTGAGACAGGAGAATCGCTTGAACCTGGGAGGCAGAAGTTGCAGTGAGCCGAAATTGCACCACTGCACTCCAGCCTGGGTGACAGAGTGAGACTCTGTCAAAAAAAAAAAAAAAAAAAAAAAAAAAAAGGAAGTCATTCTTTGAGATGTCTTTCTCATGCATGGGGATTCTTGATTTGGCCCTGAATAATTTTTCAGCCTCATCTTCCCCATTGCCAAATTCATACATATTGAAACACTTGTCATTCCCCAGATACTCCAAGCTCTCCCTGCCTTGCCTTCAAACATAATATTGTTCCCTTTCCCTGAAATGGCCTCTCCTGTTGGGCTTCCTGCCATCATCCTTCAGGCCTGAGTTCCAATGTCTCAGTTCCTCTGAGTGGCCTCTCCTGACCCTGCTGGCTGGGTCTGCTGTCCTCATCTGTGTGCTCATAGATTACAATCTGCTGGTGTTCTCTTGGGGTTGTCAGTTGTCTTATCTGGCTCCTCCACTATGAGCTCTTTGAGGACAGAACTGTGCACTATTCGTGTCAATACTCCCTCCAGGACTTACAAGAACTCATGGTGGAACATGAACAATCCATAAATATTTGCTGAATGAATAAAGCATGAATTAATTCTTTCTGACAAGGGAGGTAAAATATAAAGACATTATTAGATAGTGGTGGTCAAAACTGGTTTAATCTCTGTTCATTAGAAGTGAAACTGTGGCCTTTAATAGGTGACTTGCTGAGATTCAGTAGATTTAAAATGGATTTTAGTAAGGTGCCTTTGACTGTGAGTTTCCATTTCTTTTGGAATTTACAATCTCCCTGTCTCCTTTTGTTTCTGAAACAGTTTTGAACCAAAGGTAATCTCAAATTCCACCTGGTTGGGTTAACCTACTATTAATAAACCTACCATGTACTTGTTTTCTTGCTTGTATTTGAACTTATGATAATGCTGCATTTTATTAAGATTTGGAAAAGACATTCCAGAACCTGATGAAGTACAGTTGCTACCACCCTTACTAAGAAAGAGTAAATTTAAAAGATATTTGCTCTTTCTTCTCACTTAGAATTGTTCCCGTGTCAAGTTTCATTAAATAGAGAAAGACATTAAAACTAGGGTTTTTCAGTCCTTAAGACTTTAAAAAATGGGTCTTACATGTTAAAAATTAATACTTTTTTGCCTTCATTTCTGGACCAAACCACATATCATCACCAAGATTGCCTGGTTGGGAAGAGTTTGCAAAGTGAGTTTATATAATGAGGTTTCATTGAGCTAACTGCTTCCCCAAAATAGCATCCTTCATTTGGAAGAGCTTGAAGTTCAGATAGCTGTTCTTCCTTTGTTAATTTGTTTTCTAGTGAAGCGAAAGTTCCTGTCACAGATTTATTTTTATTGTGACAGTGGTGGGGGAGCAAAGAAATTTTATTTATAGTCTTGTGAAAGGAAATTAAATCTTAGGACCCCAAACTCATTAAGCCAAAGGGAAAAGTCAATCTGGGAACCGGGTCACACAAACCTGCCTCCCCCTTTTGGTTCCTAAATAAGATCGCTACGAGATAAAAAGCTACACACCTCCCCCATAATTTGCCCACAAGAAAATTCCTAGTGAGCTGCAAGATCTTTTAAGGTGTTTCTGTGAAGATTTCACCATGGCAATGTAAAATGATAGCTTCTCTTTACAGGTGCAGTCACCCCAGGCCCACCAGACACAGATGCATATCTGATTGTTCCCCTGTCCCATTTTGTCTATGTTATCTTATGTCAAATGCAGATTCCCTGTATTTTTCCTCTGCCCATTTGTCTATGTCATCTTATGCAAAAAAATGCAAATTAATAGAGCCAGACAAAGGCATGAATGACTATTTTTCCCTATACCCCTCTTACATGAAAATTGTATATTTCTCAATATCCTACCATTTCCCCTTTAAATTTGGAGCCCTCAAAATCATCCTCGGAGAAAGGCATAGACCTGTCTCCTGGGTGTGCATCCTTAACTTTGGCAAATAAGCCTTCTAAAATGATTGAGACTTGTCTTATCATTTTTCTCGATTGACAGTCTGTTTCCATTCTTCAGATGTATCATTTCCCCTGTACCAACAGTGCCAACTGGGCTGGTTAGAGATATCATGAAATATACTCTAATTTCTTTCTTTCTTTCTTTCTTTCTTTCTTTCTTTCTTTCTTTCTTTCTTTCTTTCTTTTTTTTTTTTTTGAGACAGAGTCTCACTCTGTTGAGCAGCTGGAGTGCAGTTACATGATCTCGGCTCTCTGCAACTTCCACCTCCGGGGATCAAGTGATTCTCCTGCCTCAGCCTCCCAAGTAGCTGGGACTACAGGTGCACAGCACTGTGTCCGGCTAATTTTTGTATTTAGTACAGATGGGCTTTCACTATGTTGACCAGGCTTGTCTCAAACTCTTGACCTCAGGTGATCCGCCCACCTTGGCCTCCAAAGTACTGGGATTACAGGTGTGAGCCACCGCGCCTGGCCTCTAAATTCTAATATTGTGTTTGTGGCTCGTGTTGACAGACAATGTCACAAGGTATGATCAAGTCACGTTAAACTCTGTCTTTGTATTGGTCAGATGTAGCTGCAGAACAACCTCAAGATCTCAATGGCATACCCCAGGAAACGTGTATTTCTTTCTTATGAGTTTACAAGTCAGCTGAGACAGCTTTGTCTCATGTTGAGGGTTGACTGTGGTGGCCCTGCTCTATATAGCTCTCTTCCTCTCCTGGTTCCAGCATGTTGGCCAAGGCCTGTTCTATAATCTTGGGGGGAAAATGTGTTATCTTTCCTCCTGCCTAGGCAGAACCTGCTAGCCCTCTCTGGATGACCTGTCCTTCCCTTGATTCTTGCTGGTACTCTGTGAGTTCTGGGTTTCTGCATTAGTGTCCACCTGGCTCCTGGTAAAGGAGGCCACCCCAAGCCTCTGGTGTTGATTATTTTTCCCTTCAGTGTGGCAGGCCCTATGATTCTTTGAATTTAGCTGCCTCCTGAGTCTCCCCTGGGGACTATGGGAATGTCTCGGTTCTGCTTATGTTATTGGGAGCCACAAATAGCCTGAGCAAGCAAAATACTAGGGTGCTCATCAGGTGAACCATTGGCTTAGTTACGGTTCTTCAAAGAAACAGAACCAATAGGGGTTATCTCTGTCTCTACCCCTACTCTATCTCTCTGTCTGTCTGTCTATCTATCTATCTATCTATCTATCTATCTATCTATCTATCTATTCATCCGTTCACCCATCCATCCATCCATCCATCACCTATTTATCTATCTAAAAGGAGATTTGTTATGAGGAACTGACTCACATGATTATGGAGGCTAAGAAGTCCCATTATCTGCTGTCTGCAAGTTGGATACCTGGGAAAGCCAATGGTATAATTCAGTCTGATGTCCAAAGGCCTGACAACTAGGGAAGCTGATGGTATAAATCCAAGCCTGAGGGCAGGAGAACATGAGATGAGATGTCCTAGCTCAAGAAAAGGGGGCAGCAAATGTTTTTTCCTTTCTCTGACATTTGTTCTATTCAGGTCTTCAAAGAATTGGATGAGGCTCACTCACATGAAGGAGCGCCATGTACTTTACTGAGTACACCTATTCAAATGCTAATCTCATCCAGAAACACCCTCCCAGACACAGCCAAAAATCATATTTCACCTGGGCACCCTGTGGCCCAGTCACATTGACACATAAAATTCACTATCACAACCATGTTGTGCTTCCAGATTTACTTTGATGTGTGCTATGGTTTAAAATGTTGACGTCCCCTCCAAAATTCATGTTGAAACACAATCTACTTTGTAGAGATGCAAAGATTGCAAAGAGGTGGGATCTTTTGGGGTGGATTAATGCCCTTATAAATGAGCCTCCAGACAGACAGATCATCCCTTTTGCTCTTCCACCTTCTGATGTGTAAGATGACCCTCACCAGACAGTGAATGCTGGTGCCTTGATCTTGGACTTCTCAGCCTCTAGGACTGTAAGAAAATACATTTTTGCTCTCTATAAATTACCCAGTCTCAGATATTTTGTTACAGCAGCACAAATGGACTAAGACAATGTCTGCATCATAAGCTAATGCAGGACAATATGTGGGGGGCCACTTTTTAGGATTCATAATGAGGAAAAGGGGCAACCCTTCTCCCTCCCTGCCTCACAGCATCTCTTTTGGTGTCCCCAACCAGTACACCTAGATGAGCCCTCCTTTGGCTGGGGAGGACCACCATTCCCCCTCTGCCTCAGAGAAAGTTGCTTGGCAGCCATGGTCATCATCCATTCTAGGGAAAGGCAACTGGAAACTCCACTTAGGCCTCAATTATACTCCTTTTCTAGTCCAATTTACACAGACAGCCTTGTCTTAGTGATATTGTTGGGCATTTTCCAACCCATTCATGAGTGTGGTACTTTGACTATTGGTTCTCTATGGTTTAGGTTGAATTATATGAATGCCAACATTCAACATCACTTCTTTTTCACATCAGATGGGTAATGTGCCAACATCGTAACAAGATCTGAGGGAGGCACATCTCACATATGAGCCTGAAAACCCAATCGTCACACTTAGGAGCTACAAGAGGATCTTAACATCATTTTGACTGAAGCATAACAGCATTTCCATATGGCTCAACCCATATGCTAACTGGTAGAATTCCTAAAGAGAGGGAGGATGAGTCTTAACCTGCTTCCCTCCCAGTTTCCCCACTGCACTTCACATTCTGAAGGTCTCAGACAGCACAAGTTCTGGAGGAAAGTGGACCAAGCAAGAGGTTGTCAGAATTGCTGCCATGAGCCAGGCAGTGGCTGTGGAGGTTTTATGCACTGTTCAGGGTGCCCAGGCAGTGTAAGTCCTCTTCCTGCACTGGGATCTGTGATTCCAAGAGTCTGCTTTCTGCTCTGTGGCATCCAGAAGGGAAAGAATTTGCAGCTCCAGTTTCACCTGGAAGCTTGGCTCCTGCCCTAGGTGGAGTGATGCACTCAAGCTTTCCACATTGAAGAGGGCTGCAGACTGTGCTGTGAAATGCGTCTGTGTGTGTGTGTGTGTGTGTGTGTGCGTGCAGATGTGCATGCAGGTGTGTGTGCAGGTGTGTGTGGGTCGGGTGTGTGTGCAGGTGTGTGTGGGTCGGAGGGGTGTGGACAGAGGTGGTGGACAGGCCTGATGGGAGGGGCTGGAAAAGCAAAAGCCAAATACCTCAGTCCTTAATGGATGGTCAGATCGCTCAGACTTTTGAGGACACGCCGGCCCCAGTGCAGACCCAATTTCAAAGATAGCTCAGGCCAGTCAGGGAGGGAAGGTAGGTCAGGGCACATCTGTATCCCCAAAAGGAGCTGAAATTGTTCTTTTCTCTGCACAAGGATGACGCAGAGAGAGAAGCAGAGCAGACATAGCCATTTTTGTAGTACTTTCTCAAATCGTTTTCAGATTTGGGAATTGTGGTTTCTAAAAGAAGTAGTGCTGTGGCTAGCTGCCATCTGATAGAGCCATGGAGGTGTTTTTAGACAGTCTTGAAATGTGTGGCTTTGCAGCTCCCCATGTGACAGCAGGCAGTACAATTCAATTTGGACCAGTTGGGGGAAGGCCAGTTAGACTTTGTGGGAATTCTGAATAGTAGACTATCTTAAAAGAAGTGGCATTGTGTTGTATTTTATTTTTCAGATGTGTATATAGGATTCAAGCTATTGATGGAGTCACTATGAGTAGAGGGCCTGCTGTCCCTTCTCCCGACCCATCCCAACCACCCTGCTACTCAAACTGTCTGCTCTCACCCAGGGGGCTGGATATGCTGACCTTCACCCTTCTCCCCATGCTCTGTTCCCCAGGAGGCCAACCTCTGTAGACAGCAGCTACCTGGATTTCTGGTTTCTAGTGGAAGATGGCAGGGTTGGGGGAGGTGATGGGAGGCAGGGAGCAGAGAGTCATCAGTATTGCTTTCTTGCCCCTTCCTGAAGGGCAGGGTTGGCAATGGCTGCCTCCTCTTCTGAAGCCCCCAGCTCCACTGATGGCCACCTGTGGATGCAGGTCTCACTGGGGCTTGGAGAACCTGCCCAACTCACTCCTTCTGGCTAGGGGTTGTGGTGGATTCCTGCTGTTTCCACCCCAGGGCACTTCACCCCAGCCACTTTCCCCTGAGTCTGCTCAGAGCATCGTACATTTTCCTCATTCAACTCTCTTTGGAGCTGTCATCTGTTTCCTGCTGGAACCCTGACCAGGGTCCCCAGTGACTGCCTAATCCATGATTTATCTGGATATATTTCAGTGCTTATCTTCAGCATCTAACTGTGGACATCTCCCTGTCTATAAGCCCCTTCCCTCTGGGCTCCCGTCTCCCTCTCCCCTGCTTGCCACCCACCTCCTTCCAGTTCCTCCTGAGTCTTTCTGATGTCTCCTGGTGTGCCTCTTGGCTCCTTCACCTCTCATTCCTTATTCTCCCCCAGATGATCTTGACCACACTCATGGCGTTGACTGAGCGAAGGGAACTAATCCTCACTGAGTGTGTCTGTGATTGATATCAGGGGCTTTATCCCGTCATTCATCTGAATGTTGAATACTTAGTGTCTTCCATGTATCAGGACTGTTCTGGGGCTGGGGATATGTTATCTCTTTGACTCTTTACAACAAGGTATGCACCATCGTCTCCGTCTTATAGATGAGGCTTCTGAGCTTCAGAGAAGTTAGATACTGTGCCCAAGGCCGGGCTGGGATTGAAGCCCACTTTTCTGCCTCCAAGGTTGGAGCTCCTCCTTCTGTATTGTATTGCCAATGGAGCACTTCTTTTACATTGCTGAACTTGAGATGAACTTAGCAGAACCTTTATATATTCTAAAAACAGCCTCATCTGACTTTGGCGGTTTGAACTGTAGTAGAACAACATTTTTTTGCTAGCTCATTCATCAGAGACATGTGCCTGACTCTGACTTTGAGCCTCTGTTTGCTCTGTCATTCACTGTGATTCTAAAAATTACCCCTGGCTCCCCAAGTGCTCAGTTTTAAACTCATGGTCTCCTGACAATACAAGATTAATTTAAAACCAGAGCAGCAGGATTTATTCCAGAGATTTCTTTTCATATCAGAAATTTGAAATAGGAATCATTGTTTGCATCTTCTTTCACTCTACAAAAAGAAAATGCAGATGAACCTTTTCAGGGTGTAGGGCCAGGGCTACCCTAAGTTGCGGCCTCCGAAGCTCCATCATCACGATTATTCAACGGTTGTGACCTTATTAAAAGAAACAAAGAAGGGATGCGTAGAGAATGGAGCTACCACCTGGATCAAGCTTGGGCTGTGAAATTTAATTAACTTAGTTTCAAAATCTAGCTGAGAGATCTTGGGCAAGTTATTTAACTTCTCTGAGTCTTGATTTTCTCAGCTGTAAGCATCGAATGATAGAGGTGAGTAAACCAGGTATGCACACTCAGCAGTGCTTGGTGAATTGGGTGCTAAAATATTGGCCAGCTACTTTTGGTAGAGACCACAAATGTCACTTTGGTGAAGACTTGAGTTACTACTGGGGTTAAGTTGGGGAGGGAAATCACTTCCCACCTCATAGGGTTTGAAAAGCAAAGTACTGGGGTGAACCTTCAACAGTTTGTATGAGGAGTTCTATACTTTCTAAGAAAGAAGGGACTAAGATTCTAACCTCTTGTCCCTAAGATTTGAAGCTCAGAACAGTCTTCAGGAAGGTTCAGGAGGACGCTGAGCAGGGTCAGGGTGAGGAGGGCCCTGAAATAAAACTACCAACAGGGTAGAAAGAAGTGGGCTGTGGAGATCGTGGTGGTGGGTGCCTTTGGCCTTGAGTGAGTGAAGAGAGAAGAATCAGATGGCCCTTGTCCCTTGAGAGGCAGTCCCATTTTCTGCTTGTCCCTACCTAGCCTTCCTGAAGACAGACTTTGGCCTTAGAGGAGTGGCTCAGGGGAATTGCCTAAAGAAAGACCTTGTATAGCTTAGAGTGAAATTCTTCTTGATACGGACAGGGGACAGGGAAATACTGGGCAGAAGAGGGCAGTTCCCTGGCATAGGCCCCATCCCCAAGCCTGGAAACCTGTGGCAATAAATGGGAACAGGCATTCCTGTTTTTGCACCCAAATGTTGCATTTTTGGCCTATGACACCTCCCTATCCTGTACCCATATAAACCCCAAACCCTAGGCTCCACAAGCTGATGAGCAGACAGATAGATGAACAGAAGAGCAGAGGAACAGAAGAGTGGCGCACCAGAAAAGGAGAGAAGAAAAGGAGCGTTTGAGTTTTGAGAGGAGTTTGGCTTGGGACGGTCAGTGAGTAGATCGGCCACGGGACAGCTGAACTCCAAAGGAAGATCATCTTCCTACTCCATCCCCTTTCCAGCCCCCATCCATCCCACTGAGTGCCACCTCTGTCACCCAGTAAAATCCCTGCATTCACCATCCTTCAAGTCCATGTGTGACCTGATTCTTCCTGGACACCAGACAAGAACCTGGGTACGTGTGTGGATACATGGGTGCCAAGAGGACACTGAGATGGTTAACACTTAAGCTATCTGCAGATGGCAGAGCTAAAAGAGCACTGTAGCATGCCCACCGGGGCTTCAAAGTCACAGGCACACACCCCTAGACACCACTGTGCGGCTGGAGCTCAAAAGTGCTCATCCTGGCTCCTGCACCTGCCCACCTGCATGCTCCCCCTCCTGTAAGGGGTTTGAGCAGCGGTGGAGGCAGAACAGACAAGCCACACCCCTGTGGCACATCCTGCCAGGGCATCAGGGAACTCTCCCATTTCATTTTGACTGAGTTTTGGTGTAAGGAGACTGAAGCAGGCAGGACAGCCTGAAAATCTCCTCCTGACATGGGTGAGTGAACAGATTCCTCCTGGATATGAGGGAATCAGATGGGCAGGGGCTGGACCTTCTGCTGGTCAGCGTAATTGGGCTCATGGCATCACAGCGTGGGAAACTACCAGTCTATCAGTTACCAGTCACATATATAAAGCATTAAGCACAGTGCTTGGCACATAGTAGGCTATCAGGAAATGGTAGGCAGCTATGAGTAATGTTATGTTACTAAATGTCAACAAAAGAGTCAAACTCTGTAAAATATTTGAAAAGATATATTCTGAGCCAAATATGAGTGACCAATGGCCTGTGACACAGCCCTCAGGAGATCCTGAGAACATGTGCCAAAGGTGGCTGGGCTACAACTTGGTTTTATACATTTTAGGGAGACATAGGCATCAATCAGTACATGTAAGATGTACATTGGTTCATCTACAAACATGGGACAACTGGCAAGGGTCGGGGCTTCCAGGCCATAGACAGATTCAAAGATTTTCTGATTGGCAATTGGTTGAAGGAGTTATTATCTAAAGACCCAGAATCAATAGAAAGAAATACCTGGGTTATGATAAGGGGTTGTGGAGACTGAGGTTTTGTCACGCAGATGAAGCCTCCAGGTAGAGCAGGCTTCAGAGAGAATAGAGTGTAAACGTTTCTATCAGACTTAAAGAGTTAGTAATCCCAAAAGGGAGGGTATCATGAGGTGTGTCCAACTTCCCCTTCCCATCATGGCCTGAACTGGTTTTCCAGGTTAATTTTGGAATGGCCTTGGCCGAGAGGAGGGGTCCATTCAGATGGTTGGGGGGCTTAGAATTTTATTTTTGGTTTACATAAGAGAGATATCAGTGAGAAGAATGAACCACTCAGGCTGAGGGAATAGGGGAGGAGGGTGAGACACTGTTACACCCCATCACCTTTGCCAGGTTTCAGGCCCCAGTGGCTGGCACCTTGGGCAGGGTGGGTATGGTCTGTGGGAGGAAGCCCAGAATTATTCCTATACTTTCACCTATAGGGGGTGTCACCCCCTGTTTTATTGCCCGGAAGCACAGTTGAGATAGGCTAAGCATTTCCCAAGTCCTCACAATGTGAGCTTTAGAGCCTTAGAATCTGGGAAGGATCCCAGAAGCCATCCACCTGCGTTTTGGTAACCTGCGGTTACCAAACATTTTAAAGCAGTAAAGTCCCTCTTCCCTTTTTTCTTCAATAAAATTTAGACGATATCCTGATACATGAAACAAATAAAGTGGCATTTTTCCAATGAGGCGTATTTGCAAGTGGAAATGTATTTTGTTGATTTGTGTTAGCATCGGTCAGTGAGAACAGTAAAACTATTGTGAAAAATCCAAAACTCATAATTGAAGCTATGGAAGCTGGTTTCAATCTCCCATCAGATCTGGCAGTCATAAAATTCAAATCAAAGTGCAAATGGAATCCAAGAAGGCCCCCGAAGACGCTCAGCATTCCTCAAATCTAGCTCATTGTATTAGTCACGGTCTCAGCAGGAAACAGTTTGCATTCTCAAACTGAGGGACTTTAAGGAAGGTCTAAACTTACTAAACCATCCACAAAGGCAGGAATAGGGAACCATACAGGATGGTATAATAACCCAGGGCTAGTTGTTATCCTGCTGGGCTGAGGGGCCTGGCAAGGGACCCATTACCAGAAGCTGAAAGGGGAGGACTGGGTAGACAGGGCTGCCTCGAGAGAGCAGGGAACTTCAGGAGAGGGACATTGCTACTCCCAGGAGATCCCACAGGAACAGAGCAGGGGGCAGATGAGTACCCCACCCTCACTCTTGGGATTCCCTCCTAATCTCTTCTTGGGAGTCCCTGATGGCAAACTGGAAGCCACAGGGCAAAAGAGCCCTGTGATGTCATTCCTACAAGTCAGCCTCCGAGGACGGAAAGTAGATCGCAAAAGGTGGAGAGTGAAGCTAGAGGAGCCAGGGGACTGCTCCACCCTGCAAATACATGCCTTCCCCTGTTTTAAAGAGAGCAAGAATGAAGGCTCAGAGAGTTCAGATGACTTTTCCAGGGTTACAAGGTTAGAAGCAATGGTAGGAAGCCAAGTGCTCCAATCTCAGCTCAGCCCTCTTTTCACTGTGAGCTGAGGACTACTGTAGGTATGGAAATGGTAATGTCATCCATTGCATTTTTAGATCTAGAGTTAAGGGAGTAGGCTTAGCCTAGTCCAGTAATTTCCTTTATTAGGGTCAACTATGGTCCACCGTTGCTGTGTAGCCCAGTGACTTTGCAAGTCTAAAGGGAAAGCATAGCTATTTAGGGGACTAACACATCAAGAAGCTCTTTGGCTTTCTGTCCCACACTTGCAGGTCAAACACTTTCTCAGAAAGGGCAGGAAGAATGTCAGCCAAACAATGTAAGGGATTGTAGGGATCATGGGTGCTAATTCTGACCCAGAAATATCCAAGAGGACCCATGTCTGTAAAGGCTGAACAGCTGCAGAGAATTCTTGGATCGCTGGTGACATTTGCGCTGTATTCAGCATGCTCCCCAAAGATTCTGCCCTTTGCCTGCTTCTTATGGAACTTTGGCTTAAAAGGATCTCGTCTAAAAGGACATGCCCCTTAAGATGGTGGATCATAACTGGTACCTAGTGCTCTTGCTACGGTTTGGGGAAATTAGTGGCAAGGATCCTTGCCTCCATGAACTCAAAGTCATTTGCAGTTTGAAGCAGCTTTTGGATGGCTTGTGTGAGAGTCTTATGACTCCTTCAACTTGGAAACAGCAGACATGCAAGCTTTGTGGTGAGGAGAAGCTGTTTACTTATGGATGGTTTAGAACATAAGAGTCAACTCACAAAGAAAACACACAAGCCAGAGTCTTTGTAAGCCCTAAGCATCGTGGGTGTTCTTTTGCCACAGGTAACCACCACATGGCTACTTCTCATCTAGCCGGCCAATGGTATACCCCTTCTCCATGGTTGCCGCCTCCTTGTATTGCTGGTTGCTTCCTTGAGCTTATCCATGTCCTGCCTGCCTTTTCAAAAGCTGTTTACTTAGTCATGGTTGACATAAACTCCGTGCATTTTTCTTTCATAAACTGTGAGGACACTTGGGTAACCTTGGTATCCCAGGCAACTGTGGGGTCATTCTGACCTGCTCTCCCTCTCCTCTCTTCTAGAGCAGAAGCTCAGGTTCCTTTTCCTAGTTTTTCAGATGAAATAGCACCAATCTGTAGCTTGGGCAAGGCTGGTTCTCTCTTGTTCAGTTCTGTAGTCAGCAGGGTCAATACCATTCACTTACAATGCGTGGTTCTAATAGGACTATGCCCTCCAGGGGCCTTGTTTTAACCTAGAAAATGGTGTGACTTCCCTGTTGTCTAGGATCAGGATGCAATACTACAGTAAGCCATTTACACTTAAGTGGACTTGACCACCAAACTATTCTCTACAGAAAATTTTTTTTTGAGATATAGTCTCATTTTGTTGCCCAGGCTGGAGGGCAGTGGTGCGATCTCGGCTCACTGCAACCTCTTCCTCAGGTGATCTGCCCGCCTTGGCCTCCCAAAGTGCTGGGATTACAGGCATGAGCCATCAAACCTGGCCAATTTTTTGGTTTTGAAAGACCTCCTTACACATAGGCATCGCTTAAAAGTTATTCCCACAGGATGACTCTCCTAGTACAGCATCATTCCAATGCTTCAGTTCTACCCAAGATCTAGCCTATAATAAATCCGCACAATGCAATGTTAAAACAAAAGGCCAAGCAGTGTCTCATAGTCTCAGCAAGGATATCAGGTAGGAGCATCAGAGTTTTGCACATGTCGCTATAGCTGAAGTAGGCAATTTGGTCTTGTTTACATATGCCAGGGAAGGAAAAGGGTGGCCAAGTCTGGGTCTTTGCTGTAAAATATACATACATTCTTTCACTTGATTTAAAAATCATGAAAATCTCTTTTTTTTTTTTTTTTTTTTTGAAACAGAGTCTCCCTCTGTTGCCCAGGCTGAAGTGCAGTGGCGTGATCTCAGCTCACTGCAATCTCTGCTTCTCGGGTTCAAGCGAGTCTCATGCCTCAGCCTCTGGAGTAGGTGGGACCATAGGTGCGTGCCACCATGCCCAGTGAATTTTTGTATTTTTAGTAGAGACAGGGTTTCACCATGTTGGCCAGGATGGTCTCAATCTCTTGACCTCGTGATCCACCAACCTCGGCCTCCCAACGTGCTGGGATTACAGGCATAAGCCACTGTGCCTGGCCAAAACTCTTAATAATACAGTTTATACTGAGTCCTTCTCATTGACTCATTAATCACTCTTCCTTGCTATCTGCGACACCTAAAACCTTATTTAATTCTGATGAATAAATATAAATAGCACTCTATACTATAATTACATCTATATTTTAAATATTTTAAATCTTTTCTTTTGGCTAAGACCCTTTAGTGAATGTCTTATTTTCACTTAAAAGTATGCAATTTCTTTCCCAGCTTCTCCAAATTAGCAAATGTTAAATAGTGCGTTGTTAATAGGAGGTTTGACCTATCTATTCAGCTGTGCTGTAATTTTGTGAATAGGGCTAAGATTTAGGAATAAATTTTTAATTGTTTGGTATATAGTAATAGTTAAGTAATAATTTCCTCCAAAGGCAGATTTCCTTTTCTAATGAAATCTAGAGTGACTTTTCTAACCTAGCTTACTTTGAAAAAATACACACTTATTTTAGAAGAGTTTTACATTTACAGAAAAATTACTCTCTTACATTTACAGAAAAAAGTCACTCAGCTAATGAGTGACTTTTCTAACCTAGCTTACTTTGAAAAAATACACATTTATTTTAGAAGAGTTTTACATTTACAGAAAAATTACAGATATAGTACAGAGTTCCTATATATCCTACCCCAAGCTTCCTCCATGACTAACATCTTACATTTCGTGTGGCACATCTGTCGTAATTAGCGAAGCAATATCGATATATGGTTATTAACTAAAATTCATACTCTATTCATATTTCCTTCATTTTTACCTAATGTTCTTTTTCTGTTCTATGGTCTCACCCAGAATCCCGTATTACTTTTAGTCATCATATCCTCTTAGGCTCTTCTTGGCTGTGACAGTTTCTCAGATTTTCCTTTTGAAATGGCCTCACTGTCTGGAATAGCACCCGAGGTTCATTGTCTCATGTCCATGGAGAACGAGGGCAGGCACACACAAAGGGTGAGGTTGATAGCAGAGGTTTCATAAGCGAAAGAAAGAGAAGAGCTCTCTTCTGCAGAGTGGGGTGCTGGAAAACGGGTTGCTTGATCTGTGGTGAAATGCCGGGGGTTTTATAGATGAGCTGGTAAGGAGGAAGACTGGTTAGACCAGGTGTGCCATTTGCATAGGGCGTGAATATCTGGTAGCCCCCACTCTAATCTTTTATTATGGAGGTAGGTTCTCTGCCTGAGTTGCGCCATTTTTTTATTACCGTACACATGGTAACAAACAAATGGAAGACGGAGCCTCCATGTTGGACACTCCTGGCTCCCAGGTAGCTGTTTTCTATTGGCACAGCTGCTGGCATTCTCCTGTGAATGCTGGCATCCAGCTTGCTTATCTATGTTTGCAGCTCGATTTTTCAGGCTGCTCTTTCTTAGGAAAAAAATAATTTCTTGGGCTGCTTTTTGTTAGAAGGGAAGCTCTGCCGAGGACTCTTTTGCCCTACTATCTGCCTAAATAATTTCTTTCTACCCCCTGTATCACTTGTTTTTGTTGACCTTGACGATTTTGAGAAGTACTCCTCAGGTATTTTGTAGAACTGGGATTCTGGGCAGAGTATGTACATGTATTAATGGAATTCTGCACAGGAGACTTGTCTCTTCTCCCCATTTATTTATTTATTCAGTCACTTATTTATGCCATTATAGACTTGTGGATACTTATTTTGTGTTTTGTGTTATAATCTAATACTACTTAATATTGTTGCTCAAATCGTTCTACCTTCAGGCACAGAGAACTCTTTCACTTTGTTCCTGTACCCCTTTGATATACCCACATCCTTGTGGAGTTTTAACATTTTTCTTTACTTTTTTGAGCACTTTCTTGATTTCAGGCACTATAAGATGCTCCAGCTGAGACAGCCAAATACAAAGGGGACCCCGGAGAATCTCCAACTGGCCTGCGCACTGGGAGAGTGGGGTGGAGCCGGGGAAGTTTGCCCCGTTTGCAGCGGGGAGGAGCCTGGCCCCTCCTGTTCCTGTGTGGTAACCTGGGATTCAATCCGTGAGGTGGAGAGCCCGCCTGTTAGCAGGACCTCATCTCACTTTGCTGTGTTGTTCTAACTTTTTCCTTTTCACCCAATAACTTCCATTCTCCCTCACCCTTCAAAGTGACTGCGAGCCTATTCTTTCCTGATCTTGTGACAAGAACCCGGTTTTTCCTCCAACACAGTCCTATCTTGTATTGTTTCCTGCTCTAGTCCGAGATTCAGCCATTTCTCCAAGGATCCTTGGTTCCTTTTATTGGAGAATGGCATTAGAGACAAAGATCTGGGCATTAGGTGTGCTTGTGGCTGCAGGGGTGTCATTACTTCTTGGCCCTCTTAGCTGACGGAGCAAAGAGATACGTGAAAGGAAAATAAATCTCGGGACTCCCAAATCACTAAGCCAAAGGGAAAAGTCAAGCTGGGAACTGCGTCAGGCAAACCTGCCTCCTGTTTTATTCTGTTGAATTTCACCCTGGCAACGTAAGTTGATAGCTCATCTTCACAAGTATGGGAAAAGGACAGAACTCAAAGTCATCCCTCTGCTCACCAAATGCCTATCTGATTGCTTCTTCGGCCCTATTGTTTATTTATTTTACCGTATGTAAAAATGCAGATTCACAGAGCCAGACCTCTACCTTGCCCCCGACCTGTAAATTTTGTATTTGGTGAAAGGCTGATCAAAAGCTCAAAAGAATGCAACCCTTTGTCTCCTATCTACCCACACCTTTAAAAAATTTCTTCCTCTTTCCCCAGTATCTGCCCTTTTCCCTTTAAATATTACAACCTTCAAAATTATCTTTGGAGAAAGTCACAGACCCAGTCTCCCAGATGCGTGTCCTTATCCTTGGCAAAATAAACTTCTAAACTGATTGAGACATGTCTCAGAGACTTTTTGGTTTACAGATATATAAGCCATGTGTTTATAGACATTCAAACTGCCATTGAAAAATTCTGAGAAAATTATGACAAGTGTAAGAGATTTGACCTAACCAACTCCATCTTGCCTCTAACCCCTGAGCTGCCCTTGTTCATTCCTGGGCATAGGCTGAACTAACTTTGGGAGGAACTTAGTTTATAGTTTAACTTTGAAACAAAGACAATAACAGCCCTTCCCGGAACAAACCCCCTTCCTACCTGAGGACTAGACTGGCTTTGTAGGACTAACAAATTAGCCACAAGATTAGAAATGACGATTTAGGAGTCATGCAGCTGGAGGCTAAAAATTCGGACCCTCTCCAAATTGCTCCTGAGGATAACATCACTATTGTAAAACCTAAGACCAGTGCTTGAGATATTTTGCAGACTGCAGACCCTGTACTTGATGGATAGGCTGATGCCACCCAGATGGATAAACTGGCTCATCTGGTCTTGTGGCCCCAACTCAGGAACTGACTCAGTGCGAGAGGACAGCTTCGGCCCAACCAATCAGCAATCCCAACTCACTGCCCCCTACCCACCAAATTGGTCTTAAAAACCCCAATCCCTGAGTTTTTTGGGAGACTGATTTGAGTTACAATAAAACTCCAGTCTCCTGTACAGCCAGCACTGAATGAATTAAACTCTATATTTCAATTCTCCTGTCTTGATAAATTGGCTCTGTCTAGGCAGTGGGCAAAGAGAACCCATCAGGCGGTTATAAATTTAGAAATATTTCTATATATAATCATCTGTACCTATATTAAGCTAATTATGAGTTCATACTGATGTCTTTAGCTCTAACCCATTACCACATGAATCATTCCAGCCACCTCCCCTTGCTTATCTGTAAACTGCAGCTCCAATGGTGAGAAATCTGGCATCTGCCATCTGCCATCCATTTCTTTCTCTTTTCTTAGAGAGAGGGTCCCTCTCTGTTGTCCAGGCTGAAGTGCAGTGGTGTGATTATAGTTCACTGTAACCTCAAACTCCTGGGCTCAAGTGATCCTCCTCCCTCAGCCTCCCAAGTAGCTGGGCCTACAGGTGTGTGCCACCATGTCTGGCTAGGTTTAAAATGTTTTGTAGAGACGAAATCTCATTATGTTGCCCAGGCTAGTCTTGAACTCCTGGCCTCAAGCAATTCTCCCACGTCAGCCTCCCAAAGCTCTGGGATTATAGATGTGAGCCACTGTGTCTGGCCTGTCATCCATTTTCTTAATTGTTCAATTCCAGAATACAGGTATAGTGGTTTTGGAATTGTTAACCTGTACCCCTGTGTAAATCTACATCATCACCCAAAGTACAGTCTTATATACAGTTCCATTTGCCTTTAGTCTTATAGACTGGTCATTTCTAAAGTTACTTAGGTCAGCACCTGATGTGGCTTGGATCTATGTCCCCACGTCACTCTCATGTTAAATTGTAATCCCCAATGTTGGAGGTGAGGCTTGGTGGGAGGTGATTGAAACATGAGGGCAGTTTCTCATGCGTGGTTTAATACCATCCTCCTTGGTGCTGTTTTCATGATAATGAGTGAGTTCTTGTGAGATCTGGTTGCTTAAAAGTATATGGCACCTTCCCCCCAACTTTGTCCTGTGCCAGCCATGTGAAGTGTCTTGCTCCTCCTTTGCCTTCCGCCATGATTGCAAGTTCCCTGAGGCCTCCCCAGAAGCAGAAGCTGCTACGCTTCCTGTACAGCCTGCAGAACCATGAACCACTTAAACTTCTTTTCTTCATAAACTACCCAGTCTTGGGTATTTCTTTGTAGCAGTGTGAGAATGAACTAATACATACCCTTTCCCTCTACCCTTTCAGTTGTGTTGTTTCCTACATATGTAATAGAGTCGGATTGTTTTGTTACATTGTGCATACCATCCTGTGATTCCCCTATATGATTTTTTAAAAATTTGTTTACATTAAGGTTCATTCCTTGTGTTGTAAAGTTCTATGGATTTTGACAAATGTATAGTGTTATGTATCCACCATTGCAATATTATATAGAATAGTTTTACTGTACTAAAATATTCCCACACACTTCACCTATTCAACATTTCTCTCTCCCCAATCTGCAGGCAACCATAAATTTGTTTACTGTCTTTATAGTTTTGCCTTTTCCAGAATTTCATACAAGTGTAATCACATCGTATCCAGCCTTTTCAGGGTGGCATCTTTTACTTAGCCATATGTATTTAAGATTCATCTATTTCTTGGCATGGCTTGATAGTGCATTTCTTCTTAATTACTGGATAGCATTTTATTGCATGGATACCACAGTTTGTCTATTCATCCACTGAAGGACAGCTTGGTTGCTCCCAGTTTTTGGCAATTATGAATAAAGCTGCTATAAACATTCACGTGCAAGTTTTGGTGTGAACATAAACCTTCAAATTAGTTAGTTTGAACATAAACCTTCAAATTAAACACTTAAGGAGCTCAATGATGGATCAAATTGTAAGACTCTATTTAACTTTGTGAAGAGCTGCCAAACTGTCTTTCAAGGTGTCTGTACCATTTTGTGTTCCCATCAGAAATGAATGAGGGTTTCTGTTGCTCCACATCTTTACCAGAAATTGGTATTGCCAGTGTTTTAAATTTTAGCCCTTCTAATTGATGTGTAATGCCTAGCGGGCCTTAAAAAATTTTGGAATATATAATAGCTCTCTTAACTTGTCTCCCCTTAATGGTCTTGACTTCCACTTAAGGGACTCATGGATCAAACAATGTTCTTCACTCTTCCTTTAAAACACAGATGGCTGCTCCGTGTGCTGTTCCCTCATGAGATGATGCTGAGTTCTCTCTGGTTTGCCTGCACCGCTAAGCCCCCATCAGTAGAGATGATATGCTTACCAAGAATCAGTTTTGTTTTTGTATGTTTAGGCCAGACGTATTTGTTATTGTAATTATGTAATTGATTGAAATATTAATGAACCTATACAATATAAAGATGAAATGAGAGTTTTTTTAGCTGTAAAAACTTAATGGTCTTCATTTCATCTGGCTCTTTTCCACTTAATTCAGATGATTGTATGCTGTATTTGCAAAAAGCTCTGGGTATATATTTCAGGTATATCAACAAGGATAATATCCACATCACTCTATTTTTCATCTTCCCAAGAGTATTTCTGTTGCAACTGATGCTTTTTTTTTTTTTTCAAAATCCTTGGGGAAGATTTAATGCAGTATAAGTATAGTGTGCTAATGCATATTGATTTACGCCTTTGACACCACTCACAGAGTAGCAGCTAAAACCACCTTTGTTTTAAGAACTGGTTTACAAATGTTATAGTAAACTAAATATGGCCTGAGAAGGGCTCTGTACTTCTATATCTGAGTCCTTGTTGACGAACTGTAACCTAGCTTAATAGGCAGACAAGGCTGGGTGCGGTGGCTCACACCTGTAATCCCAGCACTTTGGGAGGCTGAGGCGGCGGATCATGAGGTCAGGAGTTTGAGACCAGCCTGGCCAACATGGTGAAATCCCGCCTCCCCTAAAAATACAAAAATTAGCTGGGTGTGGTGGCAGGTGCCTGTAATCCCAGCTACTTGGGAGGCTGAGGCAGGAGAACTGCTTGAACCTGGGAGGTGGAGGTTGCAGTGAGCTGAGATTGCGCCACTGCACTCTAGCCTGGCAACAGAGCAAGATACCATCTCAAAAAAAAAAAAAAATTATTTTCCAGCCAGGTGTGATGGCTCATTCCTGTAATCCCAGTACTTTGGGAGGCTGAACCGGGCAGATCACCTGAGGTCAGGAGTTCGAGACCAGCCTGGCCAACATAGTGAAGCTCCATCTTTACTGAAAATACAAGAAATTAGCTGGATGTGGTGGTGGGCACCTGTAACCCCAGCTACTTGGGAGGCTGAGGCAGGAGAATTGCTTAAACCCAGGAGGCAGAGATTGCAGTGAGCTGAGATCGTGCCATTGCACTCCAGCTTGGGCAACAAGAGTGAAACTCCATCTCAAAAAAAAAAAAGATAATTATTTTCCACCTTAACAAACCAACCAATGACTAGTCTCCATTGTGCTGGAAAACAGGACTTTTATAATAAATTAATTTTTTAACGATAAGTGAGATTATGGGGTGGGCACAGAAATATAATGCAAAATTTAAAATGTCAGCAATTAAAGACCAGAACTAGGATGAAATCTGTTTAATTGACAACTCTGATGTGTTGGAGACTGATAGGCACTATTTTTTCACTCTTTGTATTTATAATTCTGTAATAGAAATGAATGTTCTTGTCAAACAGAAGCCTCTCTTGCTGGAGGAGTGAGCTCGAGTGGCTCCTGGGCATGAACAGAGAGCCCAACCCAGAGGGCTTAGCTACTTTGAGCTGCTTTGGTCTGGCTGTTGGTTTTCCAGGTCCGAGCATCACATGTGAAAGGCAGTACGGCTGTCATCACTCATAGTCATTTTACCCTAAATCTGCTATAATTCACAGTGATCACTTAATTTGAGCAGTTACATAATTTTTAGTTATCTTTTTTACAGTTCTGTATTTTAAAAAATTCCAAAGGGGGAATTTTTATTTTAGTAGTCAGAAAATAAGTTATTATAATAATAAAAAATAACCTTTATGGATTTAGAAATGCTTTACTGTTTGCAAGATACTTTGATAACTGCCATCCTCAGTGACTGTCACAACCACCTCTCTGATCTCTGTAATGTGTCTACTTGCAGGTGGACTTTGGTTCTTGTCTTATTGTCTTCTGCCCACCAGAAGTCCTGCTCCACGGTTCTCCAGCCCCCTCAAACCCGGGGGCCTTCACCTCAACTCCAGTTCTGTCACCCTCTTCTGGGGATACACACGGCCACTGAGTCTCAGTCAGTTATGGCTCAGAAACACTTTTGAGGTTATGAATCCTCTCTCAGGGAGAAAATGATCTTTCAGACCTCACTTGATATTTCCCCAAAAGTTGCAAGGGGTTTGCAAACCCCTGGGAGCCCATCCATTTGCCCCTGCCTGGCCTGAAACTTCTCTACCCCTGGAATCTTGGTCCTAACCTGTCATTCTGATCCACAACTTATCCTTCCAATGCTCTCCCTCCTTTGCAACCACAACACCTTTTCTTTGATCTCATCTACACTTCCAGGCCCTAATTTCCCATCAGTCTATCAGAACCCACCGGTAGTAATGTCTTTTCCTAAGTAGCTCAAACACCACACTCCAACATTCCAACTTGTTTTGTCTCCCCTTTCTTTCTTTTTTTTTCTTCTTTTGAGACTGAGTCTCACTCTGTCGCCCAGGCTGGAGTGTAGTGGCGTGATTTCGGCTCACTGCAACCTCCGCCTCTTGGGTTCAAGCAATTCTCCTGCCTCAGCCTCCTGAGTAGCTGGGACTACAGGCGCGTGCCACCACGCCTGGCTAATTTTTGTATTTTTAGTAGAGATGGGGTTTCACCATCCTGGCCAGGACAGTTTCGATTTCTTGACCTCGTGATCCGCCTGCCTCGGCCTCCCAAAGTGCGGGATTACGGGTGTGAGCCACTGTGCCCGGCCATCTCCCCTTTCTTTATATTTAGCCATCAAGAAAACTCTAATCCTGGATCTAAACCACTATTCCCCTTCTCCTTTCTTACCCTTGCACCTCCTACTCCTGCTGGGGAAAGTCAGACAACTGATAACAGTTTGCCATTACACATGTATCATCTCCAACTTCATCTACACCTTAAAACTACCCAGCCGCCCCTGCTATGAACCCAGCACCTGTTTCCGAATGCCTTTGCCCTCCTCAAACTCCCCCACACCCTCCTGGTGCTCAGTCATGACCTTGCCCTCTACAGATTCAAAACGCTCTTCAAGACCTTTCCATCACAGCTCCTGGAGCCTCTACTTCTTTCCATTTGCAAGCCTTCAGGATACTGTAGGAGCCCCTTAGAGCAGCGATTTTCAGTGTGTTTCCTGGACCAGTGGCATCAGCAGCACCCGAAAACTTGTTATAAATATTGTTCTCATGCCCTGTCTAGATCTACTGAATCAGATTCTGGGAGTAAAGTAGGCCCCAGCCCCCTGAGTTTTAACAAGTCCTCCAGGTAATTCTGATGCACATTAAATTAGTGGGAGAACAATTGCCTTAAAATAAAATGCAGCCTCTGCCTGTTTCTTTAATCTTCTGCCTTGTCCCATGGCCAACTCCTCCATTCTATGGTACTCTAACGATGCAGAACTGTGGTACTAATCATTCTCCAATCTGATTAAGTTTCTTCCTGGCTCAGGGATTTGTAAAAGCTGCTACCTCAGCTTGGGAATCACTACTGCTGTCTATTATTCCCTTCACCCCTTGTTTCCCAACATGACAAGCTTCCAGGACTTCCTTCCTCCTAGAGTTAAACTCTGGATGTGAAGACAGACTGGGATGTGTGCTCTGACATTATCAGCAGAGGCCTCTGGGATTCCAGGACTATTGAAATTGGAGAGTTCCCTGACCCCCTCGAGGGACTTGTGACAGGGGTGTGGGCTTGTTTGCTCTTGCACTCAAACCCCTTATGGAGGGGGAGCACACACATGGGCAGGTGCAGGAGCTGGGACGAGTGCTTTTGGCCTCTGGCCCCATTGTAGCGTCTAGGGGTGTGTTACAATTAATGCTCTTTTAGCAGTTGCTGTCTGTGAATGGCTAAGTGTTAAAACAGCTCAGTGGAGAGTCAGGTGACTACCTTTTACACCCTGCCCTCCTGGTACCTGGCTCCTTGTCTGGTGTCCAGGTAGAATCAGGTCACATGGACTTCCAGGATGGTGAATGCAGGGACTTTATTGAGTGATGGAGGTGGCTCTTAGTGGGATGGATGGGGAGCTGGAAAGGGGATGGAGTGGGAAGATGATCTTCCCCTGGTGTTTGGCCGTCACACAGCCAATCTCCTCTCTGACCATCTCCAGCTGAACTCCTCTCAACGTTCAGACACTCCTCTCCTCTGCTGCTCTGCCAGTGGAGCTTGGGATTTATATGGGCATAGGATAGGAGTGTGGTGGGCCAGAGTGGTCTTGGAAAAGGCAACATTTGGGTGCCAAAACAGGAATGCCTCTTCCCATTTAGGGTTGTGGGTCTCCAGGCTTGAGGGTGGGGCCGTTGCCAGGGAACTGCCCTCTTCTACTCAGTATTTCCCTGTCTCCTGTCTGTATCACTAGGAACCCCATGCAAATATGGGTGAGACTCTTGCTGTGCGGACTTTCCTGTCTTAAATGAGAGGTGACTTGAAGGAAGAGTGTGTGTGGAAGGGGCGAGAGTCATTACAAGGACTTGTCTCTTTTCATTATTTTGTGATAAAGGAAAGCTAAATTAAAACCCAGCCTGTGTTTCAAATGTCATTCTTTGCAATTCTTTTTTTTTTTTTTTTGGAGACTCACTCTGTTGCTCAGGCTGGATACGATGGTGTGCTCACAGCTCAATGTTGCCTCAGCCTCCTGAGTAGCTGGGACTAGAGGTGTGCACCACCCCATCTGTGCTAATTTTTAAAAATTTTGTAGAGACAGGTCTTGCCACATTGCCCAGACTGGTCTTAAATGCCTGGCCTCAAGGAATCCTCCTATCTCAGCCTCCCAAAGTGCTGGCATCACAGGTGTGAGCCGCCACCTGATTGCAATTCTTGAACATTGAGTTAGTTCTTGTTACGCATATTGGGTTATCAGCTTGGTTGGAAGCTAGAGAACTTCAGATTGGGTTAGGGGAAAGGGAGAGCAAGGTAATCTGTCTCTGGGCTACCTAGCTGCCTCTGTGGTCTCAGTTTATGATTTCAAAAGACGGCTTTCACAAAGGCATTGGGTATTCTTGGGACAGATGGCACTCTGTGTCATTCAAACCGATTCCAGGAGAAAGAGGTCTGAATGAGGAAATTCACATGAAGCAAATTGCTCACCTTTTTTTGGGTAATTTACCTCTTTTATGAATCCAAGCAATCATCTAGACCTAAGACAGTGGCTTCCAACTGAATCATCCACTTTGGAATGATGACTCCACTTCCGTAGGAACGCATTTGTCTCACCTGGCTGCACTGTTAGAACAAACCCATCAGTTTTCAGTGGTCATTCACCAGACAGTTCCAATTTGGTTAATTTCCTGTTATTTCTACCCAACTTGAAGCAAGGCCAAATTTTTTGTTGTCTCTTGAATGTTTTTTGGTTCCCTGTAAATATGAGACCTACTTATGTTATTAATAAAACCCGATGGAATTTCTTGGTATTTTTCATGCTGTTTTCAAGTCTGATCAGGAGGTAACCTGAGCCCTGGACCCAAAGTGAACAAACATTCTTCATAGCTACTGTGACCTGTTAATTTAAGCCAAACTCACAATTTTTCAGTTGTTCCAATTCAGACTTTTACTACAATCACCTAATCTTTCATCTGTGATATTATCTTGTGAATATTTCAGAATTTTCATGGCAGCATTGTCTGTACAGTACAGAAAAGGAATCAAGGATTCTATATTTTGAAGCTTCACAGATACTTACTATGTGGCATTTAAATTTAAGAAAAATTCCAATTTTTCTTAAAATGTTGCTTTTGTATTATGACACTTTCCTGGATTACTTAACAAGGATTCCATTATTTCCTCTTGTTTAAAACTAAAAAAGATTAAACATCTTCAATGGCTTCTGATTGTACTGTTAAAGTTACAATTGTGTGTTTAGATTTTCCATATCCTATTTTTTTTTTGTCGGCTTAATCTATCATTTACTGAAAGGTTTATTAAGCTATCCTACTATGATGGCTGAGTTTTCAATTCCTTTTAGTAACTATTTTATTTTAGCTTTACATACTTTAAGGCAATGCTGTTAAAAACATGCAGCCTCAGAGTCATTATAAGTTCAAGCTTACTGATAGGTATTAACCAGTGTATGCTTAATTATTCAGTAGATTATTAAGTATATATCACTTTATATTAATGTATTAATTATATATTTATGCTAATATAATTAGATTAGTTTTTTTACTGTTACTGCAACAAATTACCAGAAACTAGTGGCTTAAAACAATACAACTTATTATCTTATAGTTCTGTATGTTAGAAGTCTGACACAGGCTGAGCATAGTGGCTCACACCTGTAATCCCAGCCCTTTAGGAGGCCAAGGCAGGAAAAGCACTTGAGGCCAGGAGTTGGAACCAGCCTGGGCAACATAGCAAGACCCTGTCTCTACAAAAAATTAAAAAATTAGCTAAATTAGCTGGGTGTGGTGATGAATACCCATAGTCCCAGCCACTCAGGAGGCTGAGGTGGTAGGATCACTTGAGGTCAGGAGTTCAAGACCAGCCTGGCCAACATGGTGAAAGCCCGTCTCTACTAAAAATACAAAAATTAGCCAGGCGTGGTGGCAGGTGCCTGTGGTCTCAGCTACTCAGGAGGCTGAGGCAGGAGAATTGCTTGAACCTGGGAGGCGAAGTTTGCTGTGAGCCAAGATCTTGCCACTGCACTCCAGCCTGGGCCACAGAGTGAGACTCTGTCTCAAGAAAAAAAAAAGTGTTCATTTTTGAAGGCTCTAGGGGTGTATCTGTTTCTTTGCCCTTTCTGACTTCTAAAGGCCGCCTACATTCCTTGGCTCATGGCCCTCTCCTCCATCCTCAACACTAACAATGTTGCATCCCTCTGTGCCTTTCTCTCATAGGGACACCTTCCTTGCTGATATGGTTTGGCTTTGTCCCCACCCAAATCTCATCTTGACTTGTACTCCCATAATTCCCACTGGGAGGGACCCTGTGGGAGATAATTGAATCATGGGGGTGGTTTCCCCCATACTGTTCTCGTGGTAGTGAATAAATCTCTGGAGATCTGATGGTTTTTCTCATTCATTCTCTCTTTGACTGCTGCCATCCATGTAAGACGGGACTTACTTGCTCTTCCTTGCTTTCTGCCATGATTATGAGGCCTCCCCAGCCATGTGGAACTGTAAGTCCAATTAAACCTCTTTCTTTTCCAAATTGCCCAATCTTGGGTATGTCTTTATCAGCAGTGTGAAAATAGACTAATACAGTAAATTGGTGCCAGTAGAGTGGGGCACTACTGAAAATATACCTGAAAATTTGGAAGGGATTTTGGAGCTGGGTAACAGGCAGAGGTTGGAATAGTTTGGATGGCTCAGAAGAAGAGAGAAAAATGTAGGAGTTTGGAACTTCCAAGAGATTTGCATGGTCCCTAGAGATTTGTGGAACTTTGAACTTGAGAGAGATGATTTAGGGTATCTGGCAGAATAAATTTCTAAGCAGCAAAGCATTCAAGAGGTGCCTTGGGGGCTGTTAAAGGCATTCAGTTTGATAAGGGAAGCAGAGCATAAAAGTTCAGAAAATTTGCAGTCTGACAATGTGATAGAAAAAAAAAACCAATTTCTGAGGAGAAATTCAAGCTGGCTGCAGAAATTTGCATAAGTAATGAGGAGCTGAATCCCCAAGACCATGGGGGAGGGATTTCATGGCAGCCACTCCCATCACAGGCCCAGAGGCCTAGGAGAAAATGGTTTTGTGGGCTGGTCCCAGGGTCACCCTGCTGTGTGTAGTCTAAGGACTTGGTGCCCTGGGTCCCAGCCACTGCAGCCGTGACTAAAAGGGGGCAAGGTACAGCTTGAGCTGTTGCTTCAGAGGATGGAACCCCTAAGCCTTGGCAGTTTCCACGTGGTGTTGAGCCTGTAGGTGCACAGAAGTCAAGAATTGAGGTTTGGGAACCTCCACCTAGATTTCAGAAGATGTATGGAAATGTCTGGATGCCCAGGCAAAAGTTTGCTGCAGGGGAGGGGCCCTCATGGAGAACCTCTGCTAGGGCAGTGCAGAAGGGAAATGTGGGGCCGGAGCCCCCACACAGAGTTCCCACTGGAGCACTGCCTAGTGGAGCTGTGAGAAGAGGGCCACTGTCCCCCACATCCCAGAATGGTAGATCCACTGACAGCTTGTACCAAGTGCCTGGAAAAGCCATAGACACTCAACGCCAGCTCGTGAAAGCAGCCAGGAGGGAGGCTGTACCTTGCAAAGCCACAGGGGCAGAGCTGCCCAAGACCATGGGACCCCAACTCTTGCATCAGTGTGACCTGGATGTGAGACATGGAGTCAAAGGAGATCATTTTGGAGCTATAGGATTTGGCTGCCCCACTGGATTTCTGACTTGCCTGGGGCCTGTAGCTGCTTTGTTTGGGCCAGTTTATCCCATTTGGAATGGTTGTATTTACCCAATGTCTGTACCCCCATTTGTATCTAGAAAATAACTAGCTTGCTTTTGATTTTACAGGCTCATAGGTGGAAGGGACTTGACTTGTCTCAGATGAGACTTTGGACTGTGGACTTTTGAGTTAATGCTGAAATGAGTTAAGACTTTTGGGGGACTGTTGGGAAGGCATGATTGGTTTTGAAATGTGAGGACATGAGATTTTGCAGGGGCCAGGGATGGAATGATATGGTTTGGCTCTGTGTTCCCACCAAAATCTTATCTTGAATTGTATTCCTATAATTCCCATGTGTTGTGGGAGGGACCCAGTGGGAGATAATTGAATCATGGGGGTGGTTTCCCCCATACTGTTCTCATGGTAGTGAATAAGTGTCATGAGATCTGATGGTTTTATCAGGGGTTTCCGCTTTTGCACCTTCCTCATTCTCTCTTTGCGTGCTGCCAACCATGTAAGATGTGACTTGCTCTTCCTTGCCTTCTGCTATGATTGTGAGGCCTCCTCAGCCATGTGGAACTGTAAATTCAATTAAACCTCTTTCTTGTGTAAACTATCCAGTCTTGGGTATGTCTTTATCAGCAGTGTGAAAACGGACTAATACACTCAGACAGACTTCCTTCTATAGCCCTTTCCTGCTTTTCAGGACTCTGTGATTCCATTGGCCAACCTTGATAACCAGGGCAATCCCCCTATTTTAGGGTCAGGAAGTTAGCAGCCTTCATTCTGTGTGCAATCTTAGTTCCTTTTTGCCATGTAACCTAACATAGTCACAGATCCTGGAGACTGGGATATGGACATGTTTGATGAGGGGCATTATTCTGCCCACTGAACAGTTATAATAATTTATTTTTGTTAGGATTTGAGTAGTAATCTCTTTATTTTTAACCACTGTGAGTTCTTATAGGTGTGTCTCTTGAAAATAGCATATGACAAAAATCCTTTTCTTCTTCCTTCCTTCCATCTCTCATTCCTTCCTTCCTTCCATCCATGTATCCATCCATCAATGAGATACTCTTTTAATGCAGAATTTAGTCAGTCTGCATGTATTCTAATTACACATTTCTTACAGGTCTGTTTCTACCATCTATCTTTTTTTGTACTTTTTCTTTGCTGCTTTAAGAAATTTCTTCTTTCCTCTTTGCTCGTTTAGAAACTATACATTTTATTTCTGTTCTTTTGGTAGTGATTACTCTTATAATTTAACACACATTCTGGATATTAAGAAGACCAAAGTTAATCACTCTCTTGACGTTTTTCCTACACACACAAGATCATTTTACCTTTAATTCCCCCACCCCAGACCCCTGTCTAAAATGCAATTGTTCTCCAGCATAAATTTTAGTCCCCGTGTTAGTTAGCTGGGGCTGCTGTAAAAAGGTCACATACTGGGTGGCTGAAACAACAGAAATGTTTTGTCTCACGGTTCTGGAGAATGGAAGTCCGAGGTCAAGACCAGGTTGTTCCTCCTGAAGGCTGTGAGAGGAAATCTTTCCCATGCCTCTCGCCAGCTCTTAGTGGTTTTCTGGCCATCTTGGCTTGTAGATGTATTGCTCCCATCTTTGCCTTTATCTTCACATGACATTCTCCTTGTGTGGGTGTCTCTGTGTCCAAAGTTTCCCTTTTTATGAGGACACCAATCAGTTTGGATTAGGGCTCACCTAATGACTTCATTTTAGCTGAACTGTTACATCTGCAATGACCCTATTTCCAAATTAGGTCATATTCTGAGGTCCTGGAGGTTAGGATTTCAATGTATGAAATTTTGGGGGATACAGTTCAGCTCATAACATCTCCCTACCTTGTTTTTACAGACTTCAAATTAGCCATTATGTTTAGATTTACTTATTTGTTTACCCAATATTTTGCTCAACATTGCTTCCTATAGCTTACTCTTTACTTTTGGGTTCAATTTTCCTCTACCTCAAGTATATCTAGTCTTGATTTGTTTGCAAATGTCTTTATTATGTCTCCATTCTTTTATGACATTTTAGTTGGATCAGAATTCCAGATTGACAATTATTTTCTTTAAGCACTTTGAAAATATTATTTCAGAGTCTTCTAGTTTCTTTTGCTACTGTTGTGAAGTGTGAAATTAATCTTTAATTTTTTTTTTCCCCAAGAGAGGGTCTTGCTCTGTCGCTCAGGCTGGAGTGTAGTGGCATGATCATAGCTCACTGCAGCCTTGAATTCCTGGACTCAAGGGATCCTTTCACCTCAGCCTCCTGAGTAGCTGGACCACAGGTTTGTTCCATCACACCTGGCTATTTTTTTTTTTTAATTTTTCAATTTTTGTAGAGATGGTGTTTCACCATGTTGCCCAGGCTTGTCTTGAACTCCTGGACTCAAGTGATCCTCCCACCTTGACCTCCCAAAGTGCTGGGTAGGAGCCACTGCACCTGGACAGTCTGAAATTAATCTTATTGTGATTTCTTTGTAGATGATATTTCTTTGTAGATGATATTTCATTCATTCATTTTTTTTTCTGATGGCATTAAAGCTCTGTTGTTTGCTGCAGTTAAACCACACTATGTCTAGATGTGGATTTATTTTAATTTATTTTCCAAAAGATTCATTGTTGTCCTGAGTCTACAGAATCATGCATTTTGTCATTTCCAGAAAAATCTCAGCCTTATGTCTTAGAATGTTGTTTTTGTCCTGTTTTCTTTCCTTTTTTTTTTTTTTTTTTTTTTTGAGATGGAGTTTTGCTCTTGTTGCACAGGCTGGAGTGCAATGGTGCCATCTTGGCTCAGTGCAACCTCTGCCTCCTGGGTTCAAGAGATTCTCCTGCCTCAGCCTCCCAAGTAGCTGGGATTACAGGCATGCACCACCATGCCTGGCTAATTTTTGTATTTTTAGTAGAGAAGAGGTTTCACCATGTTGGTCAGGCTGGTAGTTTTAGCAGAGATGAGGTTTCACCATGTTGATCAGGCTGGTCTCAAGCTCCTGACCTCAGGTGATCTGTCTGCTGTGGCCTCCTAAAGTGCTGGGATTACAGGCGTGAGCCCCCATTCTCAGCCCTGTCCTGTTTTCTCTTTTCTATCTCAAACTTTTTTACTCTTCAGTGAAAGTTTTATTGAAGCATAAAATACATTAAAAAGTACAAAAATTAGAGGTGTTCAGTCTGATGAATATTCACAAACAGAAATCCCTGTTTAACCAGCACCAAGACCCAGGAACAGAACAGCCCCAGCACCCCCAAAGCCTCCTTAGGCCCCCTTTGGGTCACTGTCTGCCTCTTATCAAGGGTAAACACTATCTTCACTTCTTTCACCATAGATTAGTGTGACCCGCTTTTCAAATGTGTAAAAATGAAGCCATACTCTAATTCTCTTTCACTCCACATTATGTTCGTGAAATTCATCCATGCTGTATGTATTGTAATTTGTTCATTCTTATTGCAGTATAGTATTCCATTGTATGCATTCCAGCTAGAACTTTCATTAGAAGCATGTTGGACCTTCTTTCCTATCCTCCATATCGCTTAACTTCTCTTTCGTATTTTCTGTCTTTTAATTCTCTGTGCTTCATGCTGTGTAAATTCCTCAGCTCTTCCTTCATGTTCACTGGGTTTCTACTCAGCTACCTCAAATTTGTGGCTTAATCCATCAATTGAATTTTTTATTTCAATGACAATCTTTTTTCACAAATTTAAAAGTTCTATTTGACCCCCTTAAAATATACTTGCTCTTTTTTCAGAATGTTTATCTATGTGTTTAATTTTTTAATTCTATTTTTAAAATTAATCTTAAACATATTTATTTATACTCAGATGGCTCTGTTAAATGAAACTTTAGAGGATCTAATCTTGATATTTGTTGTATATGCAGACTTTTGTTCTTGGTGCATTTTTTTTCTTGTGAATTTTATAATCTTGAATTGAGAGCTGATTTTCCAGTGGGATTTTACATCTAGGACTGCAGTGCGGTCTTGTTGGGGGATATGCTCTTTGGAAAGGTTTTATGTATACTTCTTCCTGGAGCCTCAGAGGTATCATAAGATTGGGGCTAGCTTTTCTATTAATTTGTTGAATTTCTTGGATTAAAGGTATCTAGAGTATACAGGTGTGTTTATATATGTATATATATACTCTAACATATATATACACACATATACGCGTATACATATATATAATTGGGCTTGAGTAAGGTCCAAGTGTTGGTTCTGAATCCTCAGGGGATATTCCCCCTTCCCCCTCAGAATGCAATAATGAGACAGACAACAATCTTTACCCAACAAACTATTTGCAATCCAGAGAAATTTTAAAAGTGACACAGTACTGTGACTTACACAACCAGGGCACCAGACTCCAAGACAAAAGAAGTGAACGCTAGAACCCAAGAATGAGTCCCAAGACTGGGACTTTAGAGAGTCTTGTTGGAGGAATGGGGCAGGATAGAATCTACACATTAAGCAAGGATTGGGAATAGGATATCAGAGAGCAGAACAACCTATGAGCAGGTGAAGCGGAAGGGGAGGTTCTGGAGCTAATTCTCATTGCTGTGAGCACTCGCATCGGGATCACGTTCAAAACTTCTTTACGCCAGGCTGGCGCCCTTCCCTGGACTGGGCCAGGTTCTTAATTGCACAGAATCTGGCCAGTCTTCATTTGCAAAATTTTGAATTATGGGAAGTTGTCTTCAGCAGCATCCTTTGGTCCTTTCTGACATTTACCCCCCACCCCCCGCCACTTGCTACAGCTGCTCTCTTCCCCGCCAATTCAATGCCTCCAGAACAAGGGTCTTAACCTCAACTGCCTATGGGGAGTGGTTGAAGAGGCAGCTAACTTAAATTAATAAAACTAGACAGGATGGTGACTTTAGAGATGCAGAGCTCCAGGGGGATGGGGCTCCTCTACTCCAGCTTATTGTTGTTAAGTTCCAGCACCGCCTGGGTTACAAATCTGGATTAAAAAAAAAATCTAAAAATGTTGGCAACTCATTCAATTTAAAAATGTGCTTTGCTCACCAAAAACACAGCTGTGGCCACATATGGCTTGCAGGCCACTAGTTTACTGCCTCTGCTCTGAGCTGCCTTTCAGAACCTTCCAGGGGACTGAATCCCCTGATTCCATGGCAGCCCTTCCTCCTTCCAGGCCTGCTGGTCAAATAATGCCTCTCACTGTACACATCGTCTGTACTCTCAATTCCCCACCAAACTCCCCATTCCTTGAGTGACCATGTTTGAACATACTCCTACTGGTGGTGAGTTCTCCCAGAGTATGTCGGACCGAATCATAGTGTGTAACATTGGCGGGGAAACCAAGGGAAGAGTATTTTGTTTGATGCAGGTCATGTAGGGTGTCAATGGAGTGTGGGCTTCGCAGCCACATGCTCATGATCCTGCCTCTCTACTGACCAGCTGAGTGATCCTGTCCAAGAGGCTTCATCTCTCAAAGCCTTGGTTTTCTCATCTGCACGATCTGGAGAATAATTCCTGGCAGTGTTGTTGTAAAGCTATTTTAATTTCTGTTGTATAGTCAATGCTTATTTTTGCTCAGACTATGGGAATTCTGCAGTTGAAAGGGCCCTTGGAAATCGCCTGTCAATCCTGTCACCATGCAGATGTAGAAATGAGAGGGTTTGGTTCCAGGAATTAGTCCAAGGTCTCAGCTAGCCAAATTAAGAATTAGTTTGCAAAAAATTTTTTAATGATATATTTTATGGTAGAATTGGCTATAATATCCCATAGCTCATCCATGCAGCAATATGAATTAATTATTAAAGCAGGACTATTGCTCCAAAATCTATCAATTAGAGTACTGGGGAGAGAAACTGGGTACTCACATTTCTTTCATTTATTATCTGTGCAACAGTCACTTAATCTCTCTAAGACTCATTTTGGCATTAAAAAAGGCATTATGATAAGTTCTTTGCCGTCTGAGTGTTACTCTGAGCGCTATTGATGCGTTATTTCACAAACTTGCAGCACACACGTGGTCTCATCATCTCTTAAAAAATGAAAACTAACCCAAGATCATTATTAAAATTTTTTTTAGAGGCGAGGTCTGTCTATGTTGCCCAGGTTGGCCTCGAATGCCCAGGCTTGAGCAATCTTCCTGCCTTAGCCTCACAAGTGGCTGGGGTTACAGGCCACACCACCACACCCAGCTCCGAAGTCATTCTTGACTAGCAGAAAGGCTGGTATCTCCTTCTTAGGGCTACCTGCTCCCCCAGTTGTTTAAAAACTTGAGGGTTATAGTGTCTAAGGTGGGAGGTGGTAGGGAGTTGGGTGGTGAAGCCAAAGTTTAATCAGTTCGCCGTTGCCACAGCTCCTCCTTGCCACACCGTGTCAATGTCAGAGCCACCTCTAAGTCCCCCAGGGACTTTCCAGAAGTTAGGGAGGAATGCCCGTCTGGGCATGCACAGCCCTGTGGACTCTTTGTGTGGCACAGGAAATCTGGGCAAGATCTCAGCTCCTACTTGCTTCTGTGAGCCTCACGTCCAACATCCCAAGTGGTGGCCCTGGTAGGGAGGACGCCTGGTCCAGCACCATCTGACAGAGATGCTGACCTGGTGCAGACTGAGTTCTGTGCTCATTACTGTGGTTCTCTGAGGGAGGACCCAGCCCCTGCCCTCCTTGTGCTCCTGAGTTTACAGCTTTCATAGCTCAGCTGTTTCACTTCTTCTGGCGGCCATTCCAGGAGGCAAGAGACACCTGGGGAGCACCTGTGTCATCTCTTCCTCCTCCTTGGGGAACCACAAACTTCACCGTCAGAATACAGAGGGCCTGAGTTCTGCCCCTTTGGTAAATTCTAGGGCCAACAGCCCTTCTTCCAAGGGCCTGAATACCTACAGGAAGGCCTCCTCCTGAGAGTGCTGGTGGGACTTACCCTCTTGATATTGATACAAGTAGCTCCTAGAACATGCTATGACTGAGCAAAACCAAAAAACCCAATGCAAATTAAAGCTCCTTAGAGCCATCTTGATACACGTAGGCATCATATCGTATTAGATATTTAAAAAAAAATCTGCAGTTAATGCTGTAAATCAGGTGGAATGTGAAATCAGCTGGCGGCTTCATAATCCTCCAAGGAGCTGGACCTTCTGGGAAACCCTGCAATCCTTTTTTGGACTGGCTCTCATTTGCATATGAAATTGAGGGTGCTTCGACATCCTTCGAGCCGGGTTGCACAAGTCTTAGCTGGCCTCCCTTGTGACCGAGAAACAGGGGCCCAGCCTGGGGTCAGGGCCTGGAATTGCTTCCTTTGGGACTCAGCCAAGCGCAGGCCTTCCACATTAGCATTAGTGCTTTCTTCCATCAGAATTCAGCTGCCCCCCAGAGCCAGTCCCTGTGCCAGAATCCAGACAACCACTAGATCCATGGTAGATTACTGTAAACAGTAGAGTTTTTTTTTGTTTGTATGTTTGGAATTCTAGCAAGACTGACCAATTTAAAAAAACTCTCAGAGCTCAGTGAAAGCAAACCAAGGATTAAGTGAAAACACCAGCAAACAAAATCGATAAATCAGTAACTTAAAGAATGGACCTTCGAGGCCTGCTGTTCAGAGTGCTTTGCCAAGTGACGTAAGAGCCAATGACTTGAGATGCAGAAGAAAAGTTGGGAATGATTTTCCTTAGCGGGAATTCATTTATTTTGCGTGTGCGCTGACAGTGAAGGGCTGAAAGCAATGCTATATCGCCCCCTAGTGCCAAATATACGCACATTATCTATGCTGCTTGGGCTCCAACATTGCCATGGCCTTCTCCAAATAAAGCCAATGCATTTTGATGAAATCTAACTGCAACAAATCACATGTGACAGATACTAAAAACAATTATTCCAAGACTTTCCCTGGCTTCTATTTTATTTTAGTTTTTATTTCTCATCTTAAACTTTTATTAAAATATATTTGACTGATTAAAGCAAAGATAGTAACCATGTCTAACATATGTGGAAATAAAATTATTGATAACAACAGCACAAAGATCGGAAGGCAAAGATTGAATTACCTTGCTGTAATGTTCATATATTATACATTAATCCGTAACATACAAAGGAAATGATTCCAGAAAAGCATATCTAAAAGAATATTATAATTGTGAGATATTCTTTTCTAAATTTTAATTTTTTCCAGATTTATTAAGGTATAATTGACAAGTGAAAATTGTATATGTTTATGGTATAACATTCAATGTTTTGATATAGGTATACATTGTGAAATGACTAAATCAAACTAATTAACGTATCCATCTCCTCACATTCTTATCACGCTTTTGTGTTGAGAGCATTTAAGAGCTAATCTTTTAGCCTTTTTTTTTTTTTTTTTGAGATGGAGTCTCCTCTGTCATCCAGGCTGGAGGGCAGTGGCGCGATCTTGGTTCACTGCAACCTCCGCCTCCCAGGTTCAAACAATTCTCCTGCCTCAGCCTCCCGAGTAGCTGGGACTACAGGTGCCTGCCACCATTCCTGGCTAGTTTTCCTATTTTTAGTGGAGATGGGGTTTCACCATGTTGGCCAGGATGGTCTCGAACTCCTGACCTCAGGTGATCCACCTGCCTCGGCCTCCCAAAGTGCTGGGATTACAGATATGAGCCACTGCACCTGGGCCACAATTTTCAAGCATACATTGCTATTATTAACATTTGTTAACTATAGTCACCAGGCTGTAAAATAGCTCTCCAGAATTTATTCCTGTGGTCTAACCAAAGCTTGATACTCTTTAACCAACATCTTCCCGTTTCTACTTCCTCTTTCCCTGTAGCCACCATTTTACTCTCTGTTTCTATATGATTTGACATTTAACACTCCACATGTAAGTGAGATCATGTGGTGTTTGTCTTTCTGTGCCTGGCTTATTTCATTTAACATTATATTATGTCCTCTAGGCTCATCCATGTTGTTGCAAACACAAGGTTTCCTTTTTTTAGTGGCTGAATAGTATTCCATTGTGTATTTACACCATATTTTCTTTATCCACTCATCTGTTGCTGGACACTTAGGTTGATTTCCTATTTTGGCTATTGTGAGTAATGCTGCAGTAAACACAGGCATGTAGATAACTCTTTGACATGCTGATTTCATATCTTTTGTATATATAGCCAGTAGTGGGACTGCTGGATCATATGCTAGTTCTATTTTTAATTTTTGAGGAACCTCCATATTGTTTTCCGTACTGGCTTTACCTATTTATGTTCCCACCAATAATGTACAAGGGTTCCCTCTTCTCTACATCCTTGCCAACACCTGTTATCATTTTTTTTTTTTATAACAGCCATACTGACAGGTGTGGGGTAATACCTCATTGTGGTTTTAACTTGCATTTTCCTGACAATTAATGGTGTTGAGCATTTTTTTTCACATGTCGACCTTCTGATTTCTATGTCTTAATTGCACTGATCATGGAAAAGGAGTGAGAAGATCTGGGGAACTCACAATATATTTGGGAAGTTGAAATTCGATTGCATGTGAAATGGCAGGAAGTGAGCAAGAGGAGAGAAAAGTCTGGATGAGCAGGAGGGAGGGTGTCCGGAGCCAGTTCAGAAAGCCCCACCCTTGTCTTGTTTTTGGAGAAAGAAAGCAACGATTAGGGTCTTTAGGGAGAGAGAGTCTAATGGAAATTTTTAGGAAATTTTGCTATTTACTCTTCAAGGATTTTTGTTGTTTGACTTGCAATGAGTCACAGGACTAAGCTAGACCTTAAATCAGTAGCAAGCAGGCCACATTTCATTTGTGTTACACATTAAAATATGACATCTCATGCTGTTTTGATATTTTTGGTAGCTGCGTGGGTGAAGGACTAGAGGGGATAGATGTGTCAGAAGAACAGTGGGATTCATTAATAAACACTGCCAAATATCTATTGGGCCTTCCTTACATGCCAAGCACCTTCCTAATTGTGCCCTAATGGAAGAGAAAATGGAAGTATCATGGATTTCTGGGAGAAGGGGGAGTGAAATGAGATGGAAAGAAGGTTAACTGAGGTGACAAGGCCACTGATGGAAGTAGAAAGTTAATGAGCCAAGAGCCCTTATAATGGATCTCTGGCCAGTGTCTGCTTCCTCCCCTCTCTGGGACACTGCTTGATGTCAGCACCACTGCAGGGCAGGACCATTTTTTGAAAAGCAGTGTGAGTTTCTCTTCATGAGATTTGCAAATACATGTCATATTTAAGTCAAATAAGCTGATGTTTTTCTCCATGGAACTGTATTATTAGTAAATATCAAATAAGACTGTTACGTAGCTCTGTGTCAACTTTCCAGCACTTTAGCAGTCTCTGAATGGCTACTATACTGCCCATTCATTTTTCCACCCATTCACCCATCCACCCACTCATCCACCCACCAGTCCATCCATCCATCCATCCATCCATCCACCCATCCATCTACTTACCTACCCTCACGTCCATTCACCTATGCATCCATCCAACAATCTACCCACCCATCTATCCATTCATCTACCCACCCACCCACCCATTTTTCCATCAAACCATGTATCCACCTACCCACCCATCTATGCATCCCATCCACTCATCCATCTATCCACCCACCCATTCATCCACTCATTAATCGATCCTCCCATCCACCCAACCATTCATCTAACCATCTATCCATCCACCCATTTTTCCATCCAACCATCTAACCATCCATGTACCCAACCATCTATCCATCCATCCATCTATCCATCCATCCATCCATCCATCCACCCATCCACCCATCCACACTTCCACGCATTTATTGATCCTTCCATCTACCCAGCCATTAATCTAACCATCCATCCAACCACCCATTTTTCCATCCAATCATCTAACCATCCACACAACCAACCATCTATCCATCCATCCATCCATCCATACACCCACCCATTCACCCATCTACCCACCCACTCATCTACCCCTTCACCCACCCATCCATCCATCCATGCATCTTTGATTCTTCAAGTATTCAAGTATGAGTCAGGCAGTCTGTTAAGCATTAAATATTTGCTGGTGCTCAGTGCTTTGGAGGCACAGGGGCAGTTTCTCATGGTTTAGCACCATCCCCCCAGTGCTGTTCTCATGACAGTGAGGCAGTAAATTATCACGAGATCTGGTTTTTCAAAGTACATAACACCTTCCCCGCTGTCTTGGTCCTGCTCTTGTCAGGTAAGACGCTTGCCTCCACTGTGCCTTCTACCATGAGCAAAAGCTCCCTGAGGCTTCCCTAGAAGCAGGTGCTGCCATGCTTCCTGTACAGCCTGCAGACCATGAGCCAATTAAACCTCTTTTCTTTATAAATTACCCAGTCTCAGGTATTTCTTTATAGCAATGGGAGAACGGACTAATACAGGACTTTTCGTCCATTGCTTATCTGCTCTGAACCTTGGTTTGGCATCTAAAAAGCAGTGATAGCAATACTTCTTTGCAAGGACTCAATAAGGCAGTATACTCATAGATTCTTTGCTCCTAATATAACATCTATAACATAGTAGTTGCTTGTAATAATTTCTATTGCTGCTGTAACAAATTATTACACAGTTGCTTGAAACAACACAAATTTATTGCCTTATATTTCTGTAATTTAGAAGTCTCACGCTTGGCTTAGTTAGAAGTCTTCACTTGGCTCAAATTCATGTGTTGGCAGGGCTGTGTTCTCTTCTGGAAAGTCCAGAAGTGAATCAGTTTCCTTGCCTTTTCCAGCTTCTAGAGGCTGCTCACTCTCCTTGGTTTGTGGCCCCTCCTCCATCTTCACAGCCAGCAACATCACCTCTCTCTGACTTTCTTCTCTGGTCACATCCTCCTCTGACTCTCTGCTGCTTCCTTGTCTGCTTGTAAATGGATTACATTGGGCTCACTCAGATAATTTAGGATAATCTACTTTAAAGTGAGCTGATTAGCAACCTTACTTCCAGCTGCAACTTAATTCTCGTTTACCATGTGATATGGTTTAGCTCTGTCTCCCCAGCCAAATCTCATCTCCAACTGTAATCCCCACGTGTGGAGGGAGGGAGGTGATTGCATCATGGGGGGGTGGTTTCGCCCATGCTGTTCTCGTGATAGTGAGTGAGTGCTCAGGAGATCTGATGGTTTTATAAGTGTCTGGCATTTCCCCTGTTTGCACTGCTCTCTCCTGCCACCCTGTGAAGAAGATGCCTTGCTTCCCCTTCGCCTTTTGCCATGATTGTAAGTTTCCTGAGGCCTCCCCAGCCCTGTGGAACTGTGAGTCAATTGAACCTCTTTCCTTTATAAATTACCCAGTCTTGGGTAGTATCTTTATAGCAATGTGAAAATGGACTAATGCCATGTTACCTGACATATTTCCAGGTTCTGGGGATTAGGATGTGGACATCTTTGGGAAGATCATTATTCTGCCTGTCACAGTGCTCAAGATAATTCATTAGGATTATCATTTAGATATTCAGAAACTAAGCCGTATCTGACTGGTTTCAATACCCTGCTGATCTGCATGTGCCCTGATTTGGACCGAGGCTGCTTTCTTTTTCTCTCTGGACATGATCTATCCCCTACAGAGAGCTGAGTTCTTTTTTTTTTTTTTTTGAGACGGAGTTTCGCTCTGTCACCCAAGCTGGAGTGCAGTGGCATGATCTTGGCTCACTGCAACCTCTGCCTCCCAGGTTTAAGCGATTTTCCTGCCTCAGCCTCCTGAGTAGCTGGGATTACAGGTGTGCACCACCACGCCCGGCTAATTTTTGTATTTTTAGTAGAGACAGGCCTTCACCATGTTGGTCAGGCTGGTCTCGAACTCCTGACCTTGTGATCCACCTACTTTGGCCTCCCAAAGTGCTGGGATTACAGGCGTGACACCGCGCCTGGCCAGAGCTGAGTTCTAAGAAGCCTCCAGTTGTTTTTAATTGCTGGGCAGGAACTTGCATGTTTAGCCCCAGCTCCTACCCTGGGCACTTCACTTACTGCCACAGATCATCTTGAAATCTTTAGTTCAACAAGGTTGCCTCATCCACCTATCTTTTCTAGGCAGCCACATGGCATTTGAACTGGGGAAGAGGTCTGGGGACGTTCTGGTCATCTACTGCAATATAACAAGCCACATTAACACTAATGGCTTTATCAACAACCGTTTTATTCTATCTCATGATTCTGTGAGTCACAGATTTGGGCAGGGCTCATCTAGATGATTATTTTCTCCACATGGTTGTTGACAGGGTCCCTCAGTAATGATCAGCAGCCAGAGGGGCTGGTCTGGAGGGGCCAGGGTGGCTTCACTCACATGCCTAGTGATGATGGCAATGGCTGGGAGGCTGGGCTCCATGGGGACTGTTGACCCACCATAGCCTCTCAAGCATGGAGGCTGCAGGTAGTTAGAGTTCATACCGGTAGCTCAGGGCTCCCAAAGATGATACTGTTGTGGTGACCAGGTGGAAGCTGCATGGCTTTGTAAGCTGGCCGGACTCCTAAGCTACCCAGGGTCCCGTTCCCTGTTCTTTTCTGGCTTCTACAGTCACACATCCACCCAGATTCTAGAACACGGACTGTAGACCCCAGCTCTCATCAGGGAGGGTATTGGAGAATTTGAGGCCATGTTTAAAAGCCACCTGAAGGTGCTGAGTGTTTGCGCATCATTAGCGAAGTGAGGAGAGGCATGGGACATTTTAGTGCTGGGCTAAATGGTGGTTCTTGAGGTTTTTTTAAAGGGAGACACAGGGATGGATATTCTTTTAAATTTTGATAAGAACTAAAAAGTTTATTTTTGGGAAAATGTCCAATACATGCACCCATGTGCACATCCACACAACTTGATATATCATTTCAGGAGGCCCATGGATCTGAATGGAACCCACCCACGGACTCTAGGGTGAGATTCCCTGGGTCCAGGTAGACCTTAGACCTGAGAGTCTTTTTGAGGGAAGGGGACATATGTGTAGGCTGACATCTGGTGGTTATTTTAGAAAATTTCTGGCTCCTGGCTTTGGCTAGGATGTGAGGTCACCTACTGTGGTTCTGTGGTATGAAACACAAAAGGAGAAGGAGGAACAGGTGTAGGCTGTGCTTGTGTATATGTGTGAGAGAGTGAGAGAGAGAATGGGGCTGGGACGTATGTTGAGCTTGGGTCTGAGAGCCATCTCGATGAGTTTTCGGGGGATAAATCAGTGGATTCTGTGTGCATTAAGTCTGGAAAACCTTAGGCCGGGCATTTCAGGCAGAGGATCACTGTTGAAGACTCTTCTGGGTGGGGACTGGTCCAGAGAGCTTTTTAAAATGGTGAGGAAATAGGTCTGGAACAGTCAGCTCAAAGTCATTCCTAAGTAATGGCAGGACTGGAGTGAGACCCCTTGACCTCACGCAGGAAGCCAAGTGCTCTTTCTGCTGCTGGGGAACCTTGTTATGTTTCATTTTGGAGGTCACTGAAGGTTTCAGGAAGGGAAAACTTCCTCTGAGTCTCACAGGGCTGCCTATCCATGGAAAACAGCATCTGTTGTTTTGGCCTGCCTGGCACTATTCCCCTTTCTTCTGGACCAGCTCGCAGATTTTTCCTTTGAGGAAACAACCCTTCTTCCCATCTCAATTCATGAGGTTCAGGAAAGATGAACCTCATGTGCTGAAGTTAGGGGTGGGCATTACTGTTGCTTGTTCCTGGACACAGTAATTAATTGAAAGATGGCCTTGCAAGTGTCCTGCCCAGGAACTGGAGACACTGTTTCTACTGGGGTTGCAAACTAGCCAAGGTAAGCCTGAAGGGTACCATATTGTGAATAATATGCAAATGAAGCCAGCCTAGAGAAGCTCAGTGGAGAGAGACACAGTGTGAGGTCCCAGGTCCTGCGTTCTGTTGGGAGCCACTGAATTTGTTGTGTCTGAAGCTGGTCATACTCCTGGACTTTATAATTGTTTCAAGAGCCAATCATTTCTCTATTTTGACTAAGCCAGTTTAACTGAGTGTCTGTTGGTTGTACCTGAGGGAGTACTGCCCAAAATGGAAAGTGTCTCAGTTTGATAACTTAGGTGATTAGCATTGCATTAACATGACCTCCAGGACTAATTTAGTTACTACGCGGTCCAGTTAACATTGCTGAGAGAAAGCTATGCTCCTTGAACATCTCTAATAAAAGCAGGATTTTTGAGGAAGCAAGGATGTCTAACTACAGATAGTTTTCACTGCTAGCAGTACAATGTAGTGATTTTCCCGCTGATAAGGGATCAGCAGTGCCATCTCTACATACAAAGAACTGAATGTCTTGGAAATAATATAGGTGGTACATTTAAAATAACAATACTGTATGTTTTCAAATGAAAATGATTTTGACACATTTGCCAACATCCTGAATTGCATTGAAATAATTTTGTAATTAAACTTCAGAGAATACTGAAAGCATGATCCAATAATAAAAAGCAAATGAATTATGGACCAAATACATTGTGTTAACTCGTAGTGAGCTTTTAAAGGGGAGTGGAGGTGGTATCAAAATCTTTTTTTTTTTTTTTTTTGAGATGGAGTCTTGCTCTATTTCCCGGGCTGGAGTGCAGTGGCATAATGTCAGCTCACTGCAGCCTCCACCTCCTGGGTTCAAGTGATTCTCCTGCCTCAGCCTCCCAAGTAGTTGGGACTACAGTCATGCGCCATCATGCCTGGCTAATTTTGTATTTTTAATAGAGACAGGGTTTTGCCATGTTGGCCGGGCTGGTCTTGAACGCCTGGCCTCAAGTGATCTGCCTGCCTCAGCCTCCCAAAGTGCTGGGATTAGAGGTGTGAGCCACTGCTCATTGGCAAAATTTTTTGAAAGGAAGGAACTTTAACACTGAAAAATAGTATGATAGTAACTTATTTCCTTGCAAAGTAATTGTAACAATAAATGAAAATCTTTCAACCTCTTTCAGTATGCACAGTTCCTAAATAAGTACTAATCTGATTTCAGAATTTCATTTTGTAACAATTTATGACAGAACCAATTTCAGTTATGCATTTTGATACAATATGGTGTAGGAAACATATTAAACTTATGACACAGAGGAGGTGTGAAATGTGTTCTATGAATAAATTTGAAATTTGTCTGCTTGATCTGAAGACAGATTGGGACATCTATCAGTAATACGAGGGAAGAAATTTCTCCCTGGCCTTATCAAATAATTTTTTTCATTTATCTTTTCAGGCTGTGAAGGCTGTCAATTCTGACAGACTTTTAAAGATCAATATTTCATATGGAGTTGGAATTGAGGTCCTGAAATAATTATATTCTCAAACTTTTGAGAATCATTAGGATTATGAGTGTGTTAAAATAGGACATAACTTAAACCTGTGTTTAAGGAGATTAAATTTACTTATAAAATAATCTCAAAGACCAAAGTATCACTGAATCAGACCTCTCGGATCTCACCTTAACAGCCCTTCTTATTTTCCAACTATAGATAAGTAATAGCTCCTCAAGGACTTTAATGACAGGTACACACAAAGTTTATGAGCTTAGAAGTTACATTTGCAGTAGTGTTAATGACAGTGTTGGAATAATAATATCCAGAACATCTTATAGCCTGACTTTGCTTTGAAGTGCCTTAAAAGACAACAGTTGTAGCTTTATATCATCAATCACACTTAGTTTAAGCTGACACAAAACACAGTGATCATTTTCCTTCTCCAAATAATCATACAATGAAGGCTAAACTCTACACAGTATCTGAGTTTTCAGGCATATTAACCATATTTCTTCAATGCTTGAGCAAGTTGGTTAGGTTTCTTGTCAATAATTGTTTATATTATTTTTTGCTACTGCATACAGTACAAAATATAATTTCATTTATTTACTTAATCAACATTCATTGGGCAGCCATTGAACAGGATACTGTCCGAGATCTTACAGAGCTCATAACTTAATGGAAAGACAGACAGGTAAACTTGCAATGACAGCCCCATTTCAAGAGTGCCGCGCTGAATGGGAGGCCATATTGAGAAATAGCTGATGTCCAAGTTCAAGGCTCAAAATTTCTCCGTGCCTCTGTGTTCCCATCTGTAACATGGGGATAATAGACCCCTCCAAAGAATTATGGTGCTGATGAGCTGTTGAATATGACCACCCACAATTTCTGAATTTATCTTTCAGGTTTAGTTCATAGAAACACCGAATCCATCAACCCATCCATCAATATCCGCCTCTGTCTTTCTACCAATTTCAAATTCTTGATGAAGGAATTGATTAGTTCAATTGAATTAGGTGACCTCTCTTGGTCTGGTGATCTGTGGCTGCCAGAAGCCTGCCCCTACTATATTGTGGATTAATGAGTGTCATTGTGAAATAGACAGAAAATCCAAGCCTTGTCTGTTATACCTACATGCAGATTTTGTTGCAGGTTTTTCATTGCAGGCTTTTGTTTCAGGTTTTGTTGATTAGTAAAATGCAAATCTGAAAGTTTTATTGGATTAATAATTTATTGGCTAGGCACCGTGGTTCATGCCTGTAATCCCAGCATTTTGGGAGGCTGAGGTGGGCAAATCACTTGAGGTCAGGAGTTCAAGACCAGCCTGGCCAACATGATGAAACCCCGTCTCTACTAAAAATACAAAAATTAGCTGAGCGTGGTGGCGAGCACCTGTAATGCCAGCTACTTGGGAGGCTGAGGCAGGAAACTCACTTGAACCCTGGAGGCTGCAGTGAGTTGAGATTGCCCTACAGCACTCCAGACTGGGCAACAAGAGCAAAACTCTGTCTACAAAACAAAACAAAAATTAGCCTGGTATGATGGCGCACACCTGTAGTCCCAGCCTGAGCAACAGAGTGAGACTCCGTCTCAGAAAAAAAAAATATTTCCACAGTTTATTTTCTCACAGATATTAGCAACATGGCTGTTATCCTATAGGGCTCCATGGACTTTTTTTTTTTTAAATATTAAAGGATGTTTCTTTATTTGAAAACTCTGGAAACCCCTGTTCTAAAGAAGAGACATTTATATAAATATTTCTAGTGCTTGAGGTTTACTAAAAAAATGAGAAAAGACAAGAGTTCTGGAGACTGGTTGCACAACATTATGAGTGTACTTAATGCTACTCAATTGTACACTTAAAATGGGTAAGATGGTAAATTTTATGTTATACATATTTTACTACAATTAAACTTTTTTAAAAATGAGAAAACACACCAGGCAGTCTCACTGAAACATTTTAACATTTGATGAAGTTTCTTATTTAACAGATAAATGCTTTTGTCCAAACAAAACAGGTTAATCAACCTAGATTTCCATATTAATTTTATATACAATTAATGTCTGAAGATTGAAAAAAATGGGGTATGTATACCCTGGTATACAATGTTAAACCCATGAAGAAGAAAACTACCTGAGACATTTAAAATGTAAAGTAGAAGAAATTCTTCATTGTCATTGTTAGACATCTCCATGCAGGGACATTTTTATCAGGTTGGTGCAAAAGTAATTGTGGGTTTTGCCATTAAAAGTAATGGCAATTTTCGGCTGGGCGCGGTGGCTCACGCCCGTAATCCCAGCACTTTGGGAGGCTGAAGTGGGTGGATCACGAGGTCAGGAGATCGAGACCATCCTGGCTAACACGGGGAAACCCTGTCTCCACTAAAAATACAAAAAAAAATAGCCAGGTGTGGTGGCAGATGCCTGTAGTCACAGCTAGTCAGGAGGCTGAGGCAGGAGAATGGCGTGAACCCGTGAGGCAGAGCTTGCAGTGAGCTGAGATCATGCCATTGCACTCCAGCCTGGGTGATAGAGTGAGTCTCCCTCTCAAAAAAAAAAAAAAAAAAAAAAGAAAAAAAATGTAATGGCAATTTTTAAATTTTGTCATTAATAGTAATGGTGAAAACCACAATTACTTTTGCACCAACGTCACAGAATGTTCATTCAACTTATAAACAGTGACAGAGATCTGCTACTTTTCAGGTACTGGACGAGGTGTGGGGCATAGGGGTAAACAAGATTTCGAGGGTCCCTGTCCCTGCTGAGCTTATACTATAGCAAAGAAGACATTAGACAAGAAATGACCAGTGAGTGTAATAAGTGTTTTGGTGCCTGTGGGAACACATAGGAGAGGCCCTTTATCTGGTCTGGGGTTTCCTGGAGGAAGTGATATGTCTGCCCAGGGGTAAAGAATAAGTAAGAGCTAGCCAGACAAAGAGGTGGAGAAAAGAGTGACAGGCAGGGGAACACCACATCCCACGATGCAGAGACGGGAGAGAAGATGGTGAGTCCAGTGAATGGAAGGACATCTGGAATGATGGGCGTGTAGAGTTTCACATTAGTCTGGATGTGTCCAGGGTTAAGATTTTCTGGGTGGTTGATGTGGAACAATAAGCAAGGGATTTGGGAGGTTTGCAAGAGATTGGTTGAAGGGAAGGCCATGTTATGGAAGTTAGATTGGAGAGGAAGAGAAGATCCCAGGAGCACAGGAGCTAAGAAGTGACCATTTACTAGCATTCATTGAGAAATGGGAAATTAAGGGTAGATCCTGAAGACATAAAGATGTACAATAGGTAGCAGTATAGCATATTAGCTAAAGGAACGAGATTGGAGAACCAACAGATCTCCTTCAAGCCCCCCCAACCCCGCTTTTTTTTTTTTTTTTTTTTTTTTTGAGAAGGAGTTTCACTCTTGTTGCCCGGGCTGGAGTGCAATGGTGTAATCTCGGCTTACTGCAGCCTAGGCCTCCCAGGTACAAGCGATTCTCCTGTCTCAGCCTCTCAAGTAGCTGGGATTACAGGCATGTGCCACCACACCTGGCTAATTTTTTTTGTATTTAGTAGAGACAGGGTTTCACCATGTTAGTCAGGCTGGCTGCAAACTCCTGACCTCAGGTGATCCACCCGCCTTGGCCTCCCAAAGTGCTGGGATTACAGGCATGAACCACTGCCCCTGGCCCCTTCAACCCACTCTTTATTATAAATCTGACTTTGGGTATGCCACTCAACTCCTCTACATCCCATTTTCCTTAACTGTAAAGGAGGTTTATGGAAATGCCTCCCTACAGGGTTGTCATATACCTTTGATTGCATGCAATAAACTTCATAAATCATGTGCATATAGAAACTATCAATGCATATTCAACAGCTGCTGCTGTTTACTCAGCTCTTTAAGGGATGGGTTGGTCCCAGGTGCAGAAGGAGGAGGCTCTTGTATGTGGCTGGAAGGAAAGGAAGCTTCACATCTGCACTTTTCACTATTATTCGCAGCATCTAGGTAGTGCCTACACACAGTAGATGTTCAATAAAATTTTTTAGATGAATTAATGATGGTGTAATGAATAAGTGGTTGAAATCATTGTCTTTTGGAAAATATTATGCAAACACATAGATTAGAAATGTTGACACCATTTGACCCAGTGATTCAATTTATGGGATCCAAAATAAATACCTCTAAGATATTAAAAGCTTAACGCACAAAGATGCTCATTGCAGTGCTAGTGAAAATGGTGAAAACCTGGAAATAACCTAAATGATCAATACAGTGATAACCTAAATGATCAATATTTTTACCCCAGCAAGTGCATATGCCAAAGCTGACTTCACCAGTCCACCAGATGCAACCGTTAGCATATGCACTTGATAGGGTATAAAATATTAACATGAAATATATTTGTGATGCATAGATGCTATCGTGGAAAATGCTTGAAAATAGTATCAAGTGGAAAAAGGAGGTTTAAACTGTGGTATTATCACTTAATGGAAACATGTAATATTCCTTGGGAAGATAAAAATCTATGCCCAGAAGAAGATTAGAAAATATACAAAAACCTGGGTGGTAGGAGTATAGATAATTCTTTTTCTTTCTTCTCTTGCTCTTCTCCTTGTTATTTTTTCTTCAACATTGTACAACTTATCTGTACAAAATTGTGCATGTAACTTCATATAAATGAGAAACATGCCCATCAAATGAGAAAGAAAGGCTGGGTGGACAGATGTTTATCGACCACAGTGGCTGCAGCCTTTCAGTCCTAAATGTCAGCAGCAGTGGGAAGCAATGCTGAGGAGAGGCAGAAAAAAGAGAAAGGGAAATGAGCGTTGAGGAAGAGGAAAATAGAAAGAGGCGTACATATAATTGTAGTGGGGACAGGGGGCACCCTTATTTTCTAGTGCTGTGATGTGCTCCTGGTATTTCTTCTTGTAAGACAGCTGGAAGGAGCGTTGCATGGAAAGGCCCCTGCTGCCCCAGCAAACCCACGGTGCACTTGCTGCGCTTTCCTCTTGGTGGGTGCGGTTGAGTTGTCAGGAGCTCAATAGGTTGTAACCCATGTGAGCTTGCCCACAGGAAGGTGGGAGGCTCACCTCTCCTGCCAACTCCCCAACCAAGTCAGAATTAATCACTTCTCAATGCCCCATGTATTCTGTATTTTGCAAATATGAAGAAACCTGTATACATGGAATAGATTATGGAATTTGAGGTAGCATGGTGCGGGGTGGAATTTAGGGATAATTTTATTCCAAACGCTTCATGTCATGGATAAGGAAGTTTGAAAATTGGAGAAATAGGCTGGGTGTGGTGGCTCACGCCTGTAATCCCAGCACTTTGGGAAGCTGAGGCGGGCAGATCATGAGGTCAGGAGATCGAGACCGTCCTGGCTAACACGGTGAAACCCTGTCTCTACTAAAAATACAAAAAAATTAGCTGGGTGTGGTGGCGGGCGCCTGTAGTCCCAGCTACTCGGGAGGCTGAGGCAGGAGAATGGTGTGAACCCGGGAGATGGAGCTTGCAGTGCGCCGAGATCGCGCCACTGCACTCCAGCCTGGGTGACAGAGCTAGACTCCGTCACAAAAAAAAAAAAAAAAAAAAAATTGGAGAAATAAAGTGACTGTATAAGATGATATAAAATGTTTGCTGCAAATCTGGGTCCATTCTTCCGTGCACAGTCTTGACAAGCTGGTTCTTGCCTCTGCTCTGTTCTTGGAGGCTTAAGGTTGCTCAGAGAGTGTCTCTTGTGGGGGACCCAAAACTTATGACACCTGTAAGTGGTCAGAATGGAAGCTGAGTGGGAGAGCAATGCAGAGAAACTTGGTGGTTTCTCTCCCACAGCCTTCCAGGGGAGTAAATATTTCTCACTTAAATAATGATAAAGATTATTATCACTAATAATAATCATCATAGCTAATCATGGAGAATTTACTGTCAGGGCTTGTTTTAAATGTTTTAATATATTTATATATTAAATATTAAAATATGTTATATATTTAATATTCTTAACATTCTAATGAGGTAGGAACAATTATCCTCACTTTTGGAGATGAGAAAATTGAGGCACAGAGAAGTAGAGAAGTTAGGTGGCCAAAGTCACTCTACTGATAAGTGACAATATTAGGATTTGAACTCGGAGAATTGGATCCAGTGTCTGTATTCCTAACCACTATTCTATTTAAAGAAGAGAAGTAGGAAATAAAGAGACATAGAGAGAAATAGAGAAGGGGAGAAAAGGAGAGGGGAGTGAGAAGGGAGTGGAAAAGACACTGAAGCTTATTAGAAATCTGTGCACTAGAAAATATTTCTCCTCACAGAAATGAGGTGATCTACAGAAAACTTTTAACTTTGTGGTAAACAAATTTTTGTAGAATAATATTTCCAAGACTTTCTACTTACAATAGCTCCTTTATGCCAAAAATTCTTGAAGTGTTAAGATGTCATCAAGATTCGGGAACATGGGTACTTAAGCCTGGACCCTATGGCTGCTGAAGTCTTGCCAAGATCGTGGAGTTGGTGGATCTCCAATCTCTTCCTGTTCTGCGTTTTGGAGTCCAGACAAATGGAAGGGTAGGAGTGGGTATAAAGGACGGTAAGAGAGAGGAGGCTTTATATTTATTGAATCTCTTTGCAAATTTCTGTCTTATAGCTCAAGGAGTTTATTGTAAAATTTCCTGAAGAATAAACAATTCTGTTTATAGGATCACATTTGGTAAACTTTCATTTATTTTTAACTTTGTTACATTTCTATTATAAATTTGGTCTGGTCTCTGAAAGTAATAGACCTATATGACATTAAACATAAGATCTGAAAAAATGAAAGAAGAATACACATTCAATTAACTACTTGTTTGGCTAATGTGTCACATCAGTGGCTTACCTGCTTCTTAAAATCAGCTGATTTTCAAGCTAACTAGTTAACTAACTAGTTCATAATAAAGCTATGATCTTATATTCTCTTCACCTTGCCTTATTCTTGTAGCTTTAAAATGCAAAGGTTAATGCTGTAAGTGTACTGTCCAGCGTTTTAAATCTGGGCAGTCTAAAGGGGAAACAGATGAGTTTTCTCAAATAGTTAGCATTTGGCTAAGCTTGCTTTCCCAAAAGCTTAAAATAGGAAAAGTCTCCTTTTGCCCTGTTTATTCCTTGGTGTGGTGTTTATTCACCTAGCTGTCAAGCTTTCTTCCTATCTTCATCTCTCATTAAAACCTGTTCAGGTGCTTCATTTGGACTCCAGTGAATATGAACTCAGACAGATGTTTGAATATTGGCAAGAATCATAACAATATAAAGGGATAAAAATATGTAGAAGCAAAATATGTGACAAAAACAGCACAAAGACTGAAAGAGGGGAAAATGTGACTATGTTAGTGTAAGGTCCTTACACATTATGTGAACTAATGTTACTTGAAGGTAAACTGTGATAAGCTAAAGATGGATAGTGTAAACCCCAATGCAATCACCAAAAAGAACAAAATTGAAATATATAATTAATAAGGAATCAGATAAAATAAATCATAAATATTCAATCTAAAAGAAGATAGACAAAGAAGAAAAATGGAGCAAAATCAGAGGTAACCAATAGCAAACAAGCATTAAGATGGTAGATTTAAACCCAACCATATCAATAATCACATTAAATGTAAATGGCCTTAACATTGCAACTAAATGAAAAGATTGTCAAATTTATTTTTAAAAATTCAACTATATGCTGTCTACTACACAGATAGGTTAAAAGGAAAACGATGGGAAAAGATATACCAAGCTAACATTAATAAAAAGAAAGCTGAAGTGGCTATGTTAATATCAGATAAAGAAGATTTCAAAGCTAGGAATATTTTAAGGGATAAAGAGTAATTTCATAATGATAAAGAGGTCAATTCATTAAGAGGACATGATAATTTTAGATGTTTATGTACATAATAACAGGGCTTTGAAATACATAAAGCAGAAAGGGACAGAACTGAATGGAGAAATAGGGTCCACAACTGGAACTTGACAATTATAATTAGAGATGGCAACATCCTTCTCTCAACAATTGATAGGTCAAGTAGAGAGACAATAGTGAAGATACAGAATACTTGAAAAAGTCTATCAATCAACTTGATCTAATGAACATTTATAGTGTTCCAACACTTTTTTCAACAAGAAGACAACACAGATTCTTTTCAGGAGTACCTACAACATTAAAAAGGATAGATGAATTCTGAGCCATAAAATAAATTCTAACAAATTTCAAAGAATTAAAGTTATACAACAAATATTTAGAGACTCATTATGATGAAGTCAAACTAGAAATCAATAATAGATGTCTTGAAATGCTCCAACATCTCAAAACAAAATCACATATTTTGGAATAATCTATGGGTCAAGGAAGAAAGCACAAGAGAAGTTAAATATTTTGAACTAAATGAAAATGAAAATATTACTTATAATTTGTGGGATGCTGTTAAATTAGTGTTAGAGGAAAACTATAGCATTAAACAAATTAGAAAAGTAGATAAATGGGCTGGGCATGGTGGCGCACACCTGTAATCCCAGCACTTTGGGAGGCCGAGGTGGATGGATCACCTGAGGTCAGGAGTTCAAGAACAGCCTTACTAACATGGTGAAACCTATCCCTACTTAAAAAAAAAAAATTAGCTGAGTGTGGTGGCACATGCCTGTAATCGCAGGTATTCGGGAGGCTGAGGCAGGAGAATTGCTTGAATCTGGGAGGCGGAGGTTGCAGCAAGCCGAGATTGTGCCATTGTACTCTGGCCTGGGCAACAAGAGTGAAACTCCATCTCAAAAAAAAAAAAAAAGGTAGATAAATATAAAATCAATATTCTAAGCTTCCACATTAAAAAACTAAAAAAAGTAGGGCAAACTAATGCAAAGTGACCAGAAGAAAGGAAATAATAAAAATAAGAGCAAAAATAAATGCAATAAAATAAAATGATGAAAATGAATAAAACCAAAACTAGTTCTCTGAGATAAATAAACAAACTTCTAGTCAGAATGATCAGAAAAAAAAAGGAAAAGACCCAAATTATCACTATCAGCAATAGGAGAAGGGAATTAAAAGGATAAGGGGATTTTATTTAAAACTCTATGCCAATATTTTTTTTTTTTTTTGAGATGGGGTCTTATTCTATCACCCAGGCTGGAGTGCAGTGGTGCAATTGTGGCTCACTGCAACCTCAACCTCCCAGGCTCAAGAGATCCTCCCACCTCAGCCTCCGAAGTGGCTGGGACTACAGACGTGTACCACCATGCTTGGCTAATTTTAAATTTTTTTGTATAGACAGGGTCTCACTATGTTGCTCAGGCTCATGCCAATACATTTGACAAATTATATGGAAAAGACAAATTCTTTGAAAAGCAACAACCACCAGATCTCACTCAGGAAATAACAAAATAAGCCAATCACATCTATTACTGGATACCCCATTTTACGTGATGTGATTATTATACATTGCATGCCTGTATCAAAACATCTTGTGTACCCCATAAATATATACACCTACTATGTATCCACAAAAATTAAAATATAAAATTAAAAAGTTCTGTGGTTTTGCTGATGATTTCTACCAAATATTTAAAGAAAAATTCATGCAAACAAACTTGTATAGAAAAACAAAAGAGGAAGAAATTCTTTGATTCTTTCTTTGGGTACAGAATTATGCTGAAACCTAAACCAAAACCATTATAAGAAATTAATACTACAGATCAACATTTCTCATAAATTTAGATAGGAAAATTTTGAAAAATCTTTTAGAAAGTCAAATCCACCAATATATAAAGGGATAATTCATCATGACCAACTGGGGTTTGTCCCAGGAGTTCAAAGTCGGTTTAACATTTGAAAATCAATTTTCTATATTGACAGAATAAAGAAAAGTAGAATAAATCTCTGTACCTTATTCTCAAGTTTGCTAGGAACTAAAACTGCTTTAAAAAATAGAGTATATATAATAAAGAACAATTATATAGTAACCTACAGCTAATTGTATACTTAATGGTTAAAGAGTGAATGCTGTCCCCCTAAGATCAGGAACAAAACAAGGATGTCCTTTCTCATCATCTTTACTGAACATTGTACTGGAGTTTTAGCTAGTGCAATAGAGCAAGTAAAGGTTGGGTGCAGTGGCTCACACCTGTAATTCTAGCAGTTTGGGAGGCTGAAGCGGGAGGATCACTTGAGTCCAGGAGTTCTAGACCAGCCTAGGTAACATAGGGAGTGTCAGTCTCTACAGAAAAAAAAAAAAAAAAAGAAGCCAGATGTGTTGGCACACTGGGGTTCCAGCTACTTGGGAGGCTGAAGTAGAAGAATTGCCTGAACTTGGGAGGTTGAGGCTGCAATGATGCAGTAAGCTGTGATTACACCATTGCCCTTCATCTTGGGTGACAGAGTGAGACCCTGTCTCAAAATAAAAAGAAAGAATAAAGCAAGAAAAAAAAGTCATACAGATTGAAAGGGAAGATATAAAACCATATTTATTTTCCAACCACATGATTGTTTATTTAGAAGATCTCATAAAAATCTACCACATAGCTACTAGAACTGTAAAGTGAGTTTAGTAAGTTGGTAGGACACAAAATCAATACACAGAAATAATAATTCTATATAGTAGCAATAATTAAAAATGAAAAATACCATTTATAATAACAAAATATAAAATACTTAGGGATAAATTTGACAAAATAGATGCAAGAACTATGCACTAAGAACTATAAAACGTTGCTGATGTAAAAACAAACCAACACAAACCCTAAATAAGTGGGGAGATACACTATGTTCATGGATCAAAAGGCTTAATATCTACCCAAATTGGTCAATGTAATACCAATCAAAATCTCAGCAGGCTTTCTTATAGAAATTAACAAGCTGACTCTAAAATTTATACGGAAGTGAAAGGACCTGGAATAGCCAAAACAATTTTATTGTTTTTATTTTTAATTTTTTAAAATTTTAATAGCTTTTGAGTACAAGTGGTTTTTGATTACATGGATGGATTGCATAGTGGTGAAGTGTGAGATTTTAATGCATCCATCACCTGAATAGTGCACATTGTACCCAATATGTTTTTTTTTTTATCTCTTACCCCACCCCACCCAAAACAATTTTAAAAAGAAAACAAAGTTGGAAGATTATACTACCTGTTTTCAGACTTTTTGTAAAATGAAGATAATATGATATTTGCATAAAGATAGATATTTAGATTAATGGAACAGAATAGAGAACCCAAAAGTAGTCCAATGACCAGTTGATTTTTGATAAAGGTGTAAAGGGAATTCAGTAGGAGAAAGTTTAATCTTCTCAACCAATGGTGACAGGACAATTGAACACATATATGCAAAAAAATGAACATCTCCTATCTTATACCACATACACAAACTAATTTTAAAATAAGTTAGTTGGAATAAGTTCTAGTGTTCAATAGCGTAGTAGGATGACTATAGTTAACAATAATATGTTGTATATTTCATTAGCTAGAAGAGAAACTTCAAAATATTCCCAACATTAGGAAATAGTAAATGTTCGAGGTGATGGATATCCTAAATACCCTGATTTGATCATTAAACATTGTATGCATGTGTCAAAATATCACGTTACCCCATAAATATGTATAAATATGTATTAAAATAAATTAAAAATCACAATGAGATACCATCATACAGCCATTAGGATATCTATAATCCAGATACCAAAAATATCAAGTGTTGGTGATGATTTGGAGCCACTGGAACTCTCACACATTGTTGATGGAATGTAAAATGATGTAACCACTCCAGAAGACAGGCAGTTTCTTAAAATGTTATGCAAATGCCAACTATACAATTCAGTAATTCCACACCCTAGGAATTTACCTAAGAGAAATGAAAGTAAGTGTCTATACAGGCTTGTACATTTATTCCAGCTTTATTTGTAACAGCCAAATACTGGAAATAACTCAAATACCCATCCAAAGGTGAATTGATCAACAAACCATGGCATATCTCTACCTTAGAGTGCTACTTATTAATAAAGAGCAACAAAATATTGACATATAACAACATGGAATAATTTATTTAGCTGAATGAAAGAAGCCAGACTAAAAAGTGTATATACCATATGATTTAATTTTTACAAAATTCTAGGAATGCAAACTAATCTCTCGATGGAAAGTAGAGCAGTGGTTGCCTGAAGGTTGGGGGAGGAGCATGGGGGGATGGAGTACAAAGGGGCAGGATGAAACTTCTGAGGGTGATGAAATGCTCATTATCTTGATTGTGGTGATGTTCTCGTTGTGTGCATGTGCTGAAACTCATGTAACTGTACAGTTTATTAAATATAGGCAGTTTATTCTGTCGACTGTACCTCGGTAAAGCTATTAGAAGATTAGAAAGCATAAAGCAGGAGGTGGTGGAAGATGTTTTGGAGCCTTTCCTGATGCTTCTAAAATTTCATCAAGTAGACTGTGACCTGCACTGCCTGTGTCTAAGTTTGGCCCTGTTTTGCTGTCAGAAAAATAGTCAATATAATGTAGGTTTTAAGTTTGGGAGGCTGCTGAACATACAGTGTGTTTATTTCAAATGGCTCAACTGTTTACATGTTGTTACCTTGCTGAACCTAATAACAAAGAAAGAAAAAAAAACTCATAGTAACCATGGAGTTAAGAATCCTTCAAATACAGAGAATCAGGTGTAAGGCAGCTTAAGGAGCTCTTATTTTTAACCTTTTTTCGCCCCCCAATGAAATATACACCGCGTGTTGATGCTTTGGAACACTGAGAATGAACACAGATGGTAAATCAAATTTAGGGAGGAGGGATGTGCTCTATAACTACTAAATGCCGACTTGGAAACACTAGATGGCTCCCTTAATGTATTTTAGATGGGAGTTAAAAATAGGGCTCCTCATCAGAATTATTGAGAAAGATGACAATCATTTTTCAAGCAATGGGTGCATCCATATGGGCTATTGCTAATGAAGAGAAGGAAAATGCAGTGCAGACCGAATAAAACACTCTTATTTATTAGAATCTTTGGCTATGTTTCTTTCTCATTAAGGCTAATAAACGCCAGTGGAGCCTAATGACTTGATTGCCATTGAAAGAATCAGGAATATGTTTTTAAAAATGGTCATGTATTATCTCAGAAAAGAAACAGTAAATTAAAAAAAATTTAAACCTTATATTTGACAGTTGGTGTGATAATACCATAAATAGCAGTAAAAGCTGAACTTTTCAACCTTGCCTTCTCCTGAGCCTCTGAGGATGTTTTAGAACCAAGATTGTGGTGTTTAATTTTCTGAGGAAGCCAGACACATGCATTGGCTAAAAGGTTAGAGAATCTGATAAAGAAGAAAAAGCACAGGTTTTGGAATTAGTCATTCTCAAATATTGCTAGATGTGGGAATTTACCTCATTTTTCTCATCTGTAAAATGGGCATGCATAAATGTCTGTCTGCTTGTGCCCACTGATGAGCAGACTTCACTCTCCTTGTATGTATACAGTAGAAACACCTATATTTGCATTATGCCTTATAGTTTGCAAAAACAGTTTCAGATTTATGAGTAATTTGCAAACTTTTTTTAAAAAAATGCACTTTTTCTTGAAATATTACATGGAAGCACAATGTGTAAGAAAAAATCTAAAAATGGATTTTCTCTGGTTGAACAAGGGGTGAAGTTTCAACTCTTCCAATGCCTCCACCCATACCCACACTTTCTTCCCCTCAATATGGTCCCTTCCCTATGAAGCACAGTTTGAAAACCTCTGCTAGAAGTTACATCATTTGATCAAATATGAAACTATCCTGGACCTTTATATAATACATGTAGAATCTTAGAAGGTAAAGGATCATGGTAACTGAGAACAGTATTCTAAGAGACAATATGGTCTGATTGCAGGAAAGGTGCTATACTGATGGGCAATAGGGGTATCTTTCCTCAGCTGGTCTCTTGCCTTGTTGAGGTGTTGAATTCTGTCTCCATTTCTCTGTCTCTAAAATGGTTATATCAATTAATAGCAGCCTCCTGTCTGTTTTCAAGGATCCCAGGAAAGTGATTCCAATTCACAGATGAATCATTATACCAGGCTGGAGAGAAATAATGAAACTAATATGAAAACAAATGTGGATACAGAAATTTCCTTTCAACTTAGACAAGCCAACATTTTCCTGGATGTCAATTTTTGTAGTAAATCTTGGCTTAGTGACTAATAATGGATTTATCCTATTTTTTTGGATTGAAAAAAGAAATTGCTAGTGTAGTGGCCCACAGGAGGTTCTTTCAAAGCAAATGAGCCCCTGTTTTCCAGGTAGGGGTGATGTTGATTCTGCCTCAGGCCCTGTGGGATGATCTTCCTGGAAAATGGTCTCAGTTCAAGCTTCTCCTTTAAGCTCCAAAGTGATGAATGAATCCTGTACAAGCTTGTGATCCTGAAAGCCACGCTAAAGCCTGCAGGTTGCTGTGTTTGGCTCCTGACACCTGTTTCCATTAACTACGAGACTCAACTGGGCACATGATCTAACTGTGGGTTGGGCTGCAGAAAAATCTTGTTTTCAAGGATCTACATGCAGATGGATGATTCAGTCATTTGAGTCTCCACCGTCTGCCTTCTGTTGCCTGATTTTAGTCATCAAGGAGATCAAGGGGAGAAGCAGCATGGAAAAGTCCACCTGGGCTGGCAGTTCTAGCAGGACACTGGGTGCAAAGGGGAGGTGGTGGAAACTTTCTGTTGGATACAATTTCTAGGTTAGGTGGTGACTTTGAGTATCCAGGTTTTTCTTATATATATTTCAGATCCTTGGAGGAAGAGAGGTAATCTGTATATTCACTTAGGGCAATGAATCCCAACATGGATTTTTATGGATTAGGAAAACTAATTTTTTTTTGATCAACAGAGTGTTGGTGGCTTTTTCTTTTCCTTCACAACAAATGCGTTTAGGAGGTGGCTTTAAACACCTACTATCAGGCAAACTTCTGTCATCATCATTTCAATTAAAAAATGGACCTCTAACCAACACCCATCCCAATGAAGGAAAGATACAATCTCCCAAAACCGGCAATTTTTAAAATTTAGTAAGTTTGGCTTTTGTGAAAAAAACTCACTACATTATTTTTCTCATTTTGCCATGGAATTTTGAGAACCTTGCCTAGCAAGGCAAGGCCTAATGGCCTAGCATTTGGGAACCTCAGCTCTAGAAAACTCTAGAATGCCAGGGCAGATCCACCAGGAATCTATTTCATGCAGAATCAATTATCCCAACAGAGAAGCAGTTTCAAGGTCTTCGAGTGGCTGGCTCAGGAGCTTATTGTTAAGACTTTAGAGCTTCCCTGTTTTTGATAGTGTTCTTGGTGATCAGGGAGCGATCAGAGGTAAGAGAGAGGCACAGAACATTGACTGACTTGCAGCACAAAGGGATGTTTTGCATGGGATTTTGTATGGGGTCACTTGGGTGACAGCTTATTTCCCAATCCCAAAAGCACCTTGGTTACGTTCCTTGGACATGGAAAGGAGGCAGGGGCTGTAGGAGAGCTAAAACTTAATTAACATATATAAAAGACTGAAGCAGGAAATTGGGAGATCAGGATGGCCCCCTTCAGTCACTTTATAATCATTGTATACTTGGTAGGTAGAGTTAGTGTCATTGCCCAGCAAGAGCATTGTCAGCGGCCAGGTTAGCATCAGCAGAGGTGAGAGAGGTGGAGAGGTGCCATCACGGCAGCGACAGACTCTAGGCAGAATCAAGGCGAGGTCAGTGCATGCTAAGAAAGTGGAGACTTAGAGGGAGCTAGGATCACAGGGCAAAGGCGCCAGAGATTGGCAGAGGTGGGCACTGGTGACCAGTAAAATAATGATGACATGACTCTGCCCAGAGAGGGGAGAAGTTTTGGGAGCTCCATTTCCAGGATTCCACTGATGAGGACAGAGGGTCAAAGTATAAATAGCTGCCGTATATGCTCATTCTCCCAGCCAACCATCTCCTGATTTTTAACATCTTGCTTTGGTGTACATTTGGTACAATGGGTGAACAACTATTTAGACATTATTAACCAAAGTCCATAGTTTACATTAGGATTAACTTTTTGTGTGATACATTCCATGGGTTTTGACAACTGTATATTATCACGTATCCACCATTACAGTATCATACGGAATAGTTTCACTGCCCTGGAAGTCCCCTGTGCATCCCCTGTCATCCCTCCCTTGCTTTCTGGTGAACCCCTAGTGACCACTGATCTTTCTAGTGTCTTTATAGTCTTGTGTTTCCAGAATCTTATATAGCTGGATTCAGACAGTAATGAAGGCTGGCTTTTTTCACTTAACAATATGCATGTAACCTCCTCCTACCTCTTTTCTTGGCTTGATAGTTCATTCTTTTTAACACTATTTTTAAAATTAATTAATTAATTAATTAATTTTTTGAGACAGAGTCTTGCTCTGTCACCCAGGCTGGAGTGCGGTGGCATAATCTTGTCTCACTGCAAACTCTGCCTCCTGGATTCAAGAGATTCTCCTGCCTCAGCCTCCCGAGTAGCTGGGATTACAGGTGTGCACCACCGTGCCCGGCTAATTTTTGTATTTTTAGTAGAGATGGGGTTTCACCATGTTGGCCAGGCTGGTCTCAAACTCCTGGCCTTAAGTGATCTGCCTGCCTCGGCCTCCCAAAGTGCTGGGATTACAGGAGTGAGACACCATGCCTGGCCAACACTGTTTTAAATTGTGATGAAATATAGACAACATGAAATTTACTGTCTTCACCATTTTTAAGCGTAGAGTTTAGTGGTGTTAAGTACATTCACAGTGATGTACAACTGCCCCACCATCCATCTTCAGAACTCTTTATGCAAAGCTAAAACTCCGTCTATTAAAAAATAACTCCCCATTTCCCCTCTCTCCAGCCCGTGCAGCCACCATTTTACTTTCTGATTTTTCTTTCACTCAACTGCTCTAGTAGTTCATATAAGTAGAATCATACAATATTTGTTGGGGTTTGACTGGCTTATTTCACTTAGCATAATGTCCTCAAGTTTCATCCAGGTTGCAGCATGTGTCAGAATTTCCTTTCTTTTTAAGTCTGAATAATATCCCATTGTGTGTATACACCATATTTTATCTAATTCATTCAACGATGCACACTTGAGCTGCTTTCATCTTTTGTTATTGTGAATAATGGTGCCATGAACACAAGTGTGTAAATATCTCTTTGTTTTCGATTCTTTTGAGTATATAAACAAAAATGGAATTGCTGAGTGAAGTAGTAATTTTATTTTTAATTTGTTAAGGATCCACCACACCGTTTGCCATAGCAGCTGCACCAACAGTACACGAGGATTCCAATTTTGCCACATCATCACCAACACTTATTATTTTCTGTTTTTGTTTTTGTTTTTTTTTTGAGACGGAGTCTCACTCTCACCCAGGCTGGAGTGCAGTGGCGTGATCTCGGCTCACTGTAACCTCTGCCTCCTGGATTCAAGCGATTCTCCTGCCTCAGCCTCCCAAGTAGCTGGGATTACAGATGCCCGCTACCGCACCCGGCTGATTTTTGTATTTTTTAATAGAGACGGGGTTTCAGCATGTTGGCCAGGCTGGTCTCGAACTCCTGGTGCAGTGGCTCATACCTGTAATCCCAGCACTTTGGGAGGCCGAGGTGGATGGGTCACTTGAGGTCAGGAGTATTTTCTGCTTTTTTTTTTGAGAGTAGCCATCCTAATGGGTGTGAGGTAGTATATCATTGTGGATGATAGCTCATTTCTTTTTTATCTCGGAATAATATTCCCTTTTATAGATGTACCACAGTTTGCTTATCTATTTGCTTACCGGAGGCCATCTCGGTTGCTTCCAAGTTTTGGCAGTTATGAATAAGGCTGGCATAAGTGTTCATGTGCAGGTTTTTGTGCGGACATATGTTTTTAACTCCTTTGGGTAAATACCAAGAGAGTGATCACTGGATGATATGGTAAGAGTGTGTTTAGCTTTGTAAGACACTGCCAAACTGTCTTCCAAAGTGGCTGTACCATTTTGCATTTCCAAAAAAGACTATTTTTATGTCTATTACCATTGCTTCCCATATTTCTTGACTGTCCTTGCTCTGGTTTGTGTGTTCTGGTGAGGAAAAGCTGCAGATGGATCACTGACAATTGGTAGAATCTCTTTTTTAATGCTCTTTTAATATGACCTTCAATCAGCTAGCTCTCTGGAGGCTGAAGTTGGAAGGGACTGAGGTGAAAATTGCTGGCTTTGTGTTCTGACAGCCAGAATGCTTTTTCTTAAGTGAATAAAATATATTAAGAAAATTAAAACTTTTAACACTCCCCAGAATAAGAGGCACAAATCACTTAAGTGTTAATATTCTTTTCTACTACATTTCCTATCCTATTAATACTTGGATACCGTTCAATATCTGGACCCTTCCTTCCACAGAAATCTGTTTATTTTTCAGGGAAGGTGATAGAGAAACTCCTCCTGAAAGTCTAGATCTGGAACTCAGAATTTGAAATACCAGCCTCTTCAGAAATATTCAGAAGTTTTTTTTTTTTTTAAACAGGAAGAACTTCTAAATTAAGATCATTGTTTTACTATCGCAAGAACAAAAAACCAAACACCGCATATTCTCACTCATAGGTGGGAATTGAACAATGAGATCGCATGGACACAGGAAGGGGAATATCACACTCTGGGGACTGTGGTGGGGAGGGGGGAGGGGGGAGGGATAGCATTGGGAGATATACCTAATGCTAGATGACGAGTTAGTGGGTGCAGCGCACCAGCATGGCACATGTATACATATGTAACTAACCTGCACAATGTGCACATGTACCCTAAAACTTAAAGTATAATTAAAAAAAAAAAAGATCATTGTTTTAGTAGATACAATCCCAACAGAAATATATATATATATATATATATATATATATATATATACACACACACACACACACACACACACACATACATACACGTTCACCAAAAGACAAATAGGAGAACGTCCTTGGGGTACTGGTTATAATAGCCCCAAGCAGACGGCAATCTTAATGTCCACCTATCAGCAGCAGAATAATCAAGTGTGTTATCTTCAAACAATGGGATACTATGCGGCAATAAGAATGATTGGACTGCAACTACATGATGCAAATGAATAAAGTTTGTATAATCTTGAATGGAAGGAGCCAGATTCAAAAGTGTCCATGCTCTATGACTTCATTGATGTGAAGTTCAAGAACAAGTAAAACTAATCTATGGTGTCAGAAGTCAGGGTATAGGTTGACCTTTGAGGGTGGGAGGGTTAATGACCAGCAGGTGCTCGAGGGGGCTTTTAGGGTTCTGGTAATGTCTGGTGTCTTGTTCTGAGTCCTACATACATTGGTGTATTCACTTTGTGCAAAGGCTTCACTTTGGTTTGATGATTGCATTTTTTATGGATGTTTATGCTATAGTTCAATAAAAAGTTTTAAAAATAATCTCATGTTACGATAAACTCATGAGGAAAATGTCCTCAAATTAATTTTATAAAAGAGATAAAGAAGGGAACTCAAGATAAAATGCATCATTGCCACAAACCAGAAGATGGACCTTTTATCTTAATATGAATCGATTCAGTGAACCAATAAAGGAGATGGACTTCACCGAAAAGTGTGGTGGAGAAGAATGAACCATCAGAAAAGGGGATGCAGCACTCATGGCTTGATAATGGTCTCTAAAAGCTTTGCATTTTTTTTTGGAGCCAAGTAATCAGCACTTACAAAATGAATTCAAAAGAAGCAGTTACAAAACCTTCACACTTGGAGATTTCAGCTGTAGATGCCAAAGCAATGTCTAAGCATTTGCTCTGCAGGGGCATTAAAGATGAGCTTGGACTTTTTGTAGAGTCCCACAGCAGTGTCATGAGGAAGGGCATCTTTTCTGGAGGGGAAGTTTTCCATTTCATGGGATGACCTCTTCTGTCCATCAGCTCCTGCATCTGATGGGCTTTGGGGCAGATTTGGTGATTCCTCAAGGTACCGGACAAGGGCTTTTGGGAAGAGAACATTGAGAAAACAAAGTGTGAGGATGATTTCTACCTCCTACTGGGTAAAAATGCCATACTCATTTGGATCTGGATTTCCTGAGTGAATGTACATGTGTTACTGAAAAGGGGTCCCAATCCAGATCCCAAGAGAGGGTTCTTGGAGCTCATGTAAAAAAGGATTCTGGGTGAGTCCATAAAGTAAAGTGAAAGCAAGTTTATTAAGAAAGAAAATAAACGAAAGAATGGCTACTCCATAGGCAGAGCAGTGGCATGGGTTTCTCAACTTTCTTGATCATGTGTTAAACAAGGGGTGGATTATTCACATATTTTTCTGGGAAAGGGGCAATTTCCAGAACTGAGGATTCCTCCCCTTTTTAGACCATATACGGTAACTTCCTGATGTTGCCATGGCATTTATAAACTGTCATGGAACCGAAGGGAGTGTCTTTTAGCATGCTAGTGCATTATAATGCGCATATAATGAGCAGTGAGGATGATCAAAGGTCACTTTTGTCACCATCTTGGTTTTGGCTGGCTTCTTTACTGCATCCTGTTTTATCAGTAAGGTCTTTGTGACCTGTATCTCGTGCTGACCTCCTATCTCATTCTGTGACTAAGAATGCCTAACCTCTTGGGAATGCAGCCCAGTAGGTCTCAGCCTTATTTTACCCAGCCCCAATTCAAGATGGAGTCCCTCTGGCTTGAATGCCTCTGACACATGTCTAGCTGGCATTCGGGACAATCATTGGAAGTTTGTTCTTTCTACACACTTTAAATATTTCTCTAAATGATTTCTCTTTCCTCTTAACACTACTGCCCAATATTGTGTTTCTTCTTACTCAAGTCCATCTTCTCTTGACCTCCCTGAACAGACCTGCTGTCTCTTAGGGGTGGGTAATGGGCTCTGGTGGAAATCAGACACAGCAGGAGGTCAAGCCTGGGTTAGTCAAGGTCAAGCCTGGACAGAGTAGTGATCCAGAAATGGCTAAGTAGCAGGAAGGCAGTAGTGAAAGTGAGTGGGGTTGCAAAGCCAAGTGGGTCAGTCGGGCTGATGTGGGGTCACAGTATATTTCCATTAGCCCACAAAGCAAGGAGTAAAAGTCAGGTGGGTAGGCAGGAGTTAGGTGCAACAAATACACTTATAACAAATACAATAGTGCAGGAGGTCAGGCACCAGCTAGGAATGGCAGACAGTGTTGTAACTTCTCCCCATTAAGCCTATACATATTTTATTTATTTATTTATTTATTTATTTATTTATTTATTTATTTATTTATTTAATGAGACAGAGTCTCACTCTGTCACCCAGGCTGGAGTGTAGTGGTGCGATCCTGGCTCACTGCAACCTCCACTTTCTAGGTTCAAGTGATTCTCCTGCCTCAGTCTCCCAAGTAGCTGGGATTACAGGTGTGCACCACCATGCCTGGTTCTATATATTTTTAATATGACTATGTATCAGATGCTGTATTAGTCAGTTTTTGCTACATAACAACCAACCACAAAATTTCAGTGCCATACAACAAAACTTTTTTATTTTTTGCTTATAAGCTTCAGTCCGTGGGTCAAGTTCAGGATTGCTCCATGCTTCTCATTCTAGGACTCAGGGTGGAGAATCAATGGCTCCTGGGAATTTATTCTTCTAATGTAGGAGTTTGGAAGTACAAGTGGGCCAGGCCAATCTGTGCAAGCTTTTTTTTTTTTTTTTTTTTTTTTTTTAGATGGAGTCTCTCTCTGTCACCCAGGCTGGAGTGCAGTGGCGTGATCTCAGCTCACTGCAACCTCCGCCTCCCGGGTTCAAGTGATTCTCTTGCCTCAGCCTCCCAAGTGGCTGGGACTACAGGTGTGCACCACCATGCCCAGCTAATTTTTGTATTTTTAGTAGAGATGGGGTTTCACCATGTTGGCCAGGATGGTCTCGATCTCTTGACCTCATGATCTGCTGGCCTCGGTCCCCCAAAGTGTTGAGATTATAGGCGTGAGCCACCACACCCAGCCTGTGCAAGCACATTTTAAGCTTCTGCTTGTGTCATGTCTGTTAACCTCCCATTAGCCAAAGCAAGTCACATGGCCATGACCAGAGTCAGTGGATGTGGAGGTATATTCCCCCGCACCATCATGACAGGAGAGTGGATGTATAATCTTACTAAAGCAGACTAATTGGGGCCAATAGTTCAATTTACCATAGGTAAAGCTGCAAGAGAAATGTATATGAAAAAGATATACTTCTTGTCTATAAGACGGTCATTGTCTGTAGTGATGGTAAAAATGTTATTGGAAACAAATGATCATTTAGTTTTGCCCATTGATTGGTTTCCCACTCTTTTCTATTTTTTCCCTCCTATGTGTAACAATTCTCCTGCCTCTACTGCCAAGGATCCTTTGGAAGTGCTAAGAATTTGTACTATGCAATAATGTCACCCCCTCCCCGCCAGCCTGGTCCATTCAACAGTTATTAATCAAGTGCTTACTATGTGTTGGTCGTGGTCTTGGTGCTTGGATTACAGCAGTAAATCAAACAGCAAATATTCCTATTCTTGTGGCTTTCATTCTAGTGGGGAAAGACAGACAATAAAAAGCAGACACCAATTTAATAAGTAAATTATATGGTAGATTTTAAAGATGATAAAAGCTATCAAAAAGGGAAAAAGATAAGGCAACACAGAGTAAGGGTTGTGCAGATTTTCACAGGTTGCCACTTGCAGCGAGGGGATAGTTAAACCTCATCGGGAATGTGGGTTTTGAGCAGCCTTAAGGCAGTCGAAGGGTTCAGCCATGAGGATAACAGGGGCAAGCATGCTTCAGACTGAGAGAATAGCTAGTGCAAAGGCCCTGGGGTGAGAGCACCAAGGGGTGTTTAAAGAACAGTGAGGGAGCCTATGTAGTTAGGGTCACCTGAGTGAGCAGAAGTGGGGAAAATGAAGGCAGAGATGTTGATGTCAAGCTGTATAAGGCCTGGAGGGCCATTGTGAGGACTTTGGCTCTTATTCTGACTCACATGGGAGCCATTGGAGGTCTTTGAGGGAGGAGTGATGTGATCTGACCTACGCTTTTGTAAGGTTTACTCTAGCTGCTCTGTTGTGAATAGACTATAGGGATGCCATAGATGGAGGCAGGCACGCCAGTTAGGAGGATAATGCCTTTCAGTAAGATGGCACAGTTTAGCAGGAATATGGTATGAGCCACAAAATGGATCTGCACAGATAAGTTTAAATTTTTCAGTAGCCATGTATTAGGAAAAGTAAAAAGAAACAGGTGAAATTAATTATAATAATATATTTTGGTTGATTCAGTATATCCGCAACTTATTTCTACATATAATCACTATAAAACAATTATTATTGAGATAGTTTAGTTTTTTTATACTAAATGTTGGAAATTCAGTGTGTATTTTATACTTGGCATCCCAGTTCGCACCAATAATATTTCAAGTGCTCAGTAGCCACATGTGGCTAGTGGCTACTGTATTAGAGAATGCAGAAGTAAAGAAGTCATCACTCATTTTGAAATCATTGAGTCTAGCCTTCTTTTCACCTACTTCCAAATGTTTTGCTAAATACCAGTGGATTATGAGACAGCTGGAAAGAGTAAAGTCTAAACTCCCTATAGGCATAAAGAAAGGATTTGAAACTGGGTTTTAAAAATTCAGAAATCCAGTGTATTATTAAAAAGTTCTCCCTTTGACAGTAAAATACTATGAACACCTTTTCTTACATCAAAAAATGGCAGTCTTGAGTGTGTACCTATGAGGATTATTTTCTACTGAAAGAAACATGCTTGTTTGTAAAAAATTTTTATCCTGCAGCAATTAGACAGATACATCCTTTTATCAGGAAATCTACATCCTGGAAATCTACATCTAGACATAATCCTCAGCAGGTGGCTGACTGTTGCAAACGTGCAATGACTAAATGTCCTATCCTTGTAAAATTTGACATTTGAACAGGGGAACATTTATTATCTCTAGGTACAAACATTTGCAATCCAATAATACTTTTTTTTCTAATTAAGGAAAAGTATGTACTGATGCTTGTATGTGTATGTTTCAGGTAGTATGCAGAAGAGTTAGAATTTAAAAGGAAGTAGACTAACATTTGGTAGTCACATGTAATCTGTGTTATTATGCCTTCAGATTGTGGACTTCTTGGAGACAGCATGAGAAGTGGAAAATGCATAGGATTCGAGGTCAGAGACTAGTTAGATTTTGGCTCTGCCATCATTAGCTGCAAAATCATGTAAAATGTGTTAAATCTCTTAACCTCAGTTTTTTTTTGGTCTGTCAAATGGAGGTAAAAACATTTTCTTCATAGAGTTCTTATGAACACTGAATTAAATACTGAACATCAACAGCCTAATACAATTCCTGGCACATAGTACCATAATGCAAGTTACCATTCTCAGAAATGAGATTCACATTCCTGAGGGAAAATGGTAAATGCACTTTACTACAGAGTAGATTTGCTTTAAATCAGGGCAATGTGTTTGCAATGCAGCAGTTGCCCAAAGGGTTGTGTTCTAAAGTATTTTAAACTCTAATGAAAAGGTATGTGAAGGTAGCTTTATGGCAAGGTGTATGGAAAACACAGAAGAACTGCATCTTTCACCTTCTAAGGGAGATAGATAAAGGCTAGAATGGAAAATACAGGCTGGAGGCAGCAATCTATTAAGTGAATTGAGACAAAGCCATGATTTTTACTTTCATTGCTGCTAGAGAGAAGTCAGCTGTCAGTCTCATGATGCTTTCTTTACAGAGAGTCTGCCTTTGTTTTTTCTCCCGCTGTTTTAAATATTTTTCTATTTGCTTGGTTTTCTGCAGTTTCATAATGACATACCTGGGTTTGGTTTTCTTTTTATTTGTTTAACTTGAGATTCCTTAAACTTCTGAAATCTGTGGTTTGGTGTCTTAAGTCAGTTCTGAAAATTCATCAGCCTTTATCTCTTTGAATGTTTCCTCTATTCCACTCTCCCCCAAAGCCACTCAAGCAAACAATCATGTTTGCCTGTGTTGGCAAACACTTTTTAGAGCAAAAGTGGCTTTCATATTAGTATAGCTCTCTGGGTTTGTAACTTTCATTTGCCTTTAGCTCAGTAATTTATCTGCTTCTCTTGGTTGCAGTTAAGATATTTTAAAATATTTTACCTACCATTTTTAGTCATTTTCTATGGGGAAAATTTGAATAAACGAACTCATCATTATCAGAAAATAAAAATTCAAAAACATTGAAATCTTACTCCATCTGGACTTAATTTTGGGGTAGAGTGAAGAGGTAGGAATCTAACTTTTCCCCAAATGTTTGGTCAATTTTCTCATTATATTTTGAAGAGTACATAATTTCCCCATCTATTCAGTAAGGTAGCTACATGCCACCTTTTTAATATAACAAAATCCCAATTATTTGGAAGTTTCTGATGTGTTAAATCTGTTTGATTGATTTAATTAAGCCAGTAACATCCTTCTTTAATTGCTATAGTTTCATACTATATTTACATATCTCCTAGGGCAAATTTACTCTCATTATTCTTCTTTATGGGGACCTATAGTTCTATCTTAGTACATTTTACTCATTGATATTCATTCTACTCATGTATGTATGTAAGATGCATGACTTATTTTGCTAGATTCTGAGGATATGAAGAAGTTTGACACAAAATACCACCTTGGGTGGACTTTGACTTCTAAGTAGAAAAGACATATTGTCAGGAGAAATAAAGAACTATGTGAGTTAAATGACAAAGCAGAATAATAAAAGAAAAGATGTGGCATGAGTCAATGATTGCTTTTCAAAGCACTAATAAGTGCTGCAAGTTGAAAACACCTCTTACATGGTGGCAGGCAAGAGAGAGCGTGTGCAGAGGAACTCCCCTTTATAAAACCATCAGATCTCATGAGACTTATTCACCACCATGAGAACAGCATGGCAAAAACCCACCCCTATGATTCAGCTACCTCCCACCAGGTCCCTCCCTTGACAGGTGGGGATTATTACAATTCAAGGTGAGATTTGGGTGGGGACACAGAACCAAACCATATCATCCACTCAGCCACATAAGAATGGGTCTTGTGCCTGGAACGCTTCCTTCTTAAGATACGAAGAGTTTTCACAGCCTGTGCTGGGCTGTTACCTTGTGTGGGAATATCTTTCCCTGTTTCAGACTCAGCATGTACCCCTTTGTTCTGCTGGTGTGTACATCATGTGGATAACCCCACTGTTATACCTGTGCCTCATGGGGAGGGGTTGGGGTCCTGCTAAAGCACAAGATGGGTATGTGCAGGCCACGGGCCCTGTGCCAGCTGCTGGGAGGAACTTGCTGGTTTTGGGGCACCAACACCCTCTACTGAAGCTGATCTTGCTCCGTCTCCTTCCTACGTGGGGAACGCCTTCTTCCATCTAGTTAGTGCCAGGCGGCATTTTGTTCTCCTTGGTGACTCTGATGTGAAGAGGCAGTGGGCGGAGTGCTTGGACTTCTGCTCCTGGTGACAGGCAACAGAACAGGACTTCTGCTCCAGGTGAGCAAGGTAACTTGTTCAACAGATATGGTGAAAGCTGACTTTTACGGTTGTACTGAAAGGGACACAGACCATAAAAATGTGGGAACACAACTAGATAGGAGGTTAGGAGTGAGAGTGGGTGGCCTTGGACATGAAAGGAGATTTAAAGTTTTTCAAAAAATTTTTTTTTTTTTTTTGAGACAGAGTTTTGCTCTGTCACCCAGGCTGGAGTCCAGTGGCCCAATCTTGGCTCACTGCAACCTCTGCCTCCCACGTTCAAGCAATTTTCCTGCCTCAGTCTCCTGAGTAGCTGGGACAACAGGCATCTGCCACCATGCCCAGCTAATTTTTGTATTTTTAGTAGAGACGGGGCTTCACCATATTGGCCAGGCTGGTCTGGAGCTCCTGACCTCAGGTGATCCACCTGCCTTGTCCTCCCAAAGTGCTGGGATTACAGGCATGAGCCACCACCCCCAGCCTAATTTTTCAAAGACTTTGGAAATAAGAATGAATAGAATTTGTAATTAATTTATATGGAAATAGAGGGTAGAACAGAAAGAGGATTTAGAGCCTGAGCAACTTTGAAAAATATTCAGCTAAGGTTCAGGAGACACCAACCATGCCAGTAACTTAAATAGGTAAAATTTATGTAAAGAATTGTTTCCTAGTAAAAGAGCAGTTAACCATACGTAGGGATAGAATGGGACTCTAGAGAGTACACGAATAGCAACTGTGGAAAGCAGCTACGATGTTGATAACAAAGGGAATGTGAACAAGAAAATAACTTCAGAAAGTTAGAAGAGATCCCTGTTCTCCACAAAGTGTAGATTCAGTCCTTTGTGGAGAGGACATGAAAGCTACAGAACGTGCATCCTGCTGGTGGCAGAGACACGTGCTGCAGGGCACAGGCTGAAGCTGGTACCTGGGAATGGCCCATTTCTGTCTGTCTGAGAAACCAGCTGGAACCAGCAGCCTTACTCCTGGCAGGTAATCTTACTGGAGGGCCTGGGCTGCAGCCGGTCTGTGAGGACCCCTGCCCTGTGGCAAGTGCTGCAGGGCCCTGAGCAGGATGCACAGAAAATAACACTATACAGGAAGAAAGGAGAGTCCTTTCCTCCAGCTTTGGCCTTGCAGGGTCCCTCCAGCACCCCCATTGACAAAAACATCAAGCTATCTGGCAAAGGAGAAATGTCTACAGGGTCCAGTTCCAGTATGGCAAAGCTGGGCAGAGAACAGTGGATTTGGAGCCAAGGAGCAATAACTTAACAACTGGCACAACCTCCAGTATACAGAATCTTGCTGGGAGAAGAGTAGCCAGTTGAGCTCCCGGGCAATATTTCATTGCTCATGTGCCCTTCCTTTTGCTGAAAAGAGGTGACAGTATTGCACCAAGACAAAATCCTTAATTTAACATACCTCTGGGGACAACAAGTAGAAAATAAAAGCATGCTAACTTTACGAAGGGAGAATTGGAACCTGAAGAAGATAAGATGACTGGAAGCAAAGCACGTTGGGAGTCATTGGGAAAGTTGGAAACAGCTCTCTGTATAAAACATCTTTGATTATTTTCTGTGTAACTTATGCTGTTTGTGGCCTTGGACAATCAACTCAAATGTGAGTTGATTTAATAGGTGACTGAAGAAGAAAGAAACTGAAATACTGGCTCCTATGTTCTGAAGCTACTGGGAAAAAATTTTCTTACTCTTGACTACCTTTCAACTCATGGAAGATCTGTCTGTCTCTCCGTCTCCTCTTCTCCAAGTGAAATATCCCAACTATTGTTAATACTAATGGCACATGGAGAAGACCTGAGCCCTAACTCTGCTATTTATTGATTGTGTGGCTTTGGTCAAAACTGTTCACTTTCTCAAAGCACAGGTTTGACATTTCTAAGACGAAAAGTTTGCACTGGAGATTTCTAAGATTTTCTCGTCTTTGTAAAACTTGTTAAAACATTTCACTTGTAATAGTCCCTTGTCCCTCATGCATGAGCTGTATTATGCATACATCTGTCTCACAGTGTGACGTCTGGAACAGAATTCATTGATATGGGGTCAGAGTGAGGCATGCCAGAAGCTCCCTAGGTAAGGTCTATTTCCATGAACTTTTTAGAAAACATAGCACAGTTTTTGAGCATGCTGGGTTCAGTTCTGGTTAGCTTATTTGCCTATAATATACACAGGAAGGGAGAATAAATGGTAGAATACAGAACCAGAGGCGGCATCAACCAGTCTCCATCATTAGGAGTATGCATTTTTGAGGGCAGAGCCTGGATAATTTTCATCTTCCCATTTGGAGAGGTACTCAGCTCAGTGCTTTTGAGCATGTACTCGAAAGATGGTTGGAGTGAGTAGATTACATATGTTCCCCTTTTTGGTAGTTACATTTTATTTTATTTTATTTTTAAAACTAGTTAGTCTAGAAAAGTTAGGTGGTGTTTTGCCCGGAGCCTTATAACTTTTGTAATTTGATGGATGTCACCATGAACTCTGGATCATGTCTGTTAATTTCCAGATTCAACCTTTTATTTTATATGTAATGCGAGTACTACTCTGTAAATCCATAAAAGGAGGAGTATCAGATAGGCAAGTCTCACAATGTCCACCATATGCACTTCCCTCCGTGGAGGGACTCGCTTTGCTCACATTCCTTGATGAAGGATGAGGCCATGGCCATGGAATGGTCCCATCCCCACTTAACCCTGCTCCCTGTTAATGCACCACGAATGGGACTTTGACCTAAGGACTGCCATTCTATAGGCTGATCTAACCTCTCTTAAATGCTCCCTGCCTCCCCATCCCCACTTGGCAAATGCATGCATTGTGAGTATGCAGAAAATCAGAGAGGTTTCTTCATTATCCCCTCTCTGTCCCTTTTATCATAGCTGGACAATGAATTCCTCTTGACTTTTAAAAATGTGCTATTATTATTATTACTTTTTGCTAAAGTAGCTCTCTTTCCCTCCCATTCCCAGCAACCATTCCAGTGCATGGACCAGCTGCCACCTTTTCCATTTCAGCAGACAGCTCCATCAGCTTTGCTGAGAACACAAAGGCTAGCATTATATTCCTGAAACTTGACATGTCTCTGCCCATGTTCACTTACTTCCTTTCGTCTCTGAGATGCTCTGCATCTTTCTGTTTAAGGCTCCTCCCATCCATTTGTGCTTTCGGTCCTATGCTTCCCTGTGTGCCCTGTCTTGCTCTGTGTATTTTTGACTTTCTTGTAAGTTGAACCTCACTCTCCGTACTGCATCTTTCCCGTCAACCTGTAAGCATATCAATAGGAAGCCCTAAATCCCTCCACCTAGCTATCAGCTAGGTTATTTATTTTTATTTGTTTGTTTGTTGAGTCAGAGTCTCGCTCTGTTGCCCAGGTTAGAGTGTAGTGGTGCAAACTCGGCTTACTGCAACCTCTGCCTCCTGGGTTCAAGCAATTCTCCTGCCTCAGCCTCCCAAGTAGCTGCAACCACAGGCGCCCACCACAATGCCTGGCTAATTTTTGTATTTTTAATGGAGATGGGGTTTCACCATGTTGCCCAGTCTGGTCTCGAACTCCTGACCTCAGGTGATCTGCCCACCTTGGCCTCCCAAAGTGTTGGGATTACAAGAGTGAGCCACCACGCCTGGAGGTAGGTTATAAAGGTGGTGTGTATGCACCTCCAATCTACTCCCCAAACTTACTGCAATTTGACATCTGCCCTCCTCCTTAACCACTGAAATTGTAATCACCAAGGCTGCAAAATAGCAATTTGGCCTTTAAATCAAGTGGATATATTTTGTTTTTTTAAAAAAATCAGATTGCGCTGTCTCCCTGGGAACTTTTGACAAATCAGTCCTAAATTCTCCACATGCCTGGCTTTGAGAATTATCCTTTCTCTCTGTTTTCTTTCAACATCTCTATTTCTTGTTGGCCTTCATGAAATTCACATCCTTTTTCGTAGCTTAAACATATACATTGAAATCATCTCTATATGAATCTGTCTTTTTCACTTGATTGTGAGTGTGATTTCAAAATAGAGATGGTATTTTTTATAGCTTTATATTCTCAGTAACTGTTTTAAAGTCGTTCTTTCATTTTCTTCTTTTCTTTTTTCAGAATGCGATGTTGAATTACCTTTTGCTACATAGATAGACTTTAATCCTATTCTCAGTTAGGATTACCTTTAGATATTAGTAAAGACTATGTCTTAAACAAGGAAGGGGCTTATTTTCTCCTGTTACAAAAAGCCAGAACCAAGCTCAAAATCCTCAGTAAGGAACCAGAGTCCTCCTTCTCCAACACTCTTAGCATTTGGCTTTCATCCTCGTGGGTGAAAATGGCTGCTGTGTGTACCTTCTGGCATCATGTCTTCCCTCTAGGAAGGAAGAAAGGTGAAGGGGAAGGCCCATGACAAGGGGTCACAACCCTTAAGCAGAGGTTTTACCTTTTCATTCTGGAAGCCCTCCTCAGGGATTTCAACCTGCATCTCATTGGCTGAGCTGGTTTGCTTAGCCACCCGTAGCTGCAAGGAAGGTGAGAGTCAAAATATTTTAACAGGGCAGATTGCTATACTGAACAACTTTGGGGTTTAGCCAGGAAGGAATGAGTGGGAAATGGATGTTGGGAAGGCAATTAGCAACTTCCTTTTTTCATTAGTGACCCCTAACTTGTTACTCTACATTACTGTATCATGAGCAAGTCACGCTAATCACTTCCGTTTGTCTTATTTGCTTCCATTTTAGATTATTTTTACCAATCAGATTTTAGAATATGCCCTGGCCTCATCAGGAACACATTTAGAATGGAAATTAAAAGTAAGCCACTTTTGGAGAAGATATCTACACATGGCCAATCTTATCCCTACTAGGTTGATTCTTACACATTTCAAATTCTAGAGCTAATTTTCCTTTTTTAAAAAAAAAAATTAAAACATCAGATTTTTATTGTTCAAGTTATGTGATAATAAAAATCTGTAAGTGGAAAAGAATTAAATTTTTAAAAATTACTTTCAATTTTTATTTTAGATTCAGGGACACATGTGCAGGTTTGTCATGTGGGTACAGTGTGTGATGCTGAAGTCTGGGGTACTAATGATTCCATCCCCCAGGTAGTGAACATAGTACCCAATAGGCAGTTTATCTACCCTGGTCCTCCTCCCTTCTCCCCACTCTAGTAGTTTCCAGTGTCTATTGTTGCTGTCTTTATGTCTATGAGTACCCAATGTTCAGTTTCCACTTATAAATGAGAACATGCTGTATTTGGTTTTCTGTTCCTGCATTAATTGGCTTAGGATAATGGCTTACAGCTGCAAAAAAGTCATGTTGGTGCAAAGAACATGACTTTGTTCTTTTTTATGGCCACGTAGTATTCCATGGTGTATATATACCACATTTTCTTTCCTTCGTCCTTTCTTTTTTTTTTTATTTATTTTGTTGAGACAGAATCTTGCTCCATCGCCCAGGCTGGAGTGCAGTGGTGGGATCTCGGCTTACTGCAACCTGTGGCTTCTGGGTTCAAGTGATTCTCCTGCCTCAACCTTCTGAGTAGTTGGGACTACAGTCGTGCACCGCCCATGCCCAGCTAATTTTTGTAGTTTTAGTAGAGATGGGGTTTCACCATATTGGCCAGGCTGGTCTTGAACTCCTAGCCTTAAGTGATCTGCCCACCTCGGCCCCCACAAAGTGCTGGGATTACAGGCATGAGCCATTGCACCAAGCCCATATTTTCTTGATCTAATCCACTATCGGTGGGCACCTAGGTTGGTTCCATGTCTTTGCTATTGTGAGTAGTGCTGTGATGAACTTATGAGTGCATGTGTCTTTTTGGTAGAATGATTTCTTTTCTTTTGGATATATACCCAGTAATGGAATTGCTGGGTGGAATGGTAGTTCTGTTTGAAGTTCTTTGAGAAATCTCCAAACTCCTTTCTACAGTGGCTGAACTATTTACATTCCCACCAAGAGTGTATGAGTTCCCTTTTCTCCATAGCCTCACCAGCAGCTGTTGTTTTTTGACTTTTTATTAATAGCCGTTTAGACTGGTGTGAGATGGTATCTCACAGAGGTTTTGATTTGCATTTCTCTGATGATTAGTAATGATGAGTGTTTTTTCATATATTTGTTTGGCCCTTTTATGTCTTCTTTTGAGAAGTGTCTGTTTCTGTCTTTTGCTTCCTTTTTTTCTTTTTCTTTTTTCTTTTTCCTTTTTTTTTTTTTTTTTTTTTGAGATGGAGTCTCACTCTTGTTGCCCAGGCTGGAGTGCAATGGCACGATATCAGGTCACCGCAACCTCCGTCTCCTGGGTTCAAGTGATTCTCCTGCCTCAGCCTCCTGAGTAGCTGGGATTATAGGCATGCGCCACCATTAATAGGGCTATTTGTTTTTTTGTTTCTTGTCAAATTGTTTGTGTTTCTGATAGATTCTGGATATTAGACCTTTGTTGGATGCATAACTTGCAAATATTTTCTCCCATTCTGTAGGTTGTCTGTTTACTCTGTTGATAGCTTCTTTTGCTATGCAGAAGCTCTTTAGTTTAATTAGATCCCACTTGTCCATTTTTGTTTTAGTTGCAATTGCTTTAGGGGACTTAGCTATAAATTCTTTCCCAAAGCTGATGTCCAGAACAATGTTTCTGAGATTTTCTTTCAGAATTCTTATAGTTTGAAGTCTTACATTTAAGTCTTTAATCCATCTTGATTTAATTTTTGTATATGGTGAAATACAGGGGTCCAGTTTCATTCTTCCTCATATGGCTGGCTATCCCAGCAGCCATCTTGATTTAATTTTTGTATGTGGTGAAATATAGGGGTCCAGTTTCATTCTTCCTCATATGGCTAGCTATCACAGCAGCCATTGGGAGTCCCTTCCCCATTGCTTATTTTTGTCAACTTTGTCAAAGATCACATAGCTGTATGTGTGTGGCTTTATTTCTGGGTTCTTTATTCTGTTCCATTGGTCTATGTGTCTGTTTTTGTACCAATACCATGCTGTTTTGATTACTATAATCTTTTACTATAGTTTGAAGTCAGGTAATGTGCTGCCTCTGGCTTTGTTCAGTTTGTTTAGGATTGCTTTGTCTATTTAGGCTATTTTTTTGCTATAAGAATTTTAGAATGTTTTTTCTATTTCAGTGAAAAATGACATTAGTGGTTTGATAGGAATAGCATTGAATCTGTAGATTGCTTTGGGCAGTTGGCCATTTTAATGATATTGATTCTTCCAATCCATTAGTATGGAACGTTTTTTCATTTGTTCGTATTATCTATAATTTCTTTCAGTAACGTTGATCTTTCACTTCCTTGGTGATTCCTAGTAGTTTTGGTATTCCTAGTATTTTTTGTGTGTGTGGCTATTGCAAATGGGATTATGTTCTTTATTTGGCTCTGAGCTTGAACATTATTAGCGTATAGAAATGCTACTGATTTTTGTGCGTTGATTTTGTAGCTTGAAACTGCTAAAGCTATTTATCAGTTCTAGGTGTCTTTTGGTAGAGTCTTTAGGGTTTTCTAGGTATAGAATCATATTGTCAATAAAGAGAGATAGTTTGACTTCTTTTCCTATATCGATTGCTTTTATTTCTTCTCTTGCCTGATTGCCCTGGCTAGGACTTCTAGTACTATGTGGAATTGGAGTGGCAAGAACGGGCATTCTTGTCTTTTTCCAGTTTTCCAGGGAAATGCTTTCATCTTTTGCGTGTTCAGTATGATGTTGGCTGTGAGTTTATCATAGATGGCTCTTATAATTTTGGGGTATGTTCCTTTGATGCCTAGTTTGTTGAGGGTTTTGATCATGAAGGGATGTTGGATTTTTATCAAAAGCCTTTTGCGTGTGTATTGAGGTGATCATATGGTTTTTGTTTTTAATTTTCTTTATGTGGTCAATCACATTTATTGATTTGTGTATGTTGACCCAACCTTGCCTTCCAGGAGTGAAGCCTACTTGATCATGGTGAATTAAGTCTTTGACGTGCTGCTGGATTTGGTTTGCTAGTATTTTGTTGAGGATCTTTGCATCTATGTTCATCAGGGATATCAGCCTGTAGTTTTCTTGTTTTTATTGTGTTTTTGCCAGGTGTTGGTATCAGGTGCTTTGTAGAATGAGTTAGAGAGGAGTCCCTCCTCCTCAATTTTTTAGAATAGTTTCAGTAGAATTAATGCCTACTCTTCTTTGTATATCTGGTAGAATTCAACTGTGAATCTATCTGGTCTTAGGCTTTTTTGGTTGGCAGGTTTTTATTACTGATACAATTTCAGAACTTGATATTGGTCTGTTCAGGGTTTCATTTTCTCTCTGATTTAATCTTGGGAGAGTGTGTTTCCAGGAATTTATCAGTTTCTTCTGGATTTTCTAGTTTGTGTGTATAGAGTTGTTTGTAGTAGCCTCTGAGGATCTTTTGTATTTCTGTGGAGTTGGTTAAAATGTCACCTTGTTGTTTCTGATTGTGCTTATTTAGATCTTCTTTTTTTCTTTGTTAATCTAGCTGGCAGTCTATTGATCTTGTCTATCCTTTCAAAAAACCACTTTTTGTTTTGTTCATTCTTTGTATGGATGTTTGGGTCTTAATCTCATCCATTCTGCTCTGATTTTAATTATTTCTTTTCTTTTAATTGCTTTGGGGTTATTTTGTTCTTGTTTTTCTAGTTCCTCTAGGTCTAATGTTAAATCATTAATTTGAGGTCTTTTTTTTAACTTTTTGAGGTAGGCATTTAGTACTATAAACTTTCCTTTTGCTGTATCCCAGAGATTTTGGTATTTTCTATCTCTGTTTTCATTTATTTCCAATACGTTTTTGATTCCTGTGTTATTTACCCAAATGTCATCCAGAAGCAAGTTGTTTAATTTCCATGTAATTTTATGGTTTTGAGAGATCTTCTTTGTACTGATTTCTATTTTTACTCCATTGTGGTCCAAGAGAATGGTTGGTATAATTTCTATATTTTTTAATTTATTGAGACTTGCTTTACGGCTGAGAGTGGGATTGATCTTGAATTAGGTTCTGTGTGCAAATGAGAAGAATGTATATTCTGTGGTTGACGGGTGGGGCATTCTGTAGATATCTTTTAGGTCCAGCTGGTCTAGTGTTAAATTTAAGTCCAGAGTTTCTTTTGTTAGTTTTCTGCCTTGATGACCTAACACTGTCAGTGGGGTGTTGAAGTCCCCCACTCTTATTGTGTGATTGTCTAAGTTGTTTCATAAGTCTGGAAGTACTTGTTTTATGAATCTTGGTGTTCTAATGTTGGGTGCATATATATTTAGGATAGTTAAGTCTTCCTGTTGAATTGAACCCTTTATCATTATGTAATACCTTCCTTTGTCCTTTTGTGTGGAGGTAATTTTTCTGATTCTGTCCCCAGATTATTGAAAGCATATCTCATTTGAGACTTGCTTTTACTTTTCCTAGAGTAGCTATTTCTGTCTCCCATTCTCAGTAACTATTCCAGTCTCGTGACCAACCACCACTCCTCATATCTTAGTAGACAGCCTCATCTTGGTTGAGAAAATAAAGGCTGTTATTACTCTATTCCTAAAACTTGTCTGTGTTTGAGAGTATATCTTATAAGTTATATATAAAGTTTAATATATACAGTCATGTGCTACATAATGACATTTTGGTGAACAGTGAATTATGTAGATGGTGGTGAGGCCATAAGATTATAATTGAGCTGAAAAATTCCTATGGCCCACTGATATTGTAGCCATTGTAACTTGTTAGCACAATGCATTACTCATGTGTTTATGGTGATGTTGATGTAACCTACTGTACTACCAGTTGTATAAAAGTCTAGCACATATGATTATGTATAGTGTATAATACTGATAATAAATGACTATGTTACTGATGTATGTATTTACTATACTTTTACATCAGTATTTTATAACATTACTCTTCTACTTATTTTATGAATAAGTTACTGTAAAACAGCCTCAGGCAGGTCCTTGAAGAGGTATTCCAAAAGAAGGCAGTGTTATCTTAGATGACAGCTCTGTGCATGTTATCGCCCCTGAAGACCTTCCAGTGGGACAAGATGCGGAGGAGACAGATGCATTTCTCTGGACATATCATTCTCATTAAGCAATGTGTGACCGTATTTTAATATTATACAATTTAGTAACTTGCGATATATGCATATCACATATACTATAATATATAATTTATGTTGTGATATAATTGTGATTAGGTTATCTGTCAACTTTGTTAAAATAGAATCTTTTGAAATGTAATTTTCTATATATTAAACACAACTGTGTTAATCCATGTCTAGATGAAGGCTGTTTTTAGAGAAAGAGAGGGGTGGATAAATGCTGGAGGATGAAGTCCAGCCATTCAAGCAGAAGGAAATAGACACCAAAATGTAAAATGAAGAAACAGATTAACTGCTACATTCTGAAAGCAGTTATAGCACGGTACTCAGTAATGGCTTAGTGAAAAATTTTATTTTGTACGCTGAATAAGCATCAGATCCACCAGGTGGGGCTCTAATATTCTTTTGGTTCAATGACTGAAAATCTGAGCATTTGCTGTTATCTTTAGAGAAAGGAAATATATCTCCCATATTAACCTCCAAGAGAATTCGCCTGAGATAGGATTATGCCTCTAATAAGCATTATCATTGTTTAATATCTTTTAATACCATTAGTTGATTTATATAGAACACAGCCAATTTGCTGAAAATTGAGGCATTCAAATAGTTGAATTAAATCAGTTCAAGTAGTTCTGAGTTAAATCCTTTTGTGAGCCTTCTTTTGAGGAAACAAAGACATATTTATACAAAAAGATGCATTTTTGCTACAGTGCTGTTGCATCTTTAGATTTACTGACATAGTTGAGAATGTGAATTATTTAAAATTATATTAAATCATGTGGAATTTATCACAGCTGCAATATACTCAGCCCAATATAGTTGTCTGAATAGGTTATGTTTTGAGTGTTGAAAATCAAAATTTTTCAGGGCTGGGATGTGGGTTCTTTAAGAAATACATTTTGCTTCTATTTTTCTGAGATTTAGATTTGGAAACCTGAGCCTCTTCTTGGACTCCTTTCCCCATGACTCATAACTTTTGTTCAACCTGGAAAGAATGCCAGCTTGGGAAGATAGATTTGAATTTTGGTTTTGAGGGTAGGTGGATCTAAATCGTAGAGTTGAGATTGAGCTGGATTAGATAGATGTGTCATAGAGTGGAAGAGTCCCGAGTTAGGATCAGAAGCCATAGTTTGATGTCCCAGGTCAGCCAGTCATCAAACATCACTAGTAGCAATAAAGATAACTGCTAACTTTCACCAAATGTTTCTGGTCATTAACTTGTCTTGTCCTCCTGTTAGCCTCTGGGTCTGGCTGAGGGTCTGTTTGGCTGAGGACAATTCCTTTTTTTTTTTAATTAATTTTTAAGTTGATAATAATTATATGGGTTTATTGTGTACAACATGAAGTTTTGAAATATGTACGCATTGTGGACTGGCCAAATCGAGTCAATTAACATACGTATTAACTCACATCCTTATTTTTTGTGGCGAGGACACACAGTTTACTCTTAGCAATGTTCAAGAGTACACTGCACTGCTATTGACTGAAGTCACCATGTTGTATAATAGATCTCTTAAACTTACTCCTCCTGATTAACTGAAATTTTGTACCTTTTGACCAACATTTCCCCAGCTCCGGCCCCTGCCCCCACTGTCTCCCCCCCACCCCACCCAAACCATTTCAGACCCTGGTTACCACCATTTTACTCTACTTTTTTGAGTTCAACTTATTTAGAATCCACATGTAAGTGACATCATGTGGTATTTATTTGCCTTTCTGTGCCCGGCTTATTTCACTTAACATAATGTCCTCTAGGTTCAGGTTCATCCATGTTGTTGCAAATTACAGGATTTACTTCTTTTTAAAAGTTGAATAGTATTCCATTGTGTACATACAACACATTTTCTTTTCTTTTCTTTTCTTTTCTTTTTTGGAGTTGGAGTTTTGCTCTGTCTCCCAGGCTGGAGTGCAGTGGTGCCATCTCGGCTCACTGCAACCTCTGCCTCCCGGGTTCAAGTGATTCTCATGCTGCAGCCTCCTGAGTAGCTGGGATTTTAAGCATGCACCCACCATGACCAGCTAATTTTTTATTTTTTTGCGTTTTTAGTAGAGAGGAGGTTTCGCCATGTTGGCCAGGCTGGTCTCAAACTCCTGACATCAAGTGATCTACCCGCCTTGGCCTCCCAAAGTGCTGGTATTACAGGCATGAGCCACCCCACATCACATTTTCTTTATCAATTCATGGTTGAATGATGGCCACTTAGGTTGATTCCATATCTTGACTATTGTGAATAATACCACAATGATCATGACAGTGTAAATGTCTCTTGGACATACTGATTTCATTTTCTTTGTACTATACTCAGACGTGGAATTTCTGGATCATATGGTAGTTCTATTTTTAATATCGTGAGGAATCTTCATACATTTGCCCATGATGGGTTTGCTAATTTACATTCCCACCAACAGTGTGCAAGGCTTCCCTTTTCTCCACACGCAGCTGAGAATGATTCTCCAGAGGGGGCAACTGAGTGCTTAGCAGCCAACACTCATGGCAGCCGGGGACAGGTGTCCAGCATGTGTTTCTTTGTTCCTAGGGTCAACCATTGCACAGCTCCACAGGTACAAACATGTGCATGATACCTCCTAGAGCTGTGTAACACCACAACCCTGTTTATATCAATCTTTCTAAATAGAGAAAGTGTTTTAAAATGTAAAAATTAGCTAATGTTTCTTTCCAGTATATGGATTCTAGCAAAACCATAAGTACATGAACAGACAGTCCAAGTTGACCTCAGCAGAGCTATCTGCCCTTTATTCACATCTGTAGCTAAAACATTAAAAGTATTAGATGTGCTTGTTTAAAAATTAGATGTATTTATGACATCTGTTAACATGGCCAGCAATGGAAAAATCTTCTGAGGAGACTACAAGGGGTCAGAACCCATAATCCCATCCACCTTTGAAGTGAGGCTGGCTCAACTGTTGGTGAAAAGCCAGCCAAGAAGGCAAAGAAAGCAAGTTCCAGAAGAACACAATAGTAGCAACGACTAGTCATTGAGTTGGGAAGCTCTGTGTGAGATGCTTTACATGGCTTCTGTCCTATATGTCCCCCATTGGAGCAAGCAGAGAATACCAAGCCGGGTTTACAAGTGAGGTGACATGACTTGCCCAAGGTCACATAGCAATGGCAATGGCCAGGCATTCAACACTGTTGAATGAGAACTTCTGTTTTGGGAAATGAAGGCATCCTCGTGGGAAATGGGGATCCTCAGAGCAGGCAGCACTCAGAGATCTGGCCAAGGAAGCAGACAACTTCAGAGAACTCAGTCAAGGTAATGGAAAGAAAGAATTACATTTACTGAACATTTAGTACGTGCCAGACTCTGGACACACATTGAGCTATCCCATGTGAAGTAGGGAGGAAGGACACAGCCTTTGGAATCAAGTCACCAGAGTTCCCATCCTGATTCTGTCATTTCTGACAGTTCTGAGCAAGTTACTAAATCCTCTCTAACCCTCTAAACTTCAGTTTTCAACTTTTATTTTTATTTATATATTTTAAAAATTTAATTTAATTTTTTTTGAGATGGAGTCTTGCTCTGTCACCCAGGCTGGAGGGCAGTGGTGTGATCTCAGCTCACTGCAACCTCGGTTTCCTGGCTTCAAGTGATTCTCCTGCTTCAGCCTCCTGAGTAGCTGGAACTAAGAGTGCCCGCCACCATGACCAGCTAATTTTTGTATTTTTCTTTTTCTTTTTTTTTTTTTTTAGTAGAGATGGGGTTTCACCATGTTGGCCAGGCTGGTCTCAAACTCCTGACCTCAGGTGATACACCTGCTTCAGCCTCCCAAAGTGCTGGGATTACAGGTGTGAACCACCACACCTGGCCAGTTTGCACCTGGCCAGTTTCCAACTTGTAAAATGGGAATACTTGCCCCTACTTGATGGAGCATTTCCAAGACTCATTGAGATAACCTGCATAAAGTGCTTCCTAGGCAGAACAGAGGGAATTGCTTCCCCAAACTATAGAGCTGGTGAGAGGTAGAGAAGAAATTCCAAGGCACCTCTTTCTGGTCCCGAATCCCTGGCACTTCTGATGACAATGCCCCGTAGAGACAACCAAGGATGAAACTAGAGCTCAGGGGCTGGACTTTTGTCTCTGCATCATCTACTAGCATTATCTCCCATTACTTGATTCTGCTTCAACCACAGAAGTTTCTTGAACACACATGCTTGCTCCAACCTTCGAGTGCTGGTATTAGCTGGTCCCTTTATTTAGGACTCCTTCCCCCTAGCTGCTTGACGTATTCCCTCATTCTCTTCAAGTATTTGCTGAAATTTCATCTCTGCATTGAGGTATATCTTCACCATCTGATTTAAAACTGCATTCTGACCACAAGCAGAATTCCCAGTGTACTTTTTCTTTTTTCCAAAAGCTCCATGAGAGCAGGTATTCTTGTCTTTTTTTTTTTTTCCCCCTCATCGATGTATCCCCAGTGCCTAGAATGGTGCCTGGGACATAGTAACCACTTAATAAATATCTGATGAGCACACGTTGAATAAATGAGTAAATATGAAGGGAGGACCTAAGGAAGATAAGAGCAAGACCACTCCTAAAAGTTGAAGAAAATGTGATTATTGAGTTTTGAGGCTAAAGGTGTTAGGACAATATAAAGTTTAGTTACTTAATGGAAGTCTGAGGTCAGATTGCACTGCAGGGAAGCCTGAATTTCTGCTGAATTGCATAGTATGAAGTAGAACTTTTAAAAAAAAATTTTTTTTATTATTATTATACTTTAAGTTTTAGGGTACATGTGCACAACGTGCAGGTTTGTTACATATGTATACATGTGCCATGTTGGTGTGCTGCACCCATTAACTCGTCATTTAGCATTAGATATCTCTCCTAATGCTATCCCTCCCCGCCCCTGCCCCACAAGAGTCCCCGGTGTCAAGTAGAACTTCTTACTCCCTGCCTATGAATCAAGATTATCCCCAGGTTTCAAACACTGTCCTGTATATTTTTATTCTTCTCATCAACAAATATTTATTGACACCACTGTGCTGGGACCCAAGTTGTAGGGATGCAAAAATGAACAAAACGCTGTCCCAGCCTTCGCAGAGCTCACGGTCTACTGAAGGAAATAGGTAAATACAGATCATTATTTTATTTTAGTATTTATTTATTTTTAAAATTTCAACTTTTATTTTAGATTCAGGGGGTACATGTGCAAGTTTGTTCCATGGGTATATTGAATCTTGCTGAGGTTGTGAGTATCATTGATCCCATCACCCAGGTTGTGATCATAGTACACAATAGATAGTTTTTCAACCCTTTCCGTTTTCCCTCCTCCCCTTCTATAGTCCCAAGTTTCTATTGTTCCCATCTTTGTATATGTGTGTACTCATTGTTTAGTTTCCACTTGTAAGTGAGAACATGCAGTATTGGTTTTCTGTTCCTGAGTTAATTCTCTTAGGATAATGGCCTCCAGCTGCATCCATGTTGCTGCAAAGGACATGACTTCATTCTTTTTTTAATGGCTGCATCATATTCCATGGTGTGTATGTCCCACATTTTCTTTATCTAATCCACCGTCAATGGGAACCTAGGTTGATTTCATGTCTTTGCTATTGTGAATAGTGCTGTGATGAACATATGAGTGCAAGTGTCTTTTTGGTAGAATGATTTATTTTCCTTGGGTATATATTCAGTAATGGAATTGCTTGGTTGAATGGTGGTTGTGTTTTGAGTTCTTTGAGAAATCTCCAAACTACTTTCCATAGTGGCTGAACTAATGTACATTCCCACCAACAGCGTATAAGGGTTTTCTTTTCTCTGCAGCCTTGCCCACATCTGTTATTTTTTGACTTTTTAATAATAGCTATTCTGACCTGTGTGAGATGGTATCTCATTGTGGTTTCGATTTTGATGATGAATATTTTTATATGTTTGCTGGCTGCTTGTATGTCTTTTGAGAAATTGTCTGTTCATGTCTTTTGCCTACTTTTTAATGGGGTTATTTGTTGTTTCTTGTTGAATTGTTTAAGTTTCTTATGGATTCTGGATATTATTAGACTTCTGTTGGATACATAGTTTGCAAATATTTTCTCCCATTCTGTAGATTATCTGTTTATTCTATTGGTAATTTCTTTTAATGTCCAGAAGCTCTTTAGTTTAATTAGGTCCCACTTGTCAAATTTTGGTTTTGTTGCAATTGCTTTTGAGGATTTAGTCATAAATTCTTTGTCAAGGCCAAGGTCTAGAGGGTAGCTCCTAGGTTTTATTCTACGGTCTTTATGGTTTAAGATTTTACGTTTAAGTATTTAATTTATTTTGAGTTAATTTTTCTATGTGGTGATAAGTAGGAGTCCAGTTTCATTCTTCTGCATATGAATAGCCAATTATCCCAGCACCATTTATTGAATAGGAAGTCCTTTCTCCATTGCTTATATTTGTCAACTTTGTTGAAGATCAATTGATTGTAAGTGTGTGGCTTTATTTCTGGGTTCTTTATTCTGTTCCATTGGTCTATGTGTCTGTTTTGTATCAGTATCAGGCTGTTTTGGTTACTGTGGCCTTGTAGTACAGTTTGTAGTTGGGTAAGGTTATGCTCTTTGTTCTTTTTCCTTAGGATTGCTTTGGCTATTCGGGCTCTTTTTTGGTTCCATATGAATTTTAGAATAATTTTTTCTAATTCTGTGAAAAATGGCTTTGGTAGTTTGATAGGAATAGCATTGAATCTGGAGCTTGCTTTGGGCAGTATGCCTATTTTAACGATATTGATTCCTCCAATCCATGAGCAGGGAATGTTTTTCCATTTGTTTGTATTATCCATTATTTCTTTCCACAGTGTTTTGTAGTTCTCATTGTAGAGATATTTCATCTCCTTGGTTAGATGTACCCTTGGGTATTTTATTTTTGTTGTGGCTATTGTAAATGGGTTTGTGCTCTTGATCTGGCTCTCAGCTTGAACATTATTGCTGCATAGAAATGCTACTAATTTATGTGCATTGATTTTGTATTTTGAAACTTTACTGAAGTGGTTTGTCAGTCCTAGGAGCCTTTGGTGGAGTGTTGAGGATTTTCTAGGTATGGAATCATATTGTCAGCAAAGAGAGATAATTTGACTTCTTTCCCTATTTTGGTGCCTTTTATTTATTTCTCTTGCCTGATTGCTTTGGCTAGGACTTGCAGTACTATGTGGAATAGAAGTGGTTAAGAGTAGGCATCCTTGTCTTGTTCTAGTTCTTAAGGGAGGTGCTTCCAGCTTTTGCCCATTCAGTATGATGTTGGCTGTGGGTTTGTCATAGACTTGTCTTATAATTTTGAGGTATGCTCCTTTGATGCCTAGTTTGAGAGCTTTGATCATAAAAAGATGTTGGGCTTTATAAAAGTTTTTCTGCATCTATTGAGATGCAAATCATTATTTTAAAAATTAATGAAAGTAAGCGCAGTGACAGAATATGCACAAGGATTAGGAATGTCTTATGACTGATAACTGACTAGAGTGAGTGAGTATTAGTCCATTTTTACACTGCAGATAAAGACATACCCAAGACAGGGTAATTTATAAGGAAAAAGAGGTTTAATGGACTCACAGTTCCAGGTGGATGGGGAGGCCTCACAATCATGATGGAAGGTGAAAGTCACATCTCACATGGTGGCAGGCAAGAGAAGAATGAGAGCCAAGCGAAAGGGGTTTCCCCTTATAAAACCGTCAGATCTCGCAAGACTTATTCACTACCATGAGAACAGTATTGGGGAAACTGCCCCCATGATTCAGTTATCTCCCACTGGGTCCCTTCCACAACATGAGGAAATTATGGGAGCTACAATTCAAGATGAGATTTGGGTGGGGTCACAGGCAAACCATATCAACATCCAAACTGAATTTTGAGTGGGGTTCTCTTGTCTCTATAGAGTGGCAACAATAAGAATAGCTTTCTAGAAATTTCAAGGCGAAATTCCTTCCCTGTTGTTTACACCTTATAATTGCTCAAAAATATTTGGTAGATCAGTTTATTTACAATGCTGGTGGAACAATTGTCATTGACAACATTCAAGCTGTCTGCCAGCTCATGCCTTCCCAGCTTCAACCAGTTCTGAAATCAGTCCTGAACTTCCAGGGATCAGGAATTAAATGTGTCTTGGTACCCAGTGTGTTTAGCCAAGCCACATGCATGCATCTATCTACTGAGTCCCAGCCTTTTTAGTCCCTTTGAGACAATCCAGTCCATATACTGCTTCAATTTCTCTCCTGAGCCAGGAGTTTTGATCTAAAGCATGTTTCTATTGGAGAAACATGTTCCCAGGCTGTGTTCTGCTCTCTGTCGATCCAAGCACTAACCACATGGTCTGCTGATGGACTGATTGCCTAAGATTGTGCTTATCGCCTGACCAGCTGTGCGATGTCTCACCATTCAGATAAAACTCAACTGGATATTGATATCTGTCCCAAGCAAGCAGGGTTTACCATGCCCATTTGAAGACAGCACATTGGACTTTTTGGATACCCTATGTAGGCACTAAGCCTACAGTTTTTGCAACTTCCTCAACCCCACCTTTCTCAGTCTTGATTTTTGTATTCATCCTTCCTTTGTCTCCCAACATACATGTGTACTCCTTTACTTTCTGAATGCACCCACAAACACATTGATTCTAGCTGTTACTCTGTTGTTGTTGTTGTTCAAAGCTGTGTTACTTTTACCCTCTTGTGCCTTATGGCAGGGCCTGCCAACTTATTTTACATATGGGTTGAAATTTTGTCTTTTCCTTGACTAATTTCTTATGTCATGATTCTACATTATGTTTCTCTACCCAATAGGCCAGAGCATTACCAAAATATACTTCCTAGTCATATTTGCCTCCAGACATAGCAATCCTGGTAACTACCCATGAGAACCCCTAGACCTCCTTTCTTAGTGCATACAGATGGGACTTACATCATGAGGGGTATAAATACCAGGGGTCCTTGATAGCCCCAGATCTTCCCTGAATTTCCCAAAAGATGCCTTCAGGGTGCCATCTCTTATATTTGATATATATTTCTTTGTAACTAATTACCCCATAACTTAGTGGCACCAAACAATAAACATTATCTCACACAGTTGCTGGTGATCAGGAATTCAGAGCAGTTTAGCTGGGTGTTTCTGGCTCAGAGTCTGTGATGAGGGTGTAGTCAAGACAACAACCAGAGTTGTAGTCATTGCAGGGCATAACTGGGGATAGAGGATCTTTTTCCAAGATGGCTCACTCATCTGGCTGTTGGCAGGAGTCTCAGTTTGCCACCATGTGGGCTCTCCATAGGCTGCCAAGTGTCCTAACAATATGGCAGCTGGTTTCCTTCCCCCAGAGGGAGTGATCCAAGAGCAAGCAAGGCGGAGGCAGCTCGCTTTTATAACCCAGCCTCGGAAGTCACATGTTGCCATTTCTACAATATGCTATTGGTGCCACAGGTCAGTCCCATTCACTGTGGGAGGGGACGACACAAGACATAAAGGCTAGGAGGTGGAGATCTCCAGGGACATCTTGGGGGTGGACTCTGACACCTCTTTAGCTTAAGATTTCATCAATTCATATGCAAGACTACACCATGCAGCTCCTGTTTTTCCTCCAGGTCATGCCATAGGATACCGAATAGTTGGATTAGCTGCTCTTGACTTGCCAGTTAGCTGTGGTGAGGCGAGACTGGGATGTCATGGTATAAACCCAGTCGCTGTAGGGTGACTGCGTATAGACAGGGCTGTTGCCTAAGAACAGATTAGAGATGAGGATGACTGTGAAGGACATTTCAGCATTCCCTTACTCCAAGAGCAGAATCCAAGAAAAGAAAATAACAGAAAGAAGATGAAAAAAAGAAAAAAAAAAAAAAAAGCAAAGTAGGCTGCCTTTTTGTTTACTTTTTTTTTTTTTTTCTTTTCTGAGACGGAGTTTCGCTCTGTTGCTCAGGCTGGAGTGCAATGGCACCATCTTGGCTCACTGCAACCTCTGCCTCCCGGGTTCAAGCGATTCTCCTGCCTCGGGCTCCTGACTAGCTGGGATTACAGGCATGCGCTGCCACGCCCGACTAATTTTTTGTATTTTTAGTAGAGATGGGGCTTCCCCATGTTGGTCAGGCTGGTCTCGAACTCCTGACCTCAGGGGACCGGACCATCTTTGCCTCAAGTGCTGGGATTACAGGCATGAGCCACCGCGTCTGGCCCTAACTTTTTCTAGGGCCTAGACCTTTTTCTAGGGCTGAGGCCGGTCTAGGTCTCTTCATCTCCACACTTGGCAGACGTCAGGATTGAAGAATGGGCTTCGGCCAGCAGAGGGCAGGCTTCTACGACCCAGAGACTGTCTTTTAACTTCTTTAGAATAAAGGAGAAATAGAACCATAAAATTTCAGAGTTGAAAGGGACCTGAAATAGTTCTATACTAAGACCTCCTTATTTCACAGATGATTAAACTGAAGCCCAGAGAAGTGGAAGTAGCTTATCTAAGTTCTGACACTCTGCAAATGGCATAGTTGAGATTTGAACTCTTAGCTCCTTGACCGTTTTTGCTTTTATTATTCTAAAACTCTTCTCGTCTAATTCAACTGGCTTGAAAATCAGTCAGGGCTCTTGCCTTGTTGACCTAGCCCATCACATTTTAGACACATAGGGAGGATTAGGCTTACTTCACTATTTCTCAAATTTGAGCAAAAGGGTAATAACACTTTTGATATTTTAATTTTTGACTTAAATTGTTTTTACATTTTTATTATTTTACCTAATGCATAAAAACATAAAACTAGAGAGAACATGCTATGTTTACAGCTTTTATAAAATGATTTATTAAAATAAAATTTATAAAGTTAATACAAATAAAAATTTAAAAGGTGACAAATTGACAACATTAATGGGATGTAGAGGATGGTGTTATTTTGCTGAAACTACATGGCTATTCACCACTGAATTTGGCATGAGTTTGCTGTGCCTATACTCCCATGTGCTATGTGGTTAATCAATTTTCCTATTACATTATTTTACTTATGCCATGACAAACCTTCATCTGTATAGTGAGTCATTTTAGCATCATTTTGTTTTCATTAAGTGAGAATGCTTCATTTATCGATTAATCTCACTTCTTTTCCCATTATCTGGATGGTTCTCCAACATAACTACAAACAGAAATGCAAACATGAGCCATGAAATCTGGAAATGTAATTGGTTATAAGGTGATTACCCAGAGGAGCTATTTACATTAATACAAGCGTCGAAATGAAAACACACTCCAAAAAAAAAAATAAATAAAATAAAAGAGCTTGCAGCTTCACCCAGAATGTTCACAAACCCTTCAGCATCCACACACTGCCATTAGAGGGGACACTGCATAATGCATTTGGCTTTAGTCCTGATAGTATGTTCTAGACATGATGTTGTATGTTGTCTGAACAAGAGTTATCTTGATTTCAAAGGAAAAAAAAGAAATGCCATTAACATTTGTTTGATTGTCAATGACAATGTCTTAATGAAGAGCTAATGAATGAATGCACAGAAAACACAGGCGTCCCTTTGCTTTTCCTCGAGTCACCGAGATTAAAGGTATACCCTGTCGAAGGTGACAGAGTTAGGGCAGAAGGCTGGGTGTCCCGGACAGCTCAATAGCAGGCTGTATTGTCTGTTACAGGGCACATACTTTGAACTTGTGTTGACTCAGCCCAGTTGGAAAACTGAATACAAACTAAGACTTGACCAAAACCAGATGTTCTGCGTGACCTGCGCTTCAGGCACAGTGTGCCGCAGTTAACAAATGACGCCTTTTGGATTAATCTAAATATAAAGGCTTCCTGCCAGGACAGTCTCCCGAAACTTATTTGGCTTGGCCTGTTTTTGGTGTAAAAACATCAGACCACCAGAGCTACAGAGCAGCATTTCATCAGTAGGGCTACAAGTCAGAGTGGAGTCTGCATAATTGAAGCTATGTTCCCTTTGACCCATGGTTATCATTTCACAATGCATATATATCAAAACATCAAACAGTAAACCTTAAATAAATACAATTTTTATTTGTCAATGATACCTCAATAGAGCAGTTAAAAAAGAAGAATGGAGCTTGTGACTCAGCCTCCAGTATTACCCCTTCTGCTCGCAGGCATTACGCTTCTGCCAGCCAGTGGGCGGAGGCAGAACGCGTTGTTCCCATCACGCTGCAACTTCGGTGGAGAAAAATAGGCAAATGAGGGGTTGAAACTGAATGAATTAAGCCCAACACAGTTCAGTGAAAAATTTAAAGGTGTGAATGTTTCAGAAGTTTAGAGGAACATTGTAGATTCACACCTCATCTCTACCTGTTGAAATATTTCTCCTTGTTTAGACTTATCTCCAAAGCTGCTTTTCCCTGATGCCTTTCTGATTCCCACCAGATAGGGTTTCAGCCACTCTGGGACTTGAGTCATTGCTTTCTTTTGTGTTGTAATTACCAGTTTACATGTCATGACCCTTGAAGGTGAGCTATTTCTTACAAGACACACTATCCTCAGAGTGCTTTTTGGATGATATGAACTTGATGAGAACTGATTAGATCACAGAAAACTCTGAATGACAATCAGATATTTGCAATGTAATAACTTCATCCAGGGCTAATTTTGTTTTCTTAGTGAGGTTCAAAAGCCAAATATCATCCCAGATGGTGCTGGGCTCATAAAATAGGCAAAAGAGGGAATAGGGAGCTTCAGCCTTGGCCTCATCATCATGATCCAAGAAGACAGCTGCTTTCAAGAACAGCCCAATACTTTGAGTGTTTAGGGGAAGTGTGCACTCTGCTAATGGAATGTCAGGCCTTTGGTGGTGGGCTTTAACACTGCTGGTCTCCCCCTCTGACAATCCTCCCTGTCTGACCAGGTACACTCTTGGCTTGACTTGCTTTTTGTATTGGATCCTCTCTTGGCAATAGCCTCACCCCTGGGAACAGAGGTTGGCAGTCAGGCTCACAGCAGAAACGTCTTGGAGAGGGAAACACATGACAGGAGGGTGAGAATCCTGGCGTTTTATCACTTAGGGACTAACAAGAAATGAAATAGTCACCCTGGACTAGCTGTGGAGCCCAGAATGATCATTACCGTCTAATTTCACAACTCCTTCCGCCCCCTCACTTCTGCCCTTTCAGGACTGTAAATGGAGTTAATCAAAGCTCTTGATTGCAGAAGAAGGCTATGATTAAGAGTTAATAACCAATCATGGCTACAGAACTTCTTGCCAGCAGATGCTGGGCAGGTCAAAGTTAGTGCTGGATGTACAGCACTTGCCTAAACAACGTTACCGATTGGTATTATTCGTTACCTCAGATGTGTGATAAAGGACATCCTTTTCCTTCTAAGAATTATGGGAAGTGGAAATTGGGTAAGTGATTTTCTTAGGTAGGGGTAGGGAAAGGTAAGAGGAATAGGAAGTCCCCAGATATAGACTCACTAATCTTAGCATTGTCATGGAACTTAGAGGTCACAGAGTTCAACCTCCCACCCGATTAATTCATTTGTTCGACAAATATTGAGTGTCTACAATGTGTTAGTACTGGGAGTAATGTAGTGAATAAACCAGATAAAAAAACCCAGCCCGTGTGGATCTTACATTCTAGTAGAGAGGAGACCAATGAGCACATGCACAACTAAATTTTGTGATATAGCAGGAAATTTGCGAAAGTAAGATTTTTTTATTTTTATTTTTCTTAAAGAGGGTTCTCTTTAAACATCAGACCCCACAGAATCGGGATCTATCCCTATCGTTAGGTAATTATTTTAATACTATGTATTTAAATTTAGAAAAGGAAGAAAACAGAAGTGGCTGACAACTCCATTTTCAGCAGAAATACACCATTAACGTTATAAAACACAACAAACAGAAGTAAAAATTAAATTAATACATGCACCCACTAAGACAATGCAACATTCAATGAAAATGAAGAGTAAAAATTTCTAAGCCCACTCGGAGTCCCTGAAGGTCCTATCCTTAAAAGTAACTGTTAATTTGTTTGCATTCAAACAGAAAAAAATGCATACACAATACAATATGTATTATACACATTAGAACCTTTTAAATTTTTATTTCACACTGCCATAAACCTTGCCTTTTTGTAATGTATATTTAGAAGACATCTGCATATTTGCAAACATGGAGCAACCTCATTCTTATCATCTGCCTAGTATTTCATATATATCATATTCATATGATATATATCAAAATATATTTGTATTTTATATTTCTAACTTATTGAATTCATTATTGATATGTCATTTCTATTTTTCTATTAAAAATAATGATATAGCAAATATCTTTTGATAAAGATGTGATAAAATTATAAATTCATAAGACAAAGAAGCAAGAAAATATGAACCAGAATGAGGAGAAAAAAGGAATTAATTGATACCAATCCAGAACTGACATAGATGTTAAATTCAGTAGACAAGGACATTAAAATAGTTCTAACTGTATCCCATATGTTCAAGTAGCTAATGGAGAGACTGAATATGTTAAATAGACATGTAAAATATGAAAAGACCTAAATTGAATATCTAGAGATAAAAATTACAGTCTCTGAGATGAAACATACACTAGATAGGATTAACATCAGATAATCTATTGCCAAAATATGTAGTAGTAATTTTGAAGATTTAGCGATAGAACCCATTCTAAACAAGATGTAGAGACAAAAAAAGACCTAAAAAAATAGGGCATCAATGAGCTGTGAGGTAACTTCAGGTAAATGAATGTACACGTAATTGGAGTTCCTGTAGGAAGAATAGGGCTGTGTGTGTGTGTGTGTGTGTGTGTGTGTGGTAGGGATACACAAAAAATTTGGAGAAACAATGGCTGAAAAATGTCCAAGTTAGGTGAAAACTATAAATCTATAGGTTCAAGATACTCAACAAACCCCATGTACAAGAAACATGAAGAAATCTATACTAAGACATCATAAAATGCACGAAACAAGTGATAAAGAAAAAATCTTAGAAGTAGCCAGAGGAGAAAAGAAGACATTTTATGTTACAGAAGAACAAAAATAAGAATAGCAGCATATTTTCTTTGGAAACAAAGCAACAAAGAGATCATAGAGCAACATCATTAAAAGTACTGAAAAAAAAAAAACCCTTCCAACCTAGAAACTTACACTCAGTAAAGATTTTTTTCATAAATGAAGGAGAAATAAAGACTTTTTGAGACAAGCAAAAACTCAGTATAGCTGAGTTTGTCAGCTATGCTGAAATAATTTATCAGCTAGATTCCACACTATGAGAAATGTTAATTGAACTTCTTCAAACAGAATAAAAATGATACTAGATGGAATAGCAGAAACCTAGATCTGCCTACAGAAATAAATAGCACTGAAAATGATAACTAAATGGATAAATGTATGAAAATTTTCTTATTTCAATGTCTTCAAAAGATAATTGCTTGTTTAAATAAAAATATTAACAATGTAGTGTGGTGGTTTTAACCTGTGTAGAAGTAAAATGTATGACAAAAATAGCACAAAGTCCAGGAGGGGAAAAATAGAAGTACACATGGTCCATGACTTATGGTGATTGGTGATATGTTTTGGCTCTGTGTACCAAATCTCATGTTGAACTGTAGTCCCCAGTGTTGGAGGTGGGGCCTGGTGGGAGGTGGTTGGATCTCAGGAGTGGGTTTCTTATGAATGGTTTAGCACCATCCCATTGGTGCTGTTCTTGTGATAGTGAGTTCTTGTGAGATATGGCTGTTTAAAAGTCTGCAGCACCTCCCACTTCCCCCACTCTTGCTCCTGCTCTGGCTATGTGATGTGTGTGTTCCCCTTTTGCCTTCTGCCATGATTGTAAGTTTCCTGAGACTTTCCCAGAAGCTGAGCAGATGACAGCATAATGCTTTTTCTTTATAAACTACCCAGTCTCAGGTATCTCTTTACAGTAGTGGAGGAATGGACTAATACAAAAAATTGGTACCAAGGAGTATGGCATTGCTGTAAAGATAACTGAAAATGTGGAAGCAACTTTGGGACTGGGTAATGAGCAGAGGTCAGAAGAGTGTGGAGGGCTCAGAAGAAGACAGGAAGATAAGGGAAAATTTGAAACTTCCTAGAGACTGATTGAATGGTTATGACCAAAATGCCATTAGTGATATGGACAGTGAAGTCCAGGCTGATAAGGTCTCAGATAGAAATGAAGAACTTACTGGGAATGGAGTAAAGGTCACTCTTGCTACACCTTAGCAAAGAGCTTGGCTGCATTGTGCCCCTGCCTTAGGGATCTGTGGAACTTTGAACTTGAGAGTGATGACTTAGGGTATTTGGGGGAAGAAATTTCTAAGCAGTAAAATTTTCAAGAAATGGCCTGGCTGCTTCTAACAGCCTAGGCTCATATGTGTGAGCAAAAAAAAATGACCTAAAGTTGGAACTTATACTTAAAGGGGAAGCAAAGTGTAAGAGTTTGGAGAATTTGCAGCCTGGCTATGTGGTAGAGAAGAAAAGTTCATCTTTAGGAGAGAAATTAAAGCAGGCTGCAGTGTTGTGGGAAGTCAGGGACCCCGAAGAGAGGGACTGGCTGGAGCCACGGCAGAAGAACATAAATTGTGAAGATTTCATGGGCATTTATCACTTCCCTAATAATACTCTTATAATTTCTTATGCCTGTCTTTACTTCAATCTCTGAACATAAATTGTGAAGATTTCATGGACACTTATCAGTTCCCAAATAATACTCTTATAATTTCTTATGCCTGTCTTACTTTAATATCTTAATCCTGTTATCTTCATAAGCTGAGGATGTACGTCACCTCAGGACCACTATTGTACAAATTGATTGTAAAACATGTGTGTTTGAACAATATGAAATCAGTGTACCTTGAAAATGAACAGAATAACAACGATTTTAGGGAACAAGGGAAGACAACCATAAGGTCTGACTGCCTGCGGGGTCAGGCAAAAAGAGCCATATTTTTCTTCTTGCAGAGAGCCTATAAATGGACATGCAAGTAGGACAGATATCGCTAAATTCTTTTCCTAGTAAGGAACATAATATTAAGACCCTAGGAAGAGAACTGCATTTCTTGGGGGAGGTCTATAAATGGCCGCTCTGGGAGTGTCTGTCCTATGCAGTTGAGATAAGGACTGAGATACACCCTGGTCTCCTGCAGTACCCTCAGGCTTGCTGGAATTGGGAAACCCCAGCCCTGGTAAATTTGAGGTCAAACCCGTTCTCTGCTCTCGAACCCTGTTTTCTGTTAAGATGTTTATCAAGACAATGTGCGCACTGCTGAATATAGACCCTTATCAGGAGTTTCTGATTTTGCTCTGGTACTGTTTCCTCAGAAGCATGTGATCTCTGCTCTGCCTTTTGCCCCTTGAAGCATGTGACCTACTCCCTGTATGTACACTCCCTCCCCTTTTGAAATCCCTAAAAAAAACTAGCTGGTTTTGCAGCTCAGGTGGGCATCACGGACCTGCTGATATGTGATGTCACCCCCAGCGGCCCAGCTGTAAAATTCCTCTCTTTGTACTCTTTCTCTTTATTTATCAGACAGGCCAACACTTAGGGAAAATAGAAAGAACCTACGTTGAAACATTGGGGGTGGGTTCCCCCAGTACTGCAGAAATTTGCATAAGTGAAAAGGAGCCAAATACTAATAGCCAAGACAATGGGGAGAAGGCCTCAAAGATGTTTTAGAGATCTTTGTGGCAGCCTCTCCTATCACAGGCCCTGAGACCTAGGAGGACAGAATGTTTTGTGGGCCAGACACAGGACCCCATTGCCCTATGCAGCCTCAGGACACTGCTCCTCACATCCCAGTCACTCCATCTTCAGCCATAGCTAGAAGGGCCCCAGGTGCAGCTCAGAACATTGCTTCAGAGGGTGCAAGCTGTGAGCCATGGTGGCTTCCATGTGGTGTTAAGCCTGCAGGTGCACAGAGTACAAGAGTTGAAGCTTGGGAGCCTCCACCTAGATTTCAGAAGATGTATGGAAAAGCTTGGATGTTTAGGCAGAAGACTGCTGCAGGGATGGTGCCCTCAGGGAAAACCACTACTAGGGCAGTGCAGAGGGGAAATGTGGGGCTAGAGCCCCACACAGAGTCCCCACTGGGGCACTGCCTAGTAAAGCTGTGAGAAGAGGACCACTGTCTCCCAGACCCCAGAATGGTAGATTTACTGACAGCTTGCACCGTGTGCCTGGAAAAGCCAAAGACACTCAACACCAGCCTGTGACAGCAGCTACAGGGGCTGTACCCTGCAGAGTCACAGAGGTGGAACTTCCCAAGGAGCCCACTCCTTGTATCATTGTGACCTGGATTTAGGACATGGAGCCAAAGGAGATTATTTTAGAGCTTTAAGATTTAATGATGGCCCTGCTGGGTTTTGGACTTGCATGGGCTCTATAGCCCCTTTCTTTTGGCTGAGTTCTCCATTTTGGAAAGGCAGTATTTACCTGATGCATTTACCCCTATTGTGTCTTGGAAGTAGCTAACTTATTTTTTATTTTACAGGCTCGTAAGCAAAAGGGAGTAGTCTTGTCTCAGATGCAACTTTGGACTGTGGACTTTTGAGTTAATGCTGAAATGAGTTAAGACTTTGGAGGACTGTTCAGAAGGATGATTTTGTTTTGTAAAATGAGAAGGACATGAGCTTTGGGGGGCCAGGGGCAGAATGGTATTATTTGGATCTGTTCCCACCAAATCTCATGTTGAATTATACTCCCCAATGTTGGAGGTAGGGCCTGGTGAGAGGTGGTTGAATCATGGAGACAAATTTATCATGAATGGTTTAGCACCATCCACTTGCTGCTCTTCTTGTGATAGTGAGTTCCCATGAGATATGGTTGTTTAAAAGTGTGCAACACCTACCCTCTTACCCTCTCTTGCTCCTGCTCTAGCCATGATGATATGTGTGTTTCCCTTTCACCTTTTGCCATGATTGTAAGTTTCCTGAGGCCTTCTGAGAAGCTGAACAGATGCCAGCATCATGCTTCCTGTACAGCCTGCAGAACCATGAAACAATTAAACCTCTTTTCTTTATAAATTACCCAGTCTCAGGTATTTCTTTATAGTAGTGTGAGAATGGACTAATACAATTTGACTTAGTTTTTTTATTTTATCATGGTACAAAAGTGGTACACATGAAGTAAAAACTATACTTGAGTACCCATACAATCCTTCTGTTTTTCACTTGCAGTATAATATTCAATAAATTAAATGAGATTTTCAACACTTTATTATAATGCAGATTTTGTGTTAGATGATTTTGCCCAACTGTAAGTTAGTTTAAGTGTTCTGAGCACGTTTAAGGCAACGCAGGCTGAGCTATAATGTTTGGTGGGTTGGGTGTAATTAAATGCATTTGTGACTTCTGATATTTTTAACTTATGATGGGTTTCTTGGGATATCACCCCATTGAAGTTGAGGGGCATCTGGTTCTCACACTATTGCTGAATTGGTATAATATTAACATCGATTGTGATAAGTTAAAAATATGTGCCATAAACCCTTAAAGCAATGGCTAAAAAAAACAGAGTTATATTCATGACACATCTGAAAGAGATCAAAATGAATTGAAAAAAAAAGGTAAATAAAGAGGAAAAAGGAAACAAAGAACAAATAGGCCAAAGAGAAAATGAATAGCAAGATGGGTGATTGAAGTCTAACCATATCATTAATCATATAATATTAAATGTAAATGTCTAAATACCCAATTAAAATGCAGATTTTTCAGATTAGATAAAAAATCCAACTATATACTGCTTACAAAAAAATACTCTTTAAATATAAAGACAGAGCTATATTTAAAGTAATAGGATGGGGCTGGGCTCAGTGGTTCATGGCTGTAATCCTAGCACTTTGGGAGGCTGAAGTGGGCAGATCGCTTGAACTCAGGAGTTCAAAACCAGCCTGGGGAACATGGTGAAACCCCATCTCTACTAAAAAAAAATCCTAAATTAGGTGGGCATGGTGGTATGCATCAGTAATCCCAGCTACTTGGGAGGCTGAGGCATGAGAATTGCTTGAACCTGGGAGGCAGAGATTGTAGTAAGCTGAGATCATGCCACTGCATTCCAGCCTGGGTGATAGAGTAAGACCCTGTCTCAAAAAGTAAAAACAGTAATAGAATGGAAAAAGATATTGTGCTAACATTAATCAAAAGAAAGCAGAAGTGGCTGTAATAGTATTTGCCAAAGTAGATTTCGGAACAAAGAAGACAACCAGAAATAGAACAAGTCATTCCATAATGATAAAAGGGTCAATTCATCAAGAGGACAGAAGAAATCATAAGTGTTTATGCACTGAATAACAGAGATTTTTAAAAATAAAGTAAAAGGTGCAGGATCTGCAAGAAGAAATCAACAAATCCACAGCTAGAGGTTTTAATACCATTCTTTAAATAATTTGTTTGAAAAGGAGACAGAAAATCTTCAAGGATGTAGAAGAGTTGAACAACACTGTCAATCAACTTGACCTAATTGACATTAATAGAACACTCTACCCAATAATAGTAGAATATGCTATTTAGAATATATAATAGTAGAATATGTAAAAGAAATTACATTTCTTTTTTCATGTCCATATGGGACACTGACCATGGTAAACCAATTCTGAAATATAAAACAAGTCTCGATACATTTATAAGAATTAAAGTCATACAAAGCATGTTCTCTCACCAAAACAGAAAAATATCTGGAAAGTTTTCAAAGATTTAAAAAGTAAATACTGCACTTTTCAATAATAAATTAGTCAAAGTAGACATTAAAAGGAAATTAGAAAATATTTTTACGTGAATGAAAATGAAAACCTAACATGCCAATATTTGTGGCATGCTGTTAAAACAGTACTTACAGGGGAATTTTTAGCAGTCAGTAAAAGAGAATAAGGAACTCAAATCAATCACCTCAACTTCCACCTTAAAAACTAGGAAAATAAATGTATATTTAATCCAAAAGAAGCAGAAGAAAGGAAACGATAGGAGTAAGAGTAGAAATAAATGAAACAACTGAAAAAAAAATCACTAGGAAGGCTAAAGTAGCTCCATCTTGGATGCTAGTCCTCCATGTTGACTTTTGATTAACTGTAGTTTTGGGAATGCCTCTGAGATTTCTACTTTATCTACAGTTCCTTATGCATGAACACATAATTTCTGTAAATCTTGCCCTTAGGTGAAAACAAACTGGATGTTATAGCATAAATTACAGGCTATAAGGCACGTATTTTTTTTCCCAGAAAGAAGACTTTAATTGTCCTGCACATTCCCTCTGGAGCATGTATAACATTTCCCTATTGTACATGGGTCCCAGGCCTGGAGCATGTATAACATTTCCCTATTGTACATAGGTCCCAGGCCTGAAGAGCAGCAGCATGGAGTTCTACCTGTCTTGTGGCTGCCCAAGACCACATTCCTGTTTGTTAGTTCCCCAGTAAATAACCTTCTGCCAACTGACTGGATTTGTCTGCCTTGTTCTTTGGTTTCTTGGCTCCTTCTATGTTTGGGTGTCATTTTGCATATATGGACCTTTCATGAATCAATCACTGAAACCAAAAGTTAGTTCTCTGGGAATATCAATAATGTTGATAATCCCCTAGCAAGACTGATCAGGAAAAAGAAAATGAAAGAGGTGACATCACCACAGTCTCTACAGGGATTAAAAGGATAATAAGAGAATACTGTGAACAACTTTATGGTAATAAATTTGACAACTTGGATGAAATGGTCAAATTTCTTTAAGGATACACTTAACAAATCTTACTTAGGATGAAATGTATAACCTGAATTGCTTTTTGTCTATTACATAAATTAAATTTGTAGTTAAAAACCTTAAAGCAAAGAAAACTCTCATACCAGCTACTTCACTGGTGAATTCTGCAATTTAAGGAATAATTAAAATTCTACAAATTTTCTTCCAGAAAATTTAAGAGGATTATGATGCTTCTCAACTGTTTCTTTGTGGCCAGTATTACTCTCATATAAAAACCCAGGCAAAGACATTGTAAGGAAAAAAAATATAGGTCCATGTCCTGAGGAACATAGATGCAAAAAATCCTGACAAATTTTTAGCAAATAAAATTCAGCAATACATACAAGAGGGTTTATGCAAGTGGAGTTTATACCAGGAATGCAAGGTTGGTTTAACACTTGAAATCATCCAGTGTATCTCACCATATTAACACAAAAATTAATCTGTTGAACAGGTGATGTCTGTTGCCTATTATCAGGAGTAGAAGTCTGAGCATTTCTGCCCACTGCCTCTTGGTATTGGAGCCACCAAAGAAAATTCAATTCAGTCAATCACTGGATGGAACAATGCTTTATTCACACAAGAAGAGACAGAGCAAGATCAGTTTCAGTAGTTGGTGTCAGTCTCCATGGCCTGTGGGTCTCTCCTGGCAGCTGGCCTGCACACATGCCTTTTGTACTGCAGCAGAAGGACCCTGACCCCTCCCTGCAGAGAACAGATATAACAGTGGGATTAGCCAAGTACCATGTGATACACACACTTAAGCAGAAATAAAAGCACACACTGGGTCTGAAATAGGGAAAGATATTCCCACACAAGGCAACAAGCTCAGCACAGCCTGTGAAGACTCTTCATACTTTGGTAAGAAAGTGTTCCAGGCCCAGGGCCCATTCTTACACAGTCAAGTATGGGTCAAAAGACTACACGTAGGAGACTGCCTTTCCCAACAAAGACAAACCCTTTGGTCATCTCAGTAGGTGTACAAAAACACTTAATGAAATCTAATACCCATTCCTGATGTGAACTTCCAGCAAACTAGAAATGGAAAGGAGATTCCTCAACATGATAAAGGAAATCTAAGAAAAACCAACAGCTAACATTTGTGATAGTGAAAGACTTATAGTTTGTCCTTAAGGTCAGGAAAAGGTGAATGTCTGCTTTCATCACTTCTATCCAGCATTATTCTGGAGGTCTACGATAGCACAATGAGGCAAGAAAAAGGAAAGGCACCCAGATTGTGAAACTGTCTTTATTTGCAAATGACATAATCAGTTAAATAGAAAATCAGATGGAATCTACAAAAAGCAACTAGAACTAATAAATAAGTTTAGGAAAGTTGTATGGTACAAGATCAATACTTAAAAATTAATTCTATTTCTGTAAACTAGGAATGAACAATCCAAAACTGAACTATAAAACAAATTAGCACCTAAATGTTAACTACTTAGGGATAAATCTGACAAAAGATATGTAATGCCTGTACATTGAAAACTGTAACATGTTCTGAGAAAAATCAAAGGAGACCCAGATAAATATGTTTATAGGTCAGAAGAATCAAAGTTGCTATGATGTCAGTTCTTAAATTGATCTCTAGATTCAACACAATTCCAAACAAATCACAGCATTAATTTTTGTAGACATATACAACCAGATTCTAAAATTTTTACAAGTGCAAGGGACCCCAAATAGGCAGAATGACTTTAACAAAAAACGAAGATGGGGGGATAACACTACCTGATTCAAGAGTTATAAAATTATAATAAGCCAGTGTAGTATTAGTGCAAAGATAGGCATATTAAAGAAATAGAATAGAAAGTCCAGAAATAGATCCATGCATATGTGGACAATTGTCTGCAACAATAGTGCAAAGGTGATTCAGAGGAAAAAATGTACCTTTGCTTGAGCCTGGGAGGTAGAGGCTGCAGTAAGCCATGATCACGCCACTGCACTCCAGCCTGGGTGACAAAGTGAGAACTCACCTCAAAAAAAAAATAAATCAATACAATTTCCTTCTATACTCCTCCAGTCCACTGCTCACTCCTGCAAAATCTAAATGCCTGGGTCTCCCTGGGCTCTCAGCATTATCTCCTCAATTCAGGGAGTCCATGGCCTTCTCCACCTGGGTCACCCCTTGCTAGAGCCTGGAAACTCTGGCAGAAGTAAGCTAGGCGACCACAGGGCTCATTTTATTGACTGCCCAACTCCCAGGGATCACCTTCCTTCATTGCCTGATGTCCAGTGTCTTCAAAGCTATTGTTTTACATATTTTGTTGCTTTGTTTTTCTTGTTTTTGTTCAGGTGAGAGGGTGACTTTGTTTTCTATTTATTACTCCACTATGGGCAGAAGTGAAAGTCTTATTTTTGCTCTTTAAAAGATGAGTCAGCAATGTTCCTGCTTCCTGTAGTCTCTGAAAAAGTGTACATAGTATTGGAATTCAAATCTGGAAGATTGTGAGAATTCACATTGGAAAATTTCAGGACTGACGCATTTTTGTCAGGAAGAGATCATTTGACAAAAGATTTTAATTTCTTTTAAGGATACAGATCTGTGAGGACAAGATTTCTGTTATGATATCAAGTTTGGTAATTTTAATTTTCTAAGAAGAGAGGTACTCATTTTACTCATATTTTCAAATGTATTTACAGAGCTATAGACAGAGTTAAGACCCTTAAGTCTTTAATTTATTCTGTATCTGTGGTACTCTTCTCTTTGCCATTACTATTTTTTCTTTCTTCTTTCTCATTGAAAAAAAGGCTAAATATAGCTTCATTTTTTCTTAAGAAAATAATAGCTCATGTATACTTATCAATTATATGAGATCTCTTTTTTAATGTATTAATGTTTTCATTTTTTCTACTTTCCCTTGGCTTACTTTGTTACTTTTTTTAACTTCTTGAGTCAACTCCTTAATTAATCCATTTATATTTTTTCTTGTTTCATAGGGATGTATTTCAGATATCCATATGTGCATAGTATAAGCAAATGCTGAAACAAATAATTTGCTCAGAAAAATTCTGATTTATCAAATGAGGCATTCAAATTTGGCATCGTTAAATGCCATTAAGATTTGTTCCTCCAATGTTTCCGGGATCAAACAATCTGTAGTTAAACAAAGCAAACTTGTAATGTATATACTTAAATTGATAGTATATGTAAAGTGACATCTATTTGTTGCTGTAAAATTTGAGAAAATTTATGACATTATTTCCTTGTATATAGGAGACCTTTAGTAGAATTACTTTAAAAAAATAACTTATGTGCACGGCTAGTCCATAGGCATTGACCTGGGGAAAGTGTTTGACAGGGTCTTTTATTTTACATAACTTAGCAGACCAGGGAGCTGGGAAAGAGACTAGTAATTTGTATAAATAATTCAGGGATCTCCTGGTTGGTAAGAAACTGAGACCCCTAAAACCCTCTTTCTGTGTATTAGTTTGCTAGGGCTGCTATAACAAAGTACTACAAACTAGGCATCTTAAACAAAAGAAACTTACTGTCTTATAATTCTGGAGGCTAGAAGTCCAATATCAAGGTGTTGGCAGGGCCATCCTACCTCTGAAGGTGCTATGGAAGATCTGTTCCATGCCTCTCACCTAGTTTTTATTGGCTTGCTGGCAATCTTTGGCATTCCTTGGCTTATAGGAGTGTCACCCTGATCTCTTTTATCTTCACATGGTGTTCTTCCTGTGTTGATGTGCCCACATTTCCCCTTTTTATGGGGAGACCAGTCATATTGGATTACGGGCCCACCTACTATAGTATGACCTCATCTTAACTAATTATATTTGCAATGACCCTATTTCCTAATAAGGCTACATTCGGAGGTACAAGAGGTTGGGATGCCAACATATAAATATTAGGGGAACACATGTCAATTCATAAAATCCTAAGACTCAGAATTAAGGTAAAGCTATTGTGGTTGACCAGATGGGTTCTGTTCAAGGCCCATTTTCAGGAAAGTCTTGGAAATTGATAGGGCCAATGGGATGAAGGCAGGCCAGAGTGAGGAGGGAGGAAGAGAGGACAGTGGTTTTGAGTCTGAAGGTGTCAGCACTGATGCGTGCTCTGACCTGGCTTTCTGGAAGGAAAACCTGTGCTCAAAAGCATGTTGTGACTTGAAAAAGGTGTTAACTCAGAAGAGGTCCCTGGCTAATTTGGAACTTGGGCTTTTGCATTGCTCCCGTGGTAGCAGTTAATGTAGGAGGGACTTAGCATGAGTTATGTGATGCTATTGGAGTAGAAGGGTACCTACACCATTCTCTTGCTAAAACTCTGAATCAGTTATTGCTGCATAACAGACCATGCCCTAACTTAGCTCATGATTCCATGGATTGTCAGTGTGGCCTGGGTTCAGCAGGATGGTTCTTCCACTGGTCTTGTCTGACCTCTCTCATGTGGCTGTACAGCTGGGTCACCTGGGTATGTGTCTTAATCTGTTCAGGTGACTATAGCAATGCCACAGACGAGGTGACTTATAAACAACAGAAATTTGTTTCCTACAGTTTTAGAGGCTGGAAAGTCCATGATGAAGGCACCAGCATATATGGCATCTGGTGAAGTCTCACTCTCTAGATGATAGATGGAGACTTTTTTGCTTCATCCTCACATGGTGGAAGGGGCAAGGGAGTTCTCTGAGGCTTCTCTTATAAGGGCATGAATTTCATTCATGACACATTAGGTCCCCCCCATGACCTAATTGTTCCCTAAATGCCCAACCTTTTAATACTATTGCACTGGGGACTAGATTTCAGCATATTAGTTTGGGGAACACAAACATTTTAGCATTCCACTCCTAGACCACTTAAAACAATGTCCTTCTTGCATGCAAAATACATTCGTTCTATTCCAGTAGCCCCCAAAGTCTCAACTTGTTCTAGCATCAACTTTAAAATTTAAGTCCAAAGTCTTATTTAAATGTCACCTATATCAGATATAGGTGAAGCTCAAAGTACTATTCATTCTGAGACAAATTGTTCTCCAGCTGTGAACCTGTGAAATCAAACATGTTATTCGCTTCCAAAATACAATAGTAGGAGAGGCATAGGATAGACATTCCCATTTCAAAAGGGAGAAACAGGAAAGAAGGAAGGGATGACAGGTCCCAAGTGAGTCCAAAACCCAACAAGGCAAATAGCATTAAAGCTTAGGATTCCAAAGTCATCTTTGATTCAATGTTGTGCCTCTCAGCCCGTGGGACAGGGGTCCAGACTCTGCAGCATTGCCAGGCAGGTGTTGAGCATCCAAGGCTATGAGTAGCCCTACTTTCATGGCTCCACTAGGCATTGCCCTTTTGGGGGCTCTCTGTTGTGGTTCCCTGATGGGGCCCAAAGGCTCTTCAGGGCATCCTTTGAAATCTAGGTGGAGACAGCCATGTCCCCACAGCTCATGCACTCTGCACATCTATGGAGATGGCACTGTGTGGTGGCTGCCCAGTTTTACTGCCCATGCCCTTTAGAGGGACAGCCACTGTGTCTTGAATCACACCTTGGCCTCCTGGAGCCACACCTGAGGCTGCCAAAGAGCATCACACCAGAATCTGGGGAGCAGATACTTGAGGTGGTGAAAGCATTAAGCAAGCAAACTTGAGCAAGCACTGAGTGAGGCTCTGTAGAAGCTCAGGGCCCCTCTTTTGACATTGTTCTGTCCCCTACATTTTGTCACTCTTGGCTGGTCCCTACATTTTGTCACTCTTGGCAGGTCATGGAAGGCAGCACTGATAATCTCCAAAATGCCCAGAGGTCATACTTCCATCATTTTGATAAACATCACCTGGGTAATTCATACTCATCTCTTTATCAAAAGATTGCCTGGCCACAACCTTAGTGTTCTCTCCAGAGCACGTTTTCTCCTTTTACCCCATAGAGATAGGCTGAGGATTTCCCAAATCATTAAGTTCTGCTTTCTTTTTGATTATGAAATTGACTTTATTTTTTTTCTCTTCTTGCATTTCACCATAAGCACTCAATAGAAGCCATGCTACTCCTTAATACTTGGCTTAGATATTTCATCAGCCAAATGTCTGATTTCATTCACAAGTTCTATCTTCCATGAAACACAAGGGCACAAACACAATTCAGCCAAGTTCTTTGTCACTATATAACAAAGCTGAGCTTCCAATATTATGAGTTTCTAATATTATGTTCCCGATTTACATCTGAGACCTCTTCAGAATGGCCTTTACTGTCCGTATTTCTATGAATTTTTTTGCTCATAAATATTTAGATATTCTCTAAGAAGATTGAGGCTTTCTCTACATCTTCCTCTTCTTTTGAGCTCTCATCAGAACCTCCCTTTAAGGTATCTTCGTGGCAATGTGGCTTTTTCTAGCATACATTTCAAAATCCTTTCGGTCTCTACCCATTAACCAGCTCCAAAGCTGCTTCCACATTTTTGGATATTTGTTGTAGCAATACCCCCACTCCTCAGTACCAATCTCTGTCTTAGTTCATTTGGGCTGCTATAACAAAAATACCACAAACTGGGTGGCTTATAAACAACAGAAATTTATTTCTCACAATTTTGGAGGCTGAGAAGTCCAAGGTCAGAGCTCTGGCATATGTGGTGCCTGCTGAGGGCCTGTTACTCATAAATGGTAATTTCTTTTTGTGTCTTCATATGGTGGAAGGGGCTTGTTAGCTCTGTGGGGCCTCATTTATAAGGGTACTGATTCCATTCACGAAGGCTGTGCTCCCACGACTTAATCACCTCTAAAGGCCCCATCTTTTGATATAATCACATTGGAGATTAGGTTTCAACATGTGAATTTTGGAGGAACACAAACATTCAGCCCATAGCAGGATGGGTCACCTGGGGGTTTGTCAGTCCCAGACCTCTCTCACATGTCTGGTTGTTGGCCCTGGTGGTGTGGGCAATAGGGCTATGTCTGTCCAGTATGACTCAGCTATCCCAGATTACTGGGGGACTGTGTTCCAGAAGCAGCAAGAAATGATGAAATCAAAATAAGCAAGCACTATTCAAGTTTCCACTTGTGTCCCATGGGCCAAAGCAAATAATTTGTGACCAATATTATAATTAAACCCAAGATTATTTAGCAAAACATACCGCTGGGGAGTGATACCTAGACCAAGAATGGTTTCGGATTCTCATGGCTGAGGGTAACAGTGGGAGTGGGAGTGAGATTGCAACATTGGTTTCTCAACATTGGTTACTCATGACCAAGGTAGTCCATATGAAGCTGTTTAGGGAAACCTGAAGACTACTTTTTTTCAGATATTCCTGGTCCCTCTATACCTCTTGGAATTCTGTGAGCATTTGGTAAACGGATCCCTTCCACTTATAGATTCACCCCAACTCCATCCCTTATGATATCCTGGGGAACTTCTCCTTCCATCCTCCCCTGACCCAGCCCTGCTCTAGGATAGGCCCTTGATAACTTACTCTCTGGAGCTGTAGCTCTCTCTTTGAAGGTTGCTTGGCAGCTTTGCTTTCAGGCCTTAAAATGAGACACTGTAAATAATAGAAGGAATTTGGACTCATAACATGCCCACATTCTTGCCTGGGCAAATGACAATACTTTTATATTTTTTCAGACTCCTGCAGGAGCAAGACCAAAAAATCACAAATTAATATCTCAATAAATTATTCTGCCACATTTGTTTACCCATTAAATGTTGGAACTGTTTATCTTCCTTTTAAATTATACCTGAGCTGTGTAGAAAACAGTATTTTGTCTTATAAAATTTATCATCATGAAATTACTTGGCACAGCTCCTCCAGAAATGTCAGGTTTCTGAGTTAGTAAATACAGCATCAAAATAGAATGACTTTTCTTTATGAGGTATGTAGAACTCTGTCATTTGGATTAAGTAGAAATATCCATTAGCAAACACATGTGCCTAGACAGGCACTTAAAATATTAACAAAAAATTCTTTTAACGTTGAGAACCTTCGATAGCATGTTTTTTTAAAAAAATACAAAGGAGTGTTCAGTTTCTAGCCCTCCCTCCTTTTTTTTTTTCTTGTAAAATAACAGAAAAGGTATCCAAGGATATTACCATACATACTCTTCAGCATCTAGAATAAACCCTAAATTCTCTTCTCTTGGATTCTAGATGTGTAGAATGTCTATAATTAATAGGGCCACCATAAACAGTTGTGTAGACTCCCAAGGCTGTGGGGCTTGTCCATCCAGAGGGATGGAGACCCTTTTCTAATTCTCCAGTGCTGGCTCAATAATGAAAGTAGAGATGACGGCAGAAAAGCGAGAGCATTTGAGTGTGTATGAATTTATATTTGTGTGTTCAATAGAACTGTGTGTGTTTTTGGGCTGGTATCAATGTTCATTTCTCTTTCCTTTGGAGGAGAAACTCTGAGAGAGCTGGAACAGTGTCTCATTGAGTGCTGTGCCTGGAGGGTGGTTAAATAATGAGCCACCATTCAGAACATTACACTGGGCCCTGTGTGGGCTAAGGAGTGGGGGTGCAGTGTAAATAGAGCAGCTGTCACAAACGGGCCAATGATAATCTATTGATTGATGTCAAAACCATAGCTGGCCATGCGTCATTCTCATCTCCAATGTGGGCCATCAACGTTCTTGTCAAGACCTCCCTTACACCCTCCCTTCTTCCTTTTCTCTCTCCCTTTTACCCTCCCAACCTCCCTCCATTCCTTTTCCTTTACTCCTGCAAAGATCACATCAAAGCAGATGCTGATCAAAAATATATTTGAGAATTCTCTACAGGAACTTACAATCCAGTGGATGGAACTGAGCCTGTCAGTTTCCCCGTAAGTCCAAAGTCAAATTGTTTCCATCAAAGACTCTTTGGAGCTTGCACAGTCAGAGACTCAAATAAATCAACCTCGTCTAGTTTCTGGTAGTGTTTAAGACACATTAGAAAGGCAGAATATGCCAATGCACTTCTGAAGGAGTACAAAAGATATTATGTCTTGGGGCTTGTGTTATTGAAAATGGCAAAATAAAAACAATATACGCAGATACATGGTCTAACCTAGATCATGGGCACAGTGTTTTTGAATTTGGCAGAAAACTCTTTTTATAGGCTATTCTAAAATAGCAGTTTGTGTATTTTGGGCCCAGGTGAATAAATGTATACTTGGGAGAGGGAATAAACAACAGTGAAAAATTTGGCTATTGCTTATTTAAATATTTCTTCCCTCCCATTGTGAGTAGGTACAATTTTCCCTGGAATGGTCCCTCCCCTGCCCTTTTCTTTCCTCCTCCCTGCCCTGACCCATTTTTCATCTTCTCATTTTCCTATCTACCCTCTTCCTAACTCCAAATTTTATCATGTATTACTCCTACCCCAAAGGCCAGATTGTGGAATGAGTTGGGAGCATGGTCAGAGTTGCATAAGGTGGTTGTGGAGGTGATCCTGCCTGTGGGCTGTCTCACCTTAAGAAGAAGGTTTACCCCGTCCATCAGGTAACTACACTGTGAGCATGTGGGCCACAAACAGTCTAACACTTGGGCTCACACATAGAAAACAGGTTCTCTGTGTTTAAAATATGGTAGACTAAAATCAAATGAAAGAAAAAAATCTCTGCAGGTAGAATTGTGATCATTGTGACTATTGCAATTATGACTAAGCATGTTGCAATCAGATATATTCTGGTCTTCTTGTTCTTGTTCTTTAAAAATCATTGGTAAGATGATATGGATGGTCTAAAAAAAGACAAAGAGGGGCATGATAAAAGGAATAGTCTAACAGGAAAATATCATAATCCTAAATATATATGCACCTAACACTGAAGTTCTCAAATTTATAAAACAATTACTACTAGACCTAAGAAATGAGATAGACAGCAACACAATAATATTGGGGGACTTCAATACTCCACTGACAGCACTAGACAGGACATCATGACAGAAAGTCAACAAGAAAACAATGGACTTAAACTATACCCTACATCAAATGGAATTAACAGATATTCACAAGACATTCTACCAAGCAACTGCAGAATATACATTGTTTTCTTCAGCACATGGGACATTTTCCAAGTAGACCATACGATAGGTCACAAAACAAGTCTCAGTCAATTTAAAAAAAACTGAAATTATATCAAGTATCCTCTCAGACCACAGTGGAATAAAATGGGAAATTAACTACAAAAGGAACCCTCAAAACTATGCAGATACATGAAAATTCAATAATCTGCTCTTGAATAATCTTTGGGTCAAAAGTGAAATCAAGATGGAAATTAAAAATTCTTTGAGCTGAACGATAATACTGACAGAATTTATCAAAACCTCTGTGATACAGCAAAAGCTGTGCTAAGAGGAAAGGTCATAGCATTAAATGCCTACATCAAAAAGTCTGAAAGAGCACAAATAGACAATCTAAGGTCACACCTCAAGGAACTAGAGAGACAAGAAGAAATCAAACCCAAACTCAGCAGAAGACAAGAAATAACAAATATCAGAACAGAACTAAGTGAAATTGAAACAAAAAATTACAAAAGATAAATGAAACAAAAAGGTGGTTTTTGAAAAGATAAACAAAATTGATAGACCATTAGTGAGATTAACAAAGAAAAGAAGAAAGAAGATCCAAATAAGCTCAATTAGAAATGAAACGAGAGATATTACAAATGATACCACAGAAATACAGAAGATCATTCAAGTCTACTATGAACACCTTATGCACACAAACTAGAAAATCTAGAGGAGAAAGATTTATTCCTGAATATACTGCTTGAAATATACAATCCTCCCAGATTAAATCAGGAAGAAATAGAAACTGTGAACAGACCAAAAACAAGTAGTGACATTGAAACAGTAATAAAAAATTGCCAACAAAAAAAGTCCACGACCAGATGGATTCACAGCTAAATTCTATTAGACATTCAAATAATTGGTACCAATCTTACTGAAACTATTCCGAAAGATAAAGGGGAAATCCTTCCTAAATCATTCTATGAAGCCAGTATCACCCTAATTCCAAAACCAGAAAAGGACATAACAACAACAAAAAAAGAAAACCACAGACCAATATCCCTGATGAACATAGATGTAAAAATCCTCAACAAAATACTAGCCAACTGAATCCAACAGCATATCAAAAAGATAATACACCATGATCAAGTGGATTTCATACTAGGGATGCAGGTATGGTTTAACATATGTAAGTCAATAAATGTGATACATCACTTAAACAGAATTAAAAACAAAAATCATATGATCATCTCAATAGAAAAATGCAGAAAAAGCATTCGACAAAATCCCTCATCCCTTTACAATGAAAACCCTCAGGAAAATTGGCATAGAAGGGACATACCTCAAGGTAATAAAAGCCATCTATGACAAACCCACAGGCAATATTATACTGAATGGGGAAAAGTTGAAAGCATTCCTCCTAAGAACTGGAACAAGACAAGAATGCCCACTTTCACAACTTTTGGTTAACATAGTACCAAAAGTCCTAGCCAGAGCAATCAGGCAAGACAAAGAAAGGGCATCCAAATCAGTAAAGAGGAAGTCAAACTGTTGCTGCTTGCTGATGATATGATCATATACCTAGAAAACCCTAAAGACTCATCTAAAAAGCTCCTCGATCTGATAAATGAATTCAATGAAGTTTTAGGATACAAAGTTAATGTATACAAATCAGTAGCATTGCTATACACCAACAATGACCAATCTGAGAAACAAATCAAGAACTCAATCCCTTTTACAACAGCTGCAAAAAAAATTTTTTTAAATACTTAGAAATATATCTAATCAAGAAGGTGAAATATTTCTACAAGGAAAATTACAAAACTGCTGAAAGAAGTCATTGACAACACAGACAAATGGAAACACACTCTGTGCTTATGGATGGGTAGAATCAATACTGTGAAATGACCATACTGCCAAAAGGAATCTACAGGTTCAATGTAATTCCCATCAAAGTACCATCATCATTCTTCACAGAGCTGGGAAAAAAAATCCTAAAATTCATATGGAAACCAAAAAGACACCACATAGCTGAAGCAAGACTAGGCAGAAAGAACAAATCTGGAAGCATCACATTACCTGACTTCAAACTATACTACAAGGCTATAGTTACCAAAACAGCATGGTACTGTTATAAAAATAGGCACACAGACCACTGGAACAGAATAGAGAACCTGGAAATACAGCCAAATACTTACAGCCAACTGAACTTCAACAAAGCAAACAAAAACATAAAGTGGGGAAAGGACACCCTATTCAAAAAATGGTGCTGGGATAATTGGCAAGCTGCATGCAGAAGGATGAAACTGGATTTTGAATGCTCACCTTATAAAAAAAGTCAACTCAAGATGTATCAAAGACTTAAATCTAAGACTTAAAACCATAAAAATCTATACTATAACATCAGTAAACCTCTTCTAGATGTTGGCTTAGGTGAAGACTTAATGACCAACAACCCAAAAGCAAATGCAACAAAAACAGAAATAAATACATGGGACATAATTAAACTAAAAAGCTTCTGCACAGCAAAATAAATAACCAACAGAGTAAACAGACAACCCACAGAGTGGGAGAAAATATTTGTAAACTCTGCATCTGACAGAGGACTAATATCCAGAATCTACAAGGAACTCAAACAAATGAGCAAGAAAAAAACAAATAGCCCCATCAAAGTGGGCAAAAGACATGAATAGACAATTCTCAAAAGGAGATATACAAATGGCCAACAAACGTGAAAAAATGCTCAACATCACTAATTATCAGGGAAATGCAAATTAAAACCACAATGAGGTACAACCTTACTCCTGCAAGAATGACCATAATTAAGAAATCAAAAAATAATAGAAGTTTGTGTGGATGTGGTGAAAAGGGAAAACTCTTACACTGCTTTTGGGAATGTAAACTAGTATAACCGCTATGGAAAAGCGTATGGAGATGTCTTAAAGAACTAAAAGTAGAACTACCTTTTGATCCAGCAATCCCACTACTGGGTATCTACCTAGAGGAAATTAAGTCATTATATGAAAAAGGCACTTACACATGCATGTTTATAACAGCATAATTTGCAATTGCAAAAATATGGAACCAGCCTAAATGCCCATTGACCAATAAGTGGATAAAGAAAATGTGATATATATCCACCATGGAATACTACTTAGCCATAAAAGGAATGAAATAATAATGGTATTCACAGCAACCTAGATGGAGTTGGACACGATTATTCTAAGTGAAGTAACTCAGCAATGGAAAACCAAACATCCTATGTCCTCACTCATAACTGGGAGCTAAGCTATGAGGATGCAAAGGCATAAGAATAATATAATGGACTTTGGCGATTCGGGGAGGGAGGTGAAGGATAAAAGACTACACATTGGGTACAGTGTACACTGCTCAGGTGACAGGTGCACCGAAATCTCAGAAATTACCACAAAAGAACTTATCCACGTAACAAAAAACCATCTGTTCCCCAAAACTATTGAAAAAAAAGTTGAACCCCCTCCCTCCCAAAGATGACATGGACTGTCTGAGGAAAGCTTGAGATTGAAGATGGAGGAAGAAAAATAAATGAAATATCTTGCTGATTTCACATGGTGGGTCATGTAAAGGGACCACAAATGAGTTCCCTGCATTGCTGGTGAGAATATTTATTTTCTTTTTTTTTAAATTTTTTTTTTAAGTATTTATTGATCATTCTTGGGTGTTTCTCGGACAGGGGGATGTGGCAGGGTCATAGGATAATAGTGGAGAGAAGGTCAGCAGATAAACACGTGAACAAAGGTCTCTGGTTTTCCTAGGCAGAGGTCCTTGCGGCCTTCAGCAGTGTTTGTGTCCCTGGGTACTTGAGATTAGGGAGTGGTGATGACTCTTAACGAGCATGCTGCCTTCAAGCATCTGTTTAACAAAGAACATCTTGTACCACCCTTAATCAATTTAACCCTGAGTTGACACAGCACGTGTTTCAGAGAGCACGGAGTTGGGGGTAAGGTTATAGATTAACAGCATCCCAAGGCAGAATAATTTTTCTTAGTACAGAACAAAATGGAGTCTCCTATGTCTACTTCTTTCTACACAGACACAGTAACAATCTGATCTCTCTTTCTTTTCCCCACATTTTCCCCTTTTCTTTTTGACAAAACCGCCATCGTCATCATGGCCCGTTCTCGATGGTTGCTGTCTCTTCGGAGCTGTTGGGTACACCTCCCAGACGGGGCAGCCGGGCAGGGGCGCTCCTCACTTCCCAGACGATGGGCGGCCAGGCAGAGACGCTCCTCTCTTCCTAGATGGGGTGGCGGCCAGGCAGATGCTGTGATCTTAGCACTTTAGGACGCCAAGGCAGGCGGTTGGGAGGTGGAGGTTGTAGCGAGCGGAGACCACGCCACTGCACTCCAGCCTGGGCAACACTGAGCATTGAGTGAGACTCCGTCTGCAATCTGAGCACCTCGGGAGGCGGAGGTGGGCAGATCACTCGAGGTCAAGAGCTGGAGACCAGCCTGGTCAACACGGCGAAACCCCGTCTCCACCAAAAATACAAAAACCAGTCAGGGGTGGCGGCGCGTGCCTGGAATCCCAGGCACTCGGCAGGCCGAGGCAGGAGAATCACGGCAGCCTGAGGCAGGGAGGCGGCAGGGAGGCTGCAGCGAGCTGAGATCAGGCAGTACAGTCCAGCCTCGGCAACAGAGGCAGATGGAAGAAGGAGAGGGAGGGGGAGGGGGAGAGGGAGCGGGAGGGGGAGGATATTTATTTTCACTTGGATTGTGCTGTTCCCTAATTCTGGGATACTCATTCCTCTTCTCTTTACCGAGTTAACTCTTATTCATACTTAAGGCTTCAGTTAAATGTTATCACCTCAGAAGAGGCTTCCCTGACTACTTATTCTAAAGGACTTCCTCTATATTTTTCCTAAGATTTTCTTTTATTCTTTAGAGCACTTACCTCTGTTGGTATTTATTTGTGCTTGTTTGTTATTTTCTACTGCAATGTAAACTCTACTAGATAAGAGGCCATTTCTGATTGGTTTATCAAAATATAGCCAGCTCTTAGTCAGGTGCCTGATACAAAATTGAGACTTGGTAGCTTTTTAGATGCCACAGTGTGATAGGGACCTGTCCTACATAATAGAATCTTAGAAATCTATTTATAATAACATACTTCTCAGAATTTGATTGTCTTAAAATTCCTTGATCTCATCTTAGGACTGAATAATTTAAATACTAGGTTAGTGTTTGTGATGGTTGATACTGAGTGTCAACTTGATTGGATTGAAGGATACAAAGCATTGATCCTAGGTGTGTCTGTGAGGGTGTTGCCAAAGGAGATTAACATTTGAGTCAATGGGCTGGGAAAGGCAGACCCACCCTTAATCTGGGTGGACAGAGTCTAATCAGCTGCCAGCACAGCTAGAATATAAGCAGGCAGAAAAATGTGAAAAGAGAGACTGGGCTAGTCTCCCAGTCTACATGTTTGTCTTGTGCTGGGTCCTTCCTGCCCTCGAACATCAGACTCCTAGTTCTTCAGTTTTGGAACTCAGACTGGCTCTCCTTGCTCCTCAGCCTGCAAATGACCTATTGTGGGACCTTGTGATCATGTGAGTTAATGCTTAATAAACTCCCCTTTATATAAATATCTATTTCATTAGTTCTGTCCCTCTAGAGAACCCTCTAGAGAACAGATTTTGGTACCAGGAGTGGTTCTAGAGGAACAGAATATTAAGGATGGAGTTCTTTCATTGGTTTCAGGGTTTCTGGAGTTGGCTGCTTAACATGATTAGACCCCCAAATGCTACGGACTTTACTTCTAATAGTATGGAGAACACTGATAGTCTTTGGCATGGACTGTTTAGAGAGTTATGCAAAATATATGCATTTGACATTTCTGATTCATTGCTCATGAGAGGCAAGGAGTTTAGTAACTCTATACATAATACCTTTGACCATATGTGGAGAATCAAGGAACATAATGAAGCTGGTTGTTTGCTCCTAAGTTCAGTGGACAAAGTGATAAAAGAAAATGATGAACTCAGGGATTCTGTCTCCCGGCTTGAGAAGCAGATGGTGAACCTCAAATCTGCTAAGATTGCCCTGGGTGAGAGTCTTATCTCCTGTAGAGAAAGAGCTGAAATCGTGGAAAAACAGACACAAGTTCTTATCATGTGAGTGGCTGACCTGCAATGAAAGGTGCATATAGAGCCTCACCAGGTGTCTACTGTTAAAGTGAGGGCATTGACTGGAAAAGAATGGGACCCTGCAACTTGGAATGGGGATGTATGGAAGGACCCTGATGAAGCTGGGGACACTGAGTTTGTAAACTCTGATGAACCTTTTTTGCCAGAAGAAACAGCTTCCCCATTCCCAGTAGTGGCAACATCCCCTCCCTGACCCATGCTGCCATCAGTGTTTTCACCTTTGTCTGAGGAGATAAACCCTGCACTGCCTGAGGCAACAATGATGGCATCCCCTGAGGCAGTTGCCAGGCAAGGTAATGTTGACTCTCCTCAGTTGCCACCCCACACCCCTGTTTGCTTCTAGACCTATAACTAGACTCAAGTCCTGGCATGCTCCTAGAGGTGAGGTTGAGAGTGTGACCCATCAGGAGGTGCACTACATTTGAAAAGAATTCTGTGTTTTCTAATTTATATAAACAGAAATCTGGAGAACAGGCATGGGAATGGATATTAAGGGTGTGGGATGGAAGGAACATAGAGTTGGCTCAGGTTGAATTTATTGATCTGGGCCCACTAAGTAGGGACTCTGCATTTAGTGGTGCCAGCTCAGGGAGTTAAAAAATGTTCTAATAGTTTATTTGCTTGGTTAGTTAAACTATGGATTAAAAGATGGCCCACTGTGAGCAAGCTGGAAATGCCTGATCTCCCTTGGTTTAATGTAGAGGAAGGGATCTAAAGGCTTATGAACATTGGGATGGTCAAGTGTATTAGTCACATTAGACCTACTCATCCCACCTCGGGGGGACCAGAAGCTATACCCTTGACCAAAGCCATGTGAAACAGGTTTGTGAGGGCAGTACCTGCGTCTTTGAAGAGCCCTGTAATTGCTCTTCTCTGTATGTCAGATCTAACAGAACCCCAGTCACTCAAATACAAAATTGAAATACAGTGTAAATAGGTGGATCCTGAGGTGGCAAATGGTGACACTCAACCGTCAAAGGCAAGGTGGACATAACTACTGGAATGGACAGCAAAGTGGCAATCAGAAGAGTCTGACTTGTGTAGAACTCTGGCATTGGCAAATTAATCATGGCATTCCTAGAAATAAAGTTGATAGAAAGCCTACTGCATTACTACTTAATTTATACAACCACAAAACTAGGTTAAATGGACAAAAGACTAATCTGAATTATAAAAACAGATAATCACGACCCCTCAATCAATTTCCAGACTTCAGCCAGTTTACAGACCCAGAATCCCTTGAATGAAGGGGGAGGCCAAGTCCCCTTGAGGAAGGACCCCACTACATTACTGACAATTTATGCAGCAAATCTTTCTCCCATCCTTCCCCAAGGAGACCTCCAGACTTTTACCAGGGTAACTGTGCACTGGGGAAAGGGAAATGATCAGACATTGTGGGGACTACTGGACACTGGCTCTGAGCTGACATTGATTCCAGGGGACCCAAAATGGCATTGTGGTCCTCCAGTTAAAGTAGGGGCTTATGGAGGTCAGGTAATTAATGGGATTTTAGCTCTGGTCCGATTTACAGTGGGTACAGTGTGTCCCCAGACACATCCTGTGGTCATTTCCCTAGTACCAGATACATAATTGACATAGACATATGTAGCAGCTGGCAGAACCCCCACATTGGCTCTCTGACTGGTAGGGTGAAGGCTATTGTGAGAAAGGCCAAATGGAAGCCATTAGAAGTGCCTCTACCTAGAAAAATAGTAAATCAAAAACAATATCGCATCCCTGGAGGGATTGCAGAGATTAGTGCCATCATCAAGGACTTGAAAGACGAAGGGGTGGTGATTCCCACCACATCCCCATTCAACTCTCCCATTTGGCCTGTGTAGAAGACAGATGAATCTTGGAGAATGACAGTGGATTATCGTAAACTTAAGCAAGTGGTGACTCCAATTGCAGCTGCTTTACAAGATGTGGTTTCATTGCTTGAGCAAATTAACACATCTCCTAGTACCTGGTATACAGTCACTGACTTGGCAAATGCCTTTTTCTCCATTCCTGTCCATAAGGCCCACCAGAGGCAATTTTCCTTCAGCTGGCAAGGCCAGCAATATACCTTCACTGTCCTACCTCAGGGGTATATCAACTCTCTGGCTTTGTGTCATAATCTTATTCGGAGAGACCATGATTGCTTTTTACTTTCAGAAGATATCACGCTGGCCCATTACATTGATGACATTATATGATTGGATCCAGTGAGCAAGAAGCAGCAAACACACTGGACTTATTGGTGAGACATTTGCATGCCAGAGGATGGGAAATAAATCAGACTAAAATTCAGGGACCTTCTACCTCAGTAAAATTTCTAGGGATCCAGTGGTGTGGGGCCTGTCCAGAAAACAACCAAGAGAGAGGCACAAGGCCTAGTGGGCCTATTTGGATTTTGGAGGCAACACATTGCTCTTTTGGGTGTGTTACTTGCCCATTTATTGAGTGACCTGAAAGGCTGCCAGTTTCGAATGGGGTCCAGAACAGGAAAAGGCTCTGCAACAGGTCCAGGCCGCTGTGCAAGCTGCTCTGCTACTTGGGCCGTATGACCCAGCAGATCCAATGGTGCTTGAGGTTTCAGTGGCAGATAGGGATGCTGTTTGGAGCCTTTGGCAGGACCCCATAGGTGAATCACCACAGAGGCCTCTAGGATTTTGGCGCAAGGCCCTGCCATCTTCTGCAGATAATTACTCTCCTTTTGAGAGACAGCTCTTGGGCTGTTACTGGGCTTTCGTGGAAACTGAATATTTGACTATGGGTTATCAATTCACCATGTGATCTGAACTGCCTATCATGAACTGGGTGCTTTCTGACCCATCTAGCCATAAAGTGGGTCATGCACAGTAGCATTCCATCATCAAATGGAAGTGGTATATACATGATTGGGTGTGAGCAGGTCTTGAACACACAAGTAAGTTACATGGGGAAGTGGCTCAAATGCCCATAGTCTCTACTCCTGTCACCCTGCCTTCTCTCCCCAAGCCTGCTCCAATGGCCTCATGGGGACTTCCCTATGATCAGTTGACAGGAAGAGAAGACTGGGGTCTGGTTCACAGATAGCTCTGCACAATACGCAGGTATCACCTGAAAGTGGACAGCTGTAGTACCAGAGCCCCTTTCCAGGACATCTCTGAAGGACAGTGGTGAAGGGAACTCTTCCCAGTGGGCATAACTTTGAGCAGTGCACCTGGTCGTGCACTCTGCATGGAAGGAGAAATGTCCAGATGTGTGATTATATACTGATTCATGGGCTGTAGCCAATGGTTTGGCTGGACGGTCAGGGACTTGGAAGAAGCATGATTGGAGAATTAGTGACAAAGAAATTTGGGGAAGAGGTATGTGGATGGATCTCTCTGAATGGTCAAAAACTGGGAAGATATTTGTATCCCATATGAATGTTCACCAATGAGTGACCTCAGCAGAGGAGGATTTTAATAATCAAGTGGATAGTATGACCCGTTCTGTGGACACCACTCAGCCTCTTTCCCCAGCCACCCTGTCATTGACCACGGTAACAGGGATGGAGGTTACACATGGGCTCAGCAACATGGACTTCCACTCACCAAGGCTGACCTGGCTATGGCCACTGCTTAGTGCCCAATTTGCCAGCAGCAGTGACCAATAGTTGCCCTCCATATGACACAATTCCTCGGGGTGATCAGCCAGCTACCTGATGGCAGGTTGATTATATTGGACTTCTTCCATCATGGAAAGGGCAGAGGTTTGTCCTCACTGGAATAGAGGTTTGCCTATCCTGCACACAATGCTTCTGCCAAGACTACCATCTGTGGACTCACAGAATGCCTTATCCACTGTCATGGTATTCCACACAGCATTGCCTCTGACCAAGGCACTCACTTTCCAGCTAAAAAAGCACTGCGGTGGGCTCATTCTCATGAAATTCACCGGTCTTACCATGTTCCCCATCTTTCTGAAGCAGCTGTATTAATAGAATGGTGGAATGGCTTTTTGAAGTCACAATTACAATGCCAACTAGGTGACAATTCTTTGCAGGGCTGGAGCAAAGTTCTCCAGAAGGCCATGTATGCTCTGAATCAGTGTCCAATATATGGTACTGTTTCATGGGTCCTGAAATCAAGGGTGGAAGTGGAAGCGGCACCACTCACCATCACCCCTAGTGATCCACTGGCAAAATTTTTGCTTCCTGTTCCCATGACATTATGTTCTACTGGCCTAGAGGTCTTAGTTCCAGAGGGAGAAACGCTGCCACCAGGAGACACAACAATGATTCTATTAAACTGGAAGTTAAGATTGCAACTTGGACACTTTGGGCTCCTCCTACCTTTAAGTCAACAGGCTAAGAAGGGAGTTACAGTTTTGGCTGGGGTGATTGACCTGGACTATCAAGATGAAATTAGCCTACTACTCCACAACGGAGGGTAAGGAAGAGTAGGCATGGAATATAGGAGATCCATTAGGGTGTTTCTTAGTATTACCATGCCTGGTAATTAAGGTCAATGGAAAACTACAACAGCCTAATCCAGACAGGACTACAAATGACCCAAACCCTTCAGGAACGAAGGTATGGGTCAGTCCACCAGGAAAAAACCATGACCTACTGAGGTGCTTGTTGAAGGCAAAGGGAAAATAGAATGGGCAGTAGAAGAAGGTAGTCATCACTATGACGACATGATGACAGAAATGAGGCCTGTCATTGTTATGAGTATTTCCTCCTTCTTTTGTAAAAAACGTGTTTGTGCATGTACACACTTGTACTAAGAAAATATATTTATTTTATTTCATTTTCCTTTATTATGTGACATTAGATTTATTGACTTCACATCAGCATTTAAAAATTGTTAACTTTATGTAATAACATTTGGGTTGGGGATTGGTGGGTTTCTGGTTGTATGAAGAATAGTTGTATTATCTTAGGTGTAATTATGTTCTTATTATTGTCTTTATTTGAAGATTATATATAATCTCAGGAGATGTGTATGTGTTCAATTTGATAAGGGGTAGATGTGTGATGGTTGATACTGAGTGTCACCTTGATTGGATTGAAGAATACGAAGTATTGTTCCTGGGTGTGTCTGTGAGAGTGTCACCAAAGGAGATTAACATTTGAGTCAGTGGCATGGAAAAGACAGACCTACCCTTAATCTAGGTGGGCACAATCTAATCAGCTGCCACCACAGCTAGAATATAAGCAGGCAGAAAAATGTGAAAAGAGAGACTGGCCTAGCCTCCCAGCCTATATCTTTCTCCTGTGCTGGATGCTTCCTGCCCTCGAACATCAGACTCCTAGTTTTTCAGTTTTGGAACTCAGACTGACTCTCCTTGCTCTTCAGCCTGCAGGTGGCCTATTGTGGGACCTTGTGATTGTGTGAGTTAATACTTAATAAACTCCCCTTTATATATGTATATCTATTCCATTAATTCTGTCCCTCTAGGGAACTCTGACTAATACTGTATTCTCCTGTCCATTTATTCAGTTTTTTCTTTCACCCTGGGCCTCCTTTCTTTTGCAAAGGTGTCACTTCCATAATGTTTGGTTATCTTAGCCTTTCTACATCTGCTAAATTAAGGATCACATTCACCTTTGATGCCAGGACTACCTGTCCCCTGGATGGTCCCTGCTGTGTGGCTTTTTGATGAAACCTGCAGTAAACTGCAAGCAGAACAAATGGCTTCTGCCCATCAACTCTGATGGCTAGTGCTTCTTTTATTAAATATCTTGTCTCCCAGATCCTCGATCTTACCTTCCAGACAGTGTGTTCTAGATTAGTTCTGTTTACCTGGGCTTATTTTCCTGACCCTTTTAGCCAACTCTGTCCCATGGCAAACCACATCCTCTCTACTGAATCATGCTGAAGTTTCTCCCCCACTATCTTTTCCAGCTATGAGCTATTTCTTGCTCCCCTATCATAGCCAAAACTTCTTGAAAGAGATCTCTTTATTTATTTCCCAATGGCTTCCCCATTCACTCCATCTAGCTTTTCACTCACTTTATTTTACAAACACAATCTCCAGTTTGTTACATCCTATGGGGAATTTTCAGTCATCACCACATAGTCAGCAACATTTGTTGCTGTTTATTGCATCATCCTTTAGAGACACGTTTTCTCCTCAATTTCCATGTTAAAACCTCTTCATGTTTCCTTCTGCTTCTAAAGCCTGTCCTTCTTAGTGTCTTTCACTTACTTTATTGTAGCTGCACTGTAAATATTGCTGTTAAGACCATTTTCTTCAGTCTACAATGGCTTTCTAGGGGACATCATCCACAGCCAAGCATCAAATAACCTTTAACATACCTATGAAAGACAGGGATGCCCTCTCTCACCACTCCTATTCAACATACTGTTGGAAGTTCTGGCCAGGGCAATTAGGCAGGAGAAGGAAATAAAGGGTATTCAATTAGCAAAAGAGGAAGTCAAATTGTCCCTGTTTGCAGATGACATGATTGTATATCTAGAAAACCCCATTGTCTCAGCCCAGTCTCCTTAAGCTGATAAGCAACTTCAGCAAAGTCTCAGGATACAAAATCAATGTACAAAAATCACAAGCATTCTTATACACCAACAACAGACAAACAGAGAGCCAAATCATGAGTGAACTCCCATTCACAATTGCTTCAAAGAGAATAAAATACCTAGGAATCCAACTTACAAGGGATGTGAAGGACCTCTTCAAGGAGAACTACAAACCACTGCTCAAGGAAATAAAAGAGGATACAAACAAATGGAAGAACATTCCATGCTCATGGGTAGGAAGAATCAATATTGTGAAAATGGCCATACTACCCAAGGTAATTTACAGATTCAATGCCATCCCCATCAAGCTACCAATGACTTTCTTCACAGAATTGGAAAAAACTACTTTAAACTTCATATGGAACCAAAAAAGAGCCTGCATCGCCAAGTCAATCCTAAGCCAAAAGAACAAAGCTGGAGGCATCACACTACCTGACTTCAAACTATACTACAAGGCTACAGTAACCAAAACAGCATGGTACTGGTACCAAAACAGAGATATAGATCAATGGAACAGAACAGAGCCCTCAGAAATAACGCCACACATCTACAACTATCTGATCTTTGACAAACCTGAGAAAAACAAGCAATGGGGAAAGGATTCCCTATTTAATAAATGGTGCTGGGAAAACTGGCTAGCCATATGTAGAAAGCTGAAACTGGATCCCTTCCTTACACCTTATACAAAAATCAATTCAAGATGGATTAAAGACTTAAACGTTCAACCTAAAACTATAAAAACCCTAGAAGAAAACCTAGGCATTACCATTCAGGACATAGGCATGGGCAAGGACTTCATGTCTAAAACACCAAAAGCAATGGCAACAAAAGCCAAAATTGACAAATGGGATCTAATTAAACTAAAGAGCTTCTGCACAGCAAAAGAAACTACCATCAGAGTGAACAGGCAACCTACAAAATGGGAGAAAATTTTTGCAACCTACTCATCTGACAAAGGGCTAATATCCAGAATCTACAATGAACTCAAACAAATTTACAAGAAAAAAACAAACAACCCCATCAAAAAGTGGGCGAAGGACATGAACAGACACTTCTCAAAAGAAGACATTTATGCAGCCAAAAAACACGTGAAAAAATGCTCACCATCACTGGCCATCAGAGAAATGCACATCAAAACCACAATGAGATACCATCTCACACCAGTTAGAATGGCGATCATAAAAAGGTCAGGAAACAACAGGTGCTGGAGAGGATGTGGAGAAATAGGAACACTTTTACACTGTTGGTGGGACTGTAAACTAGTTCAACCATTGTGGAAGTCAGTGTGGCGATTCCTCAGGGATCTAGAACTAGAAATACCATTTGACCCAGCCATCCCATTACTGGGTATATACCCAAAGGACTATAAATCATGCTGCTATAAAGACACATGCACACGTATGTTTATTGCAGCATTATTCACAATAGCAAAGACTTGGAACCAACCCAAATGTCCAACAATGATAGACTGGATTAAGAAAATGTGGCACCTATACACCATGGAATACTATGCAGCCATAAAAAATGATGAGTTCATGTCCTTTGTAGGGACATGGATGAAATTGGAAATCATCATTCTCAGTAAACTATCGCAAGAACAAAAAACCATACACCACATATTCTCACTCATAGGTGGGAATTGAACAATGAGAACACATGGACACAGGAAGGGGAACATCACACTCTGGGGACTGTTGTGGGGTGTGGGGAGGGGGGAGGGATAGCATTGGGAGATATACCTGATGCTAGATGATGAGTTAGTGGGTGCAGCGCACCAGCATGGCACATGTATACATATGTAACTAACCTGTACATTGTGCACATGTACCCTAAAACTTAAAGTATAATTAAAAAAAAGTTAAAAAAAATAAAAAATAAAATAAAAAACATACCTATGAAATCTAAATTTCTATCTCTAAATCCTGATCCATATATCCAACTGCTTGCAGACATCTACTATTAATATCTTACCATCAACTCAAATTGAAAATGCCCAAAACCAAGCTCATAATCTTTCCCTAAAATGTATCCCTCCTGCAGTGTTCTTCTGAGAGAATCCCCTATTGTGTATTCAGGGATGTTGCTGAGAACCTGTAAGATATCCATGCTGCTTGATCTTGAATCTTTTGCCAGCCCATTGGCAAGTTAGTTTTTCTCCTAATTGTCTTTCAAATACACCTATACTTCTCCATCTGCACATTTCAAGCTATTGTAATACCGTGCTGATACAGCTGCCTAATTGATCTCCTCACTATCACTACTCCACACTGCAGTAGAGGTAATCTTCCAAAAAGGCCAATTGCTTTAATGGAATACCCGTGCTTAAATAAAGTCACATGTCAATGGTATTCCATCAGAATCCTTTATGTAATATATAGGTTCAAACTTCCCAGTCGATTTTTACATGTTAGCACACATAGAAAATGAGAATATGTGTATGATTTCACAAGAAAATGAATAAGGTTGTTTATGTTCAGAGGCAACCAGCCTGAGGGCTTATGCCACCCCCAAAGATGATGGAATCTATGATGACAGTTCACCTATAATGCAGCCATGGTCATAAGCATGCCTCACTGCACAGCTGGGAAGCTCCAAACTAGCAGGTCCTGAATGACAGGCACTCAGTCTCCCAGCCTCATCTTCTCATGCTTAGTCCTCCAGTCACTCTAGTATTTCTTGGATGTTTACACCACTTTCCTGGGATGTGCTGCCTATGCAGGTGCTCTTTGAAATGCTCTCCATTTCACCTGGATAACTCATACTCAACCCTCAAATTTCTGTTCAAATATAATTACTTGGAAACTGCACCCCACCACCCACTTCCCCACATGATCAGTATCCCTGTCTTACACTTTCAAATCTCACTCTACTTTTAAAAGCTTAACGTAACATAAAACTTTATGTACATAAAATTCACCACATTAAAGTGTACAATTCAGTGGATTTTTGTATTAAAAAAGTTGTGCAAACACCACCACTATTTAACTCCGCAATGTTATCCCACCTAATGGAAATCCTGTACCTATTAACAGTCACTCCCAATTCCCTATCTCCCCACTCCCTGGCAACCACTTATCTACTTTCTATCTCTATGGTTTTGCCTATTCTGAACATAAGTGGAATAAAAAATATGTGGGCTTTTTTGTTTGGCTTCTTTCACTTAGTATATAATGTTTTCAAGGTTTACCCATGTTGTAACATGAGTCACTACTTCATTCTTATGGTCAAATAACATTCTATTGCATGGATGTACCACATTTTGTTGATCTAGTCATTGGTTGATAGACATTTGGGTTGTTTTCACCTTTTGGCTATTGTGAATAGTGCTGTTCATGTACAGATTTTGTTTAAATAATTTTGTTTTAATGTTTTTGGGGATACACCTAGCAATGCATTTGCTGGATCATATGGTAACTCTATGTTTAACATTTTGAGTTACTGCCAAACCATTTCCCATCACAGCTGTAGTATTTTACGTTTCCACTACCAATGTATAAACTTTCCAACTTCTCCACAGATTTTCTTTTCTCTGTGATGGTTGATTTTATGTGTCAACTTGACTGGGCTAAGGGATGCCCAGATAGCTGGTAAAATATTTTTAGTATTTTCTATGATGGCATTTCTGGAAGAGATTAACATTTGAATCAGTAGACTGAGTGAGCAAAGAAGATCACCCCCACTAATGTGGTTAAGCATTATCCAGTCTGTTGAGGTTATGAATGGAACAAAAAGGCAGAGAAAGGGTAAATTTGCTGTCTCTTTCTTTTCATGAGCCAGAACATCCATCTTCTTCTGCCCTTGGACATTAGAACTTCTAGTTTTCCAGCCCTGGGATTCTGGGACTTACACCACTTCTCCTGCCGCCCCCCTGCAGCCTTGTAAGTCTGGAACTTACACCACTGGCCCACCCACCTTGTTCTGAGGCATTTGGCCTCAGACTGAATTACCCCACCAGTTTTTCTGGCTCTCTAGCTTATAGATGGCAGATCATAGAATTTCTTGGCTTCCATAATCGTGCAGAATCCCATAATAAATCTCCTTTTATATATCTCTATATAGCCCATTGGTTTTGTTTCTCTGGAGAACCCTGACTCATACACTTTCCTTTAGTTCTCTAGACATGGTTTCCTTTAGCTCTTCTAAAAATAGCTGATTTGAAGTCTTTGTCTACCATGTCCCATTTCTGAGCTTCCTCAGGGAGTTTTTAAAAGAAACAATTTCTTTCCTCCCCCTTGTGTATGAGGCATACTTTCTTGTTTCCTTGCATGTCTCTTAGTTTTTTGTTGTTGTTGTTGAAAAATGGACATTTTAAATATTATGTACTAACTCTAGGAATCAGATTTTTCTACCTTCCCAAGTTCTTTTGTTGTTGCTACTTGTTATAGTAGTAGGCATGTATTCAGTGGCTTTTCTGAACTAATTTTGTAAAGCATGTATTCATCGTTTGTAGCCACTCACATCTCTATTCCCTTTTTTTTGTGGTTAGCTAATGATTGAACAGATTTCCTTGAATGCCTGAAACCAGAAAATCTCCCAGGCTTTGCTGAAGAGGCCTGTGTATGTGTTGGAACAACCTTTAATGCTCAGCCAGGCAGGTTACAACTCTACCTTAGCCTTCATTTATTGAAAGAACCTCAAGGTCAGCCAGAGATAAGAACTTCATAACTTCTCAGGTCTTCCTGGAGCACATACACAGCGCTTTACATGCATGTGGACTTCTACATTCCTAGAAATATGTTGGAGATTTTCAAAGGTGTTGTGAATATCTTATTCCTCAGTTTTTCCTTTTATTTATTTTGTTTAGTCTATTGTTTGCCTCAACTGCTATCTATCATCCCAGACAGTAGTGACATTAAAATAATTGTCTCTAAGTATTTTTGGCAAATACTTTATCTAATCCTGTACTGCCTCCCTTCTTCTGAAAGGAAGGAATAAACATTCCAATTTCTGCATAGATTTCCTCTTATCTGTGATTGTTTAGCACTGTGTGTTCCAAGTTATGTTAAATAAAGGTAAGTCTTCCCAGGGGGGTGCCAAGGACCTACCACACAGGTATGAATGAGGCTCTGAAAGAATTCTAGATACTTTCTGCTCTCTCTAGCCCTGGGAATGTGGACTATTATTTTCCAAGGCTTCTGATAAGCTTAGGAACAGGGGATGAAAATACAGCAAGTTAAAAATGTCCCCAATTTTGCTATTCTTACCAAGATTCAGCAATTTTTCTCAAATAAATGGTCACTGGGTTGCTGTAAGTCTTTGGTTAATTTCCAGAGTTCTGAAAAAAAAAATTCCATTTTTTTTCAATTTTTGAAAAAATAATTAATTGATAATGGTTGAAATCTTCAACAAAGGAGCTGAAAAAACATATTGGGGAAAGAATAATCTCTTCAATAAATGATGTGGGGGAAAACTGGATAGTCACATGCAAAAGAATAAAATTTGGAACCTTATGATATACCATACGCAAAAATCAACTCAAAATGAATGAAGGGCTTAAACATAAGACCTGAAACTATAAAGCTCCTAGAAGAAAATTTAGGGAATAAGCTCCATGGCATTGATCTGGGCAATGATTTTTTTGGATATGATATAAAAGGATAGGCAACAAAAGCAAAAATAGACCAGTAGGACCATATTAAACTAAAAAGCTTCTGCACAGCAAAGGAAACAATAAAGAAAATTAAAAGGCATCCTACAGAATGGGAGAAAATATTTGCAAACCATATATCTGAATGGGGATCAGTATCCAAAATATGTAAGGAACACATACAACTCAATAGCCAAAAAAAAAAAAGAAACCCAGTTAAAACAGGCAAAGGCAAAGGACCTAAATAGATGTGTTTCTAAAGAAGGCATTCAAATGGCCAATAGATATATGAAAAAGTCCTCACCATCACCAGTCATAAGGGAAATGCAAATCAAAATCGTAATGAGATACCATCTCATACCTATTAGGTTGTGTATTATCAAAAGACAATAGATAAAAAGTGTTGGTGAGGATGTAGAGAAAAGGAAACCCTTTTATATTGTTGGTAGGAATATAAGTTGCGTAATCGTTATGGAAAACAGTACGGAGATTCCTCTAAATATTAAAAATAAAACTGGGGCTGGGCGTGGTGGCTCACGCCTGTAATCCCAGCACTTTGGGAGGCTTAGGCGGGTGGATCACAAGGTCAGGAGTATGAGACCAGCCTGGCCAGCATGGTGAAATCCCATCTCTACTAAAAGTACAAAAAATTAGCTGGGCATGGTAGTATACGTCTGTAGTCCCAGCTACTCGGGAGGCTGAGGCGGGAGAATTGTTTGAACCCAGCAGGTGGAGGTTGCAGTGAGCTGAGATTGCACCACTGCACTCCAGCCTAGGTGACAGAGTGAGACTCTGTTTCAAAAAAAAAAAAAAATTAAATAAATAAATAAAATCTAAAAAGTAAAATTAACATATGATCTAGCAACCCTACTTCTGGGTCTATATTCAAAGGAAACAAAGTTGCTATCTCAAAGAGATATCTGCACCCTCAGGTTCATTGCAACACTATTCACAATAGCCAAGATATGGAAACAGCCTGTATCCAGCAATGGATGAATTGATAAAGTCATTATGGCATATATTTACAATGGAATATTGTTCAGCTTTAAAAAAGGAAATGCTGCCATTTGTGACAGTGTGGATGACATTAAGTGAAGTAAATCAGACACAGAAAGACAAACGTTGCATGATATCATTTATATGTGGAATCTAAAATAGTCAAACTCAGAGTAACAGAGAGTAAGTAGAATGGTGTTTGCCAGAAATTGGGGTTTGGGAGAAATAGGGAGATGTTGGTCAAAAGGCACAAACCTTCAGCTGTAAGATAAATAAGCTCTGGAGATCTAATATACAGTATTGTGACAATTGTTCATAGACTATAGTTAATAATAACGTATTATGTACTTGAACTATGACAGTAGATCTTTAGTGCTCTCACCACACACTCACACAAAAGGCCTTCATCAGGTGATGAATATGTTAATTAGCTTGATTGTGAGAATCAGTACAAAAGGTATATTTATATCAAAACACCATGTTATACACCTTAAATATACACAATTTTTTATTTGTCAATCATACTTCAATAAGAAAAGTTAATTTTGACAGGTTTTTGCCAGTTTTTTTCATTGCTTTTGTGGAGGGATGAAATGTTGAGGTCCTTCTTTACTCCATGGTTTTTGCTAACATTGCTGACTCTCATCCTATTTTTATTTAATAATATTTACTATAGCTCATAGTAAAAAAATTAAGTAATAAGTTATTCATGTGACCAATTGGTTTTTGATTAATATTAGTTTTTCTCCTGAGAGCGTAGACTCCTTTAGGGGAGGGTCTTGTCTGTTTAGATTACTGTTGTATTCCTAGTTCTTAGCATAATGTCCAACATTTGAGCATTTGATCAATATGTATATGTTGAATGAGTGAATAAGGAAATTAGATAGTTAATTACTGTGAGAACATGGTAATTACTTGGTGGGATCTAGAGTCACAGAGCAGTGTTTAAATCCCAGCTCCATCACTTTGTGGGTGTATTATAATGTGACAACCTGTCAGTTTTCTTATCTGTAAGATGGGAAGAATAGTACAAATCTTAGCTTTGGCTAACATGTGCCAAGATATCATTATTTTTCAGGTCCTGTGCTAAGTCCTTGAAATGTATTATCATACTCCTCATAAAACATTTTAAGGTAGGTACTCTTATTATCTGCAATTTATTATTATTATTATTATTATTTTTTTAGAGACAGGGTCTCACTCTCTTGCCCAGGCTGGAGTACAGTGGTGTGGTCTTACTGCAACCTTAAACTCCTGGGCTTAAGTAACCCTCCTGCCTCAGCCTCCCGAGTAGCTGGGACTACATGCATGCTACTATTCAACTGCTGAAGGACTATTCAGGTGGCCCATTCATGGAGGCCAAGCGTGGGTTTCCAAATGGACTGCTGTTCCATTAGTGTCTTTACTCGTGGGGAACTCAGAGCAACATTGGCACTCATCCCATGATGCCTGTTCTTGAATGTTAATGTAAGTGTGTGCATTTATTAAACATACTTGTGAGAATCAGGCCAGTATTTAGTTTTAAAAATTAAACACACCACATGTGTGTTAATCTCCTTTTCTGACCCTGTTGTGTGGGGATGTCCATTGATGGCTCTTCCAATGGACAGGTGAGAAAACTAGAGATGCAAAGACCACAGATAAGGACTTCACAAATAACTAAACATGGACCAGAGCAAACTCTAATTTGGAGACTTGCCCAGAGCTTTTGAAAATATTGGAAGCATTTGTAACCCAAATATCATGGGAATGAAAGAATTTAGAGTATTATCTGCATCTGAGATAAGATGTTAAACCACTGTTCCCCAGAGTGGCTGGGTCTGAGATCTCTGTATTTGCTGTGTGAATACTTGCAGTAAGAATTGGGAAATAATTATGGAACAAACAATTTCTAAGTTATGTGAAGTTGAGGGATGTCTTCCGGGCGGCATTCCGCCTGAGAGCCTTCCCCTCCTGCCCAAACCTCCACTGGGACCTAGCAAAGCAGGAAGTGCCTGAGGGTGGCACCAGTGGAAGGAGAAGTTCAGTACATCCAGTTGTGTAAAAGCACAAAAACAGTGATTGGAAATGGGATTAGGCACTAGAACCATTCGAGGTTCTCTGTATTTTCCAAATGGCTGTGACTCGGGGAAAGCGCTTGTTGGAGTGGGACAGAGAAAGGGATCAGAAAAGATAAAACCAAAATGAGAAAAGGAAAGGATCTGGTTCAGAGATGGCAAAACTTACAAATATACAACTGAGGAGGGACTGACAGTAAAATCATTCTTACTATATCTGCATATCGTGTGTAATGTTTTGAGTATGCATAGTCTTGTACATGCAAACATGTATACATATGTTTATGCTTTATGTATGTTTACAAAAATGTTTAAGTTGACTGTAGAGTAAATCTGTACATAGTTCATTTATAATATTTTACATCTTCACAGTGGACCCATTCATTCATTTATTCATTGAGTCCTTAGGTGTTCCAGACACTCTGCTGGGCATTGGATGTACAAAGATCACACAACACAGTGCCTTCTGCAAATAATCGCACAGTCCATTGGAGGAAACAGTCATTTGAATAGTCAATTATAAAGCAATGATAGGGACATATGGAGGGCTTTATGGAAACACGGATAATGGGCTCTGTTATGGGTTGAATTGTGTCCTCCTCTCAAAGTCATATGTTGAAATCCTAGTCCCCAGTACCCCAGAATGTCACCTTATTTGGAAATGGGGTTTTTCAAGATGTAATCAAGTTAAAATGAAGTTAATTATGGTGGGCCCTTATCCAATAAGGCTGATCTCCTTATAAAAAGGGGAATTTGGGGGACAGGCACACACTGAGGAGAAGAACATGAGAAGATGAAAGGAGAGATGGGAGTGATGCTTCTACAAACTGGGAACTCTAAGGATCACCAGCAAATCACAAAAGCTAGGTGAGGAGCTTCGAACGGATTCTTCTTCACAGCTCTCAGAAGGAAACAACCCTGCCAACAACCTTGACCTTGACTTGTACCCTCCAGGACTGTGGGACATAAATTTCTGTGGTTTAAGCTATCTAGTTTTAGGTGCCTTTTAATGGCAGCTCTAGGAAACTAGTACTGGGTCTTAACTCAGCTTTGGGGAAAGGGATCAGAGAAGGCTGCCGGGAGGAGATGACAGAGTGAACTGTAATAGACAGAGCTGATTGAATAGCAAGTTGCCAAGTGAAAGGGTTGGGGAAGGGTGTCAAGGTGGCATTCCAGGTGGCTAGGGAGGCAACATGGGCAGTAAAGTATTGAGGTGAGAAGCAGCTGGTGAGTGAGGAATTTGGTGAGGTTTGAGAGTGGTCTCAAGTAGGAAGTAGGAAGAGACAGGATACGCCAAGCACAGGGCTTGGGGATGTGCACCAGTGCACAAGGCCAACGAAGACAAGTTTCCTGACCCCGTGGAGAGGACACTTACATCCCACACTGGGAAGCCACAGTGGAGCAACTAACCTCACGTCACTCTCCTGTTCCCAGTCACCACTGAGCTCTGGTGGTTGGACCAGTGACTTAGTTCCACAAACTTGGTGCCTTGATGGGGAAAAGTCCTTGTTCAGCCATGAAAGAAGCACCACATTTCTGGACTGCTCAAGTTCCATTCTTGGGTACTCGAAGGTCTCACTGCTCTATCTGGGGTTTCCTTTCTTTCAGAGAAAATGATTTCTTCCCCTTTATCATTAAGCAAAAACTCCAAGATGATGCTAATTATAAGGACATTTAAGCATCATTTAAGGTGATCACATCCTGATTCCGGGACATTTGTGTCTGAATTTCCTCACAACAGGAATACTGCCAGTGAGGAGGCTTTCCCTTAGCCATTACACTTTACAAAATCTAGCTCAAAAGGTCAGAAGCTGTTCCTGTAAAGGCTGCCTGATGTTCCGTGCTCTGTCCTCCTTACAGGATTCAGGGCGCTTTTGTATAAAAGTTTCCACCTCTGGTAGACATTTCAAAAGACTCTTGTGAAAAGAATATCTGGAAGCATATAGCCAGAAATGCACAGAGATTTAATCTGATTAATTAAGAAGTTTTTTTATTTTAATATCAACCCAACTTTTATATAATCTTTAAAAATTCTAGTGCTTCTGGATCAAAGGTGAGGTTATTCACCCCAGGAGGATCTTTAAATTGAGGAGTATTTGTAACCTTTTTCTTTTAGATTTATTTAAAATTAAGCCTAAAGTAAAATGTTAAACACTAAAATATAATGGTTTTTGCCTTCATAAAATTTATTTCAGAGCACATTTGAATCATACATTAAATATCCTGGTTACGAGTACCATATGTTTCTTCTGAAAATGGAAGAATTGGCTTATAATCCAAGTGTCTTCTTAATTTTGTTTTTTTAAAAATGACGTGATTATATTCAGATGAAGAATGTATGTATATTTAAAGTCTAATTCTTTGTTCAAAAGAATTAAATGGTCCATACAAATACATAGTTTAAGATAATTAAGGTTTACCTGTACACTAGAGAAAAGTTAATGACAATTAAATGACATTCCTGCAACACACTACACTGACATTTACATTGATCAGATACTTGTTAGGGGAAGCAGAGGTACTTGGTTCTATGGACATGTCCCCTCTAAAATTCATGTTGAAACTTAATTCCCATTGTATTAAGAGGCGAGACCTTCTGGGAAGTGATTACCTTATGAGGGAGGCTCTGCCCTCAAGAATAAGATTGGCAACTTTATAAAAGGGCTGGAGAGGCTGAATGCAGTGGCTCATGCTTGTCATCCCAGAGCTTTGGGAGGCCCAGAGGACCACTTGGGACAAGGAGTTTGAGATGAGCTTGGGCAACATAGCAAGACCCCATCTGTACACAAAAAATACAAAATTAGCCAGGTCTGATGGCATGTGCCTGTAGCTCCAGGTACTTGGGAAGGCTGAGGTGGAAGGATCCCTTGAGCCCAGGAGTTTGAGATTGCAGTGAGCTATGATCACACCACTGCATTTCAGCCTGGGTGAGAGAGTGAGACCCTATCTCTAAAAAAATAAAATAAAAAAATAAATAATATAAAGGGTGGAGAGAACTAGTGATCATTCCTTTTGCCCCTCCACCTTCTGCCAGGTGGGGATGCTACCAGTAGGAGAGCTGTAAAGGAGCCGGCCCCCACCAGACACTGAACCTGCTGATGTCTTATCTTGGACTTTCTATCCTCTAGAACCATGAGGAATAAATTTTGTTCTTTATAAATTACCTAGTCTCAGGTATTTTGTTATAGCAGCACAAATGAACTCAAATGAACTCACTACTTATGAGGAACCACAAGTCAAGTGGGAGAGACAGACGCATGAACACAGCAGAGGCTATAACAGGTGTATGGATCAGGTCCTGGAGCAGCTAAGCTCCAGGTGGCGGGGAGTGGGGCGGTGTGAAAAATCTTCTTGGTGATCATATTTACCCCAGGATCTGAAGGATGGCCAATAATGCTCCAAGCAAAGAAGGAAGGGCAGCACATTTTAGTAGAAGAGGAGCCTGGATAAAGGAAGACAGGTGATGCCAGGGTGGCAGCACACACTGGGACAGCTGGAAATGGCAGTGTGACTGGAGCATGATACATGGGGACAATGGCTGGAAGTGAGACTAGAGAAGTAGGTGAGGGTTGGACAGGGGAAAAACTGTATTATGTAGAGTTTATTGCATTGCATAGACATCCTGATCAGATCTGTAATTTTGGATGCTGACCTGGGAGCACTACAGTGGAAAGACTGGGGGAGGAAGGGCAGCAGGAAAGCCAAAGGCAGTGGTCTAAGCAAGGCACAAGGGGGCGCTGCACTGGAGGTGCAATGGTAGGGATGGAGACAGAGAAATGGGCCACAGAGAAATAGGGTCAGCAGCTCAAGCACTGGGGTTTCCAGCTGTATATGGGGGAGAGGAGTCAAGAATGAGACCTAGCTTGGAACATGGTGGCCGCTATGGAATGAATTGTATCCCCACCCTTATATTCATATATTGAAGTCCTAACCCACAATGTGACTGCATTTGGAGATAGGGCCTTTAGGAAGTAATTAATATAAAATGAGGTCATAAGGGTGGAACCCTGATTTGATAGGACTAGTGTCTTCCTAAGAGACATCAGAGAAGTTTCTCTTCCTCTTGTGAGCACCTAGCAGGAAGATGGCCATCTGCAAGTCAGGAAGAGAGCTCTCACCAGTAACTGAACTGGCTGACACCATGATCTTGGATTTCTCAGACTTTGGAACTGTAAGAAGATAAATTATTTTGTTTAAGTCACCCAGTCCACGGTGTTTTATTAAGGCAGCCTGAGCTAACTAAGACTGTGCCATTAACTCAGATAAAGAATACCAAGGGGACAGTATTTGTTTGTTGTCGTTTTATTTTATTTATTATTTATTTATTTATTTTCTGTTTTGGGCATGTCAAGTGTGAGATGCTGATAAGGAAGACAGGAGGAGCTGTCCAGCAGGCACCTGGGTCTATTGAGTAGGAACAATGAAGGAGCAGTCAGGTGAGGAGAGAGTTTAGGGAGTTCTTAGCACAGATGAAACAGAAGGCAAAGGAGTTGGGTGGTTCCCAAGGCAAGAATGTAGAACACATAAAAGAAGGCAGCCCGGGGAAGGACAGGGGGATCCAGACACCTACAGGCAGGAGAAACAGGAGGAACAGCCAGAGAGAGTTGCAGGAAAGAGGTGCTCTAGAGGCCACGGGGGAGGGAGTTTCCAGGCCATTTATCCATGGTGTCTTGTACTGCAGAGGGCTCAAGTAGGCTGAAGACCAAAGAATAAAGCACTGAGCTGGTAATTAGGAGATAATTATTTGGAGCCGTGCCAGTGAAGTACTAGGGGTGAAGTCAGGTTGCAGAGCATTGCAACATGCTTGGGATGAACAGAGAATGGGTATTGTCTTGGTCAGTTGTGGCTGCCGTAACAGAATACCACGAACTGGGAGGTTCATAAACAACAGACATTTGTTTCTCACAGTACTGGGGGCTAGAAGTTCGAGATCAGGGTGCCAGCATGGTCAGGTTCTAAAAAAGGCCGTCTTTGGTGTTGCAGATGGCCGACTTCTCATTGTGTCTTCACAGGGTGAAAAGGGATTGAGAGAACTCTCTAGGGGCTCTTTTATAAGGACATTGATCCCATTCATGAGGATGACCTAATTACTTCCCAAAGGGCCTGCCTCCTAATACTGTCACAGTGAGATTAGGGTCTCAACATATGAATTTTGGGGTGACACAACTGTTTAGTCCATTGCAAGTATAGACTATGATTTTATGATCTTTGCTTATGGAAAACGTAAGGGAGGTGGGACAGTAGCTTGAGGGAAGGCACACATGAGACAGTAATTTTCCCTTCTATCTTTCTCAAACTCCCTTTATGCTAAGGAGCCATAGACAGCTAAAGAAAGAAAATTATACTTCCCTTTTACGCACGTTAATCTCTTATTATTTTAGACTTTCAGGTGTCTGTTCATTGCCCAACTAGGGCAAATTCCCTGCCCCTTTCCCTGAAGAGTTTTCACCTCCTTGGTTCATTTCTATTATCCTCCTAACAAGCATCATGCTTTAACTGAGTATCTCAACTCCCAGAGCGAGGTCAGGGGCATGCATGTGTTAGTGAGTGTGAACATATGTGTGACTGTGTGTCTCTGAGTGTGAGAATATAAGGGTGTCTGAATGTGTGTACAAGTGTGTGAGTGTGTGAATGTGTGTGCAAGCATTTGAATGAGCGTGTATGTGTGTGTGGACAGGAAGTGAATGCACAGTGCAATTCCAGGGACCTATATTCTATAAGTTGGATCAAATGTTAATGGCAATTTTTTGTTAGGCATATTTTACCAGAATAAAAACCAAAACCAAATCTCCCCAAAACAACAATTTTTGTGGCCACCCTTCTTCCAACCTCAGATCACAGTTAGAAGAAAAAACGCTGAAGGAAACGTATGTTTTTTCCCCTCCCACTGTACCTATCTCCCATTAGCAGAGAGCTGCTTGGGTATGCACGTGTGACTCTTTCCATCTTGGAGATTGGCAGTCCAAAGCGGGTGATGGAGGCCTCTGTTTCAAATTGCTTAATAGTTGAAGCTAAAAGGCAATATGCATTAGAACATTTTTCTTGGAACATCAAAATAATGTGTTAATTTGGGAAAAAAGTGATTCATATGTGACCTTGTATAATATTTGACTTTTTAAATGCCACACATAACATTTATCTGGTTTTTAGCCTTGCTGGAAAATGGCTGTATCCAGCAAAGATAAAAGACTTCCAGCTGGGATAACTATCCTATAATTGGTGATGCATTTTTTAAAAGGAAAACCAGAAATTATTGGAGACAGTTGATGTAAAAATCTGCATATTTCTAAAGCATGTGTGTTGCTAGCATGACAGGTTTAGCTCTATGGATGCAGCATTTTATACACACACACACTCTCACACACACACAGAATGTACACACACACCAGTTCTTTTGCCAGGATATTTAAGGAAGTTGGTTTTCTTTCTATTGAATTTCAATAGAAGTCACTGGAAATCAAGGCTTAGTATTATGAATTTATGTCCACAATACATGACAATTTTATCATACTGGTGTGATATGATGGGACAAATAGTAAGATTTCTCCCCTAAGAGACTAAGATACTTTTGTCGTCTCTCAGCACAGGAAGCTGAAGCCACCCCCTACTTCATCAGGGCAATTTAGTCTCTCCTTCCTCAGTGCTTCCAGAACATTCAGCTCACATATGCCTAGCTGCATTTTCCATGTTGTTCCCCCCATTAGACTACAGGCAGACACATTGGTAGTTAGCACAGCTGGACAGTGGTTCTCAAATGTGGCTGACATCACAATTGCTTTGGGAGCTTTAAAAAATACTTAGAAGCTTGATGTGGTGGCTCATGCCTATGATCCCAGCATTTTTGGAGGATGAGGTGGGAGAATTGCTTGAGTCCAGGAGTTTGTGACCAGCTTGGGCAACATAGGGAGACCCTGTTTTCTATCAGGAGAAAAAAAAATTAGCCGAGTGTGGTGGCACGTGCCTGTGGTCCCAGCTACTTGACAGGCTGAAGTGGGAGGATAGCCTGAGCCTGGGAGGTTGAGGCTGCAGTGAGTCATGATTGTGCCACTGCACTGCAGCCTGGGTGACAGTGTCTCAAAGAAAAAAAAAAGTGAGACCCTGTCTCAAAAAAAAAATTGATAAATGGGTCCCTGTGTCAATTCTGGTCCTCTAAGAATCAGGTGCCAAAACAGAATTAGACAGGTAAGAGATTGATTGCGGGAAGTCCCTGGAAAAGATGACGGGGAAAGAGTGGGAGCAGGCAGGGAGAGCCATCAGACCCCGAGGCAAGCGTGACCCCTGTGGACAGAGAGGGGAGAAAGAGGAGGGTTGGGTCAGCTGATCCTCAGACAGTAGCACAGTTGTGAGAAAGTTCAGGCTGGGCTGGTGGGAAGTCCCCAAGCAAAAACTGCCTGTCAGAGGATTTGTGTATGTGCAGGAGTGAGCCAGAACTCATATTCCACAATGCTCAGTCATTGCGGGGGAGCTGTGTTAAGCCATTGACTGACCAGCTGAACACTGTCCTAGTTTCCCTGGGACTGAAGGGGTTACCAGGCTCTGGGACTTTGATTGTTAAAACTGGGAATATCTGAGGAAACCGGGACAAGTTGGTTTCCTCAGCACAAATGCAAGATGGGACCAAAAGGGTGGCATCTGGTGCCACTAGACCACTGTGATAATTCTTCCCCAGAAGTTTCTTTTGAAGGAGAGCTGAGTGCCCCTGTTCAGTGCTGCCACTGCCCATGTGATACCAACCAGTTCTCCAACTCTCTGGACTCTAGTGGGAGTCCGATAATTAAATTAAGTTCTCAACTATCTACCTGGAGTTAGCATAAGATTCCACATGTTAAAGGGCTCAGTCCCATGAGACTGCTGCACTTCAGATGCCAGCTGCCCATGGGATCCCCAGGCAACCCATGCTTCTGCCCAGCCAACTCTAAATTTTAGGGTTCCCCTGCTTAGGAAGCCATCCTCACAGGGTTAACAAGAGTTCTGGGCAGAAATATATTTATAATTAAGCATTAATTAGTCTGTGCTTTGACCCACTTCCTTATAACCAAAGCCACGTAACACTAGATACTGACCATTTGCATGCCCGCTGCTCCTATAGACAGGATTTCTAATGTTAAAATCATAAGACTTTTAAGAATTGCTTAAACAGAATCATAGGATCATGAGGATTTTGTTTAAGAATTGCTTAAGCCGACCCTGAATTCCACTGAAACAGTTGACGCCAACCAGTTGGAAGACCCCCTCAGAGGAACTGAATCAGCATGAGAATCTATATTCTTCACCTGCCTGTCTAATGACTTCACCTGCACTCAATCAACCATCACCACACTCCAGCCTGCTCCAAAACCCTTGAAAACCTTAGCCTCAATCTCCTTGGGGAGACATATTTGAGGTTTCCTCCCATCTCCTTGCTTGGCAGCCCTATGATTAAACCTCTTTCTCTGCTGCCACCTGGTGTCTTGGAGTATTGACCTGCCATGCACATCAGGCAATGAACTTATTATGGTTACACTTACCACTCCTTCTTCAGGTTCCGTGATTCACTAGAATGACTCAGTGTTGCTGGCGGTGAATCCGTACAGGTCTGCAGTAACCTCAGTTCTTGCCTCCTCAGAAGAAATAATTCGACTGAGGGTCATAAGGCAGAGTGAGAGACCAAGGCGGGTTTTAGAGCAGGAGTGAAAGTTTATTAAAAAGCTTTAGAGCAGGAATGAAAAGGAGTAAAGTACACTTGGAAGACGGTCAGGCAGGTGACTTGAGGGGTCAAGTGCACAGTTTGACCTTTGACTTGGGGTCTTATACATTGGCATGCTTCTGGGGTTATGTCTCTTCTCCCCTGATTCTTCCCTTGGGGTGGGCTGTCCTTATGCACAGTGGCCTGCTAGTGCTTGGAAGGAGCCGCATGTGCAGTGTGCTTACTGAAGTTATATCCATGCTCACTTGAGGCATTCTTCCCTTACTGACATAAGAGCTAAGAAGAAATCACTTAGAAAGATAGTGTGGGTATGGGAGTCCTTGGTAGGGATTGTCTTTTTAATGCAAAGCAGCTCCAAATCATTTTCTAACAAAGAGCAGCCTGTAAAGTTGAGCTGTAGACATAGACAAGCCAGCTGGGAGCTTGCATGGGTGAATGCCTGCAAGAACTAGGGACTAGACATGTTCAAGATGGTGGCTCCATCCTCCCTTCTCTGCCAGCCACGTGTACAGTAAGGAAGATGGCCTGGCCAAGGGGAAAGTTCATTTGCATAATAAGATTAGTGTGGGGTGACCGGCCTTCCCCGCGTGCTATGTAAACATCATAACTGATTGAACTAATCTGTGAACCCTACGTAAATCAGAAACTCCCTCCTCAAGGTGGACCGTAAGATCCATCTCATCCACCACCAGTGGTCTTTCCTCTTGGGAGTCCCCTCTCTCATTAGAGAGAGAGCTATTTTTCTTTCTCTTTCTTCTGCCTATTAAACCTGCACTCCTAAACTCCTCATGTGTGTCCAAGTCCTAACTTTTCCTGATGACGAACCCTGGGCATATACCCCAATGTAGCTGCTTCATTACTAGTCTAACATTCCTAGAGGAAGGTCATATACCAGTTAAACTTCACTATTTTGCTACTTAGTGTGCATGCTTGAGTCTACTCACCCAACTCCTGAGATATTATTGGGAAACTGCTGATCACGAGTTTCAGGTTTTTTCTATCTATTGAGAGACTGCCTTTCCCTGGCAATGGCTGTGACCAATTATTATTTTAGAAAAACTTTGTAATAATCATCTGACTATCACCTGATGGTTGCCTGACGTTCCTGATGGCAGGGAAGAAGGAGCCCTCCCCTGCCCTGCTCATGCCTGACTAGCCACCTGCTGTGACAAAGGGACTCAGAAAAGTGCTGTACTTATGGTTCCAGCTTTATTGTTAAGGATTCCACTCAGGGACAGCCCATGGAAGAGGCACAGAGGGCATGGTATTGGTGGGAGGAGGAGCATGCAGAGCGTCCATGCCTTGTGGGGGATGGAATGGGACACCCCCCTCCCAGGACTGCTGCGTTCACCAGCCCGGAAACCCTCCAAATCTCATTCTTCAAGAGTTTTTATTGAGCTCTGTCTCCAGCTTCCCTCCCCTCACCTCCCCGGAGGCCTGGGTTGGGTGCTGGGGGTGAGGCTGAAAGTTCCACCCCCTAATCGTTTGTTTGCTCCTTCTGGTGACCAGCTACACCCTGAATCCCTCTAGGGGCCCCACCTGAGCCACTTATTAACATCAACTCAGTTGTGGTCTACAGGGGTTCCAACGAAGACACTCCTCTCACGGAAATTCCAAGAGTCTTAGGAATTTGGGCCAGAAACTGGGAACGAAAAGCAAATATATATTTGTATTACACCACAGCCAACCAGATGGTCTGTTTGAAATGACCTGGAGAAGGGCCCAGGCATCTGCGTTTTTAAAAAAACCACCCTTAACCCAGCACTTTGGGAGGCCATGGCGGGTGGATCATTTGAGGTCAGGAGTTCAAGAGCAGCCTGACCAACATGGTGAAACTGTCTCTACTAACAATACAAAAATTAGCCGGGCGTGGTGGCGGGCACCTGTAGTCCTAGCAACTGGGGAGCTGAGGCAGGAGAATCGCTTGAACCTGGGAGGCGGAGGTTGCAGTGAGCCGAGATTGTGCCATTGCACTCCAGCCTGGGTAACAGAGTGAGACTCTGTTTCAAAAAAACAAACAAACAAAAAACAACACCCTTAAAAGAGCTGAGAACTGGCTGGTGTTGAGAAACAGTAGAAGGCAGTCTTTAAATTTAATTTGGTGAATGAAGACAAGGAAGGAAGAGAGGCTGGTACAGTTGTGAGGGAGCTTGCTTGGGAAAAGCTTGAGGGAGTGGCCTGGGGCTGAGTCCCGAGGAGTGGGTGGCATCTCTGGACCCTGTGCTAGGTGCTGAAGGCCTGCAGCTGAGAGGAGGCTGATGCCTGAAGCCAGGGTCCTGTCAGCCTGGGCTGGGCAGACTCAGGCTGTCTGTAGCCTCAGTGCAAACGATGATAAATGATGAAGAGCCGGACACCAAGTGGTTGGGTCTTTATTCCACACACTAAGTCCTTGGTGCAGGAGAGGCCGATCTTGGCAGATGGACCCAGGCTTTATAATTACATGAGCAAAGGAGTGAAAGGCATATCCGTCCTCCTCTGTTGCCCATGGAGTTCACATTTAAACTTCACGCTCCAGGAGATTCCCATGACAATGAAAGCCAAATAGAAGGGAAAATACAGAAAAACTTCACCAGGGGAGATTCAGTTCCACAGGCAATACATACATTCTTTTAATCTATTATTGTTATTTTTTAAAGATGTGGATCTCATTTTGTTTCCCAGGCTGGTCTTGAATTCCTGGGCCCAAGTGATTCTCCCGAAGTGCCTCAGCCTCCCGAAGTGCTGGGATTACAGGCATGAGCCACTGCCCAGCCATACAATACACACATTCTTTTAGTCTCCTTTTTACCTTTGTATTAGTTTGCTAGGGCTATGGTAACAAAATACTTCAAACTAGGGGCTTAAACAACACTTATTGACTCACAGTTCTGGAGGCTAAAAGTCCAAGATCAAGATGTCAGCAGGGGTGGCTCCCTGTGAGGCTGGGAAGGAAGAATCTGTTCCAGGACCCTCTTCCTTGGCCTTAGGTGGCTGTCTTCTCTCTGTGTCTTCACATCATCTTCCCTCTATACATATTTATTTTATTTTTTATTTTTTAATTTTATTATTTTTGAGGTGACATTTTGCTCTGTTTCCCATGCTGGAGCGCAGTGGCGGTTAGGGCTCACTGTATCCTCAACTCCCCAGGCTCAAGCAATCCTCCCACCTCAGCCTCCCGAGTGGCTGGGACTACAGGTGTGCACCACCACTCCTAATTTTTTTTTTTTTTTTTAGTAGAGATGGGGATCTCACTATGTTGTCCAGGCTGGCCTTGAACTCTTGGGCTCAAGTGATCCTCCCACCTGAGCCTCTCAAAGTGCTGGGATTATAGGCATGAGCCACTGTGCCTAGACCTTTGATGCATGTTTCTGTGTTCGTGTTTCTCTTTTTAGAATATCATATTGGATTAGGGCCCACCCTTATCACCTCATATTAACTAATGATATCTGTAATGACCCTTTTTCAAAATAAGATCACATTCTGAGGAACTGGGAGTTAGGATTTTAACATGTGAATTTGGGGAGGGGACATAAATCAACCGCCAACAACCTCTAAAAAATAGTTCTCATTCCATCTTTCTTTTTGGTGCATATCAGAAGAGTAACACTCTGGTAATGATACAGGATAGTTCCCTTGACTTCGACCCTCTTTGAGGGGTGGGAACTGGAGTTACTTACTTCACTCAGCCTGCCCCTGGTTACTTCTTGTAAGAGGGAGCCTATGAGCAAGCAAATGTGGGAACCAGAGGGAACAAATGCTGGAACTAGTCAGTCGCTCCTCTCTGGCAGGAGCAGGCTCTGTGCAGTTCCCACAGCAGCATCCCAGCCCCTGCCCTCTCAGCACCCGTGTTCTTGTCCAGCATCTAGTAAGAACGAGGTCACACAAATGGATTGAAGGGAAGTGTATGCAGAGAATTTTATTGGGTGATGGAAGTGGCTGTCAGTGCAATGGGGAGGTGGAAAGGGGATGATGCAGGAAGAAGGTGATCATTCCCTGAAGCGGCACCTTCTGAAGTTAGCCATGTCTATCCATAGTCTCTGACACTCAGTTGCTTCTCTGCTCACTACTCAGCCACTTGTATCCCCACAGCTCAGCTGCTTATGTTGCTCTGCCAGCTGAAGTCTTTTTCTGGGCACAGGATGGGGCATGGCAGGCCAAAAAGGCAACATTGGGGGTGAAAAAAATGAGGTTACCTGTTTTCACTTAGGGGCACGGTTCAAGGCCTAAGGGTGGGATTTAGCCCGGAGCCGAGTTATTCTGTATCAGTAATGGCAAAATAGTCAAATGATAGAGCTGATGGATTGGGTTACTGGACATTAATTAGCCTTTTTACTTGGTTTGTGGGATTGACGCTAACTTGATTTATCTTGGTCTGTGGAGTTATCATAGCACTGTTGTACTCTAAGAAGCTGAAAACAGCTCAATGAATAAGTGCCATGAAAATAAAATGTGCTGTGTCCTTTTGTGATGCAGAACAGATGGTTCTACATCCCACAGTTGGGTGACAAAGAACTTTGGTCTGGGACATACCAGTGCCTTTCACAGGTGAGTCCATCTGAAAAAGAAAAATACATTGGAATCTCTCTGCCAAGGCCTCATCGGTGAGACTTTTACCAAGGGTATTGGCAGTTTAGATGACCATTGAAGTTTCTTCTCTTTGTAAAATGAAGTTTTGCTTTGAACCTGAAACATAGTCTAAAAATGATTTTTTTCTGGGCCAGCATATGCACCAGACCTATACACGGGCTTCAGGAGGCATCTCCTGTTCTTAGTGATGCTCCAAGTTCTTCCCAGAGCTGACACTCAAGTACGTTGCTATGTGGACAAGGCTGACCCTGTTCACAGGTGCTTTGGCCGATTCTTTCCATACTGATCAGAAGCAGCAGCGAAGGTTATTGTTGGATGCAGTGTGCCTAAGGACATACATTTTGTGCTTTCTCTCCAGTGAGAGCAGCTGATGGCAGAATTTCATTTTGTTCAGTTATTCCCAAGAGAGAACAAATATTTGTGATGCAATCAAAGAGAATCTAAGAATAGCAAAGAGCCAGATAACAGCATGTGGGAAGCACATGAGGAATGTGACACATTGACCCTAAAATGGGGATCCCTGTATGTGCAGATGTCCTTAGCAAAGCGGCTCTTGCCATAATAATCATTACTGCTGCATAGAAATCACTTTGCAGCGTACAAATCATTTTCAAATATGTGGTCTCATTTCATCTCTCATCACTGCTGAGGTGGGCAGAAGAGAAATGGTCTTCATTGACCATTGGGGAAATAGGGTCTGATATGGTTTGGCTGTGTCCCCACTTAAAATCTCATCTTGAATTATAATCCCCATAATCCCCATGTGTCAAGGGTGGAACCAGGTGGAGATGATGGGGTCATGGGGGCGGTTTCCCCCATGCTGTTCTCGAGATAGTGAGTGAGTCTCACAAGATCTGATGGCTTTATAAGCATCTGGTATTTCCCCTGCTTGCACTCACTCTGTCCTGCTGCCATGTGAAGAAGGTGCCTGCTTCTCATTTGCCTTCCGCCATGATTGTAAGTTTCCTGAGGCCTCCCCAGCCATGTGGAACTGTGAGTCAATTAAACCTTTTTTTCTTTATAAATGAGTCTCGGGTATTTCTTCATAGCACTGTGAGAATGGACTAATACAGGGTCTCATGGGGAGAAGCGAATTGTCTAAAGTCATAAGAATAGGAGAGAATTAGCATGGAAATACATTTTCTCCATCTCTCTGTCTCCTGACTTCACCTTGCACCCAATCAACTATCTCCACACTTCAGCCCACTCCCAAACCCTTACAAACCCTAGCCTCTCTAGGAGAGACAGGCCTCATGTATTCAGACCCCTGAGCCAGGTGTCTTATTTTTAATTTTTAAAAACTGTGGCATGTACCATTCACATAGAAGAATGTATAAAATATATATAGGTGCAGTTTAAAGGATGAGGATAAAATGAACACCATATACCCACCACTTGGGTTAAGACACAGGACATCCCCAGTCCTGGTCTTGTGGAAGCCCGTTTGCTCCTCTCTTAGTTCGTTGTTCTCTTCCCCCAGAGGTAACTAAAACTGTGACTCATGCTGATCACACTCTTGCTTTTCTTTATAGTGTTATCACATGAGTAAGTAACCCTAGTGATATTTATTTGGAAAAACTGAGCAGCAAGTACACCTCTAGTGTCATAAGAAAGGGAAAGCATTGCCACTGTCAGATGAAGGCTCCTGGAAGAAAATAAGCTGATCTCTGGGTCATAGTAGGGCTTCAGCTTGCCTAAGAACTTACAAGAGCCCTCTGGGGAAGTCAAGGCAAGGCACTGAGTGTGTCCTGGGGACCTGGGCTCAGGACATTCGGGGCACCTGGCAGGGCTGTTGTGTGGAGCAGGTATTGGATGATAGGCAGAAGAAGGCTCGGAGCCATTGGCTGCTCTGTATTTTCTGCTTCTAAGCTCATTGTGGGCTCTCTCAGACTCCTAGGAGTGGTGAATGAGCCTCCCCAGCTAATCCAGGCAGCAGTTTTCAAAGGAAGAGCAGAACCTTCATCATCCGAGTACCCAATAAGAATCTGTGGTTAAGAGCTTCTGGAGCCAGCCTGTCTGCTTTTGAAATTTGGCCTCTCCATGACCATTGGGCTATTTGACTACTCTGTACCTCATTTTCCTTGTCTGTAAAATGAGGACAATAATAATACCTACTTAGTAGGGTTAGTTAAAGGATAAATTAGTTAATATTTGTAAAGAACTTAGAACATTGCCTTACACATAGGACATGCTACATAAATAGGTGTGTGCATGTACACGTGTGTGTGTGTGTGTGTTTAATTGGTCAATCTGTGCTAGGCTCACCTAGCTATTCTGGGCTCAGGGTAGAAAGCAGTGGCATCTTGGTGATGACAGCTCTCAGTGAGCCTGGCTCCTGTGTCTCACTGCTTCAATATGGACTGACTTGTGACTGGCACTTAATGATAATCAGGGTTCTGTGTTTATCATCCTTCTGCCGGCTCCCCCTTACCTGCATGTCTTCCTTCTTCTGAATTTATTTCCTCATTTTACTGGAACACATCCTCCTGGAGCTTTCTAGAAAGAGTGTGTAGAGGCCAAGGGAAAACTCCCTCTTTGCCCACTGAGCGTTTCACTGACATCACTGACAAGGGCCAGATTAGTAGCAGAAAATCCATACAAATGTATTTAATCATAGTTTTATGTGACCCTGAAGCCTTCAGAATGAAAATCCAAAAATACAGGGGACACTGCTCATTTTATGCTTAGGTTCAACAAGGTATGGATAGCTGTGTAGAAATATCACTGGGCAAAGAGGATATGATCTATTACTAATAGATTGAGTGGGGAAACCCAGCCAAGATTCTTCTTGGCCTCTCTGAGCATTCATTCCTTCCTTCTGGGTATGAGATAGGACCCTCTCTGGAAAGGGGTTCTTATGATCTATGATCAAAGAAGGTAGGTCAGATAATTCTTTTTTAATTTTTTATTGTTTAGATAGAATCTCACAGTGTTCAGGCTGGAGTGCAGTGGCACGATCTTGGCTCACTGCAATCTCTGCCTTCTGGGCTCAAGCGATCCTTCTGCCTCAGACTCCTGAGAAGCTGGGACTACAAGGCGCATGTCGTCAAACCAGGCTAATTTGTGTGTGTGTGTGTGTGTATGTGTGTGTGTGTGTGTGTGTGTGTGTGTGTGTGTGTGTGTGTGTATATATATATATATATATATTTTTTTTTTTTTTTTTTTTGTAGAGACAGGGTTTCACCATGTTTCCCAGGCTGGTCTCAAACTCCTGGACTCAAGGGATTCACCTGCCTCGGCCTCTGAAAGTGCTGTGAGTACAGGCATGAGCCACCATTTTCAGCCCAGATAATTCTTTATGGCCACATTTTACACAGAAAGATGTAGGGAAAGTAAGACTAATATTTTTAGGTTTTGTGGCTAGCTTTGGGGAAAAGAGGTTCTGGTTTCTATGACCTGCCTTGGGGAAGAGGGATTCTAGTTTTTATGGCTAGCCTCGGGGGAAAATAAAAGGCCAGAGACTGAAGGGTAGGAGAAGGTCAGAGAGTTGCTTCCAAGGCCTTTATTTTGAGACATGGTTTCCTGAGACCCTATAAGTACATGGGAGGTAAAGATTTTGCATTTCTAAGAATGTATTTCCATTGATAATTTGCCTCATATAGCCTTCTAAATTAGATATCATAGTAATTATTTTCTTTTAGAATTTTGAAGGCATTGCTCCATTGTTTTCTTGCTTCCAATATTACTGTAGAGAGTTCTGAAGCCATTTGATTCCAGATCTTTTGCATGTGATCTATTCTTTTCTCTCTGCAGACTTTCAGAATCTACTATTACTCTTATGTTCTGAAATTTCCCAGTGATGTGCCTTGTGGTAGATCTATCTTTGTTGTTCTGGGTACTTGCTGGGTGGGTTCTGCATCAGAAAATTCACACCCTTTGGATCTGCTTATTTTCTTGTAGTAGGTCATTGACGATTTTCTTCTCCTCCCTCCCTCCCTCCCTCCTTCCCTTCTTTCTCTCCTTCCTTCTTTTTTTTTTTTTTTTTGACAGGGTCTTATTCTGTCACCCAGCCTGGAGTACAATAGCCTGATCTCAGCTCACTGCAGCCTGGACCTCCCCGGGCTCAAGTGATTGCCTGATTTTAGCCTCTCATGTAACTAGGACTACAGGTGTGCACCACCACACACCTGGTTAATTTCTGTATTTGTAGAGATAGGGTTTCACCATGTTGCCCAGGCTGGTCTCAAACTTTTGGGGCTCAAGTGATCCACCCACCTTAGCCTCCAAAGTGCTGGGATTACAGATGTGAACCACTGTGCCCAGCTACTCATCTATTTTATTCTTTTTTTCTGAAATTTCTTTTATTTGAGATTAAACTTCTGGTCTTCTAATTTTTCTGGTTTTTCTTTTATATTTTCTACATCATTGTCTAGGAAACTTCCTTACTCCTATCTCTCAACACTTCAATGAGTTTTTAATCTGTGCAATCATGTTTTTAATTTCCACGAACCATTTTTGTTTTTGTTTGTTTTCTGAATCTCCTCCTCTTCCTCTTCCTTCTTCTCTCTTCTTCTAAAAATGGCATCTTTTTATTGTTTCGGGTTGCAAACTTCTCTTATCTCTTGCAAACTTCTCTTATCTCTCTGAGGAGATTAAAGCTATTTTAAATTCTTTTTATTTCTACACAGTGTCTCACAGCTAATAATTTTTAGAACTAAGATTTAAAATCAGGCAGTCTGACCCCAGAGCCTGCTCTCTTGACCATTGTACTAAAATGCCTTCTTTGAAATAAACACTGGGTTCTAGCCAGGCTAAGGCCAATTAAGCACAAACATCAATTTTTGTCCTTTCTGAAACCACACTAAAATTAAATGAAAGGAATTTTAAAAGAAAGACAAGCTCACAAGGACAAGGAGGATAACATAGCTAATGACAGCAACAAAATATTGGAAATTAGATTTTTGTAAGAAATTATTAATTTATATAAGAGCTTAACAGTGCCTGACACCCAATACGTATATAATAAATGTTAGCTAATATTAATATAACAACTGAAAGCACTTTAAAAATATTCTAAATATGTTGCATATGATTTAAGAGCTTCCTTGTGCTTCACCAAGTTCTTGTTCCAAATGAGAATGTTAATGAAGACAAAAAAGTTAACTTATTGAAATGATATTATAGTTTTTGGACTGAGTTAATTTCTATTTTACAGAAAAAAATCTGATGTATAACACGTAGAGAAAAGGAATGCATTATGAAAAATCTGGGTATGATATAATTTAATGATAGATGGTATATTAAACTATATATATCTTAGTTCAACTTGAAAACTCCCATGGAAGATACCAAACTAACATGAAAACAGCACATAAATTATTATATGAAAGTATAATCTCGATATGATGGCAAAATTAAATAATGTCAACAAATGTTTTTAAACACAGATAAAACAGCAACAAGGTGCTGATTTGGGGGAGCATCCAAGGGTGAGGTCTCAATCTACGCCTTCAAGAAGCTCATTAAGGAAGGCTGATATTTGCTAGTTAACTATAAATTAAAGCAGAATTAAGTAATGATGTTAACAGAATTACAAGCAAAGTGCAACTTCGGAGTTTGGCAAAGGGAACAATTAATGCCAACTAAGAACACTGGCGAAGGCTTCATGGATGAGGGGGCATTTGAACTTGATTTTGAGAGTGTGCCAAGGATGGTTTCTCTGGTGAAAGAAACTGCAAGACCAAGGCCCTGAAATGCAGAAATTCATTGTCTGTTCCAAGTCCTGTCTGGCTTTCAATGTACTGTCCATTTTCACCTTTTACTATGTCTGTGACTGGGATGCAGAGTTTAAATGTTAAATGTTCTTAAATTTGTCCATTGGTCAATTTTGTTTCTCAAGTAGACAGTAAACTTATTAGGGACAGATATGTCATAGAATTCTTTTGTATTTTCCCCTGCTAATCTCACAGTGTTAGTACATAGAAACTTCTCAGCAAATGCTTATTGATTGATACAGGAACTTTTGCTGCTTGGATAATATGTTTTAATGTAGGAAAACTTAGAGTGCAACAGGAAAGCAGCAATCAGGAAACTATTAGAATTTTAGAATTCTCAATTGTTTCAAAAATATTTTTGAACTTCGTTGTGAGTCTAGAGACCAACCACAAAACAAAACTCTAGAGTTGTCAATAAGGAATTTATTTATATTTGACATCAATTGCCAAAAAAAGCCATTTGAAAAGCACTTTCCTCTTGCTGAAAGTGCTCACATGAAAGTATTTAGAACTTAGAAGTTCTAAGAAGGAACATTAGCAGAGCTAGATGCTATTAGAAACTGTGATTGGTTCTAGGATTCTAAAAACAAAAGGGCATACTGTTTGCTGTTCTTCAAGTGGCATTTATTTCAGCAGTCTTTATTGTGTGACTGGGTGGGCTCTTAGAATCATCCAGGCCATCTACTTGACTGCCTAAGGAGATGGCTGCCCTCAGAATTGGACTTGTTTTAATAGAGCAAACTTTCTATTTATTAGTTATCAACTTTAGAATTAAAAGCTCAGATTCAACAATTAACTCATTATCCCAAATGCATGCCACTTGTCATGACTTCCTGTTGTATGACCACTATCCTATACAATGCAGGCAGTGCCTTCATGCCTGAACCTATCCTACTAAATCAGTCAAAAGGGAACTCTGGTTTCTGCAAGATTTCAGCATGGAAGAGAAGATCCTAAAAGATGCACCTCTATACCTGGAGAAGTGTTGAAGAAAATCATATGCATCTGGAAGTCCCTTGAGAAGAACAGATTCTAGGGCAATAATATGAGACCTCATAAAGTATAAATCCTGGCAGACCAATTTAATTTTTCAGGGACATTGTGGCAAGCCTGATTGATGGAGAGGAAGCCAAGGATGTAATCTGCCTTGACTTTGTGAACATTTTAGGTTTATACTCACAAGCACACCCATCAGAAACAGAAAATAAGCTGCTTCAGGGGCACATAAGTTTGCAGTACTGAGATGAAGGCACAGCTCTTTCACTGAGCTCTGGCTTTATTTTTGCCAGGGATGTTAGTTGATCTCACTTCCATGACAGTGTGGGGAGGTGAAGGAGAAGAGCTATGCAGCACAGGTTGCTATAATGACCAGGGCATCTTCTTCTACAAGGAATAGGAGGGGAGCAGGACATAATAGCAATACTTGTTGTTTGTGCATTGCTCTTGACATTTACAAAGCACATTGCATGAAAAATGGAAATTGGAAGGTGTGTGTGTGTGTGTGTGTGTGTGTGTGTGTGTAGGGGGCATGAGGAGAGGCAGAAGCAGCACTGGTCCTTCGAATTAATTACCTTTCAACTCTTACATCTTTAATGAGCTTGTTTTCAGTGCCTAGCAATGCTCTATGCAAAGAAGACTGGATTAAGCAAAGAAGTTCAAGCACTGTCCTTTTGAAGCATGTTATAGTAACTGAACTTGCTCAGTGGGAAGCTTTTTGCTTCATAGGCAAATCCCTGCACCAGATTCAATTGAGATGAACTGAAGAAACTCACCTGTTGCCATTCATGTAGTGCCCACCCTGGAGAACTCAAATTACCGAAATTCGCCTCAGTTGGACCTAGAACTTTCTATGTTGGTTGCCTGTTTTGGATGGTACATCCCTTAAGGAAAAGGACAATGTTTTCTTCTGTCTTTGTGTTTCCAGAGTTTCCAAGCTTGGTTCCTAACAAATAGTATGGGCTCAGGAAAAGTTTTGGGGGCGAGAACATGAGGCGGGGAGGGAGGCAATGTGCTCAGGTCATGAAGCTAAAGTGGGCCAGCCAGCTCCAAAGCTAGATGTGGCAGAGGGAAAGGAATTGTGGCAGGTGGGGCTCAGGTGTTGGCAATAAACAGGCAGATTCTAGCAGGGGTGAGAGTAATGGGAGTAAGAATTCAATCTCAAAAAACATTCTGCGATCCTGACTGGGAGGGAGTAGCACAGAGGACATGCGAAGGAGGAGGGTAAGCAGGTCCCGGTTTCTGCCAATGACCTTGAACGGGCCTCTAGGAGGCTCTTCTGAAAGTGGCCCTGCCCCTCCTCCTGATCAACAAGACTGCCCTTTGGAATCTGCTGTTAACCAAGTCTAAAGTTATCTTCTGCCCCCTTTCCCTGGCCTCCTTATCTCTTGTAATATGTTCATAAAGGCAGAATCGGATGAAATGAATAGCCTGTGCTGCCTTCTTTTTATTTATTTATTTATTTATTATTATACTTCAAGTTTTAGGGTACATGTGCACAATGTGCAGGTTAGTTACATATGTATACATGTGCCATGCTGGTGCGCTGCACCCACTAACTCATCATCTAGCATTAGGTATATCTCCTAATGCTATCCCTCCCCGCTCCCCCCACCCCACAACAGTCCCCAGAGTGTGATGTTCCCCTTCCTGTGTCCATGTGTTCTCATTGTTCAATTCCCACCTATGAGTGAGAATATGCAGTGTTTGGTTTTTTGTTCTTGGGATAGTTTACTGAGAATGCTGATTTCCAATTTCATCCATGTCCCTACAAAGGACGTGAACTCATCATTTTGTATGGCTGCATAGTATTCCATGGTGTATATGTGCCACATTTTCTTAATCCAGTCTATCATTGTTGGACATTTGGGTTGGTTCCAAGTCTTTGCTATCGTGAATAATGCCGCAATAAACATACGTGTGCATGTGTCTTTATAGCAGCATGATTTATAGTCCTTTGGGTATATACCCAGTAATGGGATGGCTGGGTCAAATGTTATTTCTAGTTCTAGATCCCTGAGGAATCGCCACACTGACTTCCACAATGGTTGAACTAGTTTACAGTCCCACCAACAGTGTAAAAGTGTTCCTATTTCTCCACATCCTCTCCAGCACCTGTTGTTTCCTGACCTTTTTATGATCGCCATTGTAACTGGTGTGAGATGGTATCTCATTGTGGTTTTGATTTGCATTTCTCTGATGGCCAGTGATGGTGAGCATTTTTTCATGTGTTTTTTGGCCGCATAAATGTCTTCTTTTGCGAAGTGTCTGTTCATGTCCTTTGCCCACTTTTTGATGGGGTTGTTTGCTTTTTTCTTGTAAATTTGTTTGAGTTCATTGTAGATTCTGGATATTAGCCCTTTGTCAGATGAGTAGGTTGCAAAAATTTTCTCCCATGTTGTAGGTTGCCTGTTCACTCTGATGGTAGTTTCTTTTGCTGTGCAGAAGCTCTTTAGTTTAATTAGATCCCATTTGTCAATTTTGCTTTTGTTGCCATTGCTTTTGGTGTTTTAGACATGAAGTCCTTGCCCATGCCTATGTCCTGAATGGTAATGCCTAGGTTTTCTTCTAGGGTTTTTATGGTTTTGGGTCTAACGTTTAAGTCTTTAATCCATCTTGAATGGACTTTTGTATAAGGTGTAAGGAAGGGATCCAGTTTCAGCTTTCTACATATGGCTAGCCAGTTTTCCCAGCACCATTTATTAAATAGGGAATCCTTTCTCCATTGCTTGTTTTTCTCAGGTTTGTCAAAGATCAGATAGCTGTAGATATGTGGTGTTATTTCTGAGGGCTCTGTTCTGTTCCATTGATCTATATCTCTGTTTTGGTACCAGTACCATGCTGTTTTGGTTACTGTAGCCTTGTAGTATAGTTTGAAGTCAGGTAGTGTGATGCCTCCAGCTTTGTTCTTTTGGCTCAGGATTGACTTGGTGATGCGGGCTCTTTTTTGGTTCCATATGAAGTTTAAAGTAGTTTTTTCCAATTCTGTGAAGAAAGTCATTGGTAGCTTGATGGGGATGGCATTGAATCTGTAAAATACCTTGGATAGTATGGCCATTTTCACGATATTGATTCTTCCTATCCATGAGCATGGAATGTTCTTCCATTTGTTTGTATCCTCTTTTATTTCCTTGAGCAGTGGTTTGTAGTTCTCCTTGAAGAGGTCCTTCACATCCCTTGTAAGTTGGATTCCTAGGTATTTTATTCTCTTTGAAGCAATTGTGAATGGGAGTTCACTCATGATTTGGCTCTCTGTTTGTCTGTTGTTGGTGTATAAGAATGCTTGTGATTTTTGTACATTGATTTTGTATCCTGAGACTTTGCTGAAGTTGCTTATCAGCTTAAGGAGATTTTGGGCTGAGACAATGGGGTTTTCTAGATATACAATCATGTCATCTGCAAACAGGGACAATTTGACTTCCTCTTTTCCTAATTGAATACCCTTTATTTCCTTCTCCTGCCTAATTGCCCTGGCCAGAACTTCCAACACTATGTTGAATAGGAGTGGTGAGAGAGGGCATCCCTGTCTTGTGCCAGTTTTCAAAGGGAATGCTTCCAGTTTTTGCCCATTCAGTATGATATTGGCTGTGGGTCTGTCATAGATAGCTCTTATTATTTTGAGATACATCCCATCAATACCTAATTTATTGAGAGTTTTTAGCATGAAGGGTTGTTGAATTTTGTCAAAGGCCTTTTCTGCATCTATTGAGATAATCATGTGGTTTTTGTCTTTGGTTCTGTTTATATGCTGGATTACATTTATTGATTTGTGTATATTGAACCAGCCTTGCATCCCAGGGATGAAGCCCACTTGATCATGTTGGATAAGCTTTTTGATGTGCTGCTGGATTCGGTTTGCCAGTATTTTATTGAGGATTTTTGCATCAATGTTCATCCAGGATATTGGTCTAAAATTCTCTTTTTTGGTTGTGTCTCTGCCCGGCTTTGGTATCAGGATGATGCTGGCCTCATAAAATGAGTTAGGGAGGTTTCCCTCTTTTTCTATTGATTGGAATAGTTTCAGAAGGAATGGTACCAGTTCCTCCTTGTACCTCTGGTAGAATCGGCTGTGAATCCATCTGGTCCTGGACTCTTTTTCATTGGTAAGCTATTGATTATTGCCACAATTTCAGAGCCTGTTATTGGTCTATTCAGAGATTCAACTTCTTCCTGGTTTAGTCTTGGGAGAGTGTATATGTCAAGGAATTTATCCATTTCTTCTAGATTTTCTAGTTTATTTGCGTAGACGTGTTTGTAGTATTCTCTGATGGTAGTTTGTATTTCTGTGGGATCGGTGGTGATATCCCCTTTATCATTTTTTATTGTGTCTATTTGATTCTTCTGTCTTTTTTTCTTTATTAGTCTTGCTAGTGGTCTATGAATTTTGTTGATCCTTTCAAAAAACCAGATCCTGGATTCGTTAATTTTTTGAAGGGTTTTTTGTGTCTCTATTTCCTTCAGTTCTGCTCTGATCTTAGTTATTTCTTGCCTTCTGCTAGCTTTTGAATGTGTTTGCTCTTGCTTATCTAGTTCTTTTAATTGTGATGTTAGGATGTCAATTTTGGATCTTTCCTGCTTTCTCTTGTGGGCATTTAGTGCTATAAATGTCCCTCTACACACTGCTTTGAATGTGTCCCAGAGATTCTGGTATGTTGTGTCTTTGTTCTTGTTGGTTTCAAAGAACATCTTTATTTCTGCCTTCATTTCATTATGTACCCAGTAGTCATTCAGGAGCAGGTTGTTCAGTTTCCATGTAGTTGAGTGGTTTTGAGTGAGTTTCTTAATCCTGAGTCCTAGTTTGATTGCACTATGGTCTGAGAGACAGTTTGTTATAATTTCTGTTCTTTTACATTTGCTGAGGAGAGCTTTACTTCCAACTATGTGGTCAATTTTGGAATAGGTGTGGTGTGGTGCTGAAAAAAATGTATATTCTGTTGATTTGGGGTGGAGAGTTCTGTAGATGTCTATTAGGTCCGCTTGGTGCAGAGCTGAGTTCAATTCCTGGGTATCCTTGTTGACTTTCTGTCTCATTGATCTGTCTAATGTTGACAGTGGGGTGTTAAAGTCTCCCATTATTAATGTGTGGGAGTCTAAGTCTCTTTGTAGGTCACTCAGGACTTGCTTTATGAATCTGGGTGTTCCTGTATTGGGTGCATATATATTTAGGATAGTTAGCTCTTCTTGTTGAATTGATCCCTTTACCATTAAGTAATGGGCTTCTTTGTGTCTTTTGATCTTTGTTGGTTTAAAGTCTGTTTTATCAGAGACTAGGATTGCAACCCCTGCCTTTTTTTGTTTTCCATTTGCTTGGTAGATCTTCCTCCATCCTTTTATTTTGAGCCTATGTGTGTCTCTGCCCATGAGATGGGTTTCCTGAATATAGCACACTGATGGGTCTTGACTCTTTATCCAATTTGCCAGTCTGTGTCTTTTAATTGGAGCATTTAGTCCATTTACATTTAAAGTTAATATTGTTATGTGTGAATTTGATCCTGTCATTATGATGTTAGCTGGTTATTTTGCTCATTAGTTGATGCAGTTTCTTCGTAGTCTCGATGGTCTTTACAATTTGGCATGATTTTGCAGTGGCTGGTACTGGTTGTTCCTTTCCATGTTTAGCGCTTCCTTCATGGCTCTTTTAGGGCAGGCCTGGTGGTGACAAAATCTCTCAGCATTTGCTTGTCTGTAAAGTATTTTATTTCTCCTTCACTTATGAAGCTTAGTTTGGTTGGATATGAAATTCTGGGTTGAAAATTCTTTTCTTTAAGAATGTTGAATATTGGCCCCCACTCTCTTCTGGCTTGTAGGGTTTCTGCTGAGAGATCTGCTGTTAGTCTGATGGGCTTCGCTTTGAGGGTAACCTGACCTTTCTCTCTGGCTGCCCTTAACATTTTTTCCTTCATTTCAACTTTGGTGAATCTGACAATTATGTGTCTTGGTGTTGCTCTTCTCGAGGAGTATCTTTGTGGCATTCTCTGTATTTCCTGAATCTGAACATTGGCCTGCCTTGCTAGATTGGGGAAGTTCTCCTGGATAATATCCTGCAGAGTGTTTTCCAACTTGGTTCCATTCTTGCCGTCACTTTCAGGTACACCAATCAGACGTAGATTTGGTCTTTTCACATAGTCCCATATTTCTTGGAGGCTTTGCTCATTTCTTTTTATTCTTTTTTCTCTAAACTTCCCTTTTCGCTTCATTTCATTCATTTCATCTTCCATTGCTGATACCCTTCCTTCCAGTTGATCACATCAGCTCCTGAGGCTTCCGCATTCTTCATGTAGTTCTTGAGCCTTGGTTTTCAGCTCCATCAGCTCCTTTAAGCACTTCTCTGTACTGGTTATTCTAGTTATACATTCTTCTAAATTTTTTTCAAAGTTTTCAACTTCTTTGCCTTTGGTTTGAATGTCCTCCCGTAGCTCGGAGTAATTTGATCGTCTGAAGCCTTCTTCTCTCAACTCGTCAAAGTCATTCTCCATCCAGCTTTGTTCCATTGCTGGTGAGGAACTGCGTTCCTTTGGAGGAGGAGAGGCACTCTGCTTTTTAGAGTTTCCAGTTTTTTTCCTCTGTTTTTTTCCCCATCTTTGTGGTTTTATCTACTTTTGGTCTTTGATGATGGTGATGTACAGATGGATTTTTGGTGTGGATGTCCTTTCTGTTTGTTAGTTTTCCTTCTAACAGACAGGACCCTCAGCTGCAGGTCTGTTGGAGTACCGGACCGTGTGAGGTGTCAGTGTGCCCCTGCTGGGGGGTGCCTCCCAGTTAGGCTGCTCGGGGGTCAGGGGTCAGGGACCCACTTGAGGAGGCAGTCTGCCTGTTCTCAGATCTCCAGCTGTGTGCTAGGAGAACCACTGCTCTCTTCAAAGCTGTCAGACAGGGACATTTAAGTCTGCAGAGGTTACTGCTGTCTTTTTGTTTTTCTGTGCCCTGCCCCCAGAGGTGGAGCCTACAGAGGCAGGCAGGCCTCCTTGAGCTGTGGTGGGCTCCACCCAGTTGGAGCTTCCCGGCTGCTTTGTTTACCTAAGCAAGCCTGGGCAATGGCGGGCGCCCCTACCCCAGCCTCGAGGCCGCCTTGCAGTTTGATCTGAGACTGCTCTGCTAGCAATCAGGGAGACTCCGTGGGCATAGGACCCTCCGAGCCATGTGCGGGATATAATCTCCTGGTGCGCCGTTTTTTAAGCCCGTCGGAAAAGCGCAGTATTCGGGTGGGAGTGACCCGATTTTCCAGGTGCCGTCTGTCACCACTTTCTTTGACTAGGAAAGTGAACTCCTTGACCCCTTGCGCTTCCCGAGTGAGGCAATGCCTCGACCTGCTTCGGCTTGTGCATGGTGCGCGCACCCACTGACCTGCACCAACTGTCTGGCACTCCCTAGTGAGATGAACCCGGTACCTCAGATGGAAATGCAGAAATCACCCGGCTTCTGCGCCGCTTATGCTGGGAGCTGTAGACCGGAGCTGTTCCTATTCGGCCATCTTGGCTCCTCCCCACTGCCTTCTTTTGTGTTAGTCTTATTTCCTCAAAAATCAAACTGTTTCTTTTGTTTTAATATCCACAGCTCTGAACAGTGTCTTACACATAACAGGTGCTTTAAGAGCTCTGGGATGAGCAACTTTCTGTATCCCTGATGGAAATGCTTACAGAGTCCATTCTGCTGTCTGCTTCCTTTTGGGTCAAGTGGCGTCCGTCGGGCAGCTGCACATTGGATGATACTTCCTAGAGTGCGTCGGTGTCCTGCTGCTAGGAAAGGTGCCCTGTTGTTTGGAGCTGGGAGAAAACAGCAAGAAATGAGTTCTAAGGATTTTGGTAAGCTTGATTAGGGGAATTGAGTCTAAAATAGATGTTAGGTAAGAGATGTGGTGGTACATGTCAGGGCCAGTGGGTGAGGCCAAACTGAAAGCAGGAGGGGAAAGGGGCAACAAGGCAGGGCAATGCAGGAGGCCATGTGCCCCAGTGAGTCAGCAGACAGTCGTCTAGACAGACCTGGAAATGTGGTCCCTCAGCTCATTGTTAGCTTTGCTTTTGGTTCACATTTGAGTGAGTGTCTGCATCTAGAGAGGCCAGTTCAGGAGCAAAACATCCATTTTCCAGGAAGGGATAAGAGAAAGAGGGGCTAACCTTTAGCTTGAGCTGCTTGGCATCCAGACAAAGGGTCTCACACTAGACAGGTCACAGCTAACCCCCTCTAGTCCTTGCATGACTTTGCAAAATCTCCTGTTTTATTTTGATTACTTCCAAAAGATGGCCATCTAACCTGTTTGTACAAAGAAAAATGAGTATTCAGAACAGGCAACGTCATCCTATGGACAGGGGGTAGCCGTTCAGAACTCTGAAGTGCTTGACGCAGTGCAGTATGCTGTGTTTAGGAAAAATTCGTTTGGTATCTGTTGATGGCACCACCAAATATATGCCTGCTCTAAGTACTCTAACTTTTGTTCATAAAGATGCAGCAAATGCTCTTGAAGGGAAAGAAAGAGCTTTGCACTGATGTTGCTTAGCAACCAATTACTCATTTTGTTTTTCAATTTGTTGTTTTTAAAAATTTCTACTATGTCGTGTTAAATTAATCTGGGGCCAGGTGCGGTGGCTCATGCCTGTAATCCCAGCAGTTTGGGAGGCTGAGGCAGGCAGATGATTTGAGGTCCAGAGCTCAAGACCAGCCTGGCCAATATAGTGAAACTCTTTTTCTACTAAAAATACAAAAATTAGCTGGGCATGGTGGTGCACGCCTGTAATCTCAGCTGCTTGGGAGGCTGAGGCAGGAGAATCACTTGAACCCAGGAGATGGAGCTTGCAGTGAGCTGAGATAGTGCCACTTCACTCCAGCCTGGGTGACAGAGCGAGACTCCGTATTAAAAAAAAAATTAATTAATCTGGGTCTGAGGCACAAGGTTCCTGTTTATTTGATGGCTGCTGTGCACAAATAAAAAGATGGTGGCACTTTTTTGGGGTATTTAACTCCCTAACTGGGTTACAGAGTCTAGGAGCACTTGTCATCAACTTGAGGGAAATGTATAAATTGGGAAACAAGAGACCATCAAGGACAATATCGCACCTCTGTCCTCTCGGCCTCCCTAGTCCTCTGTTGAAAGTTGAACACTGGGGCTTCTTTCCTTCCTGACCATTCCCCTCCTAATTCTGGACTTCAAGGCATGGGTACTGCCTCTTTACCAGTCCACATTTTGTCTGTTTCCGTTTTCAACTGTCTGGTTCCTTTGCTTAAGATTCGGTTTGGTGGAGCCTATCCTGACTCTTCGGTGAGTGATGAAGTATGGCCCTCGACTCGTCAGTCAGGGGATTTGGATTCTAATCCTAGCTCTGCCATTAACTTGCTGACTGAACTTGAGTGAGTTGCTTAGTGTGTTTGTTAGAATAGGCTAAACTATGCTGCAGGAACAAGGACATCTTGAAATCTCTGTGGCTGTGAACCACAAAGACAAAAACCTGATGAGTGCTGGACCATCCTCTAGAGCAGCTGCCTTCCATGGGGTGATCTGGAAATTCAGGTGGCTTTCATGCTGTGGTTACAGCATCTCAACATGGGAGCCACCGAGGGGAAGGAGAGAGAGAGGGACACATTGGCTTGCCACAATTTCAGCCAGGAAGTAGCATGTCACATCTGTTCACAGTGTATGGGCCGGGACGGGTCACATGGCTGTCACCTAACTGTGGAGGCAAGGTGTGGTTAGTGGGAGGACAGGCTGGAAAATGAAGAACATCTCAAATATTTGGGGAACAGCAGCCACCGCTGTCACTCTTGGCATCTTTGAGTTTCAGCCTAGTCATCTGCAAAATGACAGGGTTGGACTAGATAATTCCTAAGGGCCCTTTTATAGCTGTAAAGATCTAGGAGGTATGACTAACCAAACCACCATGATTCCAGATTAAGTATTTAAACTTCTCCTCTAAGCATAGTTCTATTTTTAAGAGGAATAGATTAGCATTATCTTCACCCACTCGCTTTATTGTCCTGAATTGAATAGTCTCACTTCTTTTACCGTAAAACTCTTCCTTTTAAAAAGAAAAATCAGACAAAATAAAGTATTTTTATAGGCTAACCCTCTTTCAAAACAAATTCTTCAGGCTGGGCACCGTGGCTCATGCCTGTAATCCCAGCACTTTGGGAGGCCAAGGTGGGTGGACCACCTGAGGTCAGGAGTTTGAGACCAGCCTGGCCAACATGGCAAAACCCCGTCTCTACTAAAATATACAAACATTAGCCAGGCATGGTGGTGCCAGCCTGTAATCCCAGCTACTCGGGAGGCTGAGGCAGGGAGAATTGTTTGAACCGGGGAGGTGGAGGTTGCAGTAGGTCGAGATTGTGCCACTGCACTCCAGCCTGGGCGACAGAGTGAGACTCTATCTCAAAAACAAAACAACCCCAAATCAACAAATTCTTCAGCTGGAAGGACTTAAGAAAACTCTAGTTATTTATTGTCCTAACTACTTCTTAATCAGATGCTGTAGAAAATGTACAGTATGCAGACACAACTCATTTTTTACCAGTGAAAATAATGATTTGAGTTTGTGTATTACATGATTATAAAGTGATATCTAAATTGGTACTGAATTTCTCAGAGAAGTAAGCAATTTTAAGTGAAGAACAGACACAAGGGAAGTACAATTAAAGTTTACTTCTCTTTTTGAAAGATATGTCCCTGAAAATCTATAAATAAATACTTTTAATTCCATCCTTATCCTTTGAAAAGTGGGACTTCTGGCAGCTTGGCAAATAAATAAAGTTTTATTGGCACACAGCCACACTCATTTATGTGGTGCCAATAACTGTTTTTGTTCTACAAAACTCTCAGGCCCTTTTCAGAAAACATTGTGCAACCCCTGAGTTAGGCAATCTAAATGTTAACCTGGTAGCTTATAGCAGCATTGAGAGTCAGTACAGATGACAACAGTAGTTCTCAAACTTGAGTGAGCATCAGAATGAATAATTTGTTAAGGGCTTGTTCAAGCACAGAGAGTGGGACCCCATCCCCCAGTGTCTGATTCAGTAGGGTCGAGGGTGGGGTCTGATAATTTGCACTTGGACATGTTCCCAGGTGATGTCGATGCTGCTGGTCTGGGGACAATACTTGGAGAAGCACTGGAGTACAGCTGACCCTTAACATGGGTTGGAACTGTGCAGGTCCACCTATATCTGGATTTTCTTCTGCCTCTGCCACTTCTGAGACAGCAAGATCAACTCCTCCTCTTCTTCCTACTCAACATAAGGACGACGAGGATGATGATGTTCCATTTCTACTTAATGAATTGTAAATATAGTTTCTCCTTTGTGATGGTTAATACTGAGTGTCAACTTGATTGGATGGAAGGACGTGAAGTATGTTCCTATGCGTGTCTGTGAGATATTGCCAAAGGAGATTAACATTTGAGTCCGTGGACTGGGAAAGGCAGACCCACCCTTAATCTGGGTGGATGCAATCTAATCGGCTGCCAGTGCAGCAAGAATAAAAGCAGGCACAATAATGTGAAGAGTAGACTAGCCTAGCCTCCCAGCCTACATCTTTCTCCCACGCTGGATGCTTCCTGCCCTTGAACATCAGACTCCAAGTTCTTCAGCTTTGGGACTTGGACTGGCTTCCTTGTTCCTCAGCCTGCAGATGGCCTGTTGTGGAACCTTGTGATAATGTGAGTCAGTATTCCTTAATAAACTCCCCTTTATATATACATTTATCCTATTAGTTCTGTCCCTCTAGAGAACCCCAACTAATACATCCTTCTTATGATTTTCTTAATAACATTTTCTTTCCTCTGGCTTTATTGTAAGAATACAGTATATAATTCATATAGCACACAAAATATACGTTCATTGACAGTTTGTGTTATCAGTAAGGCTTCTGGCCAACAGTAGGCTATTAATAGTTAAGTTTTTGAAGGGGTCAAAAGTTATACGTGGACTTTTGACTGCATAGAGGTTGGTGCCCCTAACCCCTGTGTTGTTCAAGGGTCAGCTGCAGCAAAAGCATCAATTAAGAGAGAAACTTAAAGCTCTACTCCTGCCTCTTTTTCGATTTTCTAGCTGAGTAATCTTGAGCAAAGATTCAGTTTCTTCCCATGCAAAATGAGGAGACTGGCCTAAAGTAGGCCTTTTCAACTACTGTCTCCTGACAGCCCTCGGGGAGCTGATCTGGGCCTTGAGCCGATAGCCTTCTACCCTAAGCAACCTCCTTCATTTATCTCAGCGTGCCTTATAAATATTGTCATTTTCTATGTGTGTATGACCCAAAAAGGACTGGGAAATGTTGCACCTGAAAACTGCTGAGGCCCTTTTAGCTCTAAATTATTATAGGTTTACAAGTTTTGATAAACGCCTCCATCTCAATTATACTCATCATCGCCTGCTGGCTATGGCTGTTAACTTACATCACGCATATGTGGTGCTTGCATGTCTTTCTTATAAATCACATTCTTTGGATGTTTTCCTACCTCATTGATTACTTTTTCTCAGATTGAGATGGGTTGCCTGATAGCCTCCCTAAAGCACATGGACTTGGTGTTCATTTAGTCATTCAACACTCGGCACTTCCCGATGCTGGAGGCTGCATGGGATTTATCCCTTCTTCCCTTTAATAACACTGTATTATCCAACAGTCATGCGGCTGTATTACCTTCTCCACCTGCTCCTGCTCTTCTCTGCTCCAACAGAGAGAAAAATTAGAGGCAGCTGTAAAGAGACAAGACATCCTCTTTTCCTCTATTCATAGTTTTTCCTGATGTGTCGGAACTTAATAAATGTTGATTAAATGAAAGAATAACAGATGGCACAGTGTGGTGTATGTAGGACAATAAATAATCAAGTGCAACTACTCACGATTGCCTACAATGCAGGTGCTGTCTCACTTGCTCTCTGTATATATGTGTGAATATATGCACACATACACATATATACATATGTACTCACGTAAACATATTTTGTTGAAGTCATTGCCATGCTGAATTGAATTCATGGTTATTCCCATGCAATTCAATATGTATCGAATACCTACTAAGCTCAAGTTGGTGCAAGATGTTATATAAAGGAAACTTAGATACAGCTATTATTCTCAGTGAGCTTACAGTTTTGCTCTATAATTATTCTTTGGAAAACCAACTGAGAGAGGAGGTGGGTGAAAACTCTTTACTGAGAGACCATCTTTTGTTGTAGAATTGGTTTATAGTCTTTTTGTCTAGTGCCTCCAAATGATATCAAAATGGAAATAATGTGGAACATGGTGAGCATGAGTCATCGTCTAGTGAAGTGGGCACTGTGAATTCCAGAGGCAGCACAGCTAGAACAAAATTTATGAAAGTCAAGGTTGGAAGGAAGCCTGCCTCCAGAATAAGCTGAATGATCAAAAGTACATGGTGTACCTTTCTGCATTGAATAGCTCTGTTTTTTCTGTCTATATGTTTTTCTTTTTTTTCTATCTATATGGCTTTCTAACTTTTGGCCTTTCGGCTTCACTTCTGTAGGGATTTGTGCATTTGCTGTCTGGGACCAAATGATTTGCTACCCAACATCAACCAGACGTGATTGGCATCAAATAATTGATTTGACAAATATTTACCAAATGCTTAGTATATGATAGAGGCAGATGTAGCTACAGAGATGAATAAGGTATAGTTCCCATCCTCAGGCTGGTGGAAGAGAAAACATCATTAGCACCATGACAAGATAAATTCTGAGCAAAGGTAGAAGAAGCAGCTAACTACCTGGGCAGCCGAGGAAATCTTCACAGGGAAAAACACAGTTCAGAGTTGGCATCTGAGGGTTTTAAAGATTTTATTGTCCATTAAAATGGCCTCCAACATAATATTAGTGAATTTTTGGATTAAAATCAAAGCCCGGTAAATAGGATGCAGAACAGAAGTTGCTGTTTACTGATATGACTACATTTAAAGGGGGTTGATGTGTTTAATGTGAAAGGAATGTGTTGTTGAGTACCTGCCTGAGTGTGAATGTGCCAGGATGGGTCTGAAGCAGTGCGTGGGAATGGAAGTGGGGAGACAGAATTGCTTTGCACAGTAGAGGGAGAAGAGTTGAGAGCCAGAGGAAGTAATGGGAAAGAGCCGTAAGAGGGATAAGAGGAAGTGAGAAGCCAGTTAGAGAATGGAGAGTGGGCTAAAGTGGCCTCAAGTGGCGAGTGGAAAGACTCCTTACTACTTGAGTGGTCTGAAATGTCAGGCATGGTTGTTTGTTTAATGAATGTAAGGCATCGTTGTTTAATATTCTATTTGAAGTTGCCTGCATTGTTGAGATGTAACCTGGGTCTTCCCAGAGCTTCATTAAACCTAACACACACACACACACACACACACACGCACACACACACACACACAAGTGCTTTGTGTGGGTGATAATTTTGTTGAAAACTAAGAGCTGCATTCTATGGCTGGATCTTTGTGCTGCAGCAGACAGAGCATGAGCAAGTGGTTAAGAAGTTTCAAAATGGAGCTGATTCACAAGTGAAGGGTCCTCAGACAAAGGTGGATACCAGAATGTGAGCTTCCCTGGAATTTGCTAAAACCTTGGCAGGAGATTTAAACTTTAACCTGGAATGAAGGTTCACAGCAATTTTATCCAGATATTGGTGGGGGGAAGTGGTTCTTACAGCCAATATCCAGAATTTAACTAGAAATAAAGAATTTGTCACACAGTTCCACCTATTCCATGCTGGTGCCTTGTGTAAATAATAATTACGTATGTGAAATATATAGGATAAAATGAAAACCGTGACACAAATGGCAGATTTTCTCACACTGAGATACCAAATTGTTTTGGAACACACAATTAGTTTTTTGGTAGCATTTTTTGCTTTATTCTGCTCGTGCATATTTTGGAATGAGGTGAGTAAATAAATGAATGAACAAACAAATAAGAACATTTACAAATTAGCTTCTTTTTGAAACATTTACTTTGGCAGTGTTGGTTAATTGTATGGTTTGTAATGTGAATTTATCTGATCCTTGGCCAATCACACTAATTTTGTCACACATGATTTATTGTAGCTTTAGATTCGTAAATATCTTTCACATTTGAAATTGCTGTGTTTGGCAATGAGCTGCTTAAGCATAAATTAGGAATTTGTTTCTATCAACTCGATCGAGTGCTGGAGGAGGTCCTATATTTTATCTTTTGAAAAATAACACAATGTTTTTCTCTAGGGGTTTAATATGAATCTTTCAACAGGATATTCATTGAAGGCCTACTACGTGCAAAGAACCATTCTAGAGACTGAGGGAGGAGCAGAAGTGCTGATTCTGTTTCTGAGGTGGTAAACGTGCCCAATAAATGATAATTAATAACAAAAGGCCGTAAATGTTAAGAGTCAAATGAATCATAGATCACTAAGTACTTATAGATCTCAGGGGAGACATTGAACTAGAGTGATCGGAGATAGCTCCTAGAAGATTTGAGTTATGACCTGCATTTAAAACATACTTTTTATATTTTAGCAGCTTTATTGAGTTAGAGTTAGCATAAATGAACTATACATATTTAAAGTGAAACATCTGACCCATTTTGGCATACGTACACGTCCTTGAAACCATCATTAAAATCAAGACAATGAACACATTCGTGAACCCCCAAAGTTTCTTCATGCCCTTTTATAATTCCTCTCTCCACACCTTTCTGCCTCCAGGCAGTCACTGGGACTGCTTGCTAGAATTTTTTGTCTGGCTTCTTTCACATAGTACAATTATCTTGAAATTCTGCCAAGTTGTTGCAAGTATCAATAGCTCATTCTTTTTTATTGTTGAGTAGTAACTCTTTATATGAATATACCACAATTTGTTTATATCCATATACCTCTTGTTGGGCATTTGGGTTGTTTTCATTTTTGGCTGTTATTAATAGAGATGCCATGAACATTCAGGTTCAAGTCTTCGATGAACATATGATTTTATTTCTTTTGGGCAACTATCTAGCAGTGCAATTGTCAGGTCTTCTGATCAGTGTCCATTTAAGAAACTGTCCAACTGTTTTCTCTTTCTAAAATGATTGTACCATTTTACGTCCCCACCAGCAGTGTATGAGAATTCCACTGGCTCTGTATCCATAGCAACACTTGGTTTGGCTGGTCTTTCTGATTTTAGTCATTCCAATAAGTGTCAGCAGTATCTCACGGTTTAATTTGCATTTCCCAAAAGACTAATGATGTCGACCATCCTTTATTGTGTTTAATTACAATCCAAATAACTTCTTTCAAGAAATGTCTATTCAAATATTTTGTCTACCTTTTACTGGGTTGTTTGCTTTCTTATTATTGAATTTTGAGAGTTCTTTATATATTCTGGATCCAAGTGCTTTATTAGATATGTAATTTGCATATATTTTCTCTCTATTTTATCTTTTCATTCTATTAAAGTGCCTTTGGAAGAACAAAATTTTGTTGAAGCCCAGTTTATAAAGTTTTCTATCTTGTATATCATGCTTTTGGTATTGTGCCTAAAATAGCTGCTAACCCAAGTTCACAAGGTCTTTCTCCTATGTTTTCACTTATAAGTTTTATATTTTTTGATTTTACATAAAGAGCTATGATCCATTTTGAGTTATGAACTAAATTTAAAGAGAGAATAGGAGAGTAATAAAATATATGAAAGCAAAACTGTTAAGACTGCTGGGTCCAAGGTGTGGTCTGGGCCCAGCGAGCTGACTGGTGTGGGTGAAACTTGGAGGCTGGGTGCTCCCTGTACACCAGTCACACAGCGTCCTCTTGGTTTCATGAACATGTCAAGCTCCTTTTTGCCCCCAGCACCTTGTGCGTATGAATCTCTGGACTTGGAATGATCTGCCTCTCCGCTTAGCCAATATGCCCTTTGGCTGGAAACTCAAGTGTCTCTTACTCAGGACTTGTCTGACTGCCTAGAGCAGGGCTGCCATGCTGTGCAACTCCATGTGTGAATGCTGCCTCTGGACTGGGACAAAGTTATAATGTTCCTCTTAATTAGCTCAAGAACCTTGCTATACATTTTCTTAACACAACTTTTTCTATATAGTGCTTATTACAATTTGTATTGTTGTGTCAATATTTGATTTAAACCTCTTCCCCAGGAGACCACAGATTCTTGAGGACTGGTCCATGTCTTGTTTGTTTATTAATGAATCTCCACTGACTAGCACAGTGCCTGGCATATACTAGGTGCACCATAAACATTTACTGAAGGAGGGAAGAAGGAAGGAAGGATCACTTCCTTTCAGCAATAGAATCAGCTTGTGGAGAGTCTAGAATATCAGGATAATGATTTCAGCTTTATCCTAGGCAACTGGGTTCTATTTAAACATCTGAACAGAGAAAATGGCGTGAATGTGGCGTGAATGGTATGTATTAGATGGATTTAAAGTATGAGAGTTAGAATAAACTTTCAAAAAAACAAAGTATCCAAAAATATATTTGGAGGAGAAGAGGTAGAAATGAAAAAATGGATGAAACAGGTATGATATAAGAAATCTATAGCATATATTGGCTGATGGGAACTGGGGAGGAAAAGGGACAGAATGAAAGTTCGCTCAGGTCAGGGAGATCAGATTATCTGGAGAATGATATTGCCACATTGGTTGAAATGAAGATATTGGGAAGAACAGAAAATTTTATAGAAAAGATATGAAAAAACACTATTAGTGAGTAAGTTTTAAAATATTTGCTTATATATTAGTTTCTCCTCATCCATGGTTTTGCATTGCATGGTTTCAGCTACCGGCAGTAACAGTAGTCCAAATGTATTAAATGGATAATTCCAGATATAAACAATTCATACGTTTTCAACGGCAGTCAACAGTAGTCCAAACGTATTAAATGGAAAATTCCAGAAATAAACAATTCCTAAGTTTTCAGTTGAGTACCAGTTCAAGTAGTGTGATGAAATCTCACACTGTCCCATTCTGTCCTACCCAAGACAGGAATCATCCCTTTGTCCGATGTATTCATGTTGTGTGCATTACACACCTGTGAGTCATTCAGTGGCTGTCTTGGTTATTGGACTGACTGTCATGGTATTGGAGTGCTTGTGTTCAAGTCACCCTTATCTTACTTCATAATGGCTTCAAAGTGCAGGAATAGTGATGCTGGCAATTCAGATATGTCAAAGAGAGCCATAAAGTGCTTCCTTTAAGTGAAAAGTTAAAGTTCTTGACTTAATGAAAGAACAAAATTGCACGCTGAGGTTGCTAAGATATATAGTAAGAATAAAATTGTGAAGAGGGAAAAAAATTCATGCTAGTTTTGCTGTCACACCTGAAACTGCAAAAGTTATGGCCATAGTTTGTGGTAACCTTTATTATAGCATATTGTTATAATTGTTCTATTTTACTGTTAGCTATTATCGCTAATCTCTTATTGTTCCTAGTTTATAAATTAAACTTTATTAAAGGTGTGTATAAGAAAAAATAGTATGTGTAGGTCTTGGAACTCTCTGTGGTTTCAGGCATCCACTGGGGGTCTTGGAATGTATCCCCTGTGGATAAGGGGGCCTACTGTATTTTAACCTTTACTTGTCCTAAGTAAGTATTATGTCTATGTATTTTTATGCTATCTTAGAAAACATATTTTGGGGAAAAATTGTACATCTTTTGCTTATAGCAAAATAACTATGCAAAATTATCTAGAATATTGATTTATGATTTCTATAAAAATCCTATTTAGCCAGCCCCAGTGGTGAACGTCTGCAGTTCCAGTTACTTGGGAGGCTGAGACAGAAGGATCACTTGAGCTCAGGAGTTTGAGGCCAGCTTGAACAACACAGTGAGACATATGTATTAAATGTCTCTAAAATAAAACAAAAAAACCCCAAAAAACTTATTTGTAGTTATCCTGTTTGTTTGCTAAACTAGTAAGCAGTGGGGCATAGATTTTATCCCAGGCCTGAATTTGTTTCTTAGTACCTGAAAGCTGTCTCAGCACTACATAATCTGGAAGCTGATAAGAACTGTTAAAAGAAAAATCTTGGCCGGGCATGGTGGCTCACGCCTGTAAGCCCAGCACTTTGGGAGGCCAAGGCAGGCAGATCACTTGAGGCCAGGAGTTCAAGACCAGCCTGGGCAACATGGTGAAACTGTTTTTATTAAAAATACAAAAATTAGTTGGGTGTGGTAGTGCATGCCTGTAATCCCAGGTCCTTGGGAGGCTGAGGCAGAAGAATCGCTTGAACCTGGGAGGTGGAGGTTGCAGTGAGCTGAGATCACGCCACTGCACTCCAGCCTGGGCGACAGAGTGAGACTCTGTCTCTAAATAAATAAACAATCTTTAGACAGATTAAATTTAACAGAGTTCATTTGTGCAAAGAAAGATTCATGAATTGGGTAGCACTCTCAGGACAAGAAGATGTTCAGAGACCTCTATCCAGAAGCATGAGCAGTGAGCTTTTTATAGGCCAAACACAGAAGCAAAATAAAAAAGTTACCTGGTTGTCTATAGCTAGGCATTTGCCTTATGGGCATGGTGTGATGAGGCATTTGCCTTATTTGGTCTGATCAGTTGGATGCCTGTGATTGGCTGAAATCCAGCAATTTTTATTTACAAAAAATATACTAAAAAGTTAGGTTTTGGTCTGTTTATATACTAAGTTAGATTGTGGTTTGTTACATAAGAATTCAAAGTATGGAGACAGCCTCAGGCAAATGGCCTCCTTATTTTGCCTTAACAATCCCTCCGTTTCAGCCAGCCTCTCAATTTTGAGAGATTCACTAAAACCTTGGGCATTGATGTTATTCTCTGTCACCATCATAACAGACTTCTTTGGTGTCTGTATGGAATTCACAGTCATGATATTAAGTCAGCTGAATAATTCTTCATGTTCTCTTTGTGTTATTGTTGCTATACCTGGAGTGAGACCATCTGACATACAGTAGATGACTGCATACAAGCAGTTAAGGCTTTTTAAAGGATACAGCATACCAGGGAGACTACTATGATGACTATCAGGAGGATCACACAAAAAGACTGAAATATGCTTCTTAACCAAGGCCCTTGTGAACCAAACCAATTATAATTAAGTAAATCAAAGAATGATACAGAATAGAAATGTACTTGTTTTAACCAATTATCGAGTTTGTTGATTTCTTAAAAAAAAAACAGAACAAGGTTGTTTTTCAATATATAACTTCTATACAACCCCAAAATAAAACACCACAGTAAAATAAATGGGAAAAAACATAATATTTTATTTGCAAAGCTTGACAAAATGTTAATATCTTTAATGATAAACGAGCTCTTAGAAATCAGTAACAAAGAGACTAACATTACAAGGGAAGTGAAAAAAACAGAGGAAAATGAAATAACACAAATGACTTACAAGGCTATGTGAAGATGATATAGCTTAAAATTAATAGATGAAAAAGCAATTTCACTATAAATTACATTATCAGTGTTTACAAATATTGATATCTAATGTTTGTATAGTTTTAGGAAGTGGGAAATCTTCAAATACTGGGAAAATTTACTCTGGTTATAGGAAATTTACACAAAGTATAGATTTTGCATATACTTTGCTCCAGCAGTTCCAGTTCATGGGGATCATTCCAACAAAGTAGTTGGATGAATTTTTATATATATATATATATATATATATATATATATGTAAATATATAAGCAGGTTCACTACATAGAAAATCTTTAGCTAATATGTCATCCCCCGAGAAACTACTTACGTACCAACTGGTTTATAAAATAATAGATGGGGGGGGGTAGAGTTAGAAAGAAAAATGGCATGTAAGTAAAAAGATTTCACAAAATTCTATGTTCTTTGAATTCTCGAAAAAGATAATTCTTTAAATGGATCAGTTTTATATTTACCCTGTGATAAGTGAAAATTATAAATGTATACACTTCATACTTATGGGAGCACTGAGATGAAACCCTTTTAATTCCACTATCCTGGCTTCTTTGTTCAAGAATGTCTGTCATTCCAGCTCCTGAGATTGAGTCCAATGACAACCATGTAAACAATCACCATGACTACTTAAGATCTACTTCAATGACACTCTTTAGGTCACTTCAAAAATGAGCTTTCTCAGTTAAGTTTTTCTGATCTCCAAGGAATGTCCACTGCAATGCATGTGAGGAGTCTCCATACATCATGAAGACCATGCTTTGGTTTTGGTGAAGATGGTGGTGGAAAGAGTGGCACGGGTTCCCTCCGTCAGTCATTACAATCATATGGCCAAGACAATGAAGAATGCTTGAATGAGAATACTGCAACAGGTCATTCAGTGATAACCGAGGTTTTACAATACCAGATGTGTTTATCCAAGTTCAGGAGGGAGTGTTAGCTAATGTACACAGTGCCCCTTGTTCATCCAACAGACGGTCCAAGGCAATTTGATTATCTACAAAAAATTTAGCAGGGGAGTTTAGAGAAGTTTCTTAGGCACCTATAGCCTTTGCAGTAAACTTAACTATAGTAGCTGATATTTGAGACAGATTTTTAACCATAACCTTATTTACATTTGTGCCAAGCCAATAAAGTAACATTCTACCAAAAGATGCCCATTTAGAGGAATTTACACAATTTAATCTACTCTATGATAAGTCTTGGGCTGCAGAGTTTTTAGTAATGGAATCTTTAAGGACTCAAAAGACCAGGCAGCCATCCAAACCCTCTGTGAGTCCATGCTTAACATTAAATTTGTATCCTTTTAGATACAAATTTTGTTTTTCCAAGTCAGATACATATAACACTGCTTATTAAATAGGTTATTATAGGTGGTTTCACTTGGATCAATCTTATGGAGTTCATTCAAATAGCATATTCTAACATTTTCAATACTAGCTAACTTAGCATGAAAATCTGCTGAGGAATTTGCTTGGTATTCAGTTATTTCTTGTTCTGCTTGATGTTGGGTTAGCAATTCTATTAACCAATCAGTTCCTTCATTAGAGTTCTGGGAATTGTTATCCAGTTCAATGGTATGATCTTAAAGTTATCAAAACCCTGTACTTGTCAGAGTCCTTTCCATGAGTCACCTCAAAGACAAACACTAGGTTTGTAGTTGCTTGTAATAGTTTTCAGGAAAGTACCAGAGTAAACCAATTAACTGTTTGTGGATGACAAAATTTAAAATGGCCATGGTGAAAATCTGATGAGGGTTCATTATACCACAGTTGACAAGGAAATTTTATTTCTGTGACATACACTATTTTAAGATAATAACTAAAATTATGACTGGTAGCATCATACCAAATCTATCAGATTTCTGGGCATTCTGTATAATTTATGAAACACATATTAAACACATATTAATAATATATGGCTTAAAGAAGGTTCAGCATCACTTATTAGACAATACTTCCCAAACAATTTAACATATCAAATAAGCCTAGGTAGTTTCATATCTCTCTTCTTATGAAAAGAGAACAAATTTTTTTGAAATACTCTAGCGACCTGTCTGGAAGCTCCCAGAGTTAGTTTGAGGTAGAAAGATCTTAATTTAGGATTTGGTATTAGAAAGTTGTCAGGAATATCAAATGGTTTGAAATATTTAATTAAAATAGGATCACAAGTCATTGTGAAACAATATTTATTCATTTAACTAGAGTGTGAATTAAAGTCTTCAAAGGTAAATACAGAATGCCATATAGTTGTAGAAAAAACTTAGCTCTTTTAATATAGAGGATTCAGTTTTCTTAGTAATCAAAGACAGGAAATTATCTTGATAAAACACATAATCTTTGTTTTCTAGGCTAATTACTTAATAAGTAAAGAAAAACTTGTCATAATTTTTTATAAAGAACAGACCAAGACTCCAAGAAAAGCTTATTGTTTTAACAGAAAGGACCAAATTCTCCATTTGCATCAGTGTACTTTTGGTATTAATGCTCAGTTTAAAAAAACCTTATAATTCCCTTCAAATTTTAGCCAGTTGATCACACATAAAATTCCTTTACCAAGATTCCTCTTTCACAAACCTACAACTTTCTTATATCCATTTAGTTTTTGTCCTATACTTTTCAAAGTCTTTCTCCTTGTGGAACAACCAGTCACTCTACTTTGGGATAAAAATTTGTCTCCTTTTCCCTTTATGAAACAGAACACATACATCATAGCTTTCCTTGCAAAAACCACATCTTATCTTCCTTGTATGCTGGCATATGATGTTGTTTCCCTTATTATTTCTAGGAATTTTAATTACATATATTAATTAGAATTTTTAACTGCTAATTTCCAATGAAAATAAGGAAGCAAGCAATTGTGAACTGCCTGCAACATACCAGCATTTTGTAATTTAACATCATTTTATAATTCTAGAAGCATCTGCTTCCTCATGGTACAATTTTTGAAGGTGGCACAGGACATGTTTATTAACAGACCTAGCTATCTATAGTTTCTCTGTAATAAGAAGATACAGGGAGGCAAAATTTTATCTGTCTTATAGCTTTTGGCTAGGCCTGAGAATTAAATCATTATTTGTATAGATTTCCCTCAGCCTCCATTTAATTGATGGCAAGAATGTTAAAACCTCCCTGTACAGAGAGGACATCTTTTATATAGGAATTTTATCTCATTTATACCTGTTTAACTCACTTAAAAAACAATTATGCTTGAATGTTATGAAAATGAGATCATAAACAGTCATCATCTTATTTTTCTTTTTTCTTTTTTTTTTTTTTTGGAGACGGTGTCTTGCTCTGTCACCCAGGCTGGAGTGCAGTGGTGTGATCTTGGCTCACTGCAACCTCTGTCTCCCAGGTTCAAATGATTCTCTTGCCTCAGCCTCCTGAGTAGCTGGGACTACAGGTGTGTACCACCACACCTGGCTCATTTTTGTATTTTTAGTAGAGATGGGGGTTTCACTATGTTAGCCAGGATGGTCTCAAACTCCTGACCTCAGGCAATCTGCCTGCCTTGGCCTCCTGAAGTGCTGGGATTACAGGTTTGAGCCACCACACCTGGCCAAGTTATATATCTTTTAATATAGCGATAACTTGAGCTTATTTTACTAGTAAACTTAGGTTGAAAAAGTTGTACATCTGTATTATATTTAATGCTGACTCTGAAGACATGCCTATTTTTATCAAATTGACAAGCTTTAACAAACTTTTATTTACCGAAAATTCTCCCAGGTCACATGAACTTGAAAAACATTTTAGTTTAGTTTCAACCTTCCTGAATAATTTAAGGAATAGTTAATCAATATAAGAGCTTATTTTTCCATTAACCAATTAAATATGGCTCTTTTACAAATTAATTTTGTCAATACTCTCCAGAGGTAGAAAAATGTCACACATACATTCCCATAGACAGACATAAATAATCATGCAGATCAAGGCAGATCTTAAAGCTTTTATTTTAAAATTGTAGCCATATGCCAGGCACTAAAATACAAAGTTTACTAATTTATTAAAAAATACCTGTATCCAAATTGTTTTTCTCTGGCCAATGGAACAAGATTATTCACCCTGATGGCTGAAGTTTTTTACTAACATTTGTGCAAAAGATTTCTAATATTTCTCATTTGCCTTTTATAAGGAGTCTTTTAGAAAGGCATTGGTTCTGGGTCTACAAATTTAGTACATAAAATTAACTGGTGTCTCAGAAAGTAGAGTCCCAGACTCCTGGATTTCCAGATTCCTTACATTTGGAAGAATCCATTTTCAAAAGGTACCTACCTGAGGCTTCTAACTGGACCCAGTACAATTATTTATTGGAGCGAATCCTATTCCAAACTCTGGTAAAATAATTACTCAAAAAAGTTGAAGAGCTCAAAATGCAAATTCATGAGCTTGAATTTGGAGGAGACTCACTTACAACTTCCAGTTATGAAGAGAGAGTAATGGGAGCAGTAGGCCTGGGGAGTACCTTTGCTTCATCACTCAATGCTCCTGGGGGGTCACTGGAGGTCTCTTTCGTATTCTGCTTCTGACATCAAAGTGTTAAAAGAAAAACTTTAGAGAAATTAAATTTAGTAGTTTATTTGAGCAAAGAGTGGTTCATGAATTGGGCAGCATTCAGAACCAGAAGAGGTTCAGAGAGTTCTGCACAGAAGCATGAGCAGTTGACTTTTACAGGCTGAACATGGTAGCAAAGTAGAGAAATCACCTGACTGGCTATAGTTAGACATTTGCCTTAGGAGGCATTTGCCTTATGTGGGCATGATCTAATCAGCTGGCTGCCTGTGATTGGCTGAAGCTCAGCTGTTTGTGACTGGATAAAATCCAGCTATGTGTTCCAAAAAATAAACTAAGTTAGGTTTTGGTTTGCCTCTGTACAAGTTAGGCTGTGGTGTTATATACGAATTCAAAATACACAGTCAGGCTAATGGCCTCCTACTTATTTTGCTTTAATAGAACACATTTTGTATGTGACCTGGGAGTGTCTCTTTATTACCCTCTGCTTTCCTTGATGGGCGGTTCCACAGCCATTGTAAACTTTCACTTCTCTACTAGATTTGGAGGAAGGGCTGCCTTTTGGGGAAGCTTTATGACTTTGAACAAAATTCATCTGTAAAATGAGAATGATTATAATATAGGGTTAGAATGGGATAGTACATGTGAAACTGCCTGGTACATAGTGTCTAATTAATGCTATTTTCTTTTGTACTGAAATAACAACAGCCTGTAGTAGGAATGAAGACATTTGAGGTCATCAAATGTATATGAGAATATATGTCAATAAGATCTCCCATCAACTAACTGTTATAGGGGAGTAATTTGGTGTAATATTTTTGGAAAACTGTCTGTCATTGTCTTAAGCAATTGAACCATCAATAACTCTGTGATGCAGAAATTCCACTTCTAAGTATGTATCCAAGTGTAATTCATATTCATCCCCATTATGATGAAATATGTATAATAATGTTCATACATGTCATATTTGGAAGAACAACAACAACAAAGGCATTGATAATAGACATTCTAGTTTTATTCCTGGCTTTAAATGTGTTTCTTAAGCATGAGGTTAGATTTGGATTGAGACAGATTTATTTAATCATATTAAAGGAGTATTTATCTGTTTCTATTTTATTAAGAATCTTGACTAAGAATATATATTGAATTTATTAAACACAATTTCAGTATCACTCATGGAAATTATATTATAATTATATGATTATATTAATTTTTATTCATAGAATATGATATGGTAAAGCATTAATAAATTAATTTTATTATTGATAATTCTTTTATTTCTAGGATAAAGTCCACTAAATCAGATGTGTTATCCTATTATAGCTGGATATTATTTGTTAATATTTTGTTAAAGATTTTTCTATTCATATTTATACAAAAGTTTGATCTATACTTTTCTGTTTAATCTTTGCTAAATTTTGGTGTCCATATTACTTCATTAAAAATATTCAGAAGTTTTTCTTCTTTTTTCATACTCTACAACAATTCAAATAATGTTGAAAATATGTATTCTTTTAAGATTTGCCAAATTTCCCTGTGAAACTATCTGAGCCCATTGCTTTTTTAAATGGGAAGTTGGTGAGAGAGAGCTTTTTTGCAGTTTCCCCTATTTTTTTCTGTAGATACTAGTTTGTTCAGATTTACTGTTTTGTCTGGAGCTGGTCTGGGCTAATTGCATTTTTCTAGGAAATTATATATGTTATCTGGCTTCTCAAATTTATTTGCACAGAGTTGAGCAGGGAAATCTATATGGTTATTGTAATTTTCTGTAGTTATAGTTATTTCCTTCTTTTAAAAAAGTTTTGCGTATTTGTGGTTTATTTCAGTTTTTCCCGTCATTTGTTGCTATATAACAAGCCACTCAAAATCTCAGTGGCTTAAAACATCAAACATTTATTTCTTGCTTGTGGATCTACAGGCTGGTGGCAACTCATCTAGGTTAGGCTGGGCTCTGGCTTCCAGGTTCCATGTTCCATGTTCCATGTGTTTCTCATTGTCTTCAGTTTAGTAGCTACCTGGAGTCCCATTGCACAAGATGAATGGCAGTAGCACAAGAGGACAAATGGACACGTGATACCTCTTGAGTCATCCATCCTGGTAGTTGCATGCTGTCATTTATGTCCACATTTCATTGGCCATGACAAGTTATATGGTTAAAACCAACATTAACAATGTGAGAAAATACAGTCTGCCCACTATAGTTGGTATAACTGTAAAGTCACATGGCAATGGGAGTGGCTATATAATTCTAATACTGAGTGGGCATAAAGAATGAAAGACAACAATTTATTCTGCCACAGTCCACTCTTTTATTTATTTATGTTCACATACCTCCTACATACAAAATACACTTAGTCTTATAAAAGTCATGCCAAAGTCTCATCCAATTATTATATCTGGGATTTCATTTATATTAATTTTGAATTTGGTTCACTTGACTGAAAGAACTATGAATTTAAAGAAATTACTTCCCCTTACTTATCCAACATGCAGTGATGGAGCAGGGATAGGCTAACCTCCACAAGTATACCCATTCAAAAGAGGATGCTGAGGAAGTATACGGTCATCACTGGTCTGTAGCAATCAATACTCAAATCCTATGGGCAAATATTGCCTGATTACCTTATCTTGGGAGCAGAGTATTTTTCCTTATTAGCTTACATTTTGTTCCCTGGGAGTATGTCCTCATTTCATTGTTCCCCATGGCTCTTGACTCTGCTGGCTGGGAAGTTCTTCCTTTATCCTCACATTCCTTAGCCACTTCTGAAGTAATCATTAAAGAATATGCTATTTTAGCTTACTTCCTACCAGTAGAAATCAGAGGAGGCCAAAAGTCTTTGACATCTTAAATAATTATAGTCTTAATCCTGACTGGCAGCACTTTTAATGATTTATTTCATAAGTTCTATAAGAAGAAATAGTACAAAACATCTACTTATCACAATGCAATAATTCTGGCATGTAATTAAAATAAAGGCTGAAAATAAAAAGCCTCCATCAATCAGAAAATTTAAATGATCTCTTAAAGAACTTTTGGCTGAAATCTTTGAAATCAAAACCAAAATTTTAGAATATCTAAACAAATGATAAAAATACTATACGTAAGAACGTACAAATTTCATCTAAAGGAGAGACAGCAGATCCTTTCATCTGCGTATAATGGCTCCTAAAAAGTCTATTGATATGATCTTCTGATTTTCTCATAGCACCTGTAATTAATTCTAGATAGGGAAGCATATTTCAAAGAGAAGTATGGGTATGTCTGTGAGCATAACAGGGATCAAATATTTAGAAAACCCATGAAACTTTTGAGAGACTAGGATATTGGTTTATACTTTATGAATATTTGTTCTATGAATAAATATATTTATAATATATATAATATATAAGCTCTATAAATTTTTTTGGTATGTAAATAATAAAAACTATTGTATCTTCTTTTCAGATTGCTGTCTTATTCTGTTAGGACTTTTGCCGCAAATTTAATCTTGCTTTCAGTCTTGTACAAAATTGAAAAATTGAAGTTGTCGTCTACTTTTGTATTTTCTTGGTTATTTGTTTATCCTTTAATTTTCAGAATCAGTTTCTTTAGGTGTGTTTGTATAGGACATAGAGTTGAGGTTTGCTATGGATTTCTTTTTCTTTTCTTTTTGTTTTGTTTTTTGTTTTTTGAGACAAGGCTTGCTCTGTTATCCAGGCTGGAGTACAGTGGCATGATCATAGCTTACTGCAGTCTCGACCTCCCGGGCACAAACAACCTTTTCACCTCAGCCTCCCAAGTAGCTGGGACCACAGATGCATGCCACCACATGCCTGGCTAATTTTTACATTTCTTGTAGCAAAAGGGTCTCACCATGTTGCTCAGGTTGGTCTGGAACTCTTAGGCTCAAGTGATCCTCCTGCCTTGGCCTTCCAAGGTACTGGGATTACATGTGTGAGCCACCAGGCCCGGACTTGAACAGCTTCTTTTAAAAGGTGAGTTTTTCCATTCATATTTACTAATATGGCAGATCTATTTAGTCTCAGTTCTTTTATTTTAGCTGCATCCCACAAACTTCGATAAGTTGTGCCTTCATTTTTGTCCAATTAAATGTACTTTCTCTCTTATAATTTCCTCTTTGACTCATGAGTTATTTACATGTATGTTGTTTAACTTCCAAATACTTGAGGATATTCTGGCTATTTCTTTGTTCTTACAAGCCCATCAAACGCAGTCTTTATATCTGTTATTCTTTTTTTGAATCTATGAACTTGCACTGCCTCTCACATTCTTTTTCTTTCCTCTTTCAATTTCTGTAAAATATATGTTTACATTGTCAGGGCTTATGGCATTTAGGTTTTGTTCTACCTCTGTTTTTTATTTTATTTTATTTTTTAGTTATAATTCTACCATTAGTTCTTACATCTTTGGCTGTTTAACCACTCATCTCATGATTAAAGCTTTTTTCTAAAATATACTCTCCAAGAAGGCTTATTATAAAAACAGTATTCCCCAAGTTCATTGCATATAATAGCTCTGTGACTGTTGCCTTTATGTTTGACAGCCTGTCTACAAAATTCATGGGTCACATTCTTTTTTTTTTTGAGGATTTTGAAGTTCTTCCAGTGTTTCCGAGAATTGAATATTGCTGTGAAGAAGTCCAAGGATAGTTGGAATATTTTTCTCATATAAATGATTTGATGACTTACTTTGTTTTCTAAAGTATTATTTCATTATTTTTTAAGTGCAGTAAGTTCAGAGTATATCTTGCCATTGAACACGCTGGGTCAGTTTCTGCTGGGATATGATGTCCATTTAATATGTAAATTTAACATATCTTTTATTTTTGGAAATAATTTGCTTTACTCCAATTTTTTCATTGCCTTCATTTGGATCTTTATTTATTTGTTTATTTATTTATTATTTATTTTTTATTTTTAGAGACGGAGTCTTGCTCTTTTGCCCAGGCTGGAGTGCAGTGGCGCAATCTCGGCTCACTGCAAGCTCCGCCTCCCGGGTTCACGCCATTCTCTTACCTCAGCCTCCCCAGCAACTGGGACTACAGGTGCCCGCCACCACGCCCGGCTAATTTTTTGTATTTTTAGTAGAGATGAGGTTTCACCATGTTAGCCAGGATGGTCTCGATCTCCTGACCTCGTGATCCGCCTGCCTCGGCCTCCCAAAGTGCTGGGATTACAGGCGTGAGCCACCGCTCCTGGCCCATCTTGATCTCTTTTAAACAAGATCAGGCACGTTCAGGGTGGCATGGCTGTAGACTTGATCTCCTTCAGGTACCCATAATTTTCTTCTTAATATTTTAAATATGTTTGGGCGTTAATTTCCATTTCTTGTTGTTTTCCCCAGTTTTATCTTCAATATCCTACGCAATATCTATCCTACTTTGTGCTTCTGTCATTTTAACTTTTATTTCTGTGATGATTTTTCTTTCAATTCTGTTCTGATATTTGCTAGTTCATGCTTTATTTTCTTCAGTCTTTTGACTAACTTTTCACTATGTTTTCACTGCAGTTGCTTCAGAAGGGCAATTGATTTAAGAATTTTAAATTGACTGTAGTGTTTGGTCACTCTTTTCATCTACTACTTGTCAGTGACTGTTCATCGTCTACCATTTATTTTCTTTTCCCTTTTCTCTCTCCCTACTCCCATCAGATCTATTTGGAATAGTTCTTGTGATGCCTCCTGTTGATTACTCAGTTGATTGAAGTGAATTTTTCTTGGACCAGCAATTTTCAGAAGTTTCATGTTGGGGAGGAACTAGGGCTATGTTCTGGGCTAGCTGGAATTTCCCTCATGACCCAGGATTCTTGTGTCAGGTTAATTAGCCTTTACTTCTTCCCAGCCCTTAGAGATAGCTCCCATAAACTTTTCACCGAGTTCTATCTCTGCTATTCTCTCATTGCTAAAGGGACAAGGTGCTTCTTTTAAATATGCTGTCTATGTGATTTCTCATGCAGTCCAACACTCTCTGCTTCCTAGTTCTGGGGAAGCTCTTGATGCTAGTTTGTGCACTCATCCTACTGCTGCAAATGAATGATTTTTATTTTGCCCTTGTCTCTCACTGCCAAGAAATATACTTTGCTGGCTCATGCATGATCCAGGGTCACAGTCTTTTTCCCCCCTTCACTTTCTGCCACGTATATCTCCACTTGATCTCTGCTTTTGGCGGCCTTTCCACTTATTTGATGGCGTGGGGGTTTTCTCTTGCCTAGTTTTAACATAGATAAGTTTGTATTTCTTATTTCTCATTATCTTTGTGGCTTTCAGAACACTCCCAAGAAAATAAGGAAGATATTCTGATTTAAACCACATCGTTAAACTAGAAGTTCAATTAATGAATTGTAAAGACAGGTGGGCTTTTATGACATTGTATTGCAATGTGTTGATGCTAGTTTTGATAACAAAGACATTTTTAAGAGCACCATAATGACCAGTATTTTGATTTTACTTAGAAAAAAGAGGGCATCAAAACAATTTTTTTGAATGAGTTTTCCAAAAAGCTTCAGATAATATCAAAGTTGTATATGGCATATCCCCAAAGAAGTTTTTCTGATGTCCTTAATCATGATTCAAATGCTCATTCATCTTGTGATTTTTAAAATGTATTATATAAAAGGAAGATAATATAAATAATATGTGGAAGAACTTCCATAATATTGAAGTAAATTGAAGCCAATTAATAAGCATGGGTCCTTGTTTGCCTTGTTTTATCAACCTATGTAGATTTCAAAAGTTTTGTCAATTGAAAAATCCCAAGTTCTATAAATTTGGAAAGGAGACTTTATTTATTATAAAAAGGGTTACAGCTTCTAGGGTGGCCATCATCCTGACAGATTTGGAAGTGTAGCCTCTGGCAGGGACTTGAAGGGGGCACTTTGAGGGAGGGGAGTGTGGGGCTGGGATTTATGCTAAACAGGTTGGCCCAGTACACATATTCAACAGGTTATAGGAGGAGCTACAGATATTCCTGAAGTGGGGCCTGATACATAAACAAACATGCATGTTTCATGCATCCCATGTTCACTTTGGTGTGGAGCCGTAATATTTAAACGCGTTACAGTTAGGCCTTATATGTCAAAAGGTGAAGCAGGGAGATGAAGACACTCAAGTGTGCAGTCTCTTTAAATGGGCTGGGACCAGTCCATGGTCTCTGGTCTTTTATCAGGAGAGTTACTGAAATCAGTCTTGTCCAATCAAAGTTATAGTTATGGCTTGTGGAACAGGGGACCAGTGAGTCAGCATCTGGTGGTAGAGGAGCTGCAATTATTTCAATATTGCTTCTCTTAAGGCCTTTGCTTATTTAGCTTCTGTAGAAGAAGAAAAACCTGTGGCAGTTAGAACACAGTTTATTCTTTAAGTGTAGGGGTATGTGGCTTAATCCTTGACTGGGTGGCCTTAGGTCCTGTTTGTAATTTGGTATCTTACTGCTACAGAGTCCATTTTATCAGTCTTATGAACTCTATTTTAACACTAATGCTGATCAGTTGTGTCTAAACCACACAAAGAGGAGATATACCAATGTGTGTCCAACCTCCTGTCCTGTCGTGGCCAGGAACTCCATTTTTAAGGTTTCTCTGGGTCCTCTTGGCCAAGAGGGGCGTCCATTCAGTTGGTTGGGGGCTTAGGATTTTATTTTTAGTTCTCAGTTTTGTACTGTGAATGCTAGTTGATTAAGTGAGAAGTTTGTGGCAATTTTTAAAGAAAGGATAGATATTAGATTGCATTAAATATTACCTCCTTGATTAAACTATTGTTATTAGGGAGAAAGTAAGATTGGGCCTGAGTAATTTTGAATGTAAGAATGTAACTCTGTATAAACATTAGCAGTTTCTCTAATTGATGCTGCTTTATTAAAATATCACTTTTTGTACTGGTGAAAGAGAAAAACATTAAAGGAATTTTTATCTTAAAATGTTCTCATTCTTATAATTTTGGGGTGCAGGTTTTTGGGAGTTTCTCTGTTTCTCACTCTTCAAAGGATAAAAGTCCTTTAGCTGAAAATAAAACATATTGCATTATATTTTATTAAAATAATTATTGTGGCGAAAATAAAGGGTATTACATAACACTTTATTAAAATAATTCTCTGCAATTGAGATTTATATTTTTTTCACTTCAGAATACTTCTGCTTACTGTAAGCATAAGTCCAAAACAAATACACAAAGAAAGCAGCAGCCACCATCTCCAAATCTTAATGTTGTGGTTTGAAAATATGTATATAAATTCTTTGATACACCTATTTTCAAAGGGTGGAGCCTAATGCCCTCCTCTTGATGGAGGCTAGACTTAGTGACTTACTTCTAACAGAATATGGTGAATGTGATAGTGTGTGGATTTTGAGAATACCTAAAAAAATCATTGTGTTTTTTCTCTTGATCCCTCTTTTGGATCACTCACTCTGAGGGGAGGCCAGCTGCCATGCTGTGAAAACACTCAAGCAGTCTCACAGAGTGTTCAAATGGCAAGGTACTGAGGTGCCCTGGCAACGGCAAGGAACTGAGGCCTTCATCCAAAGCCATTAAGTGAGCCATACTGGAAGCAGGTGCTCCGGTCCCTGGTGGTCTTGAGATGACAGCAGCTTCAGTGTCTTGACTGCAACCTCAAGAAAGACCTTGAGCCAAAGCCATCCAGGTAAGCCACAACTGAATTCCTGACCTACAGAAACTGTTAGCTAATTCAGTTGTTTTAAGTGAATATGGTTTTGGATAATTTGTTATATAGCAACATATAGCCAAAACATTTCATGTGGCCAATTTCACTCTCTCCGCAAGGACACACCAACCTGTAGTCCCTGGAGTACACAGCAACCCGCTTAATACCCAGCACTTGTCTGCTTACATTTTAGTTTCTTGGTTCTGTTTTCAAAGATCTTGCTATACCTACATCTCTTTAACAGTCGAATGAATAATAAAGAAAAATATGAAAGCTTCCAAATTTTTTTTTGGATTCAATTAAGTCAAAAAAGACTTAACATTTTTGCCAATTGAAGCAGACCTCTTGTTCAAATAAGCATATCAGATGCCTAAGTGGCTTTTGGCAAGAATTTCTAGAAAAGGAGTGATTGAAATTAAGACTTCTCTGAGCCTCACTTCCTAAAAATGCTGCTAGTAAATAGAAAACAACAACAATAACCAACCCTTTTATCTCCCCTACTATTCCATATAGGCCATAAAAGGAGAAGGACTTGAGGCTAATTATGAAATAATAGCCAAAACCTGATAAAGAAGACAAAGGGCAAGCTCAGAACTGGAGACAATGGCACAGGAAAATGAGAAATAAACAGCCATGTATAGGCAGCATTATCAGTGGTTGCCTTACAAAGTGACAGGGGCTAAGGCAGGTACTTATAACTGGTGCTTTGCTAGATTTATACACCAACTAAATTCTAAACCTATTTTCTGCCAGATGGAGTTAGGTTAGGGTGATGAGTGTTCAGTGATCAAACAATTCCTTCTACCTCATCTCCACTTAGAGACCAGTTGATTATTATTATTATTATTATTATTATTATTATTATTTTTGAGAGAGAGTTTCGCTCTTGTTGCCCAGGCTGGAGTGCAATGATATGATCTTGGCTCATTGCAGGCTCTGCCTCTTGGGTTCAAGTGATTCTTATGCCTCAGCCTCCCAAGTAGCTGGGATTACAGGTGCCTGCCACCATACCTGGCTAATTTTTTGTATTTTTAGTAGGGATGGGGTTTCACCATGCTGCCCAGTCTGGTCTCAAACTCTTGACCTCAGGTAATCCACCCACCTCAGCCTCCCAAAGTGTTGGGATTACAGGTGTGAGTCACCGCCCTCAACCTAACTGATTACTTTTGAATGCCTTGGTAGGAGCTAGAAAGGTTCTTCCCCCAAATATCTCCTCTACTTGAATTATACCATTTCGAATTTTATCTCAACAGTCACTAGAAGGCAGGTGTGTTCCAAAAAGATCTATTCAGATGATAGCAAGTGAAAATTGGTTTATTTTGATGAAAGATCAAAATGTATCATTTAAGAACAGTTTATTTCTTCAGAGAATTTATCTTAACACATCACCTCATAAAACTGTTATGAGTATAAATTAGTATATGTAGTTAGTTTATGAAACATGCTGTCTTTTGTGGGAGTAAATCATGAAGAAGCTTTATTTTCTCATACTACTACTGTCTTTCAACAGTGTCTTTAAAAGTGCTAGTTAAATCCCCCTCTTCTATCCTTTAGCTGCACTTCAGTTTCAACTAAAAATGAAACAATAGCAGATTAAATGCTTATTCATCATTCTTCCTGGACCCTACTTATCACTGATGATTTCCTTTGTTGTTGTTAATACTCATACTAGTGTGTTCCTGGTCACTTTCAGGTTTTATTTTCACATAGTAAAAATTTCAGTTTTATTTTAACTATTAAAATGTTGAGCCCAATCAGTAAATGTTGAAACTTGAAATGCTCATTCAATTTAAAGGTTCTTGCTTCCCCACCTCAGTCCGGTTTTGACACATGCCTGGAAACCTGTTACTGGGAAGATAAGGGCATGGTTGGTTCATTTGCTTCCTGCTATGGTCCAAATGTTTCTGTCCTCACCCCCAAATTCATATGTCAAGATCCTCACCCTCAAGGTGATGGTATTAGGAAGTGGGGCCTTTGAGGGGTGATTTGGTCATGAGGATGGAGCCCATGTAGATGGTTGTGAATGGGATTAGTGCATTTACAGAAGAGGCCTGAGATAAACCCTTGCCTCTTCCACCATATGAGGATGCAGTGAGATGGCAAGATGGGATTAGGTTGTGGACACTTACCTGACACTGAATCTGCAGATGTCTTGATCTTGGACTTACCAGCCTCCAGAACTGTGAGAGAGAGATTTCTGTTTTTTACAAGCCACCCAGTATATTCTGTGATAGCAGTTTGAACAGACTGAGACACTTCCTTGTTTTCTTTGTGCTTTCTCCCCACTTTCTAGTTGCCCTTTCTGGCCCCTCCAGGGTTAAGCCCAGTGGAGGGAGGATTGGCAGGAAAGGTCAGAGTCTTTCCTGATCAGAGCTCTGCTCCTGATGGCCGAGCAGGGAGAGAAGGCTACCATGGAGCAAGGCAGCACCCACCAATCGCAGGGAATGAGGGCTTCCTGGAGTGTTTTTCTAGAGTGTGCCCCATGGAAAATAGTTGAGTTTGAGTCATTTTAAGAGGACCCCACCTCTAGAGATCTGCCCAAGGGGGCTAAAGTAATCCTAATGGGGAAGAGTCCTGTGGGATATTTTGTTGAGGAGAGATTCCGTGGGGCTGCTAAGGGGAGGAGTGCTAGGTACTGGTCACTAGTGAGTCCCCAGTAAGGGACCCACCCAGGTGCTCTACAGAACAAGAGTCAGCCTTTGTGTATATGCCATCCCCAGACACCTCCTGGGTTCAAGCGATTCTCCTGCCTCAGCCTCCCGAGCAGCTGGGATTACAGGCGCCTGCCACCATGCCCGGCTAATCTTTTGCATTTTTAGTAGAGACGGGGTTTCACCATGTGACATGTGACAACAGCAGCTGACATCAGCACATGTTGGGTGAACTTTTATCTGCTCCCTCCCTGCCCTTTTCTCCAACCAGTTAGAAGCAGGTGGTAATGGAGAAGGAGACAAAGTTAAAAAAAAAAAAATTACAGAACTTCAACTATTGCCTGTCACAGGTTTCTTCAGATTGAGTAAGGGTTGGGATTCAGAAGGAGGGGAAGCTTCAAGTTGCTTGAGCGTTCTAAGCTGTACTGGACTTTTGAATACATCAAAGTGAGGGTGTTTGTTAATATCTCAAGGTGACTTGCAAAATATCATCTGCCTGACATATTGGCCAGGTGTGTGATGGGACTGTATAACTGAAATCATGGGCAGGAGAAAAATAAAATTGTTTTACCTGCTTGTACCTTCTGAGTCTGGACTATTTTTTATTAAAAAACCAACTGACCTGACCCAACAAAAAAAAATCCATAAAAATCAAATAAAACATCTAGTGCCTGGCACATAGCAAGTACTCAGTAAACATTATGTGTTATTATTGTCATCTTCAATATTATTACCACACCTAATTCTTTTATGCTCAGACTCTTTGGTGGAAAATGTCATGGAACAAGAAGGATGAGAGATTCATAGAGGCTATTTTGCATAGCTGTTAAGAGGTACTCTATTAGGGTACAGATAAGTACCTGCTAATTCCCATTTTCTGTTTAATAAAAGATACTCAATTAAGATTTGATGGTTTTAGTACTAATTTCCTCTTGGCTAAGCTGAAATAATGATGGAGAATGAGGTGGTTCAGGTGTACTAAATCAAACGCTGGAGGGATAGGGGAGACAGAGAGGAGAAACCGCCCATTGGAGAGGGTGCCCTACTTTCAAGCTTCATGAGATGATTGTAATGTAGAAATAGAGAAGGGAAGTGGTCAGAACGAATTATCTCACCCTCTGGGGATTCTAGAAAAGTGGTAGAATTCAGGCCAAGTAAGTTTATTGCTGCCTTTATGAGGCGACACTTGTTCTAACCTGGATGTGACTCTTATAAAAATTTTTTTCAACAAAAAATGAAACAATAGCAGATTAAATGCTTATTCATCATTCTTCCTGAACGTTACTTATCACTGATGTTTCTTTTGTTGTTGTTGCTAATACACTTTTTATTTTAGAATAGTTTTAGATTTACAGAATTATTGTGAAGATAGTATAGCTCCTATGTCCCTACATCCAGTTTCCCCTACTCCTAACATGTTAACATTAGCGTGGTATATTTGTTACAATTAATGAGCCAATATTGGTATGTTGTTATTAACTAAAGCCCATGCCTTCATTTATATTTCATGATTTTTGTCTCTGATGTCCATTTTCAGTTCTCAGATCACATCCAGTACATCGCAGTACATCTAGCAGTCCTGTCTCCTTTGGTTCCTATTGGTTGTGACAGTTTCTTAGACTTTCTTTGGTTTTGATGACCTTGATAGCTTTGAGGATTGAAATACTGGTCAGGTATTTTGTAGAATGTCCCTTCCTCTTATGTTTTTCTGATGATAGACAGGGGTTATGGGTTTTTTGGGGAAGACCACAGAAACAAAGTGACATTCTCATCACAGCATATCAAGGGTATATATTGTTAACATGACTCATTGCCATTGATGTTGACCTTGATCACCTGAGATTGTGTTTGTCAGGTTTCTCTACTGTCAAGTTATTCTTTTTTCTCCTCTTTCTATACTATTTTTTAATTTTCTTTTTCTTATTTTTTGAGATAGGGTCTCACTCTGTTGCCCAGGCTGGAGTGCAGTGGCATGATCACAGCTTACTGTAGCTGTGACCTCCCTGGGCTCAAGTGATCCTCCCACTTCATCCTCTCAAGTCACTGGGACTGCATGCATGAGCCACTATGCCCAGCTAAGTTTTTGTAGAGATAGGGTTTTGCTATGTTGCCCAGGCTTGTCTTGAACTCTTGGGCTCAAGTGATCTGCCTCAGCCTCCCAAAGTGCTGGAATTATAGGTGTGAGTCACTGGCCAAAGTTAATTTCTTTCTTTTCTTTTCTTTTTAAATTTATGTCCATGTACATTACTTTTTTTATACTGTGCTCTCCAGAAGGAAGTCCCTTTGTGCAGACCACACTTAATAAGCAGGAGTTATAATCCACTTTCTTGAGATCTGAGTATCTTTATAAATTTGTTCAAATTTTACTGCATGGGAGATTTGTCTCTTGTTCAACATTCATTTAATCACTTATATCAGTATGGACTTGATACTGATTTTATACATTGGGTCATAATCCAATACTATGTTATTTTGATGCTCAAATTGTCCCTCCTTCTAAGTATTGGGAGCTCTTTGATGTACCCCCATCATTGTGGTGTGGTTTTCTTTCTCTTTCTTTTTTCAGTTTTTATAATTTTTTTAATACTCTTTTACTCTATGGCATTAAAAGATACTCCAGGCTCATCTTGTATATGCCCCCCTTCTAGAATGAGCCATTTATCTGAGAAGCCCGGGTTCCTTTTATTGGAGGTCATATTAGAAACAAAGAACAGGGCAGTAGGTGTGCTTGTTGCTCCTGGTGTGTTTTTGCTTCTAGCTCCTCTCAGCTGACAGAGTGAGGATATTTGTGTATTCTAACCAGTGTTTACACACATCTATAAACATTTCTATATGTAACCATCTGTATCTGTATGGAGTTGAGCATGAGTTTATACTGCTGTCTCCAATTCTAATCCATTACCACAGGGATCATTCCAGGCTCCTCTTTTGCTTATTTGTAATCTCACACTTCAGTGAGAAACCTGGCTCCCACCATCCTCCATCCATTCACTCTATTGCTCAAGTCCCATGTACACGGAGAGCATTTTCAGAATTGTTATCCTCTGCTCTTACGGGAACCAACTTTAGCAACTAGACTGTGGCGCTCATGCATATTGCCTTTTACCTTTAGTCTTATAGACGCTACTTATTTCCAAAGTTATTTAAGTCAGTACCTTATTCCCCTATTCCCTTAAGTGAGATTGTTTCATAACGTTTGTAATATCATTGGATTCTTTTGTCACATTCTCCATTCCATCCTATCTTAGAGTAAGGGCACAATCAAAGGTAGCTATTGCTAATATATAATATATGTTTATATATATTTGAGACAGGGTCTGGCTCTGTTGCCCAGGCTGGAGTGGTGCTATCATGGCTCATTGTAGCCTTGACCTCCCCAGGTTCAAGTGATTGTCTTACCTCAGCCTCCCAAGTAGCTGACACTATAGGCATGCACCACCACATCAGTCTAATTTTTTGTGTTTTTTATAGAGACAGGGTTTTGCCATGTTGCCAAGGATGGTCTCAAACTTCTGAGCTCAGGTGATCCACGTGTGTCGGCCTCCCAAAGTGCTCAGGCTACAGGTGTGAGCAGACGTGCCTTGACCCACTAGCATATTTTTTATTTATTTATTTTTCTTTCTTCTATTACACCAGGAAATATTATTAGGCAACCTCTAGCATATTTTTTTAATGGTTGACTAATATTCATGGCTCAATGGCCCATAATTTACTTAGACAACTGCCTATTGACAAATGCTTAGCCAATTGTTCCTTATTGGACAATGGCCTATTATTGGACTGCTATAGATACCATGGTCAATAACATTCTTATATATTAATCTTTGTGCACGCTGATCATTTCATTATGGGACATTTCTATAGATAGTTAAATCTCTGAAGTAAAGAGTGCGAACTTTTTTAAGGCCCATACTATTTCAAGTTACCCTCTGAAAAATGTAAACTTCACCAGAACTAAATGAGAAGCCTCAAAAGACTGAAAATCATGATTTAAAATGTTTTTTCAATTTGACCGATCAAAAAAAAGGTCTGTTATGTGAGGTTGAGTTTTTTTTCACCATTTGTGTCTCTTCATTCTTTCATTATCTCATATCCCTTACTTTTTTTTTTTTTTTTTTTTGAGATGGAGTTTTGCTCTTGTTGCCCGGTCTGGAGTGCAATGGCATGATCAGGGCACACTGCAATCTCCGCCTCCCAGGTTCAAGTGATTCTCCTGCCTCAGCCTCCCGAGTAGCTAGGATTACAGGCATGCACCACCATGCCTGGCTAATTTTGTATTTTTTTTTTTTTTTTTTTTTTTTTTTTTTTAGTAGAGACGGGGTTTCTCCGTGTTGGTCAGGCTGATCTCAAACTCCTGACCTCAGGTGATCCACCCGCTTCAGCCTCCCAAAGTGCTGGGATTACAGGCGTGAGCTACGACACCTGGCCTATTTATTTATTTTATTTTATTTATCTTTTTTTTTTTTTTAGTGTAAGCTTTGTTTTCCATCTGTAACTGTTCAGCTGAACTGGAAATCCGATGCTTCATTTGTAGCAAGTCAATGACCTTCCCCTGTAATTAGGAATACTGAATATACTTGCTTTGTGGAACTTCCCGAGGGATCTTGCTTTCTGGATGGAAGGAGTGCAGAGGGATTTGCCTTTCCCCCTGACTAATCTCCAAGAATCCAGGCTGAGGCTCTTCTCTGCTCACAGATGCAGGATTTAGTTCCTCCATAACTATAATTACTAAGGAATTACAGCAGTTGTTTTTATATTTCTCTTCAAAGTGCTGTTGATATTTGAAGATTCTTCTGATGTGATCACTTTTCTAGATACAGTCTCAGGACTCTTCAGATGGAGTGAGGGTTTTATATGGGTTTTTAATTTGTTAACTGATGTATCTGTGTGCATTGGAGATGTTTCTTCTTTCAACCTATACAAAGAAATTTGCATCCTCAGAAAGATTGATTACCTCAAGTGATACTTCTAAATTCGATACTTGATGACAGATCTCTCAAAAATGTCTATCTTGGGCTGAGTCAAGGGCCTTCTTTTGCTCAGTTGAATCACATAGTCTCCAATTCTTAGAGTTCTCATGGTTTTTATCTTAGGGGCTTTGGCTTTTCAACCTGGAGCCTTGAACATTATACTAGTCCGTGTGAGAGAGTGGAGAGACCTTGGGGGTGCTGGCTGGCGGTACTAGTCCCCATGCCGCAATCCGGTGGTGCATTCTTGGACAAGTTTCTTGACATTTCTGAGCGCCAATAAAAATGGTTAGTGGAATGAATAAGAAAATTAGACACCGTGGTTCCTCAATCCCTGAGGACCCTTCTGGCTCCACATCTAATTTGAATTGGTCTTATGGTCACATATCATAGACTTGGAAGGTACCAGAAAAGCCCAACCTAAAGGCTGTAGCTATGTTGTTAAACTCCTTCAACCCCTAGGGAAGGTCATATTCCTGCTCCAAATTCCTCCCTTACCACGTATGGAGTCAGAGGCAAGGGGCCAGCCGCTATTCTCTTAGATGCAGTCGACTTTCCTCTTTACCTCCCCTCATTCTTTCTTGCCAATTTTAGCAACCCTTTCTTCTTTTCTGAAAAGGAGCTCTAAAAATCACTCTTATCCTCAAACTCAAATTGTGCTTTGAACCAGAAAGTGTTCAGAATTTGGAAATGCAATGTTTTTCAAGTATTTAAATGAGAAGCAGAGACACCCAAAGACTACTTCATCATATTTTAATTCTATTTCATTTAGCGCTAATTTAAAACAGAAACCTGTGGAGTAGAACCAAGGAGGCAGCCATAAAGTCAGGAGGTAAAAGCCTGGGAAAGCAGATAACGTCCTTCTCCTCCTCCCTCTGACGACTGACTCATCCCCGCTCTTCACTGTCTTCCTCCTGCCCAGTGCTCAAAGTTATTACGTTCGAGTTAATAATTGCAAGAGATTCACTGGTCTAACTTCATTGTCTCTTCTCAAGTAACATGCCACCTGTCATGATGATTTTACTAGCTCCTTTGCAATGGAGCCAGTGCAGTCTGCTCTGCAAATCCAATCAAATCCACCAGCAAGATGCAGAGGCTGTTGGAATAGATGAGGTTGACAGCTGGGGGTCCCAGAGAGAGATTTATCAGCATCTTCAACTGCACACTCTTCACTTGGCTCATTGACTACCAGTGTTTTTTATTTTCTGTTTGCTCCTTGTTCTTCAGAAACTCCAAGAACACCGGAACTTCCTGGGAATTTCAGGCATCACTGAGAACTTCGTAGCACAAATAGGAGGACTTCCTAGCACAAATAGTGAGACACAGGCTTGGTTGTGTGTGCCTTAAAAGGCTCCTTGTGGCGGGGCTTGGTGGCTCATGCCTGTAATCCTAGCACTTGGGAGGTAGATGTGGGAGGATTGCTAGAGCCCTGGAGTTCGAGACCAGCCTGAACAACATAGTGAGACCCCGTCTCTACAAAATGTAGAAAAATTAGCTGGGTGTGGGGGCACATGCCTGTAGTTCCAGGTACTCGGGAGGCTGAGGTGGGAGGATCATCTGAGCCTGGGGAGGTTGAGGCTGCAGTGAGCAGAGATCGCGCCAAAGTACTCCAGGTTGGGTGACAGTGTGACATCCTGCCTAAAAAAGAAATAAAGGCACCTTGCTGCACTCCAAAAGCCGATACTGAAAGACTTGATGCAAATAAATGCTTTCTCTCAAGAATCCAGGATGGAGGGGATTATAGCAGGCAGAACTCACAGTCCAACTACCCAGCAGGATTCCCAGGGGCCCTTGCGGACAGTTTTACCAAGTACCAAGTGAAGCCTGAAGCTGGTGATGCCTTTACTTTAGTTTCCTACAGTACTTTCAAAATGGGGACACAACAGGCAAGAGGCGACCAAGCCTCCCTAGCCTGAGGTAAGTGAGAAGACACCACCAGCTCTACACAAGCGGAATCATTGGTGCCCTTGCTTCTCCAGTGCTCTCCTTACTCAGAGTGGTGTAATTTGCTGGGAAGGAGATCTTGGGCTCTTGAGCTCTGTGTAATATTCAAATTCTCATTATATAGACGTGGTTGAAGATGTCAGGGGAATAAAAACTAGAATTTCAAGAAGCCCCCGATATGGTTTGTCTGTGTCCCCACCCAAATCTGATCTTGACTTGTAGCTCCCATAATCCCCACATGTTGTGGGACAGACCTGGTGGGAGGTAATTAAATCACAGGGGCAGGTCTTTCCCGTGCTGGTCTCATGAGATCTGATGGTTTTATAAAGGGGAGTTCCTCTGCACATGCTCTCTTTGCCTGCTGCCATGTAAGATATGCCTTTGTTCCTTCTTCACCTTCTGCCATGATTGTGAGGCCTCTGGAGCCTTGAGTCAATTAAACCTCTTTCCTTTATAAATTACCCAGTCTCGGGTATGCCTTTAGTAGGAGCATGAGAAGGGACTAATACACTCCCCTTTCTCCCCTCAGGGTCACCTGCAATCCTTGGTGGGTGTGGGTGAGGGCAAGTAAACTTGCACCCCACCAGCCTTTTAAGAGATGGAGTCCTTAAGAACTTGGGTCCACCAGACACTGGGGATAATGAGTTAGGACTAAATAAGTGTGACAGGGACTCAGGAGAGCTAGAATTTCACCAACCTCTGTCAAAAGCAAGCCACGCCCCCTCTCTGGACTTCTGACTCTTCAACTGTAAATGTAAACTCTGAAATTCTGATTTTGAGGGGGATTATTTCAGGAGATAGAGTAAGATTACCCTAAACCTGTTTGAGAAGGCACAGGAAGATGAAGAGAGAAACACAAACTGGGTTTGTCCTCAGTTTGCACACAATTATGAGAAGCACATTTCATATTTGACTTTGAACCACAGCCTTTACCTGTAGATAAATAGAAACACTGCAACTTGGAAACCACGAATCTGTCTTCCAGGGTGAAGTGGAGATAGAACCCTCAAGGAGCTATGCTTGGGATGAACAGTGTCTGCTGTCACTGTAGTGAAGGGAGCACTTCAGGGCCCCCGTGAACTGTCCAGCACTGTCCAGTGCAGGGGGTCTATGCAGGCCCCACTCTGTGAATCCAGACTGAGTCAGCTTGGCCCCAAGGATTTCCAGGTTGGCCCCAAGTGAATGCCACCTGGCTGTAAGCATGGTCACACTCTGCCACAGAGCAGAATATTGCAGGATTTTGATAAACCTCAGGGTAAGTCATGTTCTGTAGACTTAAGCACATAGTAAAAGCCTGTGACAACAGGGGAACTCATACAAAGAAAGATAGTCCCGTTTCCTATGTGAATGTTATAAATAGGCTTAACCACATAATCAGTGCTTACTGCAGGCATTGTGTGCCATACACTCTGCTGGGCACAAAGGAAAACACCAGGAGAAGTAACAACAGAATAATTTACCATTTACCCACTGTATGATCTTCCTTGGGCAAGTTACTCAACCTCTCTGTCTCTCAGATTTCCCAGTTCAAAATGAAAAGGATAATGACACTATTGACCTTATAGGGTTGTTAAAATAAGGCATTTAGCAGACTAGCTGGCACCATACCAAAAATGTTAATTATTATTGTTTTTATTATATATAAAAAGTGGTGGTAAGCTTCTTGGGATTTTATGAAATTTTATGAAAACGCTTTACTTTTATCATGTCATTGGATTCCTATAACAACCTGGCAAAGAAGGCATTCTCATTTCCATTTTACAGATAGGAATGGAAGCCTACCTAGGATTACACACCTAAAAAGGGGAGAGAGGACAAATTTGGATCAATTCATTGCCATTTTCGCTTCATTAAACTGCCTCCCATAAAGACTAGGAAAACAGAGCTCATGTACTCAAGAGCCCTGTTATTTGTGAGGGTAGCCAAAAACTCAACAAATGAAAATGACATGGGATAGATAAGTGTCTGATACAATAGTGCTAGCAATGCTTAGATATTTGCAACTAATTCTAGGCAGAACTGTGACTCAGCAATTGCTGTGGAAGTGCTGCAGTAGAGGGGTGTTGGGGGAGAGGTTGGCTGCTACCTAGTGATCACCCACTGGGCTGCTGTGGGCTGCTGTGGGTACTGGTCCATTACTAGTCTGCACATGGGACATATCTAGCCGTTGAATGGAATTATGGCTCTTTTTTTTCTTCAACTTTTATTTTGAGTTCTGGAATAAATGTGGAGGATGTGCAGGTTTGTTACATAACATGTAACACGTGCCACAGTGTTAGGACTAAATAAGTGCGACAGGGACTCAGGAGAGCTAGAATTTCACCAACCTCTGTCAAAAGCAAGCCATGCCCCCTCTCTGGACTTCTGACTCTTCAACTGTAAATGTAAACTCTGAAATTCTGATTTTGGGGGGATTATTTCAGGAGATACAGTAAGATTGCCCTAAACCTGTTTGAGAAGGCACAGGACCTGCTGTACAGATCAACCCATCACCTAGGTATTAAGCCCAGCATTCTCCCTCCCTTGGCCCCCACCTCCACTGACAGATCCCAGTATGTGTTGTTCCCTACCATGTGTCCACGTGTTCTCATTGTTCAGCTTCCATTTATAAGTGAGAACATGTAGTGTTTGGTTTTCTGTTCCTGTGTTAGTTTGCTGAGGATAACGGCTTCCAGCTCCATCCATGTCCCTGCAAAGGACATGATCTCAATCCTTTTTATGGCTGCATAGTATTCCGTGGTGTAGATGTACCACATTTTCTTTATCCAGTCTATCATTGATGGGCATTTAGGTTGAATCCATGTCTTTGTTATTGTGAATAGTGCTGCAATAAATAATCTTTATAATGGAATGCTTTATATTCCTTTTGGTATATAGCCAGTAATGGGATTGCTGGGTCAAATGGTATTTCTGTCTCTAGGTTTTTGAGAATTTGCCACACTGTCTTCCACAATGGTTGAACTAAAACATTCTCACCAACAGTGTAAAAATGTTCCTTTTTCTCCACAACCTCACCAGCAACTGCTGTTTCTTGACTTTCTAATAATCACCATTCTGACTGGTGTGAGATGGTATCTCATTGTGATTTTGATTTGGATTTCTCTAATGATCAGTGATATTGAGCTTTTTTTCATATGTTTGTTGGCTGCATGAATGTCTTCTTTTGAGAAGTATCTGTTCATGTCCTTTGCCCACTTTTTAATGGGGTTGTTAGGTTTTGTTTTTCTTGTAAATTTGTTTAAATTCCCTGCAGACTCTGGATATTAGATCTTTGTTAGATGGACAGATTGCAAAAATTTTCTCCCATTCTGTAGGTTGTCTGTTCACCCTGATGATAGTTTCTTTTGCTGTGAAGAAGCTCTTTATTTTAATTAGATGTCATTAGTCAAATTTTGCTTTTGTTGCTATTGCTTTTGGCATTTTTGTCATGAAATCTTTGCCTGTGTCTATGTCCTGAATAGTATTGCTTGGCTCTCTTTAGTTCTGCACTCCTGTCTGTTGGCTCTCCCCTCTGTCTATCTATCTCCAGTATCCTAGTGTCCTTTGGATCTCTCAACCCAGACATCTGCTCTTCAGAATTTCATCACAGCAAAGATCAGATAAATTCTTACAGATGAAGGTGAAAATGACTGGGTTTTATATGGACCTCCTTCCCTAAAGTGTGTTCCCTACCCTAATCTAGGCAAAAAGCCAGAAGACAAAGAGGTGGTGGATGTTTAGGCATGAATAATTTAGGGTAGTGAGAAATTTTGAGGAAAGAGGGGATCTATGGGAGCCATTTAAAGATGCTATACAATTTGCCCATCTTACTTGTTTTTAAAATTGTAGTAAATCTGAAATCAATAGGATCTTAAGTAAACAAACTCCAAAAGGTCAGAGATTACATCTTTCTTATTTACTGTTATATCTACAGTACTGGCACAATCCCTAGTACATAACAGGTACTCAATAAATATTGGCCAAGTGAATGAATTATTTGATGAATTACTCAATGAAGACTTACATTGTAGATTTACATTAAATTCATCCAACCTAGATGAGTATTTTGATTGGTTGGCCATTAAGGAATCTTAAAATTTTGACTGGTTATAGCCTCAAGATTGAAAAATACTTTTATTCTCATTTTTACAAAAAGAATCTCTTGAACAAGGATGAGGATGATAAATTGAATGAAACATATTGCTCATCTGCTATACAAAAAATGTACTATTCAACAGTTATTACTATCATATCATGGCACCTGTAGTATGTATGTTTCCTTTTTCTAACACATTGGAATGGTCAGGAATTGACTTGACATTGAATGATACTGACACGTGTGTTTCTCCAGCATCTCTGGCAAATGGTCATAACACAGACTTTGCAGTTCATGGAGAACTGGAAGGCTGGCATCTTTAGACATTGGAGATGAGTTATAGAACACTATGCAGTTACCAGTTTCAGTGCTGTTTATTCCTTTGTATAAATCCACATTTCTATCTGGTATCATTTCTTCTGCCTGAGGGACTTCATTTGACATTTGTTGTTGTGTAAGTCTGCTGGTGATAAATTCATCAGCCCTTATATGTTTTAAAGAGTCTATGTTTAATGTTCATGTTTGAAAGATACTTTCACTGGTTATAGAATTTTAGGTTGACAAGTTTTGGGGGGTGAAGGTTGGAGTGGGGGTACATTAGCGATGTTACTCCATACTCTTCTTGCATGCATTTTTCCTGATGAGAAATCTGTCCTTAGCATCTTTGTTTCTCTGTATTTTACCTGCCTTTTTCCCCTAAAGGCTGCTTTTATAATTTTATTTATTACTTTTTTAAAGCAAGTTGATTTTGATTTGCTATGGTGTAGTTTTCTTCATGTTTATTTTGCCTGGGACTCATTAAACTTTTTAAATCTGTGGATTTATAGCTTTTATCAAATTTGGAAAATTCTTAGCCTGTTTCTTCTAGTTTTTTTTTTTTTTTCCCTGTTCTTGCCCCCTTTGGAGACACCAATTAAAGACATATTAGGCCACTTGAAATTGTATTACAGCTCACTAATACTAAGGGTATTTTTTAAGGGTTGGCTTTTTCTTTACGTTTTGTTTTGGCTAGCGTACATGGCTACTTGCTTCAACTTCATTAATCTTTTTTCAGCAAAGTCACTTTGCTTTTAATCCCATCCAGTATAGTTTTCATCTAAGACACCACATTTTTCACTTGTAGAAGTTCAATTTGAGTTTCTTTTTAATTTAATTTTTTTTTTTTTTTTTTTACAGAGTCCTTCTCTGTCACCCAGGCTGGAGTGTAGCCACATGATTTCAGCTCACTGTAAACTTCACCTTCTGGGTTCAAGTGATTCTCCTGCCTCAACCTCCTGTGTAGCTGGGATTACAGGTACCTGCCACCACTCCTGGCTAATTTTTGTATTTTTAGTAGAGACAGGGTTTCACCATGTTGGCCAGGCTGGTCTTGAACTCCTGACCTCAGGTGATCTGCCCGTCTCTCTTTTTAATTTTTAAATTTTTGTTTTATTTTATTTACTTATTTTTTTGAGACAGGATCTCACTCATTTGCTGGAGTGCTTAGGCATGACTGTAGTTCACTGCAGCCTTGATTTCCTTGGCTCAAGCAATCCTCTTGCCTCAGCCTCCCTAGTAGCTGGGACTACAAGTGTGTGCCACCATGCCTGGTTATTTTTTAGGGGATTTTTAGTAGAGACAAGGTCTTGCTATGTTGCTCAGGCTGGTTTCAAACTCCTAAGCTCAACCGATCCTCCTGCCTTGGTCTCCCAAAGTGCTGGGATTACACATATGAGCCACCATGCCTGGGTGAGTTTCTTTCTCATATTATCCATGTCTCTACTTGACTTTTTAAACATATGGAATACAGTTATAATAGCTGTGTTATGTTCGTCTTTCCTAAATATAATATCTGTATCAATTCTGGTTCAGTTTTGATAGATTAATTTTTCCCTTCACTATGGCTTATATTTTTCTACTTCTTTGCACACCTGGTAATTTTTTATTAGATCCCAAACATTATAGATAGCACCTTTTAACAATTCCTACATATATTCTTGAGCTTTGTTTTAGGATATAGTTCAGTAACTTGGAAACAGTTTAAGCTTTTCAGGTCTTGCTCTTGGGCATGACCTAAACAGCATTTAGACTAGGACAGGATTTTCCAACCTCAGTACTTTTGCCATTTTGTATGAGATAATACTTTTCTGTAGGATATTTAACAGCATCCCTGGCCTCTACCCACTAGATGCCACTAGAAGCTCCCTTCAGTGTTGACAATAAAAAAATGTCTCTAGACATTGTCAAATGTCCCCTGGGGGCAAAATGTCCCCAGGTTGAGAATGAATTATGTAGGATTAATTTTGCCCACCACTGTAGCAAGATCTTTCTGAATATTCTATTCAATTCCTGGTGAGGCTTTGCAGCCTGATTGGTGGAATTGAGCATTATTGCTAGTGCTGTGTGCGTGCTGGGTACTTGCTCCCTCTAATCCTTTAGGGCGAGTCTTTCCCCAGCCTCAGGGGGTTTCCTTACATTCATATGCTGACCAGGACTCTACTGAATGCATCGGGGGACCCTATGAATATCTCACCTCTCTGCTATTCTATTCTGCAAATTCTAGCTGCTTGGTCCCCCAAGATTCCCAACTTAATCTTTTTGATTTAAGGAGTCTGCTGGTCTCCTCTTGCATCCACTCTCCCTGGGCTACAACCTGGAAACTCTCCCAGGGCAGTAACTTGGAAAATCGTGGGGCCCACCTTGTTTGTTTCCTGCCTCTCAGCGATTATTGGTATCCTTTGTATTCTGTTATCCACCATGGGTTTCAAATGTGTTTTTCATTTGGTAGATAAAAACGGTGTTTATATTTTATTTAAAACTTTTGTCTCATTTTTTACTAGTTGAGGTTGAATTTTTTTTTAGTCATATTCTTTTTTTTTTTTTAAAGGTCTTGCTCAATTGCCCAGGCTGGAGTGTAGTGGCATGATCTCAGCTCACTGCAACCAGGGTTTGAGTGACCCTCGTACCTCAGCCTCCCAAGTAGCTAGGACTATAGGTGTGTGCCACCACGCCTTGCTAAGTTTTGTATTTTCAGTAGAGATGGGGTTGGCCAGGCTGGTCTCAAACTCCTGGCCTCAAGTGATCCATCCACCTTGGCCTCCCATATTGCTGGGATTATAGGTGTGAGCCACCACATCCAGCTAGCCATATTCTTTGTTATTGAATTATATGAGCTCTTAATATATTGAAGATATTAATCCTTTGTCTATCACATTAGAGGCAATTCCCCCCCTCCACTCAGTTTGACACTTACCTTTTAATTTAGATTTTTTTTACAAATAAGTTGAAATTTTTATGTAGTCAAATCCGTTAATCTTTTCTTTTGTAATCCTATTCCTGCAGGTTTTATATTTAAAAAGTCCTTCCCATTCAGACATTAAATAAATATATTTTCTTCTGAGTTTTTCTTTTAATGGTTTAATTAAAATTCTTATCGCTCCAGTCCAGATAGAATTTATCAGTGAATGGAGAGCTGAAATGAGTATCTTCATGGATTTCCCCCTCCCCCACCCCACAAATAACAACTTGTTTTCCCAACACCTTTTGTGGAATAGCTTATCCTTTGCTCACTGGAGTTTTTTAAAAAAATTATTTAATACACCTTGGGTTCCTGTGTAGCAGGAGGATCTATGTCTGTAGCAACCATTCTGTTTCCCAGGTCTAAGCTGAGCATCTGTTCTCAGGCCTGAGGTATTTTTGGACTTACACATCTCAGTGCACTGATGAATCGCCAGCACTTCCCTCTTCCTTGGCCAAAGAGCTGCAGGTGGGAACGGGGTATGGACACCTACAAGTGCCATAATGGGAGCTATTTGCAGTAGCCACCGATACTCAGACACCTCAACCCTGGTCACTTTCTTGTAGGATTAATAAAACAATCTGCTTCACATGGCAGCTCTTTCATACCAACACATGCATTCACACACGCACAAGCATGGTGCTATCTTGTCAGCTTATCACCTTCTCTGCCTGTCACTCTTTATCAGTTGATGAGCCAAAGTAGGGAGAAGGTGAGAAGAGAGATTGCTGGTGCGTATGAAACTGTCAAAAATCTAAATATAGGTCATGTGACTGACTAAAACTCATCTCCACAAATTCCATCCCTCCTTAGCACATTTTCTGCGATCTGCATCTCTAATCTGCTCATAGCCCCTTCACTCATGTTTCCTTTAATTTTTCTACCTTTCTGATAACCTCGTCGCAGCAGGGGTATGTAGAACTTTTCGCAAGAATGTAGTGGCTATAGGACTCTTCACCAATACTCTGATTTTTATTCCTTTATGCACAGAGCAGGATTAAACTCAGGCATTTTCCAGTGGTGTGCTTTGGCCAGGGAAATATGAGCAGAAGATTGAAGAATTAGTGTGTTATTTGGTATAAAGTCTGAGTCTTAGAGCAGTCAGATGGCTGACTGCTCCATCAACTTGTGTCCCAGTATGAGCAGAGCCTCAAGACAATAATGAAAAACATGACACGCAAGTGAGAAAGCAATCTGTTGTTTGAAGCCACCGGGATTTGAAGGATGTTTGTTCCAAGGTGCATCTAGTCGAATCTGACTGATATGTCACATACTCTATGTTCAAAACAAATGAATGGGCATCTGGTTTGTGAGACATGAGGATGTATCTGTACCTCGAGCATGTTATCATTTTCATCTCCTAAGAAACTGGGCAGGGCGGAATGGTCAAGCATGGAGAATGGCTTCCTCCTTCTCCATCCAATCAGTGGAGCTGCAGAGAGCTCCCAGCCCATCAGTGACAACAATAGAAACAAATGTTTTAAACCTGACCGTCCTTGTCCCTTGGATGCAAAGCACCATGGTTGCTTTTCTTAGTACTGGCCAGGAAGAAAATCTCCTGTGGCTCAACTCTGTTTGGCCTTTATGATAGAGACTTAGGGTTAGTATACCAGACGTAAAGATAAGTTCATGTTCATGTTTCAAATGATCTTGCAATTATTTGCACTTCTCTAGCAGGTGTTCTGTGAAAGCAGGGCAAGAAATAAAGAAATTCCAAGCAGATGCTTAATCAATGGTGAGTGCTGACATTTCTACATCTTATCTCAGGTCTAAAGCAAGGTTCAGCCTATTTAATTTTGGCTTCAGTTGGCCCTTTGCAATCTGGAGATCTTTTTCATTTGCCCCCTTGTCTACAATGTTATAGCCAATAACCTGATTAGGTAAATTCTTCAGCTCAGATTGTTGAATGGGTGGTCATTTCTTATTTTGATGAGTTATTTCAAGGGTTTTTCATAATTTGGATTTGAAAATATTTTATTGTGCCTTATTGATTCTAGCTTTCATATTCTAATGCTTTTGGCTCATTTTCTTGCCATCCACTCCTGTCTGCTGTGTTTAAGCCTCACTGATGGGTACTAACTGGCTGGAAGGTCAATGTAAATCAGATACTAGGCTGAATTAAAGTCAATTTTTAAAGAAATACATTTTAAATGCAAACAGAAACTCAAACTAAATTTTCACAAAGTTCTGACAGAAGGCTTCCAAGTAGAAGTCCTGCTGAGCTGCTGTATTGACGAGATAAAACTCATTTATAATTAGCAACCCTGTTTGCATACAAATAGTTAATGGGTTAAAGTCCTTAAAAACGATTTGCTCTCTTCCAGAGATTGAATGTGCTTCTGCAATCGTGCACACTCTAATCAGCTGCTTTGCAGAACATCTTTGCATTGGCCACATTGAACTCCAGTCTAACCTACACAGAAGTATAACAAAGACTGAGTTCATACATTCTGAAGAAATAAAATGTTACTGAATGAATCCAGGTGTTTTTGAAATAGTAATTGAGTTTTAAAAATAATCTCCAGGGGATGGGGCATGGTGGCTTATGCTTGTAATCCCTGCACTTTGGGTGGCTGAGGTGGGTGGATCACTTGAGGTCAGGAGTTCAAGACCAGCCTGGCCAACAAGGTGAAACCCCATCTCTACTAAAAATACAAAAATTAGCTGGCCATGTTGGTGCGTGCCTGTAATCCCTGCTACTAGGGAGGCTGAGACATGAGAATCGCTTGAACCCAGGAGGTGGAAGTTGCAGTGAGCCAAGATTGAGCCACAGCACTCCAGCCTGGGTAACAGACTCTGTCTCAAAAAAAAAAAAAAAAAAAAAATCTCCTGGGGCCAGGTGCAGTGGCTTACATCTGTAATCCCAGCACTTTGGGAGGCTGAGGCAGGAGAATCACTTGAACCTAGGAGTTTGAGACCAGCCTGGGCAACATAGCAAGACCCTGTCTATACAGAAAAAAAGAAAGTCCTGAGTTACCCATTTCATCCGAGAGGACAGGAAGAGAGCAGGAATCTAAATTAAGAAGTTTCTGTAATCTACAGAATGGGTTGTTTGAAATAGAAATTACATCATAGAAATTCTAGAAAATAATATTTCATATGAAGCTTTGGACGTGGATTGAAATCGAATCCTACAATCATGCCCTTATCACATAACTCTGGATGCCATTCGTGTAGAGTACAGTGTGAATGGTGTCCCATTAGACTTGAGCCAGTGTAGGTATAATGCTATTGGAATTCAATATTTACTTGCCTGAGTAATGGGTGCTAGACGATGTGTGGCTCTTGCTCTTTTAGTTGACAAGATTGCAGCCATTCTTCATGACTCAGATTGAACATCATTTCTCCCGAGCCTTCCTATTTCCACTGTTTGTATGGGTCATGGTTTCAGCAGGAAACAGATGCATACACAAATTGGGTAATTTGAGGACAGTTTACAAAGGGGCTATTTACAAAGGTATAGGCAGGGCATATGGAAATTACAAAGGATCAACTGCGGGACCTTTGAGCTTGTAAAACGTCGGGGCCTAAAAAGGCAAAGGAATAGTGCAGTCACTAGGACCTGGTGCCAGTAACTGTAAGGGGGCAACCACTAAACAGAAACTGACACCTTTATGGCCAAGACACCGTGGCCAATACGGGGGAAGCTGGGGAATTGAATATCCTAACTCTGCTCCACAACCTTTCTCCCATCATAACCCTCATTAGCTGAACCCAGCTGGAAGTAAGAGTTGGGCAAGGGAGCCTGCTGATGCAGTCCAAAGAGGTTAGTGTATTATTTATCTATTGCTTTATAACAAATGATTCCAAAACTTAGTAGCTTAAAATAGCAAACTTCACCTCATAGTCTCTGTGGAGCAGGAATTTGGATAGCTAGATTTTGGCTCAATGTCTCTTAAGAGGTTGCCTTTAAGAAGTCAGCTGAGGCTACAGTCATCTGAAGGCTAGAGAATTTGCTTCCAAGATCCCTCACTCACCTGGCTTTTAGCTGGAGGCTTTTTAGTTCCATTATCACAGGGGGCTCCTCTATAAGGTTACATGGGTGTCCTCATGACATGGCAGCTTGCTTCCCCCAGAGCAGGTGATCTAAGAGAGAGCAACTGAGAAGTTGTGGTATGTATGATGACCTAGCCTTGAGAGTCACATACCATCACATCTGACACAGACCAGCCCTCATATAACATGGGAGGGTGTTATTCAGGAACAGGAAAACCAGAGGGCAGAGATCACTAGGGGCCACCTTGGAGGCTGATTATCACAACCAGCCTACCTGCAGGATGCAGACGGTTGAAAGTAGATATAGAAATGCAGACAGAAGACATCCAGCACACCCCTAAGTAGGAGCACACCTTCTCTAATCTGATCACATAATAAATTACCCATATCTTGACTGCAGCACCAATTATATTGCTTAAAATTTGTTGTTTATCTGTCTCTCTGGAATGTAACCTCCTTGAAGAGGAGAACTGTCTTATTCTTTCTTATGTCTTTGGTGTTTACACAGTGCCAGGCTTATGATGGTTCCCCCAAATACTTGAAGTTTTTATCTTTTTATTTTTAAAAATATCTCTTTCATAATTTATTATATTGATTACATGTTGAAATGATATTCTAAATATACTGAGTTATATAAAATACAATATTAAAATCAATTTTACCTATTTATTTTAAATTATTTAAATTTGGTTGTAAAATTTAACATTATATGTGTGGTACATGTTATTATATTATAATATATTATTACATTTTTATTGTATAGCCCTACCTTACTGATTTTGTATTCAATTCTGTTTCTGAGTTATTTTTTCACATTCTCTGGATAACACGTTTCAAAGTTCAGAAATACTTTATTAGTATTAACATTTTCAGTAGTGAATAGTCTTTCTAGAAAGAATTGTGTGATGACTAAAATTATTTTTGAAATAGTTGTATTATTAGTTGCTCTTAAAATGTTCATCATCTCGCTAGCACTTTTAAAGAATGTTATAGGACTTGTGAAGCTCTGGGATCTGAATTTTGGTTCTTTTAAAGGTGCTTTATCTGTGTAGATAGTTGTTAAATTGGTGTCCTTGCCAGGGAGACCATTGGTGGAACCTTCTAGTTCACCGCCTTGCTCTGCCTCCAGTCTGAAGTCTTGAATAAATGAAATCTACTAGCATCCTCTTGATGGTCTACAGTCAGTGATGTGGACTCTCCTTCATCTTTCTCCACCCCCTTCATCTTCCCTGCAGTGGCCCAGTGCTGTCAAAATACCTTTGCGTCAATTAGAAAATTGACCTAATATGCGAATGCATACATCAGATGTTAGTGACTGTTAAATCCTAGAGTATTTGCATATAACTATTTTTAATTTTAAAAAAGGAAAGATGAGCTGGAGTGTTAGCAGCCCATTACTTAATAACCCCCATGTCACTCCTCTGAGTTCTCTGTTAACTATTTTGGCTCAAGTTCTATCTCCCCTTGATATGACTTGGGTACTCCATACTTGTGCCTCAAAGACATCTTGATGTGAAGTGCCCATGTGAAGGGGAAGGGCAGTGGCCATCCAGTTGTAGAAGGAAGTTTCTTGGGCACATAGTCCAGCCCTTAATAGCCTTGGGCTTTGGTTCTTTAATTGAACAAAATTAAATAAAATGTAAAAACCTGAGAAATGATGAAGATTTGCCTGTGCTTTTTCTGGTGCTTCATGAAGCTCCAGTCTATTATTTCAGACTTCAAATATGCATTTTCTTCATGTTCCTTGTTGAAATTATCTGTAAATTCTATATAAAAAAGGGATTACTCTATCACCAGCAAAGGTATCACATGTATTTCCATAAAACACCTGTTCTGTATTTTGGCCAGTATCAGTTCAAGTTCCAAATATATAAAATAAGAAATATATAAATAAATATATATATGTGTCTGTGTGATAACATTTTTAAATATCTTGATATCTTCAACTCCTAAACTTCTCTTTATGTCTACATTATTTACCAAAACTGTTTGTTTAAAACAATGAGATACCATGATGCACCTATTAGAATTGCCAAAATTCAGAGCACTGACACCACCAATTTCTGGTGAGGATGTGGGTCAGTAGGAACCCTCATTCACTGCAGGTGGAAATGCAAAATGGTACAGCCACTTTGGAAGACAGTTTGGTGATTTCTTACAAAATGAAACATACTCTTACCTTATGATTCAGTAATCGTGCTTCTTGGTATTTACCCAAAGGAGTGGAAAACTTATGTCCACGCAAAAACCTGCACATGCATATTTATAGCAGCTTTATTCATAATTGCCAAAACTTGGGAGCAATCAAGATGTCCCTCAGTAGGTTAATGGTTAAACTGTGATACATCCAGATGATGGAATGTTGTTCAACACTAAAAAGAAATGAGCGATCACACCATGAAAAGACATGGAGGAAACTTAAACAGTTATTACTAAGTGAAAAAAGCTTGTCTGAAAAGGCTACTTACTCTATAATTCTGAATACATGACATTCTGGAAAAGGCAGATCTGTGGAGAAAATAAAAAGATCAGTGGTTGCCATGGGGTTAGCGGGAGGGAGAAATGAATAGGAGCCCAGGGGATTTTTAAGGCAGTAAAACTACTATGCATGATACTCTAATGGTGAGTATATGTCATTATACATTTGTCCACATCCATAGAATGTACAACACCAAAGTTGAGCCCTAATGTAAACTATGGGCTGTGGGTAATGATGGTGTGTCAATGCAGGTTCATCAAATGTAATAATGTACCTCTGTGGTGGGAGATGTTGATAATGGGGGAGGCTATGCCTATGTAGGGGCAAGGAATATATAGAAAATCTTGGTACTTTCTGCTCAATTTTGCTGGCCGGACATGGTGGCTCACACCTGTAATCCTAGCACTTTGGGAGGCTGAGGCAGGCAAATCACTTGAAGTCAGGAGTCCGAGACAAGCCTGGCCAACATGGTGAAACTCCGTCTCTACTAAAAATACAAAAATTCGCCGGGCTTTGGTGGTGTGTGCCTGTAATCCCAGCTACTGGGGAGGCTGAGGCAAGAGAATCCCTTGAACCTGGGAGGCGGAGGTGGCAGTGGGCTGAGATCACACCAGTGCACTGCAGCCTGGGAGACACAGTCTGTTTGAGACAGATTCTGTCTCAAAACAAAAACAAAAACAAAAACAAAAATTTTGCTGTGAAACTAAAAGTGCTCTTTAAAATAAAGTCTCTTAAGAAAAAGGGTTGGACTATAAATATTTTACTAAAGCAAGGCAAAAGGATCTAATGCCCCAGAGGAGAGATTTCTAATGAGGGACTTGAGGCTCTGTCATGATATAGGGGGGTTATTGGGGAAGATTCTTGAGGCTAGAGAAGCTCCCCTGGAGCCTGGGGGGTGGCCGCTTCCACATATGTCCAGAACCACCTGAGATGTTTCCATCACTTTTGTATTTATTAGCTGTGTTATCTGTCTCCTTGGTATCACCACTACCCCTAAGATCTCTGCAGAGGAAAAGCTGGGAAATATATTTCTCAGAATCTTCTTCCCCTGAATGGTCTTGGGTTAGAGTTTCCCAAAGAAAGGCAAGCGGGTGAGACTGGGGAGGCTGCTGTAGGCAGTGGTAAGGTCCAGAGCAAGGCTCTAGAAAGCTCTAGAATAGTGGTTCTCAAACTTGTGCTGGATCAGAAGCACCCAGACAGCTTGATAAAGCACAGACTGTTGGAGCCCATCCTTGGAGTGCATGATTCAGTAGGCCTAGGGCAGGGCCTCAGATTTACATTTCTAGCAATTTCCAAGGTGAGGTTGATGCTGCTGGTTCCCATACCCACTTAGAAAATCACAGCTTTAGAAAAATAACTGCTTCAATGCTTCCATTTCCTTGAATTAAGACTCATGATGTAGAGAACACATAGCATGGCCCCTGTTTTCCAGAGTAAACTTGACCAGTGTTCAGTGCATGAACGCACAGAGCTTTCCAGAGTACTTGAGTCTCCCCAAGAAGGATGATTACTGAATCATATGGTAAGAATGCTTAAGTTTACAGAAGGGAATCAGGCAGGCTGGCATTGCTTCCAGGACCTATGTGGTTTCGATCTCCATGAGGCAAGGCCCCTGCTGCCATGCTGGTCTTCAGCTTCCTGTGGGGAAGGGACACTTGGGCCTCTTGCACCCGGCACTTTTGACTCTTTGCTCATTGACACTCCCCAGCTCTATGGAACATGCCAGGGCAGGACAAAGCCTCCAACTACTGGCCCTGGAAGATAGCTGTGTCAGTCCATTTGCACTGTCATAAAGAAATACCTGAGGCTGGGTAATTTATAAAGAAAAGAGATTTAATTGTCTCCTGGTTCTGCAGGCTGTACAGGAAGCATGGCTCCAGCACCTGCTTCTGGTGAGACCTCAGGAAGCTTCCGATCATGGTGGAAGGTGAAATGGGGGAAGGCATATCACATGGCAAGACAGGAGCAAGACAGAGAAGAGGGAGGTCCCAGACTCTCTAAACAACCAGATCTTGTGTGAACTCAGAGAGAGAACTCTCTCATTATCACAAGGATGGCACGAAGTCATTCATGAGGGATCTGCCCCATTACTCAAACACTTCCCACCAGACCCTACCTCAAACATTGGGGGTGACATTTCAACATGGGATTTGGAGGGGACACACATCCAAGCCATCTCAACAGCCCAGGGAGTTGCCCTGAGTCACAGCTGATAATAGGTCTACTGTGATGGCGGGGACATGTATGGCTGGCAGCAGGCAATGTGACATCCAGTGGCTGTTGCCTTGGATGGGGGTGACCACAAGCAGCTGTGGATAAATAAGAACAAAGTTGCTTCTTGTAAGCAAAGGCCTGGATTTGTGGTGAGGCTGAGGCTGGGTCACATGTGGGCCACCTCAAGAGCTCTGCCATGGCAGCCGAGGGACTTGAGCACCACATTGAAAGGGCCGCTGGCCTTACACAGGTCTCTGGGGCCACAACTGATAGAAAGGATGGTCAGAATACCCAATATTTGCGAATCTGTAAGTGGCCTTTTCTAAAAAAGAAAGAAATGCTTTACAGGTAAAGAAACAGACTCAGAGGCTAAGCGGCGTGACCAGAGTCAGTTAGTGGGAGAGTCAGGACCATGACCAAGTCCTTTAACTCCGAATTCCATGTTCAAACTAGCTGCCTGCAGTCCCCTCTGGGAACCCTGGCTCCAGGACAAAGGGACAAAGGGGACCATGGGGAGACACCACGTGCTCAGGAGTTATGGGGAGCACCTCTTCCACGTCTCACTTTGGACACTGTGTGTCTCGCCTGTTGAACTACTCAGGTTATCTTTTCATTGTTTGTAATGTTAAATTTTGAAATAATTATAGAATTCACAGTAATTTCACCCAACTTCCCCCAGCTGGTGCATCTCACATAGCTGCAGTACAAGGTCAAAACCAGGACAGGTTGTCTTGAAAGGAGCAGTTTCTCCCACAAATGTCCTCCAAGCCCTAAGACGCAGGCATTTAGAAAATCCCGTAATTGCTGTCATTTTCATTATCAGTTAAATGAGTCCCCTAATGTTTCAGAACAACAGATGACACGAGATGTCCCTGCTGGGGAGAAAAACTTGATGATCCCATTGGCAAACCAGCTCCTGAGATTTGTATCAAGGCCTCTGCATCTCACAGCTACCTTGTGTCTCCTCTATTGAAAAGCTGCTGGGACTTTCAGAGACATTCTACTAATGGCAAGTTCTGAGGTTAGTGGATATAGTAAGATTGGCAGACCTCTCTGGAATTGTTTATGTAGCAGAGAAAACAGAATTTAGAGGCAGGCAAATCTGAGTTTTAATCCTTATAATCAATCATGCATTAAGTATTGACATTTCTTTTGGTATTGCCTTAAAATGTTAAAGAAAATTATAAGTAATTTCTTGTAACAACTTCTCATGTACATCTGTTTTATTATGCCCACTAGATTATAAACTGCTAAATTACGTGCTTTGCTTTTTTTTTTTTTTTTTTTTTTTGCATTTGCCCCTATGGTGTGATGATTAGATCTAGAAACATTGACAAGATTGTTGAAACACAGATAGGCTGGCTTAAAAACACTGAAATTCAATGACTATGCAAGGTATCATCTGCCAATTTGTAGTTATTAAAAACATGAACTCACAGGTAAGCAAAGCAGGTGTGTCGCCTTAGAAGTGGAATGTGAATGTTAATTTGGAGTTTGGTAATCAATGTAATATATTGTCCATCTTAGAAATCATTTTCTTAGGTCAGGCATGGTGGCTCATGCCTGTAATCCCAGCACTTTGGGTGGCCGAGGCAGGCGGATCACCTGAGGTCAGGAGTTTAAGACTAGCCTGGCCAACATGGAAACCCCGTCTCTACTAAAAATACAAAAATTAGCCGGGCATGGTGGTAGGTGCCTGTAATCCCAGCTACTCAGGAGGCTGAGGCAGGAGGATTGCTTGAACCCGGGAGGCAGAGGTGGTAGTGAGCCGAGACTGTGCCAATGCACTCCAGCCTGGGCAACAAGAGTGAAACTCCATTTCAAAAAAAAAAATCATTTTCTTGTGCTGTAGGTTTAAATACTAAGAACCCACAACATGAAGACATTTGAAGATCTCAGATGAGATCTCTTGGTGAGTTTCAGGTCTCCTAAGAATTATGTTATATCCCTAAGGATACACATGGTTTTCAGTTATTACGTGTTAGACGAAAAACACAAAACAACCGTTATGGACTATTTGTATCCCTCCAAAATTCATATGTTAAAATCTAACCCCCAATGTGATCATGATGCAGCCTTGAGAGGTAATTACATCATGTGGGTGGAGCCTTCATGAATGGGACCAGTGCCCTTATAAGAAGAGGCCAGAGGGCTAGCTCACTCTCTTCCCACCATCTGAGGATACAATGAGGAGACTGCAGTCTGCAACCCAGAAGGGGGCCTTCCCCAAAACCTAACCACGCTGGTGCCCTGATCTCAGGCTTACCAACTATACCAACCTTAAAAAAATATGCTGGAAGTTTTTTTTTAAGGAAAAAATAGGATTAGTTCCAGTGCTCCAAATAATGACAGAAATTGCTAAATACAAAAGCTATAGGTATTTACTGAACAGATGTGAGCTATACAAGGGTATGCCTTGTGTGTATACAGGTTGCCTTCTTTGTTTGCTTAATATTTTATCATAAAACATCCATGTTATAATGTTGTATATGGAAACAACAGTGCCAGGTAGAAGGTGGATGGGTAATGAAAAATAGGTTATGGAAAATATACTGCAGCAAAATGTTTCCATCAAAACCAAGCTATTAACGTTTGGGTTTGGCAGTGACCTTTAGTCTATGAAACAAGGCTTTGGGGTTCAGGTAGCACAGAGAAAACACCTATAGACAGAAACCATAGGCATGCTACTTCAATCACAATTAATGTCGATATTGCATACATGTTCTTGACAATGTATATTGTAGCCAGCTTCTGTGGCCATGGCTGCTATTATCCCTGCCTTTTTCCCTGTTTGAAAAGAATCTTCTCAGCAGAGCTAGAGTCAGTAGAGAGTGTGTTTTATGTTATTGTGTTTGTGCTGGTGTCCTTTGTGCTACTGGTAATTACTCAATTGTTTCAACCGGCAATATGATTTCCAACACTAAAACATTATCATTTATAGAAATAAGTAATCATGATATTGGTGTCTTAGATTCCTAATCATTCAATGCTAATGATCCCTAAGCAATTTCAAGAGAGATCACTTTGCTGGTTATAAAAATAATGATGCCAAATATGGATTATGACTCTTCCTTGTGTGACTCGAAAGCTTTTCACCCATGTGTTTGCAATGACTGCTTTAAGAGCCTCATAAAGTTATTCAGTGCTTTCCCAGTGATGTTTAGGATAACCTGAGTGAATTCTTTGTTCATTTGACGGTAGGAAGGTGTTTTTATAGCTCGCATGGTTCTTGACAACCAGACTTGTATTTGGACAATCAAAAATTGTGTGTTCTTTGCTTAGTGCCATCATGAAGAATTTCAGGAAGAGACGTGATTTGACCTTAGTGTTTTAAATGGGCATGGTCCTGCTGTCAAGTTCAGCAAAACAGCAGCTACTGCTGTCTGATGTACTCTGAAAGCCTGATCAGTCAGATCAGCCATTAGAGACCTGACCTCATGGACCCAGTTGCAGGGTTGGCTGGATGATGGGCTGATATGAGGACAACTGCTCCATCGTGCTCAGCGCTGCTGGGTTGTACTGCATGAGGAGCCAAGCTCAGTTTTATTTCCCTGCCTCTTTGCAAACAATTATTCTAGCAACATGCACTAGGCATACAGAAAATAATATGAAATGGATTCTGATGTTTTTTGTGCTTGGATTAGTTTGCTTCACTGTAGCCCTTGAACTCTTGAAACAGAAGTATCAAGAACCTGCTATTCTCTTAGTGGGCTCTGACCATGTGGTGCCCCAGAAGTTATCTCCAAATATACTTCAAAATATCAGGCAGAGGTTTCCTGTCTAAAGTTACCATGTGCCATATACCTGTTAAGGTGTCCACCAGCGGCATCTTTCTGATGATGACCCTGAATGTTCACAATGATGCTTGAGAGAGGGTAAAAGAGGCAAAATATGCTGGTGAATATATTGAGTGTCTTTTGGGAACTTTGTTCTTTTCACTGGATCATCTTTAGAGCCTTCAGTGAACTAGCTCACCTTCTACAATTTGTTTATTACATGCACATTAGCCACAACATCTGGCAGAATTGAGCCTAGTATACTTCCTTCTTTGTAACTGAAAGGATCCCAGAACAAAGTGCCATGTTTAGGGTCTGGATATGTGAACAATAGGCATTCTCAAGAGCACCCTCAGTTCTCTCCTGGGCATCAACAAGAAACCCTCGCAGTGAAGATTGAATGACATCAAGTGCAGTAGCTCCATGGACTTCATGACACTCAGGGGAACTTAGGCTTTTGTTTTGTTGGACTGTCTTTTGTTTTTCAGCGTGTGTGTTCATTGGAAATTCAGAGATAAGCCATTTGTGAACCAGGGATCTAGAAAACTTGTCATCAGATGACGCATCTATTTTAGGGGCTGCCGAGCTCCAGGTGGCCTGATTGCTTGTCTCAGGCTCCCCCCACCACTGGAACTCCATGCTTATAGTCTCAGCTAATGTGGAACACGGTGGGTGTCTATCCTGAAGGTGGGTTCCTTCTGGGATGCCACCTGTGCAACCAGGTGAGTCCCGTCTGGGTTTGATGTAAATTCTACAGTGTCACACAGTTTGGGTTATAATACAGGCTGTACTGGGAAGATGAAAAACTAACATAGGCCAACGGTTGTTGAGAGAGAGAAGGCACTGGTTTCCTGATTCCTTCATTATCCCAGGGACGTGTGTGAGGCCAGGGCACCATTCCAGTGTTTGGACCCCACACTCTAGGGGATTCCATTTTACACAGGGCATTTAAAAGAAAGTACCCATGTCAGTGGAGGAAAACACACTCATTATCTGGCAGCTGGCAGTCTGGATTTGGGCTGCCAACTGTAGGTAGGAGTTGTCTGGGAATGTTAGCTGCCCAGACCTCGAGACATTGGGGCTGAAGGAAGTTATACACCCCACTTCTAGAAGGAGGACATTACTTATCCTATTGGAAGCTAATTCCTTGCATGCAGCCCCATCTGCTGATTCCAGCTGACTTGTTCAGGCCACCCAGAGAGAGTTCCTAGGGCTACACTCAGATGATTCTGGTAATCACCCCACAGGGCCATATAACCATGGTTTAACAACAAAGAGTAGGACAGAAAGAAAAGAATTACTTTGGTCCCAGTTAAATATATCCATCTAGTTTTATGCCATTTTGACTACTAATTGAGCAGAAAAGAAACACTGAAGGAAAGAAAAATATTCAAGCACCCTAAGCAGACTTGTGATCACCTGGAATACTATGTAATAATTTTAGATCAATGGCTCTGCGAACATTTAACGAGCAACTACTATGTGTCTAACACTGTGCTAGGTATTGGGGTGACATAGCCTCTGATCTTAAGAACCCATGGTCCAGTATACCCCATAGGAATATAATAAATAGACTCCTCTTAAGAAGGATTATCGGTGGAGGAGCCAAGATGGCCGAATAGGCACAGCTCTGGTCTACAGCTCCCAGCGTGAGCGACGCAGAAGACGGGTGATTTCTGCATTTCCATCTGAGGTACCGGGTTCATCTCACTAGGGAGTGCCAGACAGTGGGCGCAGGCCAGTGTGTGCGCGCACCGTGCGCGAGCCGAAGCAGGGCGAGGCATTGACTCACCTGGGAAGCGCAAGGGGTCAGGGAGTTCCCTTTCCGAGTCAAAGAAAGGGGTGACGGACGCACCTGGAAAATCGGGTCACTCCCACCCGAATATTGCGCTTTTCAGACCGGCTTAAAAAACGGCGCACCACGAGACTATATCCCACACCTGGCTCAGAGGGTCCTACGCCCACGGAATCTCGCTGATTGCTAGCACAGCAGTCTGAGATCAAACTGCAAGGCGGCAACGAGGCTGGGGGAGGGGCGCCCGCCATTGCCCAGGCTTGCTTAGGTAAACAAAGCAGCCCGGAAGCTCCAACTGGGTGGAGCCCACCACAACTCAAGGAGGCCTGCCTGCCTCTGTAGGCTCCACCTCTGGGGGCAGGGCACAGACAAACAAAAAGACAGCAGTAACCTCTGCAGACTTAAGTGTCCCTGTCTGACAGCTTTGAAGAGAGCAGTGGTTCTCCCAGCACGCAGCTGGAGATCTGAGAACGGGCAGACTGCCTCCTCAAGTGGGTCCCTGACCCCTGACCCCCGAGCAGCCTAACTGGGAGGCACCCCCCAGCAGGGGCACACTGACACCTCACACGGCAGGGTATTCCAACAGACCTGCAGCTGAAGGTCCTGTCTGTTAGAAGGAAAACTAACAACCAGAAAGGACATCTACACCGAAAACCCATCTGTACATCACCATCATCAAAGACCAAAAGTAGATAAAACCACAAAGATGGGGAAAAAACAGAACAGAAAAACTGGAAACTCTAAAACGCAGAGCGCGTCTCCTCCTCCAAAGGAACGCAGTTCCTCACCAGCAACGGAACAAAGCTGGATGGAGAATGATTTTGACGAGCTGAGAGAAGAAGGCTTCAGACGATCAAATTACTCTGAGCTACGGGAGGACATTCAAACCAAAGGCAAAGAAGTTGAAAACTTTGAAAAAAATTTAGAAGAATGTATAACTAGAATAACCAATACAGAGAAGTGCTTAAAGGAGCTGATGGAGCTGAAAACCAAGGCTCGAGAACTACGTGAAGAATGCAGAAGCCTCAGGAGCCGATGCGATCAACTGGAAGAAAGGGTATCAGCAATGGAGATGAAATGAATGAAATGAAGCAAGAAGGGAAGTTTAGAGAAAAAAGAATAAAAAGAAATGAGCAAAGCCTCCAAGAAATATGGGACTATGTGAAAAGACCAAATCTACGTCTGATTGGTGTACCTGAAAGTGATGTGGAGAATGGAACCAAGTTGGAAAACACTCTGCAGGATATTATCCAGGAGAACTTCCCCAATCTAGCAAGGCAGGCCAACATTCAGATTCAGGAAATACAGAGAACGCCACAAAGATACTCCTCAAGAAGAGCAACTCCAAGACACATAATTGTCAGATTCACCAAAGTTGAAATGAAGGAAAAAATGTTAAGGGCAGCCAGAGAGAAAGGTCGGGTTACCCTCAAAGGAAAGCCCATCAGACTAACAGCGGATCTCTCGGCAGAAACCCTACAAGCCAGAAGAGAGTGGGGGCCAATATTCAACATTCTTAAAGAAAAGAATTTTCAACCCAGAATTTCATATCCAGCCAAACTAAGCTTCATAAGTGAAGGAGAAATAAAATACTTTATAGACAAGCAAATGCTGAGAGATTTTCTCACCACCAGGCCTGCCCTAAAAGAGCTCCTGAAGGAAGCGCTAAACATGGAAAGGAACAACCGGTACCAGCCGCTGCAAAATCATGCCAAAATGTAAAGACCATCAAGACTAGGAAGAAACTGCATCAACTAATGAGCAAAATCACCAGCTAACATCATAATGACAGGATCAAATTCACACATAACAATATTAACTTTAAATATAAATGGACTAAATTCTGCAATTAAAAGACACAGACTGGCAAGTTGGATAAAGAGTCAAGACCCATCAGTGTGCTGTATTCAGGAAACCCATCTCACGTGCAGAGACACACATAGGCTCAAAATAAAAGGATGGAGGAAGATCTACCAAGCCAATGGAAAACAAAAAAAAGGCAGGGGTTGCAATCCTAGTCTCTGATAAAACAGACTTTAAACCAACAAAGATCAAAAGAGACAAAGAAGGCCATTACATAATGGTAAAGGGATCAATTCAACAAGAGGAGCTAACTATCCTAAATATTTATGCACCCAATACAGGAGCACCCAGATTCATAAAGCAAGTCCTGAGTGACCTACAAAGAGACTTAGACTCCCACACATTAATAATGGGAGACTTTAACACCCCACTGTCAACATTAGACAGATCAACGAGACAGAAAGTCAACAAGGATACCCAGGAATTGAACTCAGCTCTGCACCAAGCGGACCTAATAGACATCTACAGAACTCTCCACCCCAAATCAACAGAATATACATTTTTTTCAGCACCACACCACACCTATTCCAAAATTGACCACATAGTTGGAAGTAAAGCTCTCCTCAGCAAATGTAAAAGAACAGAAATTATAACAAACTATCTCTCAGACCGCAGTGCAATCAAACTAGAACTCAGGATTAAGAATCTCACTCAAAGCCGCTCAACTACATGGAAACTGAACAACCTGCTCCTGAATGACTACTGGGTACATAACGAAATGAAGGCAGAAATAAAGATGTTCTTTGAAACCAACGAGAACAAAGACACCACATACCAGAATCTCTGGGACGCATTCAAAGCAGTGTGTAGAGGGAAATTTATAGCACTAAACGCCTACAAGAGAAAGCAGGAAAGATCCAAAATTGACACCCTAACATCACAATTAAAAGAACTAGAAAAGCAAGAGCAAACACATTCAAAAGCTGGCAGAAGGCAAGAAATAACTAAAATCAGAGCAGAACTGAAGGAAATAGAGACACAAAAAACCCTTCAAAAAATCAATGAATCCAGGAGCTGGTTTTTTGAAAGGATCAACAAAATTGATAGACCGCTAGCAAGACTAATAAAGAAAAAAAGAGAGAAGAATCAAATAGACACAATAAAAAATGATAAAGGGGATATCACCACTGATCCCACAGAAATACAAACTACCATCAGAGAATACTACAAACACGTCTACGCAAATAAACTAGAAAATCTAGAAGAAATGGATACATTCCTCGACGCATACACTCTCCCAAGACTAAACCAGGAAGAAGTTGAATCTCTGAATAGACCAATAACAGGCTCTGAAATTGTGGCAATAATCAATAGTTTACCAACCAAAAAGAGTCCAGGACCAGATGGATTCACAGCCGAATTCTACCAGAGGTACAAGGAGGAACTGGTACCATTCCTTCTGAAACTATTCCAATCAATAGAAAAAGAGGGAAACCTCCCTAACTCATTTTATGAGGCCAGCATCATTCTGATACCAAAGCCGGGCAGAGACACAACCAAAAAAGAGAATTTTAGACCAATATCCTTGATGAACATTGATGCAAAAATCCTCAATAAAATACTGGCAAACCGAATCCAGCAGCACATCAAAAAGCTTATCCACCATGATCAAGTGGGCTTCATCCCTGCGATGCAAGGCTGGTTCAATATACGCAAATCAATAAATGTAATCCAGCATATAAACAGAGCCAAAGACAAAAACCACAAGATTATCTCAATAGATGCAGAAAAAGCCTTTGACAAAATTCAACAGCCCTTCATGCTAAAAACTCTCAATAAATTAGGTATTGATGGGACGTATTTCAGAATAATAAGAGCTATCTATGACAAACCCACAGACAATATCATACTGAAAGGGCAAAAACTGGAAGCATTCCCTTTGAAAACTGGCACAAGACAGGGATGCCCTCTCTCACCGCTCCTATTCAACATAGTGTTGGAAGTTCTGGCCAGGGCAATCAGGCAGGAGAAGGAAATAAAGGGTATTCAATTAGGAAAAGAGGAAGTCAAATTGTCCCTGTTTGCAGACGACATGATTGTTTATCTAGAAAACCCCATCGTCTCAGCCCAAAATCTCCTTAAGCTGATAAGCAACTTCAGCAAAGTCTCAGGATACAAAATCAATGTACAAAAATCACAAGCATTCTTATACACCAATAACAGACAAACAGAGAGCCAAATCATGAGTCAACTCCCATTCACAATTGCTTCAAAGAGAATAAAATACCTAGGAATCCAACTTACAAGGGATGTGAAGGACCTCTTCAAGGAGAACTACAAACCACTGCTCAAGGAAATAAAAGAGGACACAAACAAATGGAAGAACATTCCATGCTCATGGGTAGGAAGAATCAATATCGTGAAAATGGCCATACTGCCCAAGGTAATTTACAGATTCAATGCCATCCCCATCAAGCTACCAATGACTTTCTTCACAGAATTGGAAAAAACTACTTTAAAGTTCATATGGAACCAAAAAAGAGCCCGCATCGCCAAGTCAATCCTAAGCCAAAAGAACAAAGCTGGAGGCATCACACTACCTGACTTCAAACTATACTACAAGGCTACAGTAACCAAAACAGCATGGTACTGGTACCAAAACAGAGATATAGATCAATGGAACAGAACAGAGCCCTCAGAAATAATGCCGCATATCTACAACTATCTGATCTTTGACAAACCTGAGAAAAACAAGCAATGGGGAAAGGATTCCCTATTTAATAAATGGTGCTGGGAAAACTGGCTAGCCATATGTAGAAAGCTGAAACTGGATCCCTTCCTTACACCTTATACAAAAATCAATTCAAGATGGATTAAAGATTTAAACGTTAGACCTAAAACCATAAAAACCCTAGAAGGAAACCTAGGCATTACCATTCAGGACATAGGCGTGGGCAAGGACTTCATGTCCAAAACACCAAAAGCAATGGCAACATAAGCCAAAATTGACAAATGGGATCTAATTAAACTAAAGAGCTTCTGCACAGCAAAAGAAACTACCATCAGAGTGAACAGGCAACCTACAACATGGGAGAAAATTTTCGCAACCTACTCATCTGACAAAGGGCTAATATCCAGAATCTACAATGAACTCGGAAACAAATTTACAAGAAAAAAACAAACAACCCCATCAAAAAGTGGGCGAAGGACATGAACAGACACTTCTCAAAAGAAGACATTTATGCAGCCAAAAAACACATGAAGAAATGCTCATCATCACTGGCCATCAGAGAAATGCAAATCAAAACCACTATGAGATATCATCTCACACCAGTTAGAATGGCAATCATTAAAAAGTCAGGAAACAACAGGTGCTGGAGAGGATGTGGAGAAATAGGAACACTTTTACACTGTTGGTGGGACTGTAAACTAGTTCAACCATTGTGGAAGTCAGTGTGGCGATTCCTCAGGGATCTAGAACTAGAAATACCATTTGACCCAGGCATCCCATTATTGGGTATATACCCAAAGGACTATAAATCATGCTGCTATAAAGACACATGCACACGTATGTTTGTTGCGGCACTATTCACAATAGCAAAGGCTTGGAACCAACCCAAATGTCCAACAATGATAGACTGGATTAAGAAAATGTGGCACATATACACCATGGAATACTATGCAGCCATAAAAAATGATGAGTTCATGTCCTTTGTAGGGACATGGATGAAATTGGAAACCATCATTCTCAGTAAACTATCGCAAGAACAAAAAACCAAACACCGCATATTCTCACTCATAGGTGGGAATTGAACAATGAGATCACATGGACACAGGAAGGGGAATATCACACTCTGGGGACTGTGGTGGGGTCGGGGGAGGGGGGAGGGATAGCATTGGGAGATATACCTAATGCTAGATGACACGTTAGTGGGTGCAGCGCACCAGCATGGCACATGTATACATATGTAACTAACCTGCACAATGTGCACATGTACCCTAAAACTTAGAGTATAATAAAAAAAAAAACATTAAAAAAAAAAAAAAAGGAATATAATAAATATTCATGACTGATGATTGATGATGCCGAATTACATGGGTTGAATCTTAGGGTAAGAGTGATAAAAGAAAAAAGAAATAATGCATTAGGTGCAACTATTTTCTCTTTGAGTGCAGCTGGGAAACTCTGCTTGCATTAACATCGTGGTAAAATCTAATTGTTGGTAACAGCCACAGGCAGTGGTGTGCTGCAGCCAGTTTGCACCAGCCCACAAGAGCCAATTGTTAGATTTTCAGCAACGTTGTGAGCCAGTTGGTAAACATAGCCAATATAAAAATTAAATTATATAAACTTACAATTAAATAAATTATACTAAAGACAAAGACAGTAATATTTAAAATTCATCTCTTCTTAAACATTTTAGTGCATTTTACTTTTATCCGTGCTCTTAAGGTAATCCACATCGCCTGCATCTGAGTGGTGGAAATGTCATATAATGCTGTGCTACTGCACATCTCTTCTCAACTCTGCATTCAGTGATGGCACCATTGTAGTTTGAAATTGGCTGTCATGTAGTATCTACACCATGGAAATCAGCAGACACCACAAATTAGGGCTTGATTTACTACCAAAGCCGAAAAAAATTTAGTTTAACGAGTACAATTAATACAAGGGTAAAAAAATAGTTTGACAGAAGATCACATATCAGGTTTAATGACAGTAGATTTATTAGAGAAAAACTGGATTGGAATAAAATTCCACTTGTCAAGTCACAGTCGAATTGCAGTTCTATGTTGGCTGTGGTGTGATGGTTAATTTTATGTGTCAGCTTGACTGGGCCATGGGATGCCCAGATAGCTGGTAAAACATTACTTCCGGGTATGTCAGCGAGGGTGTTACTGGAAGAGATTGGCATTTGAAACAGTAGACTGAGAGAGAAGATGGCCCTTCCTCTGTGGGTGGGCCTCATCTGATCTGTTGAGGATTGGAACAGAACAAAAAGGTAGAGGAAAGCTGGAGGAACTCTGCCTGACTGCCTCAGCTGGGACATTGATCTTCTCCTGCCCTCACTGCTTCTGGGTCTCAGGCCTTCAGACTTGGACTGGAATCTACACCATCAACTCTTTGACTTCCAGGCCTTCAAATGACACCACCATCTTTCCTGGGTCTTCAGCTTGCAGGTGGCAGATCATGGGACCTCTCAGCCTCCATAATCATGTGAGCCACTGCATTATAATGAGTCCGTCTATCTATCTATCTATCTATCTATCTATCTATCTATCTATCTATCTATCTAATCTATCTATCTATCATCTATCTCTATCATCTTTTTATCCATCTAGAGTTTCTATCTAGGTAGACAGATAGCTCGGAGTATCTAGATAGATAGAGAAGTAATATCCTATTAGTTCTCTTTCTCTGGAGAGCCCTAATACATAAGGATTTGGCAAAAATCAATAGAAACATTCTGTGAGAATAAATTAGCTCTATGAAGTTGACAATAAATAATATTTTTTATAAATTGTACACTACACATCCTTTATATTATTGAAATTTATGACAAACATATATATTTACACGTATTTATTTTGGAGTGCCAGTTTACTGTACATGTATTTACTGTAATGCCACTGAGTATAAGCCCATCATTGAAGCTTCTAGCAGGAGACAGGCTGTTAAGACAGAGGTGGTTTCCTCAAATGAGATGGAGAGAAGGAGACAGTCACTGCTGGCCTGGAAGGAAAGCCCTCTTCACTCTTGTTCTCCAGGTCCTTTCTCCTTAGCAGCTCACCAGAGCTCCCTGACATCCACCTCTCAGGGTGTAGAGACTGTAAAGGTGTCTTTCTTTTGATTGTGAAGACAAAATGGGATTAGAAACACTTTATTTTTAGTGCAAATGATTGTGGAAAATCATTTGAAGTCTTCATATTCTTTTCTCATAAGTATGCTGTATTAGTTTACTAGGGCTGCAGTAACAAAGTACTGTGAATTACACGGCTTAAACCACAGAAATATATTTACACAGTTCTGGAGGCTGGAAGTCCAAGGTCAGGCTGTCAGCAGGGTTGGTTCCTTCTAAGGCTCTGAGGAAGAATCTGTTTCCTGCTTCTCCTCTAGCTTCTGGTGGTTTTATGGCAATCTTTGGTGTTCCTTGGCATCACCCAGATCCCTGCCTTCATCTTCACATAGGTGAAAGAGGAGTTGATCCCATCTTGTGTCATCCCTGTCCAAATTTCCTGTTTTACAAGGACACGATTAGATTAGGTTAGGGGTCACGCTAATGACCACATCATAACTTGATCATATGCAAAGATCCTATTTCCGAATAACGTCACATTCACAGGTACTGGGGGTTAGGACTTCAATATGTTTTTGCTGGACACACTTCAACCCATAGCATTTGCTCAATGAACAATGAAAATAAAGCTGAACTCCAAGGGATAGGAAATTGGTGCTTGGAGTCAAAAGGTGGTTTGATGAAATTACAAATTCTTGTCTAGCTAAAGATGACCATATGGAGCAGAGGCTGCTGGTGATCCCCTAAATCCAATTCTTGACTTTTTGCATCATAGTGCATTATTAGCTGTACCACAGCCACCAGAACAAAGATTTGATTTCCAAGTCCCCCTTGCAGCTAACTGCAGTCATGTGATAGCTTCTAGTACATTTAAGAGGTGTGGTTTGCCTCCTTCTTACCTATTCAATCCTATTGCTTGGAATACAGTTGTGATAGTTGATGAGCCATCTTGGATGATTTGGATGGAGGCCACACCCTGGGAATGGCAGAGAAGAAAGCTGGAAGGCACTTGGGTTCCCCAAGGAGCTTGTGAAAGAGCTGCCACACCCACCCCAGATGCTCCCCCTCTGTACTTTAACATGAATGAGAAGCAACATTCCCTCTTGATTAAACCCTGTTTATTTTGGGTCTTTCTCACTTTTTCACAAATATATCATATATTTTGAATTTGTTCTACTTCACCAAGGATATTCAGGGGCTCTCACATAGCTACAATTATGTGCCTATTTGTCTTTTCTCTCCTTACATCTTAAGGGGGAGCATGGTTTAAAGGAGTGGTTTTTAACCAGAGCGATTTTGCATCCCCTGGGTAACATCTGACACTGTCTAGAGATATATTCGATTGTCACACTTGGGGGAGAGGTTCTACTGGTGTGTAGTGGGTAGAGGTCAGGATGCTGCTAAACATCCTACTATGCACAGGATAGGTCCCCACGACAAAGAATGATCTGGCCCCAAACTGTCAATAATGCAGAGGTTGAGAAAACCCAGTTTAAAGGGAAAAGCATAGACTTTGGAACCAAGCTGGCGTGGGTTCAAATCCTGGCTCTGCTAGTTATCAATGTGACCTTGGTTATATGGGTCTTTACACTAGTGCAATCAGGTTACCAATATCTACTGTTTAGGGCTGTTTGGGAGGTAGGTGAGATCATCCTTAGAGAAGGTACACGTCAGGCACTCAATAAATGGTAGTTTTCATTCCTCGAAAGGATTTCTTCTTGAGTACACTTCTTGTACACCAGGGAAGGGGAGGCCTTGCCTGCAGTTTAAATACTCAGGAAAATCAATTATCATCACACACACAGGCTTAGTCGTGTCCATGCCCCTCAGCATTGCCTGTCGAGATCCCCAATCTGATTTTTAGTCCCTCCTGCAGCCTCAGTTCTTGCCTGTTTCAGTCTGCATGGTGGACTCCAGCCTCTCCAATCTGCACATACCTCCCCCATGCCTGAGCACACCCATTACCCTCTCTGCCTGAAGCACCCTCCACACCTTTATTGGCAGATCAACTCCTCACTCTGCAAGGCTTGGTGGCAGAGGCACCTTTTCTGGAGGTGTTTCTGCACTGTGGAGTGAGCTAAACCCCTTGGCTCTGAGCATTCAGAGCCTTCTCTACTTAGTTCCATCTTGCAAGAATCCATTTTCTCAGCTGTTAAAGACAGAGAAGGCAGGGCACTGTGGCTCATGCCTGTAACCCCAGCACTTTGGGAGGCTGAGGTGGGCAGATTACATGAGGTCAAGAGTTTGAGACCAGCCTGGCCAACATGGTGAAACCCCATCTCTACTAATAATCCAAAAATTAGCTGGGGTTGGCATGTGCCTGTAATCCCAGTTACTCGGGAGGCTGAGGCACCAGAATCGCTTGACCCAGGAGACAGAGATTGTAATGAGCAGAGATCGCACCACCGCACTACAGCCTGGGCAACAGAGTAAAACTGTATCTCAAAACAAAACAAAAACAAAAAACAGAGAAAAGTTCTTGCCCTGGAGTCACTTTCAGGGTGAACCTTGAGAGTCACTCTAGAGTGAATGTAAATGTGGTCATGGATAGAAAAGTCTGGCACATATTGCTAACACGCAAAACCCTTGTTGAGCTTAGTGTCATGTTCTCCGTAAGACTCAGCATGTTATTTGAATGCTGGGGCTATGCCCTTTACTTCTGTATTCCCAGCACCCAGTAAATTACTCAGGTAAATTTAAAAAACTTTGTTAAAGGTTAATTTAGTTGGAATTTTCTCTATTTTCTATTTTAACAAGAAAGATATAAGATTTCTCATATCTTTCTCGTTCTCAGACAATTCCAAGGGGTTTCTATGTCTTATCAATTATAACTTCCTCATATTTTTCTTTCCTGTCATCTCTTCTCCTGCCTGTAATTTTGCACTTTTTTTTTCCCACCTGAACTATGAGAATGGGCTTTTAACCTATAGCTCTGCTTCTGGGCCTCTCTCCAATCCAACCAGACTGTTGGACTTATCTTTTAAAAATACTACCTGATCATTTCATCCCTTGGTTAAAACCTTTCAAAACTGATCTTTTTCCTACAAGATAATATCCAGGGTTCTTGGAATGGAATGCAATGTTCTTCATGACCTGGCCCCAGTTTTCCCTAAACCCCATCTCCTGTAACTTGCTTAGATGAAGTTGAGGCTTCAACCTGCCAAATCAGTAAATTACCCCAATTTACTATGCTGTGATATGACTGCTTCAGAGTCAAATATTCGGCTTTCTGGAATGTTCTTCCTGGCAACTCTTCATTCTTTGAGATTCAGGATGAGTTTCTACTTCTACAAAATTTCAGATCTACCCAAGCAGTGATGAACTCATCACTTTCTTCCATGGAGAACAAATGGATTTGGAACTTTCTTCTGAGATAGCATTCATCACATGGGCTTGCAATGATTTGTTTGCATGTTTCTTTCACCAGCTAGACTGAGTGGTCCAGCTTTATTTGCTTTGGCAAACTAATTGTTTCCCGTGGGGCCTGGGACCTGTAGGTCTGAATAAGTGCTAAATGAATGAGTATAAATCTGCTGATTTACTAAAAAATAACTGGGTTAAACTGTGAAGTCTGGTTGCAATATCAACTTACTAGCTAGAATTTGCTGAGGAGTTATCATTTGTCTATCTTCACTGAAAACTCTAAGACCATTGTTTTCACCACTTTACAGAGGGGCAGACCAAGACACAGATAGACTAACTTGCTAAATAGTACAGAATTAGTGCTCATGGTGCTTGAACTCAAGTCTGACTCCAAATCTGCCTGAAGCACCCTCCACACCTTTATTGGCAGGTCAACTCCTCCTCACTCTGCAAGGCTTGGTGGCAGAGGCACCTATTCTGGAGGTGTTGCAGATGGGCAGACAAAGACACAGATAGACTAACTTGCCAAATAGTACAGAATTAGTACTCATGTGTTCTTAATCACTCCTCGCAACACTGTAAGATCTGAAGATAAAAACAATATTGGGAATAAAAGATTTAGGGCTAGAAACTATTACAAGGCAAGCATTTGTGTAATTAATTGATCTCTGAGGGCTTAATTTACAATATTAACACATTTTATTCACTCCAAAAATGAAACATGTGTTTAGAAAAGCCAATTATTAACAAAATCAAATGGAAAGGGGTGTAAGTTTTCTCCTGGAGCTTACCAAATGCACCAGTGTGGGTGCCCCTGGGAACTGGTGAAAACCGATGACTTACCATCATAAATGGAGATTGAGGTCCCCCCGCGCAGGTGGGGTTTGTCCTGCCTCAGTTGACTGAGACACAAGATGCATGGTAAAGGTTTTGGCTGTCATTTTCTATCAGGACAGTGGGCAAAAGAACTGTCAGAGTCACAACAACCCCACCTTCACCGTCGTTATCCTTGTGGTCTTCCTAACAGCCCTGTGAGGAGAGAAAGACAGGGATTCTATCTCCATTTCACAGATTAGAAAACAGAGGCCCAGAAAAGTTACATGAAGCCATCTATGCTCCATCCTCCACTATTTTGGCATTTACCATGACGTTTATCCATATGAAAGCATTTTCTTTCAAGACGGCTTCCCGGAATTTTAGCAAGAATTTGAGAGCCAAGTATAAGAGGAGCTAGTCCCTCTGCCTTAGAAGGGAAACATGCCCAATTTATTTTTGGTTTGACATTCTACTGCCGGGCGTTTCCTCTTCGCTGGTGTTGTTTGTAGTCAGGCCCCAGCTTTTAACATGCTGGTCTGGGGATGCACCTTAAGACTGACCCAGAGTAAGGACATTTTGATGCTGACATTTCCTGTCTCAATTTCCTTCCCTGCTTCCTTATGATTAATGGTCAGGCCTCCTCCCACCTGCGTTCCTGCCTTCCAGCCAGAGATGCACTATCCGACAGGAAGAGAAACTGTTTGCCTGCAGTTTTGTAACTAAAAATAACAATAAGAAAAATGTTCAATTAATCTCTTGCTTCCCCAGCCTGCCTTGCACCGGCTCTCTGGGTTGTGCTCACATGTTAGGTCGGGCAAGGTGCTGGCCAGTTGCAGAGTCTTTTTAAACTGCTAAGGAAAGCGGAGGCTGGAGGATTCCAAGCCAGGTCACAACGGGTAGCAGGCAGGACCTCAGGCCTGCTTTACTTTAAAAATGATCTCCTGTTCACTGAAAGATTACTGTGTGCCAAACACTATGCTAAGCATGCCATCTACGTGATGTCATTTAATCCTCATAGATCAACCCAATGAGATAGTTTGCATCACCTACATTTTAAAAATAATAAACAGAATCAGAGAGGTTAAGTAAGGTGCCCAAGGTACACAGCTATTAGAGACAGGATTTAAGCCCAGGGTTCTCTTGATGCATTTTCGTGAGCATCTGATTTGGTTTTTCATTTTAATAATTATAATTATTAAAATTGTAAACACTGAATTAACAAAACATTTTTAAGTCTTTAGTATTCACTGGGAAAGATGTCAAGTTCAGGGGGAAAACAGAAGTAAGAATAATTCCTGCCTTCAAGAAGTTTTCCATTAAGTGAAACAAGTCTGTTGTCTCTCACCTCTCATATTGAAGAAATATGGGAGTTGTTTGAAATAAAATCATATTTGTCCCACTCAATCTCATCATGATATAGTTGCTCTTCTATTTTGGATCCACTAGCAGACATTTGATATGTTTAGGATGAGTGTTTTTTTTCTCAACCATTAAAAAAATGTAATTCAAGTCTCAAGGCAATGATTACTCCTTTTCTATTGTGTTTTAACAAGTAGCACAGAGGGGTCAGTAGACCACTGGTAATAGACAGAACCTGTATTATACCCAACAACAAAAGGATGCCGGACCACCCCTGCTGCATGTCAGTAGGTGGCAGTCTGGCTTTGCACACACTGTGTGCCTGGGCTCAAGTGGGTTTCACAAATCCACGTGCCGTGGAAATACCCATCACCAACCTTTTCAGAGCTTTCTGGCCCTAAAAGCAATGCATTATCCAAACCTGAAGACATAAATGTTGTGATTGAGGCATTTCGAGAAACTCTTATTAGCTTGTCTTTGTTGAACTTTGGGAAGAATCTTATGGGGACTCAGATCCATAGCTGCTGTGTTTTACCATCAACTCCCCCTTGTCCGTGGATGTCGTGCCTGCTTAGCACTCTCTCAGGTCTCACCCACCTGCGCCAGGTCCCTGAAATGGGCTGCCACTGCTCACCTGAATGGCTGCCTTCTTGTATAGCTAACTCAGAGAATTCAAATAGCTATGCCTTCCTCCAGGAATTCTCAATCTCCCAAGATATCATCAGTTGTGATGAAATGATTGCAGGACTTTAATATAACCCTGTCAGTGAAGACACCAACAATATGATATTTGTGATAATAATGGCTGACAAATTTACCTCTGAATTATCTATAAAAAAAACTTGTTTGCCAAGAAAACAACCCCTAAAGATGAGATTATGGGAATCCTGTTGACTTAAAGGGAGCCAAAAATCATATATTCAATCATACATTGCATGAATTATACCATTGTCTAGATGAAGTGGTATCAAAGTACATTCCATTCGTAGAATCAAGTTCTGAAGAAACTCTGGAAATTTTGAGTTAGCGGTAATCTTGAGTCACTCCATTTACTAGAAAGAAGAAGGCAGCCTTTCTTCAGACATTTAAATCATATTATGGACTTTACACTTATAGTAGTCCAGTTTCTTTAAATTAATAGATTGACTAAATTAGTTTTACTCTATTTGGAGATCTAAGTAATTTGGCTAGTTTGACTAAATGAGTTTTACTCTGTTTTTGAGCTTCATATAGAAGCAAGAAATTGACATAATTATCTAATGACTTTCCTCATCACAAGATATTGGGTCAATTTCCTCTTTTTCTTTTTCAGGAAATACCTATTGGTGAGTGCCAAATAAAGCTCCTTAGGAAGCATCAGGAGCTCTTTAAATAAGCTGCTGGAAGCCACTTTTCATTTCTTTGCTGACAGAGCTGAGTGCCTATATCCTGGAGTTAAACTTGGGCCAGAAGGACTTTGTCCCATCTGCTGGTGTGACAGAAAGGGTCCCAGGAGGGCATCTGCCCTGAAGTCCCTCCTCCATGATGCCAGGCATCTGAAATTCCACTTTTAGAGATGACCCCGATAGACTCTCAGTCTTTAAAGATTCACTCATACTAATGCAAATATTTCTGCAGGCCATAAATTAAAGCCTTGGATCAGTTACCACTCACTTTCCCACTGAGAAAGCCACCCAGGAGCTCTGTCAAGAATGTGCCCAGGCAGACACTTTCAGAGGGGAGGCATGTGTGGGGGTCCTGGGGTGGAGGAAGGGCACTGAGAGCAGAGATGACAGTAACCAGACTCCATCCATGACCCCCACGGCCCTCTAGGACCTGGGCCTGCCCACCTGTCCAACCTCAGCTCCCACCATTCACATCTTGGCTTCTTGGCCTTTCTCTTTGTGGACACACCATCCTCTTCCCTGCCTTAGGGCATCTATGGTGGCTACTTCTGGAATATTCTTCTCCAAGACCTTCTCATGACTGGTTCACCTTATTATTAATGTCTCCAATAGCTCCAATATTTCTGTCTCTGAGAGGCCCGCATTAATCACCAGCCTCAAGTCATCCTTCTTCCGTGTCTACCCCGATCACTCTCTATTATGCTCTCCTGGATTGCTTTATTCCTAGTGCTTCCATGTTGAAATTATCTTCTTTATTCGGTTGACTACTTGGCTATTTACTGTGTTTCCTTACTGACCTTTGTTTTATTATGTGTCTTTTGTTAAAAGATTATGTTTTGCCTAATGCTGGACCCTTTTATCCACATCCTCTTGGAATTACCTACCATTGATGTGTTAGTCTGTTCTCACATTGCTATAGATAAATACCTGAGGCTGGGTAATTTATTTAGAAAAGAGGTTTAATTGGCTCATGATTCTGCAGACCGTGCAGGAAGCATAGTGGCTTCTTCTTCTGAGAAGGTGATATGGTTTTTCTGTGTCCCCACCCAAATCTCATCTTGAATTGTAATCCCCATAATTCCCATGTGTCATGGGAGGGAGCCGATGGGAAGTAATTTAATCATGGGGGTGGCTACCCTCATGCTGTTCTCATGATAATGAGTGAGTTCTCACAAGATCTGATGGTTTCATAAGGGGCTTTTACCCCTTTTGCTCTGCACATCTTCTTGCTGCTGTCATTTGAAGAAGGATGTGTTTGCTTCCCCTTCTGCCATGATTGTAAGTTTCCTGAGGCCTCCCCAGTCATGTGGAACTGTGAGTCAATTAAGCCTCTTTCCTTATTAAATTACCCAGTCTCGGGTACGTCTTTATGAGCAGCATGAGAACTGACTAATACAGGAGGCCTCAGGAAACTTACAATAATGGTGGAAGGCAAAGGGGATGCAGGCACATCTCACATGGCCAGAGCAGGAGGAAAAGAGAGAGGGAGAAGGTGCCACCCACTGTTAAACAACCAGACCTTATGAGAACTCTCTCACTATCACTAGAGTAGCACTGAGGGGATGTTGCTAAACCATTCACGAGAACTCCCACCTGTGATCCAATACCTCCCACCAGACCCCACCTCCAACATTAGGGATTACAATTCGACATGAGATTTGGGCAGGGACACAGACCCAAACCATGTCAATTGATTAGATACTCAATATTTTTTATAGTATGAATAAATGAAGTAAAGAATCAAATATAAACTTATTACTTCAAGGCATGAGCTTGTCTGTTGGAATCAGTAACATGAGGCCATCAAGAACAGGGAAGGAGCTGAGATTTTATTTTACCTGCAAGCTAATGAGCTAGTCTGCCACAATTTCAGATATACTGCAAGAAGATAGGAGATTCCTGTCATAGCAAGAGCCAGAGCATCAGGAGTTGCTGCAGTTTAGGCTCTAAGCCTGAATTTCCATAGGAAAACATAGAGAGGGCAACTTGAGTGGGTACATTATAGGAGAAGAACTCTGAGCTTAGGAAACCCAAACAGTTTATAACAGGAAGTAAGCCCGCCTGACTCCTTTCCTGGAGGGAGACATTATCTTTAATTATACTGGACAGTAGACAAACCTGCTCTTTGCCCCAGAGGAAGACACAATCTCTATATTCAAGCATATTCTTTTTAAGGGTGTTTGATTGTATAAAAACATCTTTGAAAAGACAGTCCACTCTGTTGGCAAGATATACAGAAATGTGAGAGACCCATGGAGAAGTGCCTCCTAACAAAGCCCGTCTTCCTGGTCTATCTTTAATCATTCCTTTATCCCATCTCTCCTTCCTACCCCAAGAAAAGCTCAAACAATGTTTGTTTAATGGAACACTTACTGCATCCTACCTCACATTTCTTTCTTTAGGGAGATAACTTGTCAATAAATGGACTCATTCTTACTGGAATGGCTGTGTGAGTAGCCCTGTTTCTAGAACTGTGGAGCTTTTCTTCCCAAACCAGGATACCTGTTTGTTAGTAGGTTCCTGGTGGAGTGCCATAGGGAAAAAAACCCCTGGGGTTAAAAACGGAACATCTCCCTGGATCACAATTTTTACTAGAAAAAAATGGAGAAAAGCCTATTAACTTTTATTAAAATACATGTAAATATATTATGCAGTGAGTGCACATTCTCAAGGATTTTAAAGATAAAGAAAAGATTTCTTTGGGCAGTACTGCTACCTCTCCCCTGTCCCAGAGCATAGATGAACTTTGTCTTCCTGCTGTAGTGGAAAAATTTTAAGCTGTTTTATAGAACAGTGTTTTGCAAACTATGGATCATAACCTGGTAATGGGTTGTAAAATCATCCAGGTGAGTCTGGCCAACAATTAATAGTAATTTAAAATATTATAGAATGGACAATATCAGAGGGCATCTGTGATGGTTAATATTAAGTGTCAACTTGATTGGACTGAAGGATGCAAAGTATTGGGTGCGTCTGTGAGGGTGTTGCCAAAGGAGATGAACATTTGAGTCAGTGGACTGGGAGAGGCAGACCCACCCTCAATTTGAGTGGGCAGCATCTAGTCAATTGCCAGCACAGCTAGAATAAAGGAGGCCTGAGAAGGTGGGAGAAACTGACTTGCTGAGTCTTCTGGCCTTCATCTCTCTCCCATGCTGGATGCTTTCTGCCCTCGAACATCAGACTCCAGGTTGTTCAGTTTTTGGACTCTTGGACTTATACCAGTGGTTTGCCAGGGGCTCTCGGGCCTTTGGCCACAGACTGGAGGCTGCACTGTTGGCTTCCCTACTTTTGAGATTTTGGGACTCGGACTGGCTTCCTTGCTCCTCAGCTTGCAGACGGCCTACTGTGGGACTTCACCTTCTGACGGTGTGAGTCAATACTCCTTAATGAACTCCCCTTCATATATACATCTATATTATTAGTTCTGTCCCTCTAGATAACCCTGACTAATAAAGACAAGTATTATTTTATTAAACATTTATTTCAGATTGTGGGTGTGAATGAGTTGGGCTGCAATGTTAAATGTATTTCTCACTTTGAGTTGCAGTCATAAAAATTTAAAATATACTACTCTAGAGGATGTTACAAAATCTAGAAATTATTGTTCGTAAATATCTTAAAATCTATTAGGGAATTCAGACATGGGAACAAAATTAATACCAAATGGTGATGAAGACTTCAGAACCAGACTCTCAAATGTCTAGATGAAAAAGCTGAAAACATAGCAAACATGATGGATGATAGAATAAAAATGTCAAATAATCTCAGATTAAATTGGAGAACCATGAATGGAAAGGTAAATGATCAATGTGAAGTTCTGATTTTATATTTGAAAAAAAGGGATCCACCAAATTAGGAAACTACTGTTTCTAGGTCAAGCTGGATTATGGTTCTTGTGTATTTATTGCACATTTCGTCACATCTGTGAAACTCTCTTCAGTGTGGGGAGTTTGTTTGCAGAGGCATTTATACACCTGGTAGAGGGCATCTGGAAGAAGATGACCTGCAATGCGGAATTTTTACTTGGACAAGAGAACACTAGGGGAATAAAGGAAACAACATTTATTGATCAGGTACTCTATTTCAGGAAGCTTACACAACTGTCTTTATATATTTGGAAAATTTCAGCTGAAAGAGAGAGGGAGTAGAGATTGTGTCTGGCTTTAGACAGCTGCCAAAGCTATGGCGTTATAATAGCTTCCATTCATCGACTGGCTACAGGTCACCAGGCATTGTAACTGGCGCATAGCGATATTTCCTAGACCAACAACCACTTATCAAGCCCTGACTACGTGCCAGATATGATGCAAAGCATTTTACTTGGACTATTTTATTTAATCTTCCCAATAATCTTTTGAGGAAGGTACTAATTTTGTTTCCATTTGTAAATGGGGAAAGTGGGTCTCTGAGAGATAGTCCCTTGCTTGGCATTGCACTGTTGGAGTAACCTGGGGATTTGCTATTGTCAATAAAATAGAGAAGGGACCCTGTTGCAAACTGTCACTTTAAAACTTCTAAATTATTTCCTAATTCACTGAGACTTGGTTACAGGCTAACTTTGAAGACCCCAATGACATCTGTTTTTCCTTGCGGAGCCCGAGATTCTGCATCTCAAGATGGTTCTCGGGGAATGAGTTGGAAAGCCGCTGAGGAGTGAGCAGTGATGCTCCGGCTGGTTGGCTTCACTCGGAGGCGAGCTTTTCTTGCTGCAGTGTTCTCTTCCAGCTCTCCCTGGCTCTCATGCCCTGGAGCACTTTTGGCTCCTTACCAGGCATCTTCTTTAAACACAAAGCACAATTTTGCAATTTCATCATCATTTTCTGAAGCCAGGGTGGTGCGTAGTGATGGTTTCCAACCGTTAAAGGTTTGATTCTGCATCTGTGTACTGGTCTCCAGTGCCGCCAACCCAGATGGAGGGCTGGTCCTGAGCCTTCACTTTGAACTTGAGTGCAATTGGGGGCTTGCAGCTTAATGACTTCAAGGAAAAATGACAACAGATAAAAGGTCCCTTGAGTGGACGGAGGTGAAGGGGAAAGCCCTGAGCCCTTTGCAGAGGAGCACGTGGCTGAGGCTGAAGCAGGAGCAGCCTCTGGGTGTTGGCTTCCTGTCCTGCGAGCCTACGCTGCTGTGTCAGGGACATGCGCTAAGTCACAGCCACCTCTCTGGGAGCGTTTCTCGACCATCAAAGGCTTCTGTGGACCCCAACTGCCTCAGAATTATTTTGGGGTTTAGTGCTTCTGTCAGGAATTTCTCCCACCTAAACAAATGCTCCTTCCTACTCCCCTTTTTCTCTCTCATCAGTCATTTGGTATCATGTAGTGAAGCTCTGACCTGGCAAATTTGAGATAAGTTTAATGTTTTTCTTATGTGATTCAGTGACAATTTCATGTCTGGATCTTTGGGGCTTCTCCTTCTGCCCTTTTCGGGCTGAAATGGGCTTGGCAATGTTGGGGAATGGGTAGGTAGTTGTGTACAGAAGCACTTCTCAAATTTCGATATGCTTGCAAGCCACCTGGGGGTTTGTTAAAAATGCAAATTCTGATTCAGTAGGTTTGGGTGGGCACCTGAGATTCAGCATTTTCAAAAAGCTCCCAGATGATTCTGATGCTACGAGTCCAAGGACCACACTTTATGGGTTTTAACTTTGCCTGAACATGAGAACCACCATGGGGAATTAAAAAATTACCAATGCCCATGCTCCATTCCAGACCCAATAACTCAGAGTTTACAGGAGTGGGATCCAGACATAGGTAATTTGTGTGTGTGTGTAACATTCTTCAGGTAGTTTTGTTTTGGAACCAGAGTTGATAACCATTAGATTTGGATTAGCGGGAAAAAGTATTAAATTCAGAGACATAAGCCAAAGTTCTATCCTAATTATACTACTTCTGTCAGGCCTCTGAGCCCAAGCTAAGCCATCATATCCCCTGTGACCTGCACGTACACATCCAGATGGCCGGTTCCTGCCTTAACTGATGACATTCCACCACAAAAGAAGTGAAAATGGCCTGTTCCTGCCTTAACTGATGACATTACCTTGTGAAATTCCTTTTCCTGGCTCATCCTGGCTCAAAAGCTCCCCCACTGAGCACCTTGTTACCCCCACCCCTGCCCACCAGAGAACACCCCCCTTTGACTGCAATTTTCCTTTACCTACCCAAATCTTATAAAACAGCCCCACACCTATCTCCCTTCGCTGACTGTCTTTTCAGACTCAGCCCGCCTGCACCCAGGTGATTAAAAAGCTTTATTGCTCACACAAAGCCTGTTTGGTGGTCTCTTCACATGGACACGAGTGAAAACTTCCTTAGCATGTATTAGAAAGATGCACTTACTTGCACTAGTTATAACATATAGTAGTAATGGTGTTTTCCTCCACTCAGCCATTTAGTTTTTACCATTTTACAGAACAATCCGTGATGGCTCTCCATTCCAGGTAACATACACTCTCGGCTCCTTGTTTGGCATTAGAAGTCCTCCATATTTCGTCCATCTGTGGCCATTTCCTGCTTGCTATAGTTTGGTTTGTTTGTCCCCTCCAAATCCCATGCTGAAATTTGATCCTCAGTGTTGGGGATGAGGCTTAACAGGAGGTGTTTTCGTTCTGGGGGTAGATCCCTCATGAATAGATTAATGTCCTCCCTGAGACTGGGGGATTGCAGTCAGTGAGTGTTGCTCTATTAGTTCCTGCAAGAGCTGGTTGTTAAAAAGAGCCTGGTTGCCTCCTTGCCCTCTCTCTTGCTTTCTCTCTCAGCATGTGGTCTGCACACGCTGGCTCCTCTTCCATTCCACCATGAGTGGAAGCCATCTGAGGCCCTCATCAAAAGCAGATGCTGGTGCCATGCTGCTTGTACACCCTGCAGAACTGTGAACCAAATAAACTTCTTTTCTTTATAAGTTACCTGGCCTCAGGTATTCCTTTATAGCAACACAAATGGACTAAGACACTACTGCACATGAATTTTGGCCCCATCTTATCCCTGGGCACACTATGAGCTATCCAATCACCTGCTTTGGCTTAAACTAGTCCATCTGCTCTGCAATGTCCTTCTACTCTGCCTTCTTCTCCGATTCCTCATAATATTTGGTCACAGCCATCCTTCATGGCCTACTTCCAATTTCAGTTATTCTAAGAAACCTTCCCTTACACCCTTTCTAGTGAGTATGAATCCATGTTTTATCATACCTTCTCTCTCTCTTGTATAATTTATCAGTCTACTTTTGTCAGTTATTTTTATGAATATCCTTTTCCTGCTTCAGATTGTGACCTTCTAGAGGACAAAGACCACCTCTCATTTCTCTTTCTATCCCTCCTGGTGTTATAGGAGTTACTAAGAAATTATTTTAGGCAGATAGAGAGGAAAAGGGGTCCTTTTCATTTCTTTTAAAGCAGCCCCAGAAACGTGTTTCTTGTCTAGCAGGAAAGCCCTGGCTCCTGGAGCCAGTGGCAAGCTTTGATATGCAAATGACAGTCATTAGAAACTGGGTCCACCCAAACATGGCGATTCCTGCCCTCTTCTTCTTGCCCTTGCCCCCACATGTGCCTGGCAACATGGCCACCCCCACATAGCCCCACGTGTGTAGAGCATCATGGCACACTGCATTTGCATATTAAAAGGCTAGGGTGGGATGGCCAATTTTTTCATGGGCTACGTGAGTGACAAGCCTGGTCAAACCAAACCCCTGAGCCCTATGCAAATCAAACACCACAACCTCCAGCCTCCTCATATAAGCAGCCACTTTTCCGCCACACAGGGGGTTTTCTCTTTGTTCGAATCCCCCCTCCCTCTGTCTCTGTATAGGGGAGCTGAGAACAGTGTCTGTAAGAGATAGATGATGGCCAGGGCTTTGGGTTCAGAGGCCTCCTCAGTCATAGCCAGACAGTGCATCCAGCATGGAGTGACTCTTTTAATCTGAAGTAAATTCAAAAAATTCTGCACAGTCCAAGTCATCTTTGGTTCAAAGGCAGGCTATGTCTCTCTGACAGAGAACAGGAGAAGCTTGGGTTTGACTTCATCTTGGAAGTTTCACCTGGCATCTCAAACTGGGAATTCTTGAACTGGGAATGACTCAGGATGGGGTCGTAGTTCTTGAGGATGCTTTGTGCTGGAGGGAGGGGAAAGGAGCTAATGTGTATTGATCACCAACCATCTATTAGGCAGAATATTTTATCTGTATGATATCATTGACTGTGAAATGAATATTATTGTTCCTGTTTTAAGGATAAAGAAAGTGAAGATCAGCTAGATTACTTAACTGCCTGAGGCCACAGAGTTAATACATGACATAGCCCAGGTTTGCACTAAACTCTGACTGACTCCAAAACCAATACTACCTGTTTTGAAGGAGAGAATTTACATCTGATTGTCCCCCATCTCTAGCTGAGATTCCCTTCTCATGAAGATAAAAGACAATCCATACTGCTCCTGTGTCTTCTTGACAAGGACTGGGTTAATATCTTCGGGGACTCTCCTCCTCCTATTCATTCTAGATTGTAAACTCAGTGAAGGCAGGGATGGAGTATTTAACCATTGCCGCTGACGCTTGGGATCCACTGGGGATTGGTTTTAGGAGCCCCCACCACCTCAAAATACTAAAATCCAAGTCCTTCACATAAAGTGGCATCATGAGGATCCATGGATGTGAGACCCATGGATACAGAGGACCAACTGCATATCTCGCTCTCCAGTAGGAGTTAGAATAGACCAAAGATTAATTCTACAGGCTTTGTTATCTGGCGATGGCTGGGGTTTTAGCCTGCCACTCAATAACTTGGTAATCTTGTCAAACTACCTGAATTTCCTGAGCCTTGATTTCTTTTTACATGGTGGATTGTGGTGAACATTAAGTAGAGGAAAGTACTTAGCTGAGTTCCTCACACATAATAGACATGCAATAAATTTTAGATAATCCAAACTCTTCCAAATATTCTCTAGTAGGGTGACTCTGGACCTAAATAGACAAACACATTTTGTACCTTTCTGTAATTCAACTTAATTCTAATATAGATCCCCTTTCTTCTGGGAAGAGTGGAAATACTCAGTGTGAGTCTTTCCTTCCCTTTCCAGGTGGGTATATAGGTGGGCTTAAGTAGTGCAAGGCACGATAGGAAGGGGAACATCTGCTCCTTCATGGCATCAGTCCACAGAAACATCGATTATTCATTGGGTCTTCTGTTGATTCCTGTGCAGATCCATTCCCTTTCAAGAGCCTTGCTTCTTTCTTGGGTCTCAATCTGGGCCAAGAGATCAGTTTCTTCTACCACTGGGTCTCACCAATCCTCTCGTGGGTTTTGCTGTCCCCATGAGACCCTAACCAGGAGGCAGGACCCAAGAACTTCCCTCTGGGAACTGCCAATATTCTCTTCCTGTTGTTGACAGACTCCATGCAACACAGACATGCTGACATATATACTCACTGTCTGTCTCTCTCTTTTATCTTCCACAAGTCTAGAGAATCTTTTTCTAGCCTGAGAAGGAGAAAATGTCCTCTCTGACTCCCTGTGGGCAATTTGTCCAAGCTTTATATTTCTCTAGAGGCATCTGCCTTTGGAACCCAAAAGACAAAGGATTCTTTTTTACCCTCTCCTTTGCTCAAAGTCACACCTTTCCTCTGAGGCCAGGAGCAGAAAATGGCTTAATTAGGATGTGGGTGGAGGGGAGAGGGAACCAACAGGGGGAAATAGATGTGCAAGGGAAACCATGGGCTGGTGTTTGAGAGGCATCCACCCATCTCAGCTCCTCTTGGCTTCATTCTCCCCAGAGGTTCAGGTAAGACCCTGTTTTTGCCTTTCATCCTTCTTGTGTTCTTAATCTTTCACTTTGCTAATTCTGTGGGTATTCTCATTCTCTGTGTGATGAAAGCTTTGCATGCAATTGTTCCTGTAGGCTTTGCCTTTCTGATTAGATGGCAAACTCATTAGTAATTTCCTACAGAGCCTATCTGTGTTCTCAGGCAGTGAATGTTCCAAAGACTGTTGACTGACTCACACACAGAGGTGCGGACACATACACTGCTGTCTGTCTTCATTTTCTTTTCATTTGTCCTCGTTAACAAAGAGGCTCTTATAAACGTTTCTAAGTCCTTGTTATCACCTGAGGCTATTTCTATATAAATAATTATCTCAAATTACTTACGTGACGTATGACAAAAATCCACAAAAGAAATGTAGGCCTCTTAAAATATGAACTTTGAGTGATTGCTTATCTAGAAAGTCAGATAGCCCGTTTTAAAATATATCAACCACAAAATATTTCTTCCTGAGTCACTTGATGTTTATCCTTATGGAGCCCAGGAGGGACAGAATGTGTAGCATGGTGGGACCTCCGTAGAGACGCAGGAAGGGAAGTCAACCAGGACTGAGCAGAAAGCCATTGCTCGTGTTGTGGGCGGGGGCGGGGGTTGTTGAGGGAAACTAGACTTCTGGTTTCTGGTCAAGTATAAGAGGGACTTGGAACAATGAGGAAAAAACTGAACAAACTGAAAAATCAACAACTCTTCTTCTATCTGTCATGCGCGTCCGTGTGAAGAGACCACCAAACAGGCTTTGTGTGAGCAATAAATCTGTTTATTTCACCTGGGTGCAGGTGGGCTGAGTCCAAAAAGACAGTCAGCGAAGGAAGATGGGGTGGGACCATTTTATAGGATTTGGGTAGGTAAAGGAAAAAAGGGGGTTGTTCCCTGGCGGGCAGGAGTAGGGGTCACAAGGTACTCAGTGGGGGAGCTTTTGAGCCAGGATGAGCCAGGAGAAGGAATTTCACAAGACAATGTCATCAGTTAAGGCAGGAACAGGCCATTTTCACTTCTTTTGTGGTGGAATGTCATCAGTTAAGGCAGGAACCAGCCATCTGGATGTGTACATGCAGGTCACAGGGGATATGATGGCTTAGCTTGGGCTCAGAGGCCTGACATTCCTGTCTTCTTATATTAATAAGAACAATAAAATGAAATAGTGGTAAAGTGTTGGGACAGTGAAAGTTTTGGGGGGCGGTATGGAGAGATAAAGGGCGATGTTTCTCAGGGCTGCTTCGAGCGGGATTAGGGGCAGCGTGGGAACCTAGAGTGGGAGAGATTAAGTTGAAGGAAGCTTTTGTGGTAAGGGATGACATTGTGGGGTTGTTAGAAGAAACATTTGTCATTTAGAATTATTGGTGATGGCCTGGATACAGTTTTATATGAATTGAAAAACTAAATGGTATAAGAGAAGGAGAAAAACAGGTATAAAAGGTCTAAGAATTGGGACGACTCAGGACATCTGATTAGAGAGTGCCTAAGGAGATTCAGCACAGTCCTGCCAGCAAAGATTATTTATTTACTTCAAGAGTTAAGAGTGGCAGTCTGGGGATAGCACCAGGAGATAACAGCTGTGATGGCTTGGAGAAACAGTGTAAACCGGCAGTGTAAACAAGAGCAGGGTATGTATGAGTAGTTGAGAATGGTGAATAGGAGTATGACTAGACAGAAGATAGTAGGGATGACAAGTTTTTTGGGGGCACAGTCTATGTTGGTCTGGTGTCTGGAATGAGACTTGGGCCTAATAAAAAGGAGTGTCTATACAGGAGCTCAAATGGGCTGTACCCTGTAGCATTCTGAGGACAGGTCTGACTTCTGAGAATGGAAAGTGGTAAAAGTATTGTCCAGTCCTTTTTAAGTTGGTGGCTGAGCTTGGTGAGGTGTGTTTTTAAAAGACCATTAGTCTATTCTACTTTTCCTGAAGACTGAGGACCGTAAGGGATATAAAGGTTTCACTGAATACTAAGAACCTGAAAAAATGCTTGGGTGATTTGACTAGTAAAGGCTGGTCCATTATCAGACTGTATAGAGGTGGGAAGTCCAAACTAAGGAATTATGTCTGACAGAAGGGAAGAAATGACCGTGGTGGCCTTCTCAGACCCTGTGGGAAAGACCTCTACTTATCTAGTGAAAGTGTCTACCTAGACTAAGAGGTATTTTAGTTATCTGACTCGGGGCATGTTGAGTAAAGCTAATTTGCCAGTCCTGGGTGGGGGCAAATCCTCAAGCTTGATGTGTAGGGAAGGGAGGGGGCCTGAATAATCCCTGAGAAGTAGTAGAATAGCAGATGGAACACTGAGAAGTTATTTCCTTGAGGATAGATTTCTACGATGGAAAGGAAATGAGAGGTTTTAAGAGGTGGGCTAGTGGCTTGTACTATAGCATAGCCTGCCTTTCTGGTGTGTGGTGATTAGGCCTGTTGGAACTGCCATCAATAAACCAAGTGTGATCAGGGTGAGAAACAGGGAAGAAGAAAATGTGGGGAAATGGGGTGAACGTCAGGTGGATCAGAGAGATGCAGTCATGAGGGTCAGGTGTGGTATCAGGAATAATGTGGGAGGCCAGATTGAAGTCCGGGCCAGGAACAATGGTAATTGTGGGAGACTCAACAAAGAGTGAGTACAGCTGAAGGAGCCGGGGAGCAGAAAGTATATGCGTCGGGTATGAGGAAGAAAATAGATTTTGGAAATTATGAGAGCTGTAGAGAGTGAGTTGAGCATAGTTTGTGATTTTGAGGGCCTTTAAAAGTATTAGGGCGGCAGCAGCCGCAGCACGGAGACATGATGGCCAGCCTAAAACAGTAAGGTCACGTTGTTTGGACAAAAAGGCTACAGGACGCGATCCCGGTCCTTGTGTAAGAATTCTGACTGCACAGCCCTGCACTTCGGCTGTGTATAATGAAAAGGGTTGGGATGAGTCAGGGAGAGCTCGGGTGGGGGCAGCCTCTAAAGGTGTCTTCAAGGAACGGAAAAAGGAGTAGGGAAAGGATTTAGGATTTATGGGGTCAGCTAGGTTTCTTTTTGTAAGTTTATATAATGGTTTTGTTAGGATGGCAAAACCAGGTATCTAAAGTCGAAAGTATCTAACCATGCCTAGGATGTAGAAGGTGTTGGGATTTGAGAGATCAGTCAGACACGATTGGCAGGGAGAGCACGTGTGTTTTTATAAGAATTACGCCGAGACAGGTAACAGATAAGGAAGAAATTTGGGCTTAACTGAAGTAATGGGGGATGACTGTGAAGCCTTGAGGCAGTACAGCCCAGGTAATTTGCTGAGCCTGATGGGTGTCAGGGTCAGTCCAAGTGAAAGCAAAGAGAGGCTGGGATGAAGGGTGCAAAGGAATAGTAAAGAAAGCATGTTTGAGATCTAGAACAGAATAATGCGTTGTAGAGGGAGGTATTGAGGATAGGAGAGTATATGGGTTCAGCACCACGGGGTGGATAGGCAAAACAATTTGGTTGATAAGGTGCGGATCCTGAACTAACCTGTAAGGCTTGTCTGGTTCTAGGACAGGTAAAATGGGGAAATTGTAAGGAGAGTTTATAGGCTTTAAAAGGCCATGCTGCAGCAGGCGAGTGATAACAGGCTTTAATCCTTTTAAAGCGTGCTGTGGGATGGGATCTTGGCATTGAGTGGGGTAAGAGTGATTAGGTTTTAATGAGATGGTAAGGGGTGCATGATCGGTCGCCAAGGAGGGAGTAGAGGTATCTTATTCTCGTGGGTTAAGGTGGGGGGATACAAGAGGAGGACACAAAGGAGGCTTTGGATTGGGAAGAAGGGTGGCAATGAGATGTAGCTGTAGTCCAGGAATAGTCAGGGAAGCAGATAATCTAGTTAAGGTGTCTTGGCCTAATAAGGGAACTGGGCAGGTGGGGATAACTAAAAAGGAGTGCTTAAAAGAATATTGTCTAAGTTGGCACCAGAGTTGGGGAGTTTTAAGAGGTTTAGAAGCCTGGCCATCAATACCCACAGCAGTTATGGAGGCAAGGGAAACAGGCCCTTGAAAAGAAGGTAATGTGGACTGGGTAGCCTCCGTATTGATTAAGAAGGGGACGGACTTACCCTCCACTGTGAGAGTTACCTAGAGCGTCTGTGATGGTCCTGCAGGCTTCCAAGGCGATCAGGCAGTGTCAGTCTTCATCTGCTAAGCTGAGAAGATCTGAGAAGGAGTCAGTCAGAGAGCCTTGGGCCAGAGTTCCAGGGGCTCTGGGAGTGGCTGCCAGGTGAGTTGAACAGTCCGATTTCCAGTGGGGTCCCACACAGATGGGATGCGGCTTAGGAGGAATCCCGGGCTGTGGGCATTCCTTGGCCCAGTGGCCAGATTTCCGGCACTTGTAGCAAGCTCCTGGGGGAGGAGGTTCTGGAGGAATGCCTGGCCGCTGCAGTCAGGCGTTTGGAAGTTCTTGTGTGCTGGAGATATGGCTGGGGTTTGTCTCACAGTGAAGGCAAGGAATTGCAACTTTTTTCTATTATTGTACACCTTGAAGGCGAGGTTAATTAAATCCTGTTGTGGGGTTTGAGGGCCGGAATTTAATTTTTGGAGTTTTATTTAATATCGGGAGCAGATTGGGTAATAAAATGTATATTGAGAATAAGACGGCCTTTTGACCTTTTAGGGTCTAGGGCTGTAAAGCGTCTCAAGGTTGCTGCCGAACGAGCCATGAACTGGGCTGGGTTTTTTATATTTGATGAAAAAGAGTCTAAACGCTAACTGATTTGGGAGAGGTCGGTTAAAGAAAAAGGAGCATTAACCTTCACTATGCCTTTAGCTCCAGCCACATTTTTAAGAGGAAATTGCTGGGCAGGTGGGGGAGAGCTAGTCGAGGAATGAAACTATAAGCCGGACCAGGTGTGAGGAGGGGAGGTGATAAAAGGATTATAGGGTGGAGGAGTGGAGGCTGAGGAAGAATTGGGACCTAGCTCAGCCTGGCGAGGAGGGGAGAGGTCAGATGGGTCTGTAGAAAAGGAAGATTAGAAAGACTCAGCAACACTTGGGGTTCGGACTGAGGGGACAGGCGGGAGGGAAAGGAGGAAGATTTGGTACGAGTTGCATTGGGCACAGAGACTAGGAAGGGACCAATGTGTAAAAGAATGCCTGGACATCAGGCACTTCAGACCGTTTGCCTATTTTACGACAAGAATTATTTAGATCTTGCAGGATGGAAAAATTGAAAGTGCCGTTTTCTGGCTATTTGGAACTATTGTCGAGTTTGTATTGGGGTCAAATGGCATTGCAGAAGAAAATAAGGCATTTAAGTTATAGGTCAGGTGTGAGTTGAAGAGGTTTTAAGTTTTTGAGAACACAGGCTAAGGGAGAAGAAGGAGGAATGGGGGGTAGAAAGTTGCCTATAGTGAAGGAGGCAAGTTTAAAGAAAAGGGAGAGCAGACACACGGAGGGAAGTGGTTCGGGGGTTCTTACCCTCCAGAAAAGCAGGAAAGGGGTCGGGGCGCAGAGATACAAGGTCGGGGCATGGAAATAAGGGATCAGGGTGCAGAGATATAGGAGGTTGAGGCGCAGAAATAAGGGATTGGGGCGCAGAGATATAAGACATTGGGGCACGGAAATAAGGGATCTGGGCGCAGAGATATGAGGTTGGGGTACTTGCCCCTCCTCCAGAAAAGCAGGACTTGCCACTAACGGTGAAGGAGAAGGGGTTGAGGGGTTCTTGCCTCTCCCCCAGAAAAGCAGAGAATGGGTAGAGACAGGGAGAGAAGGGATTGGGGCACTTGCCCCTCCCCCAGAAAAGCAGGACTTGCCGCTAAGGGTGAAGGACCAAGGCAGGCGTCCCTGCGTGGTCTGACACCTCTGAAACGTGGGTGAATAATCACAGAGGCATCCCTGCAATGATTAAACACCAAAGGAAGGCTGCCTTCCCAGTCCGTGACCGGTGCTGGAGTTTTGGGTCCATGGACAAAACGTGTCTCCTTTGTCTCTACCAGAAAATGAAAGGAATTGAAATTAAGAGAAGGGAGAGATTGAAGTGTGGTGCCAAGATTGAAAGGAGAAAGAGGTTGAGGGATAGTGAGGGAGGTTGGAGAAGAGAGTAAAAAGAGGCTGCTGATCGGATTTGAAATTGGTGAGATGTTTCTTGGGCTGGTCGGTCTGAGGACCTGAGGTCGTAGGTGGATCTTTCTCATGGAGCAAAGAACAAGAGGACAGGGGATTGATTTCCCAAGGGAGGTCCCCCCATCTGAGTCATAGCACCAAATGTCATGTGCGTCCGTGTGAAGAGACCACCAAACAGGCTTTGTGTGAGCAATAAAGCTGTTTATTTCACTTGAGTGCAGGTGGGCTGAGTCTGAAAAGAGAGTCAGCTAAGGGAGATGGGGTGGGGCTGTTTTATAGAATTTGGGTAGGTAAAGGAAAAAGGGGGGTTGTTCTCTGGCAGGCAGGAGTGGGGGTCACAAGTTTCTCAGTGGGGGAGCTTTTGAGCCAGGATGAGCCAGGAGAAGGAATTTCACAAGACAATGTCATCAGTTAAGGCAGGAACAGGCCATTTTCACTTCTTTTGTGGTGGAATGTCATCAGTTAAGGCAGGAACCGGCCATCTGGATGTGTACGTGCAGGTCACAGGGGATGGCTTAGCTTGGGCTCAGAGGCCTGACACTATCCATCAGAGAAGTGAGGTCACAGGGCAAAATGCTGTCCCTAAGATTGAAGAGACAAAGGCAGATGGAGAGAATCACAGCTTACCAGATCAGAAGCCCCAGAGCAGAAAACTCTTCAGGAACCAGGACCAGGGTAGAAAAAGCTAAACTCAAACTGATGAATTTCTCAAGGCTCCTTGTGAACAAGCCTGAGAGTTAAAAACGCCTTGGGGTCCAGGTGTAGGGTGAGGTGGGGTCCTACTCTTCCGTGAGTTTTACCTCCAAAAGCCCTACAAGGTTCTCATAGTGAAAATCAGAAGAAAAAAAAATCCCTTTGTCTTTCCAGCAGGTGAGAAAAAAAAAATAACCTTTTTGAATTATATCCAGAAAATTCTGTGGTTTTTGTTGTTGTTGTTGCTGTTGTTTTAAAGAGATCTGCTCTCAAGAGAAACTATTATACTTTACCAGTGCTTCAACTATGGGGGTTTCACAAAAGACTGATTGACATGGGGAAAGGAAATACCCACCTTCAGCACCCTCTGGTTTTCATGGTGGGAGGTGGGAAAAGGCAGTAGGAAACAAAAGAAGCAAAACTGAGAAGTGCTTGGGAAGGTTACAGCCCGAGAACACAAGCTCATCTGAAAACCGGGCCCTAATTATAGGACTATTGAGCACTTCTCCTTCCCCACATCTCATCATCACATTAATAGGGCTCCTGTGGCATAATAGAGGATTACAACAGAAAAAAGCATGCAGCTCAGACATTATTTAAGAACAGTTTGGACAAAACGGATCCAGGTACTGAGGCTAGCACCAGAAAGGGCACTCAGGTGGTGGCTGGGATGCCACAGTGAAGTGAACAAGAAGATGAGGCCAGGATGGACCTGGCAGTAATGTGCCAAGCTCTGTACTTGGGAAAAAACCAGCATAGAGTCTGCTACCTTGCAGATATCCATCAATGACTCACAAACATCCTTGTAAAATTGCATCTATGACAAGGGACCCAAGGTAGAGGTATATTGTGCTATGAGAACCTAACATAGGGGAAATCAGTGTGATTGTAGAGGTCACAGAAAGCTTTCCAGAGGAGGGGCTTGAGGAAGATCTAAGAGTTGAGTGAGGATGCTTTCCAGGCAGAGGGAACAGTATGTGCAAAAGTTCTGAGATGGAAGCAGCGTGGTGAGTATGAACAACTGCCAAAACCTGGAACCCCGAAATCTTGAGTCTATGAGAGAGATTGTCAAAAGAGGATGGGTTTCATTAAGAGGTTGGAAGGAACTGCTAGTTAATACTTAGGAACTAGGCAGTCTGTGTGTCGCAGACATTTTCTTTAAACCCCTAGGCAGATTTAGAAAAATTTAGACATCACATATGAATGATATCCCGTCTAAAAATAGCATGAGAAAAAGTAGGATGATGGCGTGTGTGTGTGTATAGGTATGCCAGTGCCAGAAATCATTTATATAGTCTAGCAGGAAGCTGAATCTGGGGTATAGGAACTTGATGCAAAAGTTAAAAAAAAAAAAAAATAAGGTGAGAACTCAGCCTGAACAAAAAGAGTCATGGCCTGAAAGTTGGCAGACCTTCGTCCAGGCCCTGTCTGTGACTGCTCTGACTGTGGGCTTCTCTAGCCCCTTTAACTGTATACAGGGCAATTTTCTTATATCCAAGATGGAAATATTTCTTGATCTTGCCAGCTCTTAGGTGTGGTGAAAAACACCAAGTTAACATATGGAAAGCAGGTCTGTGGGAAGATGGTATAAACAGTACAGAGGCTGTCACTTCATTCATTCATGGCACCCATTTCAGTGGACACGTGTCTATTGAGCGTCCTATATGCTATATGCTAGGAATGCAGTGGTTAGTACAACCTGCAGGGTCCCTACACTCAGAGCTGGACTCCTGCCATCTGGCTAATGTCACTCAATGAATGTCAGTAGCTCTGCACAATCAAGTGCTGGGATTAAAAGATAGAATAGGTTTTTTTTTTTTCTTTCATGGAACTCAGAATTCACTGAGAAAGAAATCTAATAAACTGTGGAGGGCACCATAAAATAGAAGTAAAAGACACGGTGGGGGGTGTTAGCAATTGAACTGGTGGGGATGCAGACAGGTGATTAGGAAATCTTTCAAAAGAGTTGAGTTTTGAAAGGAGTCAGGAGGGAGGATTATACAGTGATGTAATTAATCAGTTTTTTTATTAGCATAAAATGTTTGACGTATTGGCACTTCTGCAAAAACTCCATATATGTTGCAAAAAACCATGTCTTCTGCAAAATTGCAGATTAAAAATAATAGGATTTATGAGGAAAATGGGATTAGGAGGATCCCTCAAAATCAATAGCACTTTGTAACCAAAGATAGATAAAAGCAATAATAATCCAATAAAACACTAGCCTGGTGAAAACTGCATGCTGGCCTGTGCACCTAGTATTGGTCCTTTGCAGCCCAAAGCCCTGGAACTTATGTGTGGTTCATTTCTAATAGTGACAATTTTCATCAACATTAAAATTTAATTCAGGGCAAAGTTTTCTTCATCCTTTTCTTTCTTAACATGGAGAAAATATATTTGCAGCCTTTTCATCTGTAGTTGTAGCTTCCCCAAATAGGTTTAAAATAAATGTGGTTGTTTATGAAGTCTCTAAAGCAGCCAGATTTGCACTAAAGTAACTTCTGTAGGATTTTAAGCTTTTGTCTTTACGTCTTCATATATTTCTAAGGCCTTTTCCTTATTTTGGAGAAAGCTTGCACTTGATTGCATGAAAAAAAAATGTGCTCAGGAAAATGACAGAAGCAGTCACAAAATTTCTGGACACAAACATCATTCTTTCATTTCACAATCAGATATGAGCTAATTTGTGTTTAAGAAGTAAGCATTGCAGCAGAATTGATCATAAATCATTCCACAAAACAAAGTCCCTGGAAACTTGTTCATCAAAATAAGTGGTGTTGTCTGCACAGTGTGAAAATGGACAAATAATATGCTTTATGGCAACAAATGCTCAAAAACTTTTGGAAACTCTTCATTTGGAAATACTTTCAGAACATGCTGTGGGCTGAATAGTGTTCCTCCCAAATTCATGTGTTGAAGCACTAACCTCCAATGTGACTGTATTTAGAGATACAGTCTTTATGGAAGAAATTAAGGTTAAATGAGGTCATCTCCAGGGCTTTCTCTAGGAGATCCAATCGAGGCCAATGTAGGTCCCCATTCTGATAGGATTAGTGTTCTCAGAAGGAGAGACACCAGAGTGCTCTCTATCTCTCTGTTACTCTCTCAGTGTCTCTGCCATGTAAGGACATGGTGAGAAGGTGGCCTTCTGCAAGCCAGGAAAGGAGTCCTCACCAGATCCAGCCATGCCGGATCCCATTCGAGACTCTCTCCAGTAACATTTCTTGTGTTTCACACTCCTAGTCTATGGTATCTTGTTATGGTGGCTCAACTGACTAATACAGAGCCCTTATACAGTCTTTCAAATATCCTCAGAATAGTAAATTTTTGTCTTAAGAAGGCACATTTTATATTTGGAATCCACTAAATATTTGAAGCCAAGGATATAGAACAAAGTGGATGAGTGAACAGCATAAGAACATTTTTAAAAGTAAGAAAAAACAATGAAATGTAGTTATAAAGTAAAAACATTGCTTTGGATTGGATTTGGGAGTAATTTACAAAAATGAACAAAGGACAGCATCTTTGTGATAATTGTGCAGTCTCCAACAGAACCACTTTGAAGGACAAAAGTCATTTACAAAATTATGTTTTTTCTGAATTATAAAAGAACAAAGACATGTTAATTCATCGTAGAAAATTCCAAAATTTTGGGAAATTATAAATTAATTAAAAAAACCCAGAAATGTACTATCAAACCATCTCCAGAGATAACCACTACAAACATTTTGTAAGAGTTTATTCCAGAATGCTTGGCCCCCAAATATCCACACGTACACTTACACAATCTCATATATTTGGGATCACACTGAATATGGTGTTATGTAACTTGTTTTGTTTCCATTTAACATTATGTTATGAGCATTTCATAAGTAATCTAGCAGACTTGAAACAATGCAATTATATGTTTGTATAATATTCCATTCTATAAATATGCCAATCACCTTTTAAAATTATCTACTGCCAGACATTAAAAACGTTCACATAGTTAAATGTTACAAATAATAAGATTTAAAATGATACAGTATTCCATGAACTTGTCCAAAAATGGATAGTTAAAGGAGTTCTTGAATCTCACTTCTGTTCTAGAAAGCTAAGTGTGCCAATTACTCCCAGTGGGGACAATTTTTGAAGAAATGAGTATATAGTAGAAAAACCAGGGTCAAGAGTTTTAAAGTAATCACCAGATAGGCCATATTTTAGGTAGAATTACATCACCAGTGTGGACTCTTAATCCTGTAATTGGCTCCAATCTTCCCCCATGTACCATAAATTTAATCAGAGTGGTCTAATGTCTCGAATCAATGTTTCCAACTTTTTTCAGTAAACCACTTAATGCAAAATCCACAGCTCTATAAAACCCAATTATGAAACTTTCTCCTTTTTATAATCAGTTAATCATAAAGCTCTCTTGTATATACTCAGCAAAAGAAAGACAAATGATACACACCCTAGAATTCTCTAACACAGCTGAGTTTTAGTTTTTCTTGAAGGAACAATCACGGAATGTAGGCTACAGTTCCATGCAGTAGTTACAATAAACCGAGAAGAAACAGAAATAGGACGAGGTCTGTTTCTCATCCTATGCCATTTTATGTCCCTATTATTTGGCAGGTCTTGAAGGACAGAAGAGAAAAAGTGGGAGGATGTTTCCAAAGCCACATCCCAGTCTTGGACCAACTTGAGTGTGTCTGGGTGGCTGTGACAGAGGCATGGGGGATCCTAGGCCTGAGAGTGGCATCTTCTGCCTGGTTCATCCTTTGGGCTCCTAGAGAATGGGACCGTCATCCTCAGCAGTGGAAAGTCCTTGCTGCGGGTTGCACACGCTTAGGAGACACCTGAGTCAGGGAGTGCGGACATTGCAGATGCCACACCTCCCCGTTTCCTGTCCCAATTCCTTGGGAAATAGGTCACATGCAGATTTTATTGGCTGCATGTGGACCTTGCAGAGGAAACCACATACCCTGAGGAACAGGAACCAGAAAGGCAGCTCCCCATCTCCTTAACTGCTCTGACTTCTGCCCTCTCTTTCTCAGCCTTAGCTGAAGAGCTCATCTCTTTCTGCTAGGACTATTTTAATAGTCTCCAAATCGGCTTCCTGACTCTAAATTGGCTTCCTGACTCCAAATTGGTTTCCTATCAGATCTGTCTTTTGGAAGCTTTAAATGTTTAGTTCTTTATAGCCTGCAGGATTAAAATCCAACCTCTTAGCATAATATTCAAGGCTCTTTGAGGTCTGGCTCCATGCCTACTGGACTCCACGCTCCACCAATATTGAAATAATGACAGTTACCTGAATGCATCTTGCTGTTTAAGATTCTACAGGTATGACTTTGGGCAAGGTGCTTATCTCCTCTCTGTTTTGGCTCATTTAGAGGTGAAGGTGAGAATAGAATCTGCCTTGTTGTAGTGTTGTGAGGATTAAATGAGATAATATGCAAAAAAGACTTACAGAGAAGTCTGGCACATAGTAAAATGCTCAACAAATTCTATTACTATTATTCCCTCTTCCTGAACTTCTTTATTTTCCATTTTAATCTGTCAGGTCTGTGCTTATCTTTCGAGAGGCAAATCAAGTGCCTCCTCTCTGTTCAGTGTTTACTTGCCTCTGCTGAGTAGAGATCATTGCTTCTGTTGTCTCCTACTGCACTAAGAACCTACCACTCACATCATGAGGTACACCCTTTGCAGTTATTTGCTTGCATATTTTTCTTTGCCATAAGACTGTAAGCTCAGTGACGGCAGGTACCATGCCCCAGTCATCTCTGTAGCTCCCACTTAGCACAGAGCTTAGCACATGGTAAGACCCTTACTTGACTTTTATTGGATGGGTTAGGATTAGGAATCCCCAGCTGCTTGATGCCTTCCCAGCCTGGCGCTCATATATGAGAGTGGGTATTGGGTTCTCATCATTCGACATTGCAGGTCAGATGCATTTCAGTTGCACAGCCGTGTAAGATGGTCCCTGTGCATCTGCCCACAGGAAGACGTTGCAAATGTCTGCAGCTGATATCCCCATCCCCTAGAAAGCACCTCTCAGCAAATTTCTATGTGCTGGATTCAACATAAGAGCCACATCTCAGTGTGCAAGGGAAGACAGTTTCTGGGCCTGTACCTTTCACCTGACAGATGCCCAATTTACTGTGTCCAGCATGCTCAAGTCCATTCTACAGCAGTTAAGAATATTTTCATTGTGCTTCAAAGTGACATGCTAAGATAGATCTGGCTGTGGGGGTGGGAAGGAACACTAACTACATTTTCCAAAATTAAAGTTTCTTCTTATAATTACCAAGTAAAGTTGTCCATGCAGGAGTACCAGCTCTTCATAAATCTCCTAAATAGCTCTTGTTTAAAATCTGATATAATTCCAAAATGTCCATAAAGATGATTAGAATATAGCACAAGAATACCTGGCCACAGAGAAACGTATTTAAAATCAGTTCAAGGCTGATCTTGAAAAATTGCAAGAGGGGAAATATGTAAAGCAGGAAAAATGTGTTATAACGAAAAAAAAGTGTGAGACTCCTTCTCCATGAGAAAACTGTAATCAGATTCCTCAGCTCTGCTGAAAGGATGATACTGGCACTTCAAAGTCTTTAAAAAATTATTGAGCTATGAGGCATGAGAACAGAGTGCCAAGTAGTTAATAAAGATTACTATAGGGATAAAAATTTGAAACTATCAAATATTAGGAACCATTAAGAAAATTACACTACCTCTACAGTACTATAAAGGCATTAAAGAGGTATTAATAAACATTCTTTAATGGCCTGGAAAATACTAATGAATAATATTATGCCAAAAAAGTAATTATAAAACCGTATACACAGGATGATCTTGAGTATGTACAATGCATAGTAAGAAATAGAAGGAATCGGTCATATCTGTCACGGTTGTTACGTTTTAGTAGGTGGTAGTGGAATTATAAGGCCCTCTTCCTGCTCCTGTCTTTTACCTATTTATCAAGTTATATTAAAGTAAAACATTTTCTTATTATTTATTTTACTGAAAAAATCTTTGATTCCTATTTAGAACTGAAGTTTGCCAGTGAGTGATTGGCTCTTCCGAAATATTCTCTGATAGGGTTTGGATCTGTGTCCTCACTAAATCTCACATTGAATTTTAATCCCTAATGTTGGAGGTGGGGTGTGGCGGGAGGTGATTGGATCATGGGAGCAGATTTCTCATGAATGGTTAACACCATCCCGTTGCTGCTGTTCTTGTGATAGTCAGTGAGTTCTGGCAAGATCTAGTTGTTTAAAAGTGTGTAGTACCTTCCCCCTTGCTCTCTCTCTTGCTCCTGCTCCCACTTCACCTTCTGCCATGATTGTAAGTTTCCTAAGGCCTCCCCAGAAGCTGAGCAGATGCCAGCACCATGCTTTCTGTACAATTTGCATAATCGTGAGTCAATTAAACCTCTTTTCTTTATAAATTACCCAGTCTCAGGCATTTCTTATAGCAATGCAAGAATGGACTAATACATCCTCTTGTGGTTGGGGGTGGGTGGTGGGTAGCAGAGGCCTTGGGAGAACAGACTTTCAGAAAGTATCAGATAGTCCAGCCCTGCTGGAGGAATGTACCCATCCCTGGTAAGTTCTTGCTGAAGCTAGGGAGAAAATGGGGGAGTCAGTTTCCTGTTTCCCATATGGGTTCCTGTTCTAGCTCCATCCCAGCTTCCCACACCCACTGTGGGAGACTTAAGGCTTGGGCAGCTCTTCACAGCACTGGGGGAAAGATGGAAGCCACCTGGACAACAGAGAGCCAACTGAGAGATGGGCTTGGGAGCTGCCATAAATGCCCAATGGCTGCATTTTGCTTGTACTAGAGGTGGAGTGAAAGATAGTGCTCTTTAAAAATCACTCTGAAATTTATTGCTTGGAAGTAGGATTTGAAAAATAAATAAATAAAATGAACTTCCTTGTTAGTATGAACTGGAGGGAAATAACTAGATTTGAGAAGGTTGATGGTGACATTGATCAGTGAGGCCCTATTGAAAAGGAAAGTTTGGATAGATTTGTATGGTATTATGCCCATCCTTTCTGGTTGCTAAAGCCCCAGGCCAGGACCTTCCTGTTGCTGTAGAGGGCTATCAAGAGAAAAATAATTTCACCCCACTTGTCAGGAACTTTGCTACTCTCAGCCAGACCCTTATCTATGACTCATGAGTACTGGGCAAAAAAGACCCCTCATCCTACAAAGTAGTTGGCCAGTGAACCTTATGGTGAGGAGCCTGGTCTGATTGGATAATTCAGACAGATGGTTGTAGATGCCTCTGGTTCTTGAGAATTACAGGGATCCTTGGGCAATAGACTCAACCAATAATTTTTTATTATGTTTCAGGCCCCGTTCCAGACAATGAGGATAGGGTAGCAAATAATGGATAGGTAGTACATTACTATAAATAGTGGCCCCAAGGAATTGGTCTAGTGGGATATGGACTTTCTAAAAGATGAGGAGAAAAGAAAGTCATGATGTGATTTAACCTGGATTGTTTGCAGTCAAACTTTGGAGACAAGGTAGTAAGGAAAAGAGCATAGGCCTTGCTATCAAATGGGTGAAGTTCTTTACACTGTATACAAAAATTAACTCAATACAGATTGAAGACTTAAATGTAAAGCCAAAAACTGTAAAAACCCTAGAAGAAAATCTAGGCAGTACCATTCAGGACATAGGCGCGGGCAAAAATTTCATGAAAAACATCACCAAAAGCACTTGCAACAAAAGCAAAAATTGACAAATGGAATTGAATTAAACTAAAGAGCTTCTGCGCAGCAAAAGAAACTATCATCAGAATGAACAGGAAACCTACAGAGTGGGAGAAAATTTTTGCAATCTATCCATCTGACAAAGGGCTAATATCCAGAATCTACAAGAAACTTAAACAAATTTACAAGAAAAATCAAACAACCCCATTAAAAAGTGGGCAAAACATATGAACAGACACTTCTCAAAAGAAGACATTCATGTGGCCAAGAAACATATGAAAAATGCTCAACATCAATAATAATTAGAGAAGCGCAAATCAAAACCACAATGAGATACAATCTCATACCCAGTCAGAATGGCGATTATTAAAAAGTCAAGAAACAACAGATGCTGGTGAGGTTGCAGAGAAAAAGGAACGTTTTTACACTGTTGGTGGGAATGTAAATTAGTTTAACCATTGTGGAAGATGGTGTGGTGATTCCACAAAGATCTAGAACGAGAAATAACATTTAATCCAGCAATCCCATTCCTGGGTATATACCAAAAGGAATATAAATCATTCTGTTACAAAGATGCATTACATGCATGTATATGTTCATTGCAGCACTATTCACAATAGCAAAGACATGGAATTAACCCAAATGCCCCTAAGTGACACACTGGATAAACAAAATGTGGTACATATACACCATGGAATATTATGCAGCCATAAAAAGAATGAGATCATGTTCTTTGCAGGAACATGGATGGAGCTGGAAGCCATTATCAGCAAACTATTGCAGGAACAGAAAATCAAACACTGCGTGTTCTTACTTATAAGTGGGAGCTGAATAATAGGACCACATGCGAGGGGAACAACACACACTGGGGGCTGTTGGGGGTGGGTTGGGGAGAGGGAGAACATTAGGAATAAATAGCTAATGGATGCTGGGCTTAATACCTAGGTGTTGAGTTGATAGGTACAGCAAACCACCATGGCACATGTTTACTTATGTAACTAATTTGCACACGTACCAGAAAACTTAAAATAAAAATACAAATTAAAAAAAATAGGTAAAGGTCTGTCTCTGGGTCCTGGCCTGTAAAGCAATGTTGTCTTGGGCCAATTATTTAACCCTTTTGGGCCTTGGTATTCTCATTTATAAAATGGATTTGTATGAGGGGTCAAAAGTCAACATTTCTAGAAATGCCAATTGTTTTGCAAATGTATGTATTCTTATTGCTTCACTAACACTTATTATCTTTACCAACATTGTTATTGTCAGACTTCTTGGTTGCCTGCCAGAAGCAAAGGTAAGTCTGTTTTGGAGGAAGATGAAATCAACCAGAGCCTCAAATTATTTTACCATTTTTAGTATGTATTTCCTAGTATAAAACAGATAATCTGGCATTTGGAGACAAGTATTGATCCATAAACCCAGAGAAATGTGACAAAATTGAATAGACTTATGAGGAATCTAACAAGTAAAGATATTATACATGGACTTTAGAATAACTATGCTTAATATTTTTAGGGATTTAAAAGACAAGATTGAGAAAGAGAAATGAAAATTATTTTTTAATAACTGAATAAAAATTATAGAATTAAAAAATACAATAACTAAAAGAGTAATGGATTTGTACATTTAAAAATGGTTAAAATGTCAATTTTACGTTATATATATTTTACCACAAAAAGAGAGGGTAATAGGTTTAACAGAAAATTGGACATTGTTTTCAGAGGTAATAACCTCTGAACTAAGGGAAAGATTGGAAGAAAATACTCAGACTGAAACACTGAAAAAGAATCGAAAGATAGAAACGAGTGTAAGAGATACTTGAGATGCGGTAATAAGGTCTAACATAAGTGCAATTGGAATCCTAGAAAAAGAAGAGAGAGCTTCTGGTAGAAGCAAATAAGAAGAGGTAGTGGACAAAGGCACCCAGAATCAGGGAGACAGGAAAAATATTTGGTAAGTGGTTGGGACAGGCACTGATCAATCAGAATGGACATGGCAGGAGTCAATAACTGGCAGGGCCATGGTATTGTGTCCCAGCTGAATATCAGCCTGCCTTCCGCTAGGGGACGCAGCCTACTCACCACCATGCAGCTCTGCCTGCCAGGCTCAAGGCTGCCAGGAGTCATATCATAACCTCTACTGGGACAGCTACCCTGACAAGGGCAAGAACACCTGTTCTCCCTCTTCTATTCCTGCCTCAGCTGGGACACAAGCCCCCCTGCAGGCACAATTCCTCTAGCTGGAGTTACGTCCTGTTCATTCAGAGACATTGATGTCCATCCAGAAATAAAGGGGATGCCAGAGAGCAGACAGTGACTGTCCTAGCCAGGCTGCCTTTCACACTCTTGTTGCTGTTACCCTGCCTCCGAGGCCAGCACACTGCCTGACGACTTCCCATCTCTTAGACCTTTGGTTTCTTTCATCTCTGTAGTTCTGTGGATGCACTGGTCTCTGATCTAATTTCAGCTCCTGACACCACTTTTCTTCTCATTCCTCTGGGAGTGACCAGACATAGCCCTGAGATTGCACAACTTCAGGGGTAACTTCCCCCAGCATTCAATGTGCAGGGCAGGCCTGGCAGGCCATGACATAGCATACAGTGTGAATGGTGCACCCTGGACATGGGAAACCCCACAGTGTTATGATCAGTGTATTTGCAAGTGGGGCACTCTGTGAATCCTGAAGTGCTAGCTAGTTGAGAAATCTTCTACGTTTTCGGCTTCAGCTACTGTTTTGATGTGGTGACCATCTTTTCCTCTCTCCTTCTTGTTGTATCTCTGGGGATGCAGATCACAGTATTCACTCCTCTGACCACAGTGTGAGGAACCCTACCTGCTTCGCTCCTCATAGTTCTCATTGGGGATAAACATGTGACCCAGGACAGGCTAATCAGAGCCCTTCCCTGGGATTTTCTATGCATGCACCAGCAGAAAGATGCACCCCTTTTGCTATGGGTTTGCAAATGTGGAACTCTAAGCCCAGAATTTTCTATGGCCAAGCCCTGCGCTTATACAAACCACAAGGATTAGGAGGACATTAGGCCAAGTGTTGAGAGAGAAAGGTGTAGGGAGATGGAAACATATTATTTGAGTCCCTTGGACTGCCTAGTTATATAAGGCTTTACAGGCCCAGTTTTGCTCAAGATAGTTTTAGTTGAGTTTTAATCTCCTCCAGAACAACCCTGAAAATAAGAAAATCTTGGTACCTTAGGCATTTCTTACACAAGGGCTACAGTAGTAACCACAAAATGCATATTATTTCATAAGCCCATAAAATGTGGCAGGGCAGAGATGAAGGACAGTCTCTGGCAAGTGATTTTAAATCAAGTTAAAGCAACATTAAGTGACACACCAGCAGGCAGCACACACACCTAGCCAGCCCTGCCTGGAACTCCCGCAGATGGCAGCCTCTGCAGATACACTAGAAAAGCATTTGAGCCAATTTGGGCTGCAATTTCCATCCTAACTTTGCCTGGGTATAAAGGCCAGTATCCCTGCTGCTCTGGGACCTGCCAAACATTTCCTTCTTCACCAGACAGCCGACTTTGAGAGGGAAAGGCAGGACAAAACATCTCTAGTTTTTGTTGTCAGCTCAAATGAATGGAAAGCTGACTATTCCGCTGCTGCTAAGTGTACCCAGGCTGACGCACTGGTTGCCATGGTGCCTGAGTGCACTCTGCCACTGCCGAAATCTCTGCACCTGTACCTGCAAAATACCACTGACGGAGAGCTTATTTTTGTGATTAAAGTAGTTAGTCATGCATTAACAGCACAGGAGAACATTCTGCAGACCTGGAATGTCTGTGATGTCTCCATAGGTCAAATAGGAACACTTTATGGATGCACTTTAGCAGGTAGTTCAATGTCATTTAAAAGCATTGGCTGAGAAGCAGGGGGGCATCAGATCTCAGAGGGAGCACAGGGACATGGAAACCTTGCTCTGTGGACAGGGAGGTCAGACAGCAAGTAGCTGAAGGGTTGGTGTGGACACAGAGGAGTCATAAAGAACATAGCTTTGCTGGTGTTTGAAAGCCTCCAGTGGAGAGATAAAATTGCAGAAATCTCAGTGTTTTGTTGGTGTGGTGTTAGAAGGCCAGAATGATGAGAATGGTGAGAAGACAGCACACATCTGGGTCTCTTTCTTCCCCTTTTCCATACTGTAGTCCCTGTCTAGGTCTGTATTATTGCTTTTCCCTGGACTATTGCAGTTAACGCCTAATCTTCTCCCTGGAGTCAATTGTCTTCTTTATCAACTTATTTGTCATTCGGGTGGGGGGAGGTCATTATTCTGTTGCTTGCCTGTTGTACTCTCCTGCTCAGGAACCTTCAGTAGCTCCTTTCTGCCTTCCGCATGGTCCTCAAGGTTCTCCATGATCATACCTGACTTTCCTTTCAAGGTTTGTCTCCTACCCCTTGACTTCATACACTAGATTCTTCCAGATGGAGCCAGGCATTTACTCACAATATCCTCACAGTGTCTTTGAAAGCTGGAATCCTCCAAGACACATATCACTGAAAACTTCCTTCATGAATCCTCCCATCTTCTTCCAAGCAAACAGAACATCTCCCTTTCCCAATTCTCCCTTCACATGGCACGTGTCCATGATCTTGAATTATAATGGTTTCATAATTCTTTGTGAGCATCTTGAGTACAAGACCCCACTTATTCATCATGATATCATACATGCAATTGATTTTCTTTCCTCCCCTCTCCTAAACAAACCAGTTTTACATCTTATTTGTGAATTCATTTAAGCATCATTTTCTGTCTATAGATGTGTCAGCCCTGGAATTCTCCTCTGAACCAGTTTTAGCATCTTACTGGTTTCCTCATTAATTAATGAATTAAATAAAATCTTTGACACATTTGTTTTTATTATTTTTTAAGTTTTAAGGTCGGGGTACATGTGCAGGTTTGTTACATAGGTAAACTTTTGCCATGGGGGTTTGTTATAAAGATTATTTCATCACCCGGGTATTAAGCCTAATACTCATTAGTTATTTTTCCTGATCCTCTCCCTCCTCCCACCCTCCACCTTCTGATAAGTCCCAGTGTGTGTTGTTCCTCTCTATGTGTCCATATATGCTCATCATTTAGCTCCCACTTATAAGTGGGAACATGTAGTATTTGGTTTTCTGTTCCTGTTTTAGTTTATTAAGGATAATGACCTCTAGCTCCATCCATATCCCTGCAAAGGACATGATCTCAGTCTTTTTAGACAAATTTATTTTATATTTGCAGGACAGCCCTGAATACATTCTATTTTAAAAACTATCCTATAACAATTTATTCCTGAATATGCATTTGTCCATTCATTTGCTCATCACAAACACTAAACACCAAAAATAAGGGTGCAAATAAGTTATTTTCATAAAGTTAAATGAGCCTATTTGTTAATTTATTCATCCATTTGTTCATATTTTGAACATTTATTATGTGACCACTCTCATTAGAATCATAAATGTTATATTTATTTGCACTAAAATCATAAGGTTTTATCAAGTCTTAACCATCAACATTTCTTACAGTAGGCACTTTGAGACTGTAATTTGATGAGAATACTGGGAAGAAAGGACCTTGACCTGGCTGTAGGTGACATTTGGAGAGTATCTGGGAGCATCATGACTCAGCAGTGAGAGGCTCTGGGTAGAGGAGGAAACCTGATAGGCTCTCCCTCAGCAGCGGGCTCCCTCCCCACTGGCGCATATGGAGCCTGAATCTTTCCGTCTTCTGCTCTGGCTTCTGTGGCTTTTGCAGTAATCTGAAACGCTTGGAGGAGACTCAGGGCACAGAGCCATCAAAGTTAATCAGAGCTTGGAAATGTGAAGGCTTAAAAGCAAAACTAAAAGAGCTAAGATGATTTATGAATGAAGAGAAATTTTGTAGCTGCCTTAAAAATCTGTGAAAAGTAATTATAAAGAAAGATGGTGACCAACTTCTTTTTAGTGCACATTGAGTAGGTGAAGAAATAGGTTTTGATGTAAAAATTGCTCAGTAGTGAGTGATGTTAAATATCGGAATTGATCAATGAAAGAAGTTAGGGGGTCTCTTCTGATGGTCTTTAGAAAAGCGGATTGCACATTTATACTACAATGCACATATGTGTGGCTTTATCTAGAGGTCACAGGGATGATGAAATTATTTCTTAGATTTCTAGGTAGAGACAAGTTCTATGACTCTCACCTGGAATATATCCTTGAGATTATGATTTGCTCCAGGTGGATGAGGACCTAACACTAATGCGAAAAGGCATTAGCTAAACTTGTCTTTGATTTTCCTGCAGCTGCCTTCTCTGCAATGCTTCTGAAGATACACTTCTAATACTTGCTTAGTACTTACTTTGTTGGAAGGCACGGGGAAAAGTCCTGGTTCATGGAATCAACAGGTTTTCTCTTGGGTCCTCTCTTTGCTATGGCATCTTCTCTTCATAGCAAGTAACTCCTCTCTTTGGTCTCAGTTTCTTATTTGTAAAAAGGAAAGATTATCTCTTACCTCAAAGGATTTTTTGTGGGTGTGAAAACAAAGTCTAATAGTGTGTTTGAAGCACTTTATAGTTACAGCACATTGTTACAAATGATAAGTAATAAAGTGTTACCCAATATGAATGTTTGCTTTGTATCATCATATTATTTCAAAAGTAACAATGCTCTATTTACATATAAGTGATCACACCATAATTTATGTAATATTAAAAATATTATCCCACTTCAAATATAGATTCACATACAGTTTCAGTCCTAAAGGGCTCTTTTTTCCCATGAAGATGCAGTATAAAACATGCACATGGGATGTGCACACACACACATACACACATACCACACATACACGCACCACACACACCTTACACACACACAACACACACCATACACACACGACATAGTCTCACCAAACTTGTGCTTGGGGGCCTTTTGGTGGCGGGCAATCGGATTACTCATTTATTTTGGTAAGTAAGGTTGAGCTTACTGCCTTCCTCTCACGTCCATCACTGTACTCACTGTCATTACAGTAAGGCCAAGAAAAATCACAAGGAAATTGGGGAAGGGGAAAAATGTGTAGAAAATAAATAGGAAGGATAAAGTTAGAGAAGGCAATGCAAAGCCATGCTGTTCCCATCCTTCTCCATCCCTTAAGATTTTTCCTTATCTCTGCATCTGAAGGAGAAATTTTCAGCAGAAAAAAAAGCAAAATGCAGAAGAGCCCACCCCAAGCTTTGCATCTGCAGGTGAGCAGTGGGAAGAACCCACAGGCATTTGGTGAACATCCTCTCATGGCAGGTGTGGAGCTGTGAGGAGCAGGGGCAGGAGATGGAGGAGTGGAGGGTGAGCTGACATCCTGCTTTAATTCCTGGGCCCCAGCAGTTGCCTGTCTAGAGAAGAGCAGTGCTAGGGGTACAGGCTTTGGAGAAAATGTCAATTTCTGGCTTGAATAACACTCATATAACTTTGCATTTATAATCCTCCTTCTCTATTAGGGAGCAAACTATCAGATTATCTGATTTCTAGAAGATCATTTGTAGAAAAAAATGGCACAGCCTGAGGCCTGGCTCAGTTCATGAAATGATTCATTTGGAGCCTGTTCACAGAGGCACCTCAACTCACTAGAATATGCACACGAAACCTCCTTGCTCAGTTGAATTTTCACCATTAACTTCAGCCCAAGGATACTATTCTTTCGGGTAATGAGTCCTGTGGTGTCATCTTAGCCAGATTCCATAAGTTTCTATACACTTGAAAATCCACAGATTCCATAACTTTCTATTCACTGTTACTAGGACAGTCTAATTCTACACTTGAAGACACAGTCTTGTTCACTCTAAGATGTCCAACCTCAAAGCTGCTTTTCTCCCTTTGTCTTAGCAGAAGCTGTCCTGTCTGCAGCACTAACAAGAGAGTTCTCATCTCAGCCCTGGCTCCAACTGGGAGCTTCTAGTTCTCTCTTAGGCTGAGTGATTCTGGGGTGGGGTTTGAGTGGGAGTATTTCTTTCTGACCTCTCAGTGATTCTAATGTGCGGCCAAGGTTGAGCACCGCTGCTGGGAAGCAGCACTGGTGGATGGGTGAGAGGAGGAGGTACATCGTGCTGGTCCCCACAACTTCCCTTCAGCTCTTTCAGGGTACATGGCAAGAAGGAGGAGGGAAAGGGCTAGTTGTTCTGTTTAATGGAAGTGGAGCGGTTGTCTTCTTGGCTGGTCACTGTGGCCGCCCAGCTCTGGAAGGCTTCTGAGTGCTGGTTCTCTCCGGAGGCACAGGTGTGGGGCTCAGTAAGATACTGGAAGCCCAGCTGTCTTCCAGAGTGCCTGCTCCACCCCAAGGAAACCCACACTCTCCTGCCACACCAAAGGTTGCAGTGCAGGAGGCACCCCTATAACTGCTCTCTCCATATCCCCCAAATCCACCACTCCATCTAGCTCTAACTCCCCTTTTCCCTGCTCAGGTGTCAGACCAGGACTTGTGCTGGGTAAATAGATACGTGCATTAGCCAGCGTTCATCCAGATAAACAGAACCAGAACCAACAGGAATAAGATGTCTATGTGCTTATGTATGTGTGTATATGTATGTATGTGTATAGTATCTATAAACCTATTCATCAGTCTACCTATCTACCTACCTATCTATGGAGAGGCATTTATTTTAAGGAATTGGCTCACATGATTGTGGGAGCTGGAAAATCTGAAACCTGCCTTAAGTCCCAAGGCAGACTGGAGGTGGAATTCTTTCCACTCTGGGGACCTCTATCTACCTCTTAAGGCCTTCAGATAATTGGAAGGGTAATCTGCTTTACTCAAAGTCTGATTTAAATGCTCATCACATCTAAAAAGTACCCTCTCAGCAACATCTAGACTGGTGCTTGACCAAACAACTGGTCACCATAGCCTAGCCAAGTTGACACACAAAATTACCCATTATAGTGTCCAACTGGTGAAATGTATGTCCCTTGGTTCCAGGGGGAGGAAATATTCCCATTTTCCTCCAGGAAGAAGGTACCTGGAGGGGCACCCACCCTCTCGCCTCCCTGCCCTCTCTTGTAGCTGCCTAGGGTGAGAGGTGGAAGGAAAGGGACTTGGTCTGCATTTTGGTGCTTCCCCTCCGGCCTGGAAGCGGACTGCTGCCAACTTATCTAGCATGCGGGGCAGCTAGTTTATTTTGTTCTCAGTTTTGAACCTTAATAACAACTTTAGGGTAACAGGAGAAGCCCCACTCAATATCCTCGCATACATTGAATATTGTAGATGATAACGTAGCCCTAACACATGTTCTGTTTCTTATATACATCTGGAACCACCTTAAAAACTTGGCAACCTGAGATATGGAAAGATCCCTATTTAAGAGAAACCCAAAGCTACTATGACAAATACAAGTCAGAAATTTAGAAGGGTGCAAGAAAGAGGCTGGCCTGCATGGTCTTCATTCTGGGTATATACAAATAAACCCTCAAGTTCATTTGTTAAAGCCCTAACTGGCAATGTGACTATATTTAAAAATAGGTGGTTTAGGAAGTAATTAAGGTTAAATGAGGTCATAAGGGTAGTACCCTGATCCAATCAGGCTGGTGGCTTTATAAGAAGAGGAAGATCTCTCTCTCTCTCTCTTTTTCTTTCTATCTCTACCTTTCTGTCTCTTTTTCCTCCAGTGAACTCAGAGGAAAGGCCATGTGGACACACAGGGAGAAGGCAGCTACCTGCAAGCCAGGAAGAGAGCCCTACCAGACACCTTGATCTTGGACCTTTCAGCCCCCAGAACTGTGGGAAATAAATTTCTATTGTTTAAGCCCCCCAGGCCATGGTATTTTGTGACAGCAGCCTGAGCTGACTAAGGCAATCACCCTGATGGTGAATCTGCCCTTGTGGAGGTGTGATGGGAATTTCGATGAATGCTGCTATGGTTTGGAGAAGGTTTGCTTGGCCCCACCAAGTCTTATGTTGAAATTTGATCCCCAGTGTTGGAGGCGGGGTGAGGTGGGAGATGTTTGGATCATGGGAGTGGACCCTCATGAATGGCTTGGTGCCCTTCTCCTGGAAGTGACAGAGTTCTCACTGTTAGTTCCCGCAATAACTGCTTGTTGAAAAAAGCCTGGCAGCTCCTCTTCTCTCTCTTTTTTTCTCTCTTGCCATGTGATGCTGGCTCTGCTCCACCTTCTGCCATGATTGGAAGCTTCCTGAGGCCTCACCAGAAGCAGATGCTGGATCCATGCTTCTTGTACAGCCTGCAGAACCGCGAGACACACAAAAACCTTTCTTTCTAATTACCTAGCCTCAGGTATTCCTTATAGCAACACAAATGGACAAAGACAAATACATTCATACATATATGTAAGTATATACCAACATACATGAATACATGTAATATATAGTTAAGTGTACTCACACACACAGAGACATACACACCTATATAAGTGTACACACTCACACACACACACACACACACAGTTATGTATTCATGACTTTCTTTTCCAGGATGAATAAGGCTTTTTCTGCCTTATTGGAAAAACATTTCTTTCATTACTTCCTAATCCCTCCACTGCTATCTCATTTAACTCCTGAACTCCAGTTGGCAGATGTTAATATATCCTTATTAGGGACAAGTGTTTTGGATCAATTCATACATCTTTCTGTATGGTAATGGAAAGTTTTAATTGCTTGGAGTGAGCTATTTGATCAGTCTGTTTGCCCATTTTTTTCAGAGGATAAAAGGGTATTTGTTAGGCTCTGAATGCAAGAGAAAAAAATGTAAAGCCCACGTTTAATATCCTTTGGGTACAATTTATATTTTAAATTTCATAATTGTAGCCTTTCCAAATCATTGTTTTTTAATGTAGTTAAATATAATTCATTAGCACGGTGCTGAAAATAGCAATAACATTTGCATCACTGTAGTCTCGATGTAATCAGCAGCTTCTGAGCCCAATGAGATTTTTGTGGCTCAGTTCAGTAGGACAGAACGGTCATGCGTTCTGCTGCGTGCAGGGAGAGAGAGTTAGTAGCTTCTGCTAGTGAAGGGTGGTAGTCCTCACTTGAGCTGGGACTAGCTAGCTCTCCCTGCGTGCCATTCTATGAGTGGTGCAGCCATCGGCTCTCCGGAGTATTAAACCGGCAATGCTCAGGGGCCGTTTTGGGGTTCATTGCAGCCTCCTAGTTTTTTATTTACCTTTGTTTGTAAGATTCTTGTGGTCTACAGAGAAAAAAAGGAGCAAGTATTAAGAAAAAAGTCCTGAGGTCTAATTCTGCCACATTTCAATATTTTCACATTGGCTTTTGTGAATAAAAATGTGGAGTAAGAGCTTTGAGAGCATGATGCGAAGGCTCAAGACAGAGGAACAGACCCACGGAATCCTGTCTCCCCTCCATTCCACTTTCGCCTCTCCTCTGAGCCCACGGCAGCCGCTCTCGCTCTTCTCACCTGGGTCCTGCGCACAGTGCTCTTCTGTGCTCCTTTTCCTCGTCTTCTACCATAGTTTTTTCTTCCTTTCCCCCACCCTCCTCTATTCTTTCTCACCGCTGCTGACCCATCAGTATTGTTTTCCTCCCAAGCTGAAGTGTCCCACTGAGTGCAAAGGCCACACAGCCCTCAAGTCTCCGGGACAGCTGTTAGGCTTTGCCTGGGACTGATCCCCAGGGCAGGCCCCAGGCTACACGGGCGCAGCGCTCAGCGCAGGCGTTAGGAGATGCTAATGAGGCTTCCCAGGCCAGAGGACTGGCCTGCATCGCACCACCCAGGGGCCCTCTTTGCCAGTCAACTGCTCTACCATCGTCCAGTTTGTGCCTTCATAGGGCCCTCAGGTACCTGCAACTCCTCCTCAGCATGAAGATGAGGCCAGGGCTTCTGCCCTTTTCTCAATCCACCTCTGCGTCAGCATTCGCTAGGGGGAAGCCCTGCTGCTCTCAGAGACAGGAGGGGAGAAAACTTTGTACCCAGTCTTTTCTTCACCCTTTGTCTTTTGCTTTCAGTTATTTTCTTTATTTCAAAAGACAGGGTAAAACTTCCTAGGACTGTAAGTTTGGATATTGCTAGGACTGCTTTTTGGGGGAAAGCCTCACAGGGAAAGAAGACATATCCATTCTCTTTCACCCTTTGGGGATTTTGGGGTGGCTCATTTTCTAAATTACTGATATGGTTTAGCTGTGTCCCCGCCCAAAATCTCATCTTGAATTATAATCCCAATAATCTCCACATGTCAAGGGCGGGACCAGGTGGAGGTGATTGGATCATGCGCGCGGTTCCCCCGTGCTGTTCTCGTGATAGTGAGTGCGTCTCACGAGATCTGATGGTTTTATAAGCGTCTGGCTTTTCTCCTGCTGGCCCTCGCTCACTGGGTCCTGCCGCCCTGTGAAGAAGGCGCGTGTTTCTTCTTTGCCTTCCACCCTGATGGTAAGTTTCCCGAGGCTTCCCCAGCAATGCAGAACTGTGAGTCAATTAAACCTCTTTCCTTCATAAATTTACCCAGTCTCAGGCCGTTCTTTATAGCAGTGTGAGAATGAACGAATACAATTACCAACTACAAGTACTATTTTTTCGAAAGGAGAGAAACATGGCATTTGTCTGACCCCTTATACTTCTAGTCCTCTGGGCTTATTTTTGGAGTCTATTACTACAATCATGTAGGTCCAGAAGGACGTGACAGAGTCAAGTTGTGAAGGACGGGACTAAAAACTTTATCTGCTCATTTCCATCTCCCTGCTTTTTTTTGCTTTAATCTTGACTGCCCTTGATTGCTGCATGTACCCATTTACGGATATTTTATAACATTCAGTAAATAACACATTTTAAAACTTACAAGTTTCAGTTTTTGTGTGTTTAACACAGTGCCACTGTCCTGGGTATACAATAAATATCAGCTATTAAATTTACTACTTTCAAAAAAATCTCCGCTTATTTTATTAACTCTTCACCCATACCAATGCATGACTAGTTTTTTCCCTCTACTGGTATTTACTTATAAAAATGGGATTAAATAAAAGAAAATGTTTTCCATTCCCAATTATATTCTTTTATTCTCCGCTAAGCAATTTCTCCAAACTAGCCATGATTGAAAATAATAATTTAAAAAAGGCATCCTAGCTTTCTTTATTCTGATTTTGTCCACCCTTGGCTTACTTTTAAAAATAATAATGTTGTCATTTCAACCAATCTGCTTGGAATATAATCCTTCTGTCTCTAGGGGAAGTAATGTTTCTGAAGAGTAAAAAATAAGAATTTTGATTTGAACTAGAATTCATCTTGAAGATCTTGAAGTCACGCATATTTACTTGACTCATGAAATAGACACAGTGTCCTAAAGGTCAGAATTTAAAGTGGGACCCCACTAATGGAAGAACATTTTTTCTTCTGAAAACACTTCTGTGTTTCACGATTGACAAATGAACTAGTGAGTGAAAAAGGTATTTGGAGGCTAGATACCTCCGGTGTGCTGAGCTAAGGAATGAATCACTCAATCACTTACCACAAGTTTCTTGAGAGTCTATTGTGTGCAAAGAACTGCATGTTTTGTCTGTGCTGATGAGGGGAACTCAATACTCAACAATATTTAACAAAAATTCATAGACTGTGTACCAGGGACTGCGCTAGATGTTCTATATTTTTCTCCATCAATCTTCTGAGCTCCAGAGCAACACTGATAAATGCCTGTGAAAAATTTCCCGTAGATATTGTTCATAGACCCCTCAGTTTGGCATGTCCAAGATGGAACTTACCATTTCACTGTCTTTATTAATGGTGCCTTTTCATTCAGACATTCAAACCAGAAACTTAGTCTTCCCTGGTTCATGCCTTTCTTCCATCAGCCTCTCTCCATATTATCACAACATCATGTTCAGCTGATTGTTCCTTTTATTGGTTGAAGCTGTTTCCTCTGCCACCCCACAGCTGTCCCAGTGATCACTCTTGTGTTTTCTCACCTCAGCATTTACAGTGGCTTTGTAACTTGTGTATCTCTTAAAGTTCTTACTATATTTTCTGTGTGCTTCCTGCTAGGGTGACCAACCATCCCAGTTTGACCTCAGTCCAAACTGAGGAGTTTCCTGGGATGCAGGACTTTGTAAACCTTTCAGTTTTAAAATAGGACAGTTCCAGGCAAACTGGGACAGTTGGTCACACTATCTGTTAACTATCTTTCAAGTCAAAGTCTGGGGCAGGTGAATCAGATTGACTGAGAGTCAATCATATAGCAAAGGAGATTGAGAAAGTATCTGGCATTTTTCAGCTTTTCTGATGGAAGTTGGGTTTCAATTCATAAGGTATGGGAGTCCCCAACTGTAGCAAGAGGGTTCACAGTTTGGGGGACAAAAATTAATAAATATCTTCATACACTGTTTCTCTGTATCCAGTCTCCCCAGTTATAATGCATTGTGTGTTCTGAGTTAAGGTAAAGCTCACTTTATTTTTTAACTTTTAAGTTCAGGGGTACATGTGCAGGTTTGTTACATAAACTTGTGTCATAGGGGTTTGTTGTACAGATGATGTCATTACCCAGGTATTAAGTCTAATGCCCATTAGTTATTTTTGCTGATCCCCTGCCTCCTCCGACCCTCCACTCTCTGATAGGACCCAAAGTGTGTTGTTCCCCTCTATATGTCCATGTGTTCTCATCATTTCGCTCCAACTTACAAGTGAGTACATGTGGTATTTGGTTTTCTGTTCCTGTCTTAGTTTACTAAAAATAATGATTTCTAGCTCCATCCATGTCCCTGCAAAGGACATGGTCTTGTTCTTTTTTATGGCTGCATAGTATTCTGTGGGGTATATGTACCATGTTTTCTTTATCCAGTCTATCATTGATGGGCATTTAGGTTGATTCAATGTCTTTGCTATTGTAAGTAGTGGTGCAGTGAACATATGCCTGCATGTGTCTTTATAATAGAATAATTTTTATTCCTTTGGGCATATACCTAGTAATGGGATTGCTGGGTCGAATGGTATTTCTTGTCTTAAGGTCTTTGAGGAATCATCACACTGTCTTCCACAATGGTTGAACTAATTTACACTCCCACCAACAGTATATAGGAATTCCTTTTTCTCCACAACCTCGCCAGCATCTGTTATTTTTTGACTTTTTAATAATGGCCATTCTGACTGGTGTTAGATGGTAGCTCATTGTGATTTTGATTTGCATTTCTCTAATGATTAGTAATGTTGAGCTTTTTTTCATGATTGTTGGCCACATGTATGTCTTCTTTTGAAAAGTGTCTGTGTGCGTCCTTTGCCCACTTTTTTTATGGGGTTTTTTTTTTCTTGTAAATGTGTTTAAGTTCCTTATAGCTGCTGGATATTAGACCTTTGTTGGATACATAGTTTGCAAAAATTTTCTCTCATTCTGCAGGTTGTCTGTTTACTCTGTTGACCAGTTTCTTTTGCTGTACAGAAGCTCTTTAATTTAATTAGATCCCATTTGTCAATTTTTGCTTTTGTTGCAATTGCTTTTGGCATCTTCATCATGAAATCTTTACCCTTGCCTATGTTCTGAATGGTATTGCCTAGGTTGTCTTCCAGGGTTTTTATAGTTTTTGGTTTTACGTGTAAGTCTTTAATCCGTCTTGAGTTAATTTTGGTATATAGTAAGAGGTAGATGTCCAGTTTTAATCTTCTGCATATGGCTAGCCAGTTATCCCAGCACCATTTATTGAATAGGGAATCCTTTCCCCATTGCTTATTTTTGTGAGGTCTGTTGAAAATCATATAGTTGTAGAGGTGCAATCCTATTTCTGGGTTCTCTATTCTGTTCCATTGGTCTATGTGTCTGTTTTTGTACCAGTACCATACCATGCTGTTATGGTTACTGTAGCCAGTATAGTTTGAAGTTGAGTAAAGCTCACTTTCTACCAGATATCCTTCTATACCCTTGAAAATCTGCTCTTGCTTCCTTACGAAAGATAAAGTCCCAACTTCTTAGTGTGTCCTATGGCCTTTCATGGTCTGAAGCCTCATTTCCAGCTTCACCTCTTGCTATCCACCTCCTTAAGTTCTCCCTGCAGCTTCAGGGGCACCTCTTATAGTTCGTGAATCATGTCATGTGTCTTCATGCCTTCATGGGTTTAGTATGGGCTGCTCCTTTTGCTATGACTATGCTTTGCTGTCAGTGCAGTTGTCTCTCCTCTGTGGCGTCTTACTGATCATGGCAGTACCAGCTATCAGGCCAAATCAGTTGTTTCTTCCTGTCTACACTAACATTTACCATGCTGCATTGCCATTTGTTACTTACATTTCTCTCTTTCCCTTTATATTTATGAGTGCTTCAAGTGCTGGACAAGGTGAAACTCCAATCCCCTATTCTATGAGAGATGGAGAAAGAAAGCATGACCAAAGGCACACATAAATAAGTGGTAGTCACCAAAATCTAAATGAATTCCATGCATATATGTAGTAAGATATTAGTTGCTTCTTAAATATTTGTTTCTCTACTCTTATTTTACTAAGAGAACCTCCCAAATTTAATGGGCACATGGATGCATATCATCTGCCAATTTTTTCCCCTTCATGCTGGTTGGAATGTAAATGTGATGGCAGGAGTTGGAACAGCTATCTTTGACTTTGAGTTAGTAACCGATGTTGAAGATGGCAAATTAACAAGAGAGAGCATGGATCTCCAGCACCTGGAGCTAATACAGCAACCCTGCGTCGTTTATACTTAGACTCTTTTGTGAGAGAGAAATAAACTTCTATCTTATTTAATTTGACTTTGATTGCCACAGCTATACCTGTAATCTAATTAACATGAGAAAGGGGAAATGTTAGAGGTGAAATAGGTCTTTTGTATTGTGACTTAGATCAAAGTCTGATGCAAGGAAGGGTGTGAGAGAACTGAACAGACAGAGACAAGCATCATTCTTCTGGTTTTGTCAGTGTGAAGGATGGACAACTTTTTATTACAAATATTTCTCTGAATCAGCATTTTCCAATTAATTTCTTCAAATCTTTAAGGTGTCAATCACAGGTGGTAGACTAGAAAAGGAATGAAAAGAGAGTAAGAACTAGAAAGCATTTTGCTCTTCTTTCTTTGATAACTTTTTAGATCTGTCTTTTGTGTGATCAAGATGATCATTAGAATGTCAGATCTGCTTCTAAGACCCCATGTCAGGCCCCTGTCAGAAATGCCACAGAGCAAGACATGGTTTCTGACTTCAAGAAGATAAACAGATAAGGTACATACAAGCAGAAGACAAAAATGAGTTGGTAGGTAGGTAAATAGATAGCTTGATAGATAGGTAAGTGATAGAGTATTGCTTACTGAAATCCACTGTTCAAAATCAATCAAATAATTGAACGACTATTCAAAAGAGGGAGAGGTAATGTGCAGTGGCAAAATTAAAGCTTTGGGATATTTGGGAACTGGCACCCAGTTCCTTATTAGCTGTTTGACTGTAGGTAAATAATTTATCTGAGCTTCACTCTCTACTAAGAGTTGGCTAATAATATCCATTTCCTATGATTGTTATGAAAATTAGAAAAGTGGGTTATTATTGAAATGGCTATTATTTGCTTCCATATTTATGTCTTAATCCATGTGGAATTTTGTGTATAGGGTCAAATAGATATCTAATTTTGTTTCTTTTTCTGTGTGGGTACTCCATTGTCTCTACACCATTTACTAAAACAAAGTCCTTTGGGTTACAGTACCATCTTTGTCATATATCAAAGTTCCACATAAGTGTGGGCCTGTTTCTGAGTTTTCTTTTCTCTTCCATTGGACTGTTGGTCTGTCTTTGAATCAAACATTCCCTGTCTTGTATATAATATCTTTATAGATGCCTTTACATCTGATATGGCATTTCTGCCATCTCATTCTTTCTCAGAATTGATGTGGCTATTTATAGTCTGATGTAAATCTCAGAATCAAGATTCATAAAAAATACTGTCAAGATTTTTATCAAATTGCATTAATTGTATAGATGACTTAGGTGAGTATTGAAAGCTTTAAGGTATTGAAAGGTGTGTGAAATATGATAGCCAGAGAGCAATGAAAGGAGTAAGGAGGGAGTCATATCAGAAGGAATGGCATGAGGCAGGAAAACCCAGGGTGTGTTTTGTCCATAGTTCGGTGTAGTTTGAATGGTGAGTGATGGATACTAGAAGAGAGCTATAAAACAGGCTTGGAAGGCAGCTGAGCTGTCAATTATAAAATGGAACGCATAGAGGGTAGCCTGTGCCAACTCCTTAGCCCAGAAAGTCCTGTGACATTCGCTAATGAAAATCAATTTCCCATCCAACTTTGTGAAATCATAATGCAACGAAGACTCAAGCAAGTAAGAAAACTTAGAGAGACAGAGGAAGTTTAGCCAGATGTTAATCAGGCAGTAAGCTTTGAAAATGTTGCTCTCAATGGGGGCCCTTTTAAAATGTGACATTATTTTACCTGTGGCTACTAAATCCATTAGTAAACACTCTGTGGGAATAAGAGCTAAGAAATCTACATTCTCTGATGATTTTTCCAGATGTGCAATTAGCTTGACCAAAAACATGCTCAGCCAGAGGCACTCATTAACTTCCAAAAGTGGAGACTATTTACCCCAACTGAAACTGCTGGGGTAAACCAGTTGACGCTACATGCAATGCACATTTAATTTTTCTGTTGCTTTACCATTGAGATTTTCAGAGCCCAGAAGGATACACAGTGCTGCTGTTTTTATGCAGCATCCATGCTGGCTGAACCCCCTGCAAAGCTATTTTAAAGGCCAGCTGGTTATTAAAATGTCCACATCAGTGTTTGCAGAATCACAGCATTCGTGAGGTGCTCGGACATAAGGGTGGGCCATTTATCTAGCCCAGCCTTCTCATGCCATAGGAAACGAAGTCAGCCCAGATTGATGATTGATGGCCTCTCAGTGAAGCAAAACATTTGGGACAGAGCAGGGTGTAGAATTCAGATCTCCTGAGTTCTGTTTCCCCGGCTCAGCCATGACATTTACCTTCTCCTTGGGACATCTTTGTCGTCTTATTGGTTACTTTTCTGACAGTTGCCAGAATCAAAATGAAGTCACTTGTTAAAACAAAACCCTGACAAATGGAACCAGAGAATGCCATGAGGAGAGGATTTTCAGGCATAAATGCCTGATAACAAAACCTATCATGAAAAACTTCACAAAAACCATGACTTTGCACAAAGGCCCTTACAACTTTACACAAAACACACTTCTGCAAGGACATCTGCCAGCAATTGTCTGTCCAAGCCCATAGTGGTATCATCCTTGTTACTGATCCTTGTAGCCAAGGATAATTATCTCAAAACAACTATGTAATCCTTCTCACTTTTCCTTTAAAAGCCATTGTTCTTCCTTTACCTCCCTGAATATGCAGATAGTTTATTTTGGCATATGTATGCGCATTGCAATGTCTTATTCCCGAAATAAATATAATTTTCTTGTAGAGAACCTCTTTCTTTTGTTATTTAGATTGACACTCTCCTTGTTCTCTGCAAATAAACTGCTTGTTTTTTTGTTTTCTAGTTCATTTTGAAAGATCTGGATTTGAGCTCTTACTAGTTTTATGTGCTTCTTGGCTTGGGGTTGTAATTGTATAACCTGTATTGCTCAGTACACACAGCTTGAGAATAAAAACAGGGTCACAAAACAACAGCATTCGTCTGTCCCCAACACTGACTGCTCTACCCTAACTCCAGGCCCACCAAGATTCTTCTTCTTCCTTTTTTTTTTTTCTTTACTATAAAAATTTATTTGTTTCTTGGCAGTGATTGTGATTTTTTTTTCTTTTTTTAAATTTTATTATTATACTTTAAGTTTTAGGGTACATGTGCACAATGTACAGGTTAGTTACATATGTATACATCTGCCATGCTGGTGTGCTACACCCATTAACTCGTCATTTAGCATTAGGTATATCTCCTAAAGCTATCCCTGCCCCCCCACCCCACAACAGTCCCCAGAGTGTGATGTTCCCCTTCCTGTGTCCATGTGTTCTCATTGTTCAATTCCCACCTATGAGTGAGAACATGCGGTGTTTGGTTTTTTGTCCTTGTGATAGTTTACTGAAAATGATGATTTCCAATTTCATCCATGTCCCTACAAAGGACATGAACTCATCATTTTTTATGGCTGCATAGTATTCCATGGTGTATATGTGCCACATTTTCTTAATCTAGTCTGTCATTGTTGGACATTTGGGTTGGTTCTAAGTCTTTGCTATTGTGAATAGTGCTGCAATAAACATACATGTGCATGTGTCTTTATAGCAGCATGATTTATAGTCCTTTGGGTAGATACCCAGTAATGGGATGGCTGGGTCAAATGGTATTTCTAGTTCTAGATCCCTGAGGAATCGCCACACTGACTTCCACAATGGTTGAACTAGTTTACAGTCCCACCAACAGTGTAAAAGTGTTCCTATTTCTCCACATCCTCTCCAGCACCTCTTGTTTCCTGACTTTTTAATGATTGCCATTCTAACTGGTGTGAGATGGTATCTCATTGTGGTTTTGATTTGCATTTCTCTGATGGCCAGTGATGGTGAGCATTTTTTCACGTGTTTTTTGGCTGCATAAATGTCTTCTTTTGAGAAGTGTCTGTTCATGTCCTTCACCCACTTTTTGATGGGGTTGTTTGTTTTCTTCTTGTAAATTTGTTTAAATTGATTGTAGATTCTGGATATTAGCCCTTTGTCAGATGAGTAGGTTGCAAAAATTTTCTCCCATTTTGTAGGTTGCCTGTTCACTCTGATGGTAGTTTCTTTTGCTGTGCAGAAGCTCTTTAGTTTAATTAGATCCCATTTGTCAATTTTGTCTTTTGTTGCCATTGCTTTTGTTGTTTTAGACATGAAGTCCTTGCCCATGCCTATGTCCTGAATGGTAATGCCTAGGTTTTCTTCTAGGGTTTTTATAGTTTTAGGTCGAACGTTTAAGTCTTTAATCCTTCTTGAATTGATTTTTGTATAAGGTGTAAGGAAGGGATCCAGTTTCAGCTTTCTACATATGACTAGCCAGTTTTCCCAGCACCATTTATTAAATAGGGAATCCTTTCCCCATTGCTTGTTTTTCTCAGGTTTGTCAAAGATCAGATAGTTGTAGATATGCGGCGTTATTTCTGAGGGCTCTGTTCTGTTCCATTGATCTATATCTCTGTTTTGGTACCAGTACCGTGCTGTTTTGGTTACTGTAGCCTTGTGGTATAGTTTGAAGTCAGGTAGCATGATGCCTCCAGCTTTGTTCTTTTGACTTAGGATTGACTTGGCGATGCGGGCTCTTTTTTGGATCCATATGAACTTTAAAGTAGTTTTTTCCAATTCTGTGAAGAAAGTCATTGGTAGCTTGATGGGGATGGCATTCAATCTATAAATTACCTTGGGCAGTATGGCCATTTTCACGATATTGATTCTTCCTATCCATGAGCATGGAATGTTCTTCCATTTGTTTGTATCCTCTTTTATTTCATTGAGCAGTGGTTTGTAGTTCTCCTTGAACAGGTCCTTCACATCCCTTGTAAGTTGGATTCCTAGGTATTTTATTCTCTTTGTAGCAATTGTGAATGGGATGTCACTGATGATTTGGCTCTCTGTCTGTTATTGGTATATAAGAATGCTTGTGATTTTTGCACATTGATTTTGTGTCCTAAGACTTTGCTGAAGTTGCTTATCAGCTTAAGGAGATTTTGGGCTGAGACTGTGGAGTTTTCTAAATATACAATCATGTCATCTGCAAACAGGGACAAATTGACTTCCTCTTTTCCTAATTGAATACCCTTTATTTATTTTTCTCACCTGATTGCCCTGGCCAGAACTTCCACACTATGTTGAATAGGAGTGGTGAGAGAGGGCATCCCTGTCTTGTGCCAGTTTTCAAAGGGAATGCTTCCAGTTTTTGCCCATTCAGTATGATATTGGCTGTGGGTCTGTCATAGATAGCTCTTATTATTTTGAGATACGTCCTATCAATACCTAATTTATTGAGAGTTTTTAGCATGAAGGGTTGTTGAATTTTGTCAAAGGCCTTTTCTCCATCTATTGAGATAATCATGTGGTTTTTGTCTTTGGTTCTGTTTATATGCTGGATTACATTTATTGATTTGTGTATATTGAACCAGCCTTGCATCCCAGGGATGAAGCCCACTTGATCATGGTGGATAAGCTTTTTGATGTGCTGCTGGATTCGGTTTGCCAGTATTTTATTGAGGATTTTTGCATCAATGTTCATCAAGGATATTGGTCTAAAATTCTCTTTTTTGGTTGTGTCTCTGCCCGGCTTTGGTATCAGGATGATGCTGGCCTCATAAAATGAGTTAGGGAGGTTTCCCTCTTTTTCTATTGATTGGAATAGTTTCAGAAGGAATGGTACCAGTTCCTCCTTGTACCTCTGGTAGAATTCGGCTGTGAATCCATCTGGTCCTGGACTCTTCTTGGTTGGTAAGCTATTGATTATTGCCACAATTTCAGCTCCTGTTATTGGTCTATTCAGAGATTCAACTTCTTCCTGGTTTAGTCTTGGGAGGGTGTATGTGTCAAGGAATTTATCCATTTCTTCTAGATTTTCTAGTTTATTTGCATAGAGGTGTTTGTAGTATTCTCTGATGGTAGTTTGTTTTTCTGTGGGATCAGAGGTGATATCCCCTTTATCATTTTTTATTGCATCTATTTGATTCTTCTCTCTTTTCTTCTTTTTTGTTGATCATTTCAAAAAACCAGCTCCTGGCTTCATTAATTTTTTGAAGGGTTTTTTGTGTCTCTATTTCCTTCAGTTCTGCTCTGATTTTAGTTATTTCTTGCCTTCTGCTAGCTTTTGAATGTGTTTGCTCTTGCTTCTCTAGTTCTTTTAATTGTGATGTTAGGGTGTCAATTTTGGATCTTTCCTGCTTTTTCTTGTGGGCATTTAGTGCTATAAATTTCCCTCTACACACTGCTTTGAATGTGTCCCAGAGATTCTGGTATGTTGTGTCTTTGTTCTTGTTGGTTTCAAAGAACATCTTTATTTCTGCCTTCATTTCGTTATGTACCCAGTAGTCATTCAGGAGCAGGTTGTTCAGTTTCCATGTAGTTGAGTGGTTTTGAGTGAGTTTCTTAATCCTGAGTTCTAGTTTGATTGCACTATGGTCTGAGAGACAGTTTGTTATAATTTCTGTTCTTTTACATTTGCTGAGGAGAGCTTTACTTCCAGCTATGTGGTCAATTTTGGAATAGGTGTGGTGTGGTGCTGAAAAAAAGGTATATTCTGTTGATTTGGGGTGGAGAGTTCTGTAGATGTCTATTAGGTCTGCTTAGTGCAGAGCTGAGTTCAATTCCTGGGTATCCTTTTTAACTTTCTGTCTCGTTGATCTGTCTAATGTTGACAGTGGGGTGTTAAAGTCTCCCATTATTAATGTGTGGCAGTCTAAGTCCCTTTGTATGTCACTCAGGACTTGCTTTATGAATCTGGGTGCTCCTGTATTGGGTGCATATATGTTTAGGATAGTTAGCTCTTCTTGTTGAATTGATCCCTTTATCATTATGTAATGGCCTTCTTTGTGTCTTTTGATCTTTGTTGGTTTAAAGTCTGTTTTATCAGAGACTAGGATTGCAACCCCTGCCTTTTTTTGTTTTCCATTTGCTTGGTAGATCTTCCTCCATCCTTTTATTTTGAGCCTATATGTGTCTCTGCCCATGAGATGGGTTTCCTGAATGCAGCACACTGATGGGTCTTGACTCTTTATCCAACTTGCCAGTCTGTGTCTTTTAATTGGAGCATTTAGTCCATTTACATTTAAAGTTAATATTGTTATGTGTGAATTTGATCCTGTCATTATGATGTTAGCTGGTTATTTTGCTCATTAGTTGATGCAGTTTCTTCCTAGCCTTGATGGTCTTTACAATTTGGCATGATTTTGCAGTGGCTGGTTCCTTTCCATGTTTAGCGCTTCCTTCATGAGCTCTTTTAGGGCAGACCTGGTGGTGACAAAATCTCTCAGCATTTGCTTGTCTGTAAAGCATTTTATTTCTCCTTCACTTATGAAGCTTAGTTGGGCTGGATATGAAATTCTGGGTTGAAAATTCTTTTCTTTAAGAATGTTGAATATTGGCCCCCACTCTCTTCTGGCTTGTAGAGTTTCTGCTGAGAGATCTGCTGTTAGTCTGATGGGCTTCCCTTTGTGGGTAACCCGACCTTTCTCTCTGGCTGCCCTTAACATTTTTTCCTTCATTTCAACTTTGGTGAATCTGACAATTATGTGTCTTGGAGTTGCTCTTCTCGAGGAGTATCTTTGTGGTGTTCTCTGTGTTTCCTGAATCTGAACGTTGGCCTGCCTTGCTAGATTGGGGAAGTTCTCCTGGATAATATCCTGCAGAGTGTTTTCCAACTTGGTTCCATTCTCCCCGTCACTTTCAGGTACACCAATCAGATGTAGATTTGGTCTTTTCACATAGTCCCATATTTCTTGGAGGCTTTGTTTCTTTTTATTCTTTTTTCTCTAAACTTCCCTTTTCGCTTTATTTCATTAATTTCATCTTCCATCACTGATACCCTTTCTTCCAGTTGATCTCATCAGCTCCTGAGGCTTCTGCATTCTTCGCATAGTTCTCGAGCCTTGGCTTTCAGCTCCATCAACTCCTTTAAGCACTTCTCTGTATTGGTTATTCTAGTTATACATTCGTCTAAATTTTTTTCAAAGCTTTTAACTTCTTTGCCTTTGGTTTGAATTTCCTCCTGTAGCTCGGAGTAGTTTGATCGTCTGAAGCCTTCTTCTCTCAGCTTGTCAAGGTCATTATCCGTCCAGCTTTGTTCCGTTGCTAGTGAGGAACTCTGTTCCTTTGGAGGAGGAGAGGTGCTCTGCTTTTTAGAGTTTCCAGTTTTTCTGCTCTGTTTTTTCCCCATCTTTGTGGTTTTATCTACTTTTGGTCTTTGATGATGGTGATGTACAGATGGGTTTTTGGTGTGGATGTCCTTTCTGTTTGTTAATTTTCCTTCTAACAGACAGGACCTTCAGCTGCAGGTCTGTTGAAGTTTGCTAGAGGTCCACTCCGGACCCTGTTTGCCTGGGTATCAGCAGCGGTGTCTGCAGAACAGTAGATTTTCGTGAACCGCGAATGCTGCTGTCTGATCGTTCCTCTGGAAGTTTTGTCTCAGAGGAGTACCCGGCCATGTGAGGTGTCAGTCTGCCCCTACTGGGGTGTGCCTCCCAGTTAGGCTGCTCAGGGGTCAGGGGTCAAGGACCCACTTAAGGAGGCAGTCTGCCCATTCTCAGATCTCCAGCTGTGTGCTGGGAGAACCACTGCTCTCTTCAAAGCTGTCAGACAGGGACATTTAAGTCTGCAGAGGTTACTACTGTCTTTTTGTTTGTCTGTGCCCTGCCCCCAGAGGTGGAGCCTACAGAGGCAGGTAGGCCTCCTTGAGCTATGGTGGGCTCCACCCAGTTGGAGCTTCCTGGCTGCTTTGTTTACCTAAGCAAGCCTGGGCAATGGTGGGCGCCCCTCCCCCAGCCTTGCTGCCGCCTTGCAGTTTGATCTCAGATTGCTGTGCTATCAATCAGCGAGACTCCCTGGGTGTAGGACCCTCGGAGCCAGGTGCGGGATATAATCTCCTGGTGCACCATTTTTTAAGCCCTTGGAAAATCGCAGTATTAGGGTGGGAGTGACCGGATTTTCCAGGTGCTGTCTGTCACCCTTTTCTTTGACTAGGAAAGGGAACTCCCTGACCCCTTGTGCTTTCCGAGTGAGGCAATGCCTTGCCCTGCTTTGGCTCATGCATGGTGCGCTGCACCCACTGTCCTGCGCCCACTGTCTGGCACTCCCTAGTGAGATGAACCTGGTACCTCAGATGGAAATGCAGAAATCACCTGTCTTCTGTGTCGCTCATGCTGGGAGCTGTAGACCGGAGCTGTTCCTATTCAGCCATCTTGGCTGCCCGATTCTTAAATCATTCCAGGAGCCCTCGAGGAGTTACCTCTAGTGAGCTTGGCAGATGAAACCTTTTGTTCAGGGTAACTCCTGCCATTTTCCTCCTCCATGTGTTCCGATGATGCCACAGATGGTGACTGGGGCACCAACGTCCGCAGAAGATGTTCACTTGGTGGTGGTGCCTGCCCAGGACATCATGGCTGCTGGCAAAGGTGCCAGCCCTCGAGCTGATGCTGTTTCTGTCTGGACCAAGGATGCTGGTATGGCCTTGGGTCCACTTGGTCACCCCACCCTCCTACCAATGCTAGGATCTCTGCATGAATTTCTGAGAGAGGCTGGAGGAAAATGTGAGTGACACAGATTATGCTGTACATACAATTGCATTTCCTTTACCCTTAAATTGTTTTCAGCAGCCTGAACTTGTGTGCTGCAACTTTTGTTCCCTGAGGATGAGATTTCCATTAGTACCTTTTCCAGGTAGACTCTTTATTTTTTATTATACTTTAAGTTCTGGGGCACATGTGCAGAACATGCTGCTTTGTTAAGCTCCATCCTATTTGGGAAGAGGTTCCTTTTTTGAGACACTGCCTCACCTCCCACTATGAAAATCAAAGGTGGCCAGGCTTGGTGGCTCAGGCCTGTAATCCCAGCACTTTGGGAGGCCGAGGCAGGTGGATCACTTGAGGTCAGGAGTTCGAGACCAGCCTGGCCAACATGGTGAAACCCCGTTTCTACTAAAAATGCAAAAATTAGCCAGGCGTGGTGGTGCATGCCTGTGATCCCAGCTACTCAAAAGGCTGAGGCAGGAGAATCACTTGAACCCAGGAGGTGGAGGTTGCAGAGAGTCAATACTGCACCAATGCACTCCAGCCTAGGAGACAGCAAGACTTCATCTCAAAAAAAAAAAAAAAAAAATCAGAGATAAACAGATATTCCCTTTCCTATCACCTGGCCACTGGTAGGTGATTATTTGACCCAGGCTTGGCCAACTCTTTGCTCTTCTCTGGAACCTTGACTCTTGACTCTTGAACTAGTGACACAGAGATGGAAGAACAGTTTAGGATTTATTCATAATGAGGGCAATCAGCAATAGAGTCAGTGGTGTCTGTGGTAGTGGTTGGGGTGTCCTGAAAACACAACCTTGTCCTGGAAAGGGAGGGAAGAAGGTGCTGTTGATGACATTCTATCTGAATAATGCCTGTATCGGACGCATTATTGGGCATCTCTCTTGAGATAAGGACATAATCTTTATTTTTTTATTTTTATTTTTTTATTATACTTTAAGTTCTAGGGTACATGTGCACAATGTGCAGGTTTGTTAGTATACATGTGCCGTGTTGGTTTGCAGCACCCATTAACTCATCATTTACATTAGGTATATCTCCTAATGCTATCCCTCCCCCATCCCTCCACCCCACGACAGGCCCCAGTATGTGATGTTCCCCACCCCATGTCCAAGTGTTCTCATTGTTGATTTCCTACTATGAGTGAGAACATGCGATGTTTGGTTTTCTGTCCTTGTGATAGTTTGCTCAGAACGATGGTTTCCAGCTTCATCCATGTCCCTACAAAGGACATGAACTCATCGTTTTTTATAGCTGCATAGTATTCCATGGTGTATATGTGCCACATTTTCTTAATCCAGTCTGTCATTGATGGACATTTGGGTTGATTCCAAGTCTTTGCTATTGTGAATAGCACCGTAATAAACATAAGTATGCATGTGTCTTTATAGTAGCATGATTTATAATCCCTTGGGTATATACCCAGTAATGGGTTCTCTGAGTCAAATAATATTTCTAGTTCTGGATCCTTGAGGAATTGCCACACTGTCTTCCACAATGGTTGAACTAGTTTACAGTCCCACCCACAGTGTAAAAGTGTTCCTATTTCTCCACATCCTCTCCAGCACCTGTTGTTTCCTGATTTGTTAATGATTGCCATTCTAACTGGTGTGAGATGGTATCTCATTGTGGTTTTGATTTGCATTTCTCTGGCCAGTGATGATGAGCAATTTTTCATGTGTCTGTTGGCTGCATAAATGTCTTCTTTTGAGAATTGTCTGTTCATATCCTTTGCCCACTTTTTGATGGGGTTGTTTGTTTTTTTCTTGTAAATTTGTTTAAGTTATTTGTAGATTCTGGATATTAGCCCTTTGTCAGATGGATAGATGGCAAAAATTTTCTCCCACTCTGTAGGTTGCCTGTTCACTCTGATGGTAGTTTCTTTTGCTGTGCAGAAGCTCTTTAGTTTAACTAGATCCCATTTGTCTATTTTGGCTTCTGTTGCCATTGCTTTTGGTGTCTTAGTCATGAAGTCCTTCCCCATGAGTGTGTCCTGAATGGTATTGCCTTGGTTTTCTTCTAGAGTTTTTATGGTTTTAGGTCTAATATTTGAGTCTTTAATCCATCTTGAATTAATTTTGTATAAGATGTAAGGAAGGGATCCAGTTTCAGCTTTCTACATATGACTAGCCAGTTTTCCCAGCACTATTTATTAAATAGGGAATCCTTTCCCCATTTCTTGTTTTTGTCAGGTTTGTCAAAGATCAGATGGTTGTAGATGTGTGGTGTTATTTCTGAGGCCTCTGTTCTGTTCCATTGGTCTATATCTCTGTTTTGGTACCAGTACCATGCTATTTTGGTTACTGTAGCCTTGTAGTGTAGTTTGAAGTCAGGTAGCGTGATGCCTCCAGCTTGGTTCTTTTGGCTTAGGATTGTCTTGGAAATGCAGGCTCCTTTTTGGTTCCATATGAACTTTAAAGCAGTTTTTTCCAATTTTGTGAAGAAAGTCATTGGTAGCTTGATGGGGATGGCATTGAATCTATAAATTACCTTGGGTAGTATGGCCATTTTCATGATACCAATTCTTCCTATCCATGAGCATGGAATGTTCTTCCATTTGTTTGTGTCCTCTTTTATTTAATTGAGCAGTGCTTTGTAGTTCTCCTTGAAGAGGTCCTTCATGTCCCTTGTAAGTTGGATTCCTAGGTATTTTATTCTCTTTGTAGCAATTGTGAATGGGATGTCACTGATGATTTGGCTCTCTGTCTGTTATTGGTATATAAGAATGCTTGTGATTTTTGCACATTGATTTTGTGTCCTAAGACTTTGCTGAAGTTGCTTATCAGCTTAAGGAGATTTTGGGCTGAGACTGTGGAGTTTTCTAAATATACAATCATGTCATCTGCAAACAGGGACAAATTGACTTCCTCTTTTCCTAATTGAATACCCTTTATTTCTTTCTCTCACCTGATTGCCCTGGCCAGAACTTCCACACTATGTTGAATAGGAGTGGCGAGAGAGGGCATCCCTGTCTTGTGCCAGTTTTCAAAGGGAATGCTTCCAGTTTTTGCCCATTCAGTATGATACTGGCTGTGGGTTTGTCATAAATAGCTCTTATTATTTTGAGATACATTCTATCGATACCTAATTTATGGAGAGTTTTTAGCAAAATTTTGTTGAATTTTGTCAAAGGCCTTTTCTCCATCTATTGAGATAATCATGTGGTTTTTGTTCTTGGTTCTGTTTGTGATGGATTACGTTTATTGATTTGAGTATGTTGAACCACCCTTGCATCCCAGGGATGAAGCCAGCTTGATCTTGGTAGATAAGCTTTTTGATGTGCTGCTGGATTTCGTTTGGCAGTATTTTATTGAGTATTTTCACATCAATGTTCATCAGGGATATTGGTCTAAAATTCTCTTTTTTTGTTTATATGCCAGGCTTTGGTATCAGGATGATGCTGGCCTCATAAAATGAGTTAGGGAGGATTCCTTCCTTTTCTATTGCTTGGAATAGTTTCAGAAGGAATGGTACGAGCTCCTCTTTGTACCTCTGGTAGAATTCGGCTGTGAATTCGTCTGGTCCTGGACTTTTTTTGGTTGGTAAGCTATTAATTATTGCCTCAATTTCAGAGCCTGTTATTGGTCTATTCAGGGATTCAACTTCTTCCTGGTTTAGTCTTAGGAGGGTGTATGTGTTGAGGAATTTATCCATTTCTTCTAGATTTTCTAATTTATTTGTGTAGAGGTGTTTATAGTATTCTCTGATGGTAGTTTGTATTTTTGTGGGATTGATGGTGATATCCCCTTTGTCATTTTTTATTGCATCTATTTGATTCTTCTCTCTTTTCTTTATTAGTCTTGCTAGCGGTCTATCAATTTTGTTGATCTTTTCAAAAAACCAGCTCCTGGATTCATTGATTTTTTTTTTTTTTTTTTTGGAAGAGATTTTGTGTCTCTATCTCCTTCAGTTCTGCTCTGATTTTAGTTATTTCTTGCCTTCTGCTAGCTTTTGAATGTGTTTGCTCTTGCTTCTCTAGTTCTTTTAATTGTGATGTTAGGGTGTCGATTTTAGATTTTTTCCTGCTTTCTCTTGTGGGCATTTAGTGGTATAAATGTCCCTCTACACACTGCTTTAAATGTGTCCCAGAGATTCTGGTACGTTGTGTCTTTGTTCTCATTGGTTTCAAATAACATCTTTATTTCTGCTTTCATTTCATTATTTACCCAGTAGTCATTCAGGAGCAGGTTGTTCAGTTTCCATGTAGTTGTGCGGTTTTGAGTGAGTTTCTTAATCCTGAGTTCTAATTTGATTGCACTGTGGTCTGAGAGAGAGTTTGTTGTGTTTTCTGTTTTTTTACATTTGCTGAGGAGTGCTCTACTTCCAACTATGTGGTCACTTTCTGTTTATATATATATTCTGTTGATTTGGGGTGGACAGTACTGTAGAACCTACCTATTAGGTCTGCTTGGTGCAAAGCTGAGTTCAAATACCTTTGGTCTTTGATGATGGTGACCTACAGATGGAGTTTTGGTGTGAATGTCCTTTGTGTTGATGTTGATGCTATTCCTTTCTGTTTGTTAGTTTTCCTTCTAATGGGTCACTCAGCTGCAGGTCTGTTGGAGTTTGCTGGAGGTCCACTCCTTACCCTGTTTGCCTGGGTATCACCAGCTGAGGCTGCAGAACAGCAAATATTGCAGAACAGCAAATATTGCTGCCTGATCCTTCCTCTGGAAGCTTCGTCTCAGAGGGGCACCTGGCTGTATGAGGTGTCAGTCGGCCCCTATTGGGAGGTGTCTCCAAGTTAGGCTATGCAGGGGTCAGGGACCCACTTGAGGAGGCAATCTGTCTGTTCTCAGAGCTCAAACACCATGCTGGGAGAACGACTGCTCTCCTCAGAGCTGTCAGACAGTGACAATGTTTAAGTCTGCAGAAGTTTCTGCTGACTTTTCTTCAGCTATGCCCTGCTCCCCGAGGTGGAGTCTACAGAGGCAGGCGGGCCTCATTGACGTGCGGTGGGCTTCACCCAGTTCGAGCTTCCTGGCTGCTTTGTTTACCTACTCAAGCCTCAGCAATGGCGGACACCCCTCCCCTAGCCAGGCTTGCAGTCTAGCAGTTCGATCTCCGACTGCTGGGCTAGCAGTGAGCAAGGCTCCATGGGCGTGGGACCCGCAGAGCCAGGCCCAGGATATAATCTCCTGGTGTGCTGTTTGCTAAGACCGTTGGAAAAGCACAGTGTTTAGGTGGCAGTGTCCTGATTTTCCTGGTACAGTCAGTCATGGCTTCCCTTGGCTAGGAAAGGGAAATCCCCTGACACCTTGCGCTTCCTGGGTGAGTTGATGCCCCACCCTGCTTCAGCTCTCCCTTGGTGGGCTGCACCCACTGTCCAACCAGTCTCAATGAGATGAACCTGGTACTTCAGTTGGAAATGCAGAAATCACCCGTCTTCTGCGTCAGTCACACTGTGAGCTGCAGACTGGAGCTGTTCCTATTCAGCCATCTTGGAACCTGACAACAATCCTTATTTAAAGACAGTGGAAAGTACAGTCAGTCAGTCAGTCAGTCAATGGGTAAATATTGTTAAACTAGAGAAGGGTGCATACATAGATTCATTCATTTTACTTAGTATTTAGATATTGACTGTCCGATTTCTCAGTAAACATCTTTATTATGGTATATAATGTTTTGCATCATATGGTATCTTAATATAAATGAAACTGCAAGTATTTAAAGTGTTTAATTTGAGAAGTTTATCTCTATATGTAAATATAAACACACATACACAGTTGACAATTGTATATGAACAACATAAAGGTTAGAGATGTGGACTGCCTGCACAACCAAAAATCCTCAACTTTGGACTCTCTTCAAACTTAGCTACTGACAGCCTACTGTTGACTGGAAGCCTTATTAGTAACAAATAGTTGATCAACACGTATTTTGTATGTTATATATATTATATACTGTATTCTTCCAATAAAGTTAGCTACAGCAGGGGTCCCCAACTCTGGGGCCTGTTAGGAAGTGGGCTGCACAGCGGAAGGTGAGTATTGGGAGAGCATTACTCCCTGAGCTCTGCCTCCTGTTGGATTGGTGGCAGCATTAAATTCTCATAGGAGCATGAACCCTACTGTGAACTGCACATGCGAGGGATCTAGGTTGCATGCTCCTTATGAGAATCTAATGCCTGATGATCTGAGGTGGAATAGTTTAATGTGGAAATCATCCCCATTCCCCCATACCCTCATCCTCCTTGCTCCCCTAATGCTTCTGTCTGTGGAAAATTGTCTTCCATGAAACCAGTCCCTAGTGCCAAAAAGGTTGGGGACCACTGAGCTACAGAACAGAAAATGTTGCTAAGAAAATCATAGGGATGAGAAAGCACATTTATGGCATCATACTGCATTTACTGATACTGCAAATTTATGTTGTATGTTTACAAGATGAGTCATCTGTCTGAAATGTTGGGCAACTGCAGCTGCAAACCTCTATCTATGGTACGTATCCAGCAATTCAACTTTTTCTTGCAGTGTCATGACTTTTCTCTGCTTCTTGGGAGCACCTTTGGTGTCACTGGTGTTATTTAAGGTTATTAAGGTTTACATGATTGCATTAAACACAATGAAAAATACACAAGAACCGTGTGAGATCCCTTTTTATTGTGATACACAATTTACTGGAAAGAGCACAGCTCATGTGGAGATGATTCGCATTACATGGCATTTTAAGTGGATACTCAAAACACTTGAGCTCACCACAATAGCAACAGGAGGTGTCTGTGAAATTATTACAGTAGTATAGTATGTACTATAGTTAATTTTATGCAGTATGATTTAATACTGCATCTTTACATTTGTTTACATTTTTCTCAACTGCAAATGATGCCATGTATGGTTTGTGTTTGTGTATGAAAGTTTTTGTAAATTTTAACTTTTTTTTTTTTTTTTTGATATAATGTTTTGCTCTGTTTCCCAGGGTGGAGTGCAGTGGTGCAGTCTTGGCTCATAGAAACCTCTGCCTCCAGGGCTCAAGTGATTCTCCCACCTCAGCCTTCTGAGTAGTTTCTACAGGTGTGTGCCACCATGCCTGGCTAATTTTTTTTTTTTTTTTTTTTTTTTTTTTTTTTTTTTGAGACGGAGTCTTGCTCTGTTGCCCAGGCTGGTGTGCAGTGGCTCCCAATCTCAGCTCACTGCAAGCTCTGCCTACTGCATTCATGGCATTCTCCTGCCTCAGCCTCCTGAGTAGCTGGGACTACAGGCACCCGCCACCACACCCGGCTAATTTTTTGTATTTTTAATAGAGATAGGGTTTCACCGTGTTAGCCAGGATGGTCTTGATCTCCCGACCTCATGATCGGCCCGCCTTGGCCTCCCAAAGTGCTAGGATTACAGGTGTGAGCCACCATGCCCAGCCAATTTTTGTATTTTTTGTAGAGATGAAGTCTTACCATGTAGTCCAGGCTGGTTTCAAACTCCTGGGCTCAAGAGATCCACCTCCCTCGGCCTCCCAAAGTGCTGGGATTGCAGAAGCGAGCCACTGTGCCCAGAAAGTTTTAACTTTCTGTAATAGATTTGCGTATATTTTATGGTAGCAAATGATCAAATAGACTAGTATCTACGTATATTTTATGCATTAATAAGACACCTGACTTTTTCTTAATCTTTTTCAATATTTCTAGTGGCTCATTTATGAGTTTTTTAAATTGTGAAAATTTTTCCCAAATTTTTCCAATATATTTATTGAAAAAAAAATCCATGTGTAATTGGACCTGTGCAGTTCAAACCCATGTTGTTCAAGGGTCAACTATATCTATAAGCTGTATGTGTGTATAGTGTGTATATATAACCATATATATAAGCGTTGTGTTGTTGTTGTTGTGGTTTTTTGTTTTTGTTTTTGTTTTTGAGACAGTCTTGCTCTGTTGCCCAGGCTGGAGTGCAGTGGCGTGATCTCAGCTGACAGCAACCTCTGCCTCCTGGGTTCAAGCTATTCTCCTGCCTCAGCCTCCTGAGTAGCTGGGATTACAGGCATGTGCCACCATGCCTGACTAATTTTTGTATTTTCAGTAGCGATGGGGCTTCACCATGTTGGTCAGACTGGTCTCAAACTCCTGACCTCATGATCTGCCTGCCTTGGCCTCCCAGAGTGCTGGGATTACAGGCGTGAACCGCTGTGCCTGGCCATATGTAAGCTTTGATACAGGTATATCTAGCACCACAGTCAAGGAAGTGAACATATCCATCATGCCCAAAATTTTGCATGTCCCCTTTCATACTCTCCAGGCACTGCTCATTTAATTTCTATTACTATTCATTGATTTTCCTCTTCTAAAGTTTTATATTTATGAAATCATATTCATTTAAATGAACTCATTTTTGCCTGGCTTCTTTCAGGATAATTATTTTGAGGTTCATCCATGTTGTGTGTATTAATGACTCATTCCTCTTGATTTCTGCATAGTATTCTGCTGTGTGGATATGTCACAATTTACTTTACCATTATGTTAATAGACACTTGGGTTATTCCCAGTGTTTGGCTATTACAAGTAAAGCAGCTATGAACATTTGTTTACAAGTCTTTGTGTGGGTGTCTGATTTCATTCTTCATAGGTAAATATCTAACAGTGGGGTATCTGAATCCTGTGCTATGTGTCTGTTTAACTTACAAGCAACTACCAAATAACTTTCCAGAATGGTTATATCATTTTACATCCCCATCAGCAGTGCATGAGAATTCTACTTGCTCCACATCCTTGATAATACTTGGTTAGGCCAACTTTTTCATTTTAGCCATTCTCATAAGTGTATCTCCTTGCCATTTAAATTGCATTTTTCTAGTGACTAATGATGTCAGGCATCAAGTGCTTGTCATCTGTAAATCTTTTTTGATAAAGTGTCAATTATTTTATTCCTTCAGTGATTTATTGTAGTTTTCAGTGTATAGATCTTGCACATCTTTTCTCAGATGTACCTCAAAATATTTTATATTCTGATGTTATCATAAATAGTATGGTCTTATATTTTACATCTCCAATTTTCTTTCTGCTAGGATTTGGAAATATAATTTATTTTTGTATACTGATCTTGTATTCTGTGATTTTTGCTAAGCTCACTATGACCACTTAATAGTTTTAGTAGCTTTTTTATACATACCATTTGATTTTCTTTATAAATGATAGTCTGTGTATAAAAATAGTTTTACTTCTTCCTTTCTGATGCAGATGCTTTAAATGGCTTTACCTTGTCTTATTGCAGTGAAAAGAAACCCTAGTTAAATCTCGAATAGGACTGGGGAGAGCAGGCATTTTCCTTTTGTTCCTGATTGTTGGGGGAACACATTCAATCTTTTACTGCTTAGTAAGATGCTACTTGTAGGTTTTTTTCCTAAATGCCTTTTAGCAGATTCAGAAAGTTTCTTTCTATTCCTAGTTTTTTGAGTTTTTCTAAAACCAGGAATGGATATTGAATTTTGTTATGTAGTTGTTCTGCATTTATGGAGAAGATTACGTTGCTTTTCTTTTTTAGATTAATATGATGATGTACATTCATTAATTTTCAAATGTTAAACGAAACTTGCATTCCTAGGAAAAACTCAGTTTGACTAGTATTTATTATCTTTTCTGTATATTGTCAGATTTTATCTACAAAAATTTTGTCTAGAGTTTCTGCATCTATGTTCATGAGGAATATTGGTTTGTAGATTTACTTTATTGTAATGGCTTTGTCTGGTTTTGGTGACAGGGTAATGCTGGATTTATAGAATGCATTGAGAACTATTCTTTCTCTCCAATGTTCTAGAAAAGTATCTTCAAAGTTGGCATTATTTCGTTAAATGTTTGGATGGATTCATCAGTAAAATAATTTATCCCAGAAGTTTTGTGTGTGTGTATGTGCATGTGTGTATGAAGTTAACTATCAAGGTAGTTTCTTTAAAAGATATGTAACTATTTAGGCCATCTATTCTTGTATGAGCTTTGGGATTTTGTCTCTTTCAAGGTATGTTTTGTTTGTATCTACATTGCTCACATTATTAGCAGAAGACAGCTCAAAATATTTTGTTATTTTCTTTTCAATATTTGTAGACTGCAACAAAGTCACTTCCCTCATTCCTGATACTGGTAATTTGTGTCTCTTTTCGTTTTTTTTTTTTTTTTTTTTCCTTACTAGTCTAACTAGAGGTTTAACAATTTTACGTATCTTCCCAGAGAATTAGCTTTTGGTTTCAATAATTTCCTCTATTTTTTGTTTTAATGGCTTTTATATTGATTTTCATTTCTTTGTTGTTTATTATTTCCTTTATTTTGCTTACATTACATTTAATTTTGTCTTCCTTTTCTGTTTATGGTCAAAACTAGGCTCTCTCATTGAGATCTCTCATTTTTTTTAACAGAGGCATTCAGTATTATAAATTTCCCTCTCAATACTACTTTAGCAGTATCCCAAATTATTTAATATATTGTGTTTTTATTTTTCTTTAGTTCAAAATACTATCTAATTCCCCCCCCGCCCCGCTTTTTTTCATTTGTCCATTGGTTATTTAGAAGTGTGTTAGTTTCCAAATATTTGGCAAGTTTCCAGAGATCATTTTGTTACTGAATTCTAATTTGATTCTGTTGTGGTCAGAGAACATATTTTAATTAAAAAAAAAAACTTCCATTTTTGTACTTCATTTTTGAGCATATGGAATACAGTATTATACCTGTGATAATGTCTTTTCCATTCTTTGGAGTAGTTAATTAATTCAGAAATTAACTACTAATTAGTTTGTTCTTTTGGGGTTTACTTCTTAAGATTTGTTAGGCTTGACCAGAGCAGTAGCGAGTGTTCTTTTAGTTCTCTTTAAACTCTGACCTGCAAACTCGAGTCTAGAGATAAGACAGATGATTTCTTTCTTGCCATGTGAGTATACGGCAAGAATGATCCATCTGCAAACCAAGATCTGCAAACCAAGAACAGAGCCCTCACCAGAAATCAACTGGTACCTTGATGCTGGACTTTCCAGCCCCTAGAACTGTGAGAAATAAATTTCTGTTATTTAAGCCACCCAGTCTACAGTATTTTTGTTATAGCAGGCTGAACTTGAACTAAGACAGGGGCCATACAGAAAAGATCTGCTGATCTCTGGTTGTGATGGTTGATACTGTGTGAAAACTTGATTGGATTGAAGGATGCAAAGTATTGATCCTGGGTGTGTCTGTGAGGGTGTTGCCAAAGGAGATTAACATTTGAGTCAGTGGGCTGGGAAAGGCAGACCCATCCTTAATCTGGGTGGGCACAATCTAATCAGCTGCCAGCACAGCTAGAATATAAGCAGGCAGAAAAATGTGAAAAGAGAGACTGGCCTAGTCTCCCAGCCTACATATTTCTCCTGTGCCAGATGACTGTTATGATTTTCATTCTTTTGCATTTGCTGAGGAGTGTTTTACTTCCAAATACGTGGTCAATTTTAGAATAAGTGCTATGTGGTGCTGAGAAGAATGTATATTCTGTTGATTTGGGGTGGACAGTTCTGTAGATGTCTATTAGGTCCACTTGGTCCAGAGCTGAGTTCAAGTACTGAGTATCCTTGTTAATCTTCTGTCTCGTTGATCTGTCTAATATTGACAGTGGGGTGTTAAAGTCTCCCACTATTCTTGTGTGGGAGTCTAAGTCTCTTTGTAGGTCTCTAGGAACTTGCTTTATGAATCTGGGTGCTCCTGTATTGGGTGCATATATATTTAGGATAGTTAGCTGTTCCTGTTGCATTCATCTTTTTACCATTATATAATGCCCTTCTTTGTCTTTTTTGATCTCTGTTGGTTTAAAGTCTGTTTTATCAGAGACTAGGATTGCAACCCCTGCTTTTTTGTGCTTTCCATTTGCTTGGTAAATATTCTTCCATCCCTTTATTTTGAGTCTATGTGTGTCTGCACATGAGATGGGTCTGCTGAATACAGTACACTGATGGGTCTCGACTCTTTATCCAATTTGCCAGTCTTTGTCTTTTAATTGGGGCATTAGGCCATTTACATTTAAGGTTAATATTGTTATGTGTGAATTTGATCCTGTCATCATGATGCTAGCTGGTTATTTTGCACATTAGTTGATGCAGTTTCTTCATAGTGTGGTCTTTATATTTTGGCATGTTTTTGCAGTGGCTGGTACCAGTTGTTCCTTTCCACGTTTAGTGCTTCCTTCAGGAGCTCTTTTAGGGCAGGCCTGGTGGTGACAAAATCCCTCAGCATTTGCTTGTCTGTAAAGGATTTTATTTCTCCTTCACTTATGAAGCTTAGTTTGGCTAGATACGAAATTCTGGGTTGAAAATTCTTTTCTTTAAGAATGTTGAATATTGGCCCCCACTCTTCTTCTGGCTCGTACAGTTTTTGCAGAAAGATCTGCTGTTAGTCTGATGGGCTTCCCTTTGTAGGTAACCTGATCTTTCTCTCTGGCTGCCCTTAACATTTTTTTTCCTTAATTTCAGTCTTGGAGAATCGGATGATTATGTGTCTTGGGGTTGCTCTTCTCAAGGAGTGTCTTAGTGGTGGTCTCTGTATTTCCTGATTTTGAATGTTGACCTGTGTTGCTAGGTTGGGGAAGTTCTTCTGGATCATATCCTGAAGTGTGTTTTCCAACTTGGTTCCATTCTCCCTATCACTTTCAGGTACACCAATTAATCATAGGTTTGGTCTTTTTGCATAGTCCCATATTTCTTGGAGGCTTTGTTTATTCCTTTTCATTATTTTTTCTTTAATCTTGTTTTCATGCTTTATTTCATTAAGTTGATTTTCAATCTCTGATATCCTTTCTTCTGCTTGATCCATTCAGCTACCTGTGTATGCTTCACAGAGTTCTTGTGCTGTGTTTTTCAGCTCCATCAGGTCATTTATGTTCTTCTGTAAACTGGTCATTCTAGTTAGCAGTTCCTGTAACCTTTTATCAAGGCTCTTAGCTTCCTTGCATTGGGTTAGAACATGCTCCTTTAGCTCAGAGGAGTTTGTTATTACCCACCTTCTGAAGCCTACTTCTGTCAGTTCGTCAAACTCATTCTCTGTCCAGTTTTGTGTCCTTGCTGGAGAGGAGTTGTGATCCTTTAGAGGAGAAGATGCATTCTGGGTTTTGGAATTTTCAGCAGTTTTGCACTGTTTTAGCCTCATCTTCATGGATTTATCTACCTTTGATCTTTGACGCTGATGACCTTTGAATGAGTTTTTTGTGTGGGTGTTCTTTTTGTTGTTATTGCTTTCTGTTTGTTAGTTTTCCTTCTAACAGTCAGGCCCCTCTTCTGCAGGTCTGCTGGAGTTTGCTGTAGGTCCACTCCAGACCCTATTTTCCTGTGTATCACCAGCGGAGGCTGTAGAACAGCAAAGATTGCTGCCTGCTCCTTCCTCTGGAAGCTTCCTCCCAGAGGGGCACCTGCCCGATGCCAGCTGGAGCTCTTCTGTATGAGGTGTCTGTTGACCCCTGCTGGAAGGTGTTTTTCAGTCAGGAGGCACAGGGGTCAGGGACTCACTTGATGAGGCAGTCTGTCCCTTAGCAGAGCTTGAGTGCTATGCTCGGAGATCCACTGCTCTCTTCAGAGCTGGCAGGCAGGAACATTTAAGTCTGCTGAAGCTGTGCCCACTGCCGCCCCTTCCCCTAAGTGCTCTGTCCCAGGGAGATGGGAATTTTATCTATAAGTCCCTGACTGGGGCTGCTGCCTTTCTTTCAGAGATGCCCTGCCCAGTGAGGAGGACTCTAGAGAGACAATCTGACCACAGCTGCTTTGCCGCACTATGGTGAGTTTGCCCAGTCCGAACTTCCAGGTGGCTTCCTTAATGCTGTGAGGGGAAAATCACCTACTCAAGCCTCAGTAATGGCAGATGCCCCTCCCCCACCAAGCTCAATCACCCCAGGTCGACTTCAGACTGCTGTGCTGGCAGCAAAAATTTCAAGCCAGTGGTTCTTAGCTTGCTGGGCTCCGTGGGAGTGGGACCCACTGAGCAAGACCACTTGACTTCCTGTCTTCTGCCCCCTTTCCAGGGGAGTGAACAGTTCTGTCTTGCTGGGGTTCCAGGTGCTACTGGGGTATGAAAAAAGACTCCTGCAGCCAGCTTGGTGTCTGCCCAAACAGTTGTGCTGTTTTGTGCTTGAAACCCAGGGCCCTGGTCATGTAGGCACACGAGGGAATCTCCTGGTCTGCAGATTGCAAAAACCATGGGAAAAGCGTAGTATCTGGGCTGGATGGTACAATGTCTCATAGCTTCTCTTAGCTAGGGGATGGAGGTCCCTGGCCCCTTGCACTTCCCGGGTGAGGTGATGCCCTACCCTGCAATGGACAGGGTACCTCAATTGGAAATGCAGAAATCATCCATCTTTGGTGTTGGTCTCACTGGGATCTGCAGACTGGAGCTGTTTCTATTTGGCCATCTTGCCAGATCCCCACACAAGCTTTTATCATGGGAATGGCTGACATGCAATGAAAGGTGCATGCACAGCCTTGCCAGGTGTCTACTGTTAAAGTGAGGACATTGACTGGAAAAGAATGGGACCCTGCAACTTGGAATGGGGACATGTGGGAGGACCCTGATAAAACTGGGGACACTGAGTTCATAAACTGTGATAAACCCTTTTTGTCAGAAGAAACAGCTTCCCCATGCCCAGTAGTGGCAACATCCCCTCCCCGACCCATGCTGCCATCAGCTTTTTCACCTTTGCCTGAGGACATAAACCCTGTGTTGCCTGAGGCAACTGTGATGACCTCCTTTGAGGCAGTTGCCAGGCAAGATAACGTTGATTCTCCTCAAGAGCCACCCCCAACACCCCTGTTTGCTTCTAGACCTATAACTAGACTAAAGTCTGGGTGGGCCCCTAGAGGTGAGGTTGAGAGTGTGACCCTTGAGGAGGTGTGCTACACTTGAAAAGAACTGCTTGAATTTATTTATATAAGCAGAAATCTGAAGAACAGGCATGGGAGTGGATATTAAGGGTGTGGGATAATGGTGGAAGGAACATGGAGTTGGATTAGGCTGAATTTATTGATTTGGGCCCATAAGTAGGAACTCTGCATTTTATGTTGCAGCTCGTGGAGTTAAAAAAGGTTCTAATAGCTTATTTGCTTGGTTAGATGAAACATGGATTAAAAGATGGCTCACTGTGAATGAGCTGGAAATGCCTGATCTTCCATGGTTTAGATAGAGGAGGGGGTCCAAAGGCTTAGGGAGATTGGGATGGTGGAGTGGATTAGTCACTTTAGACTTACTCATCCCAGCTGGGAGGGTCCTGAAGGTATACCCTTGACCAATGCCTTGTGAAATAGATTTGTGAGGGTAGCACCTGCATCTTTGAAGGACCCTGTAATTGCTCTGCTTTTCTTTGTATGTCAGATACAACAGTGGGAACCACAGTCACTCCACTACAAAATTTAAATACAGTGTAAATAATTGGATCTTGAGGTGGCAGGGGCCAAGTAGTGGCACTCAACTGTCAAAGGCAAGTAGGGCATAGCTACTGTAATGGACAGCAGAGGCAAAGCAGCCATCAGAATAATCTGACTCATATAGAGCTCTGGCATTGGCTAATTAGGTTGTTCCTAGGAGTGAAATTGATAGGAAGCCTACTGCATTCCTACTTAATTTATATCAGCAGAAAACTTCTAGGTCGAATGGACAAAAGATTAATTTGAATTACAAAACAGAATCACAGCCCCTCAATCAGTTTCCAGACTTGAGCCAGTTTACAGATCCAGAAGCCCTTGAATGAAGGGGAGGCTGGCTCCCCTTAAGGAAGGATCTCATTATACCACCGACAATTTATGCTGTTAATCTTTCTCCCGTCCTTCCCCGAGGAGACCTCCGGCCTTTGACCAGGATAACTGAGGAAAGGGAAATGATCAGACATTTTGGGGACTACTGAACACTGGCTCTGAGCTGACATTGATTCCAGGGGACCCAAAATGTCATTGTGGTCCTCCAGTTAAAATATGGGCTTATGGAAGTCAGGTAATTCATGGAGTTTTAGCTCAGGTCTGACTTACAGTGGGTCCACGGACCCATCCTGTGGTCATTTCCCCAGTGCCAGATACGTAATTGGCATAGACATACTTAGCAGCTGGCAGAACCACCACATTGGCTCCCTGACTGGTAGGGTGAGGTCTATTGTGGTGGGAAAGGCCAAATAGAAGCCATTAGAGCTTCCCCTACCTAGAAAAATAGTAAATCAAAACCAATATTGCATTATTTTTGAAGGGATTGCAGAGATTAGTGCCACCATCAAGGACTTGACAGATGGAGGGGTGGTGATTCCCAAAACATTCCTATTCAACTCTCCCATTTGGCCTGTGTAGAAGACAGATGGATCTTGGAGAATGACAGTGGATTATCCTAAGCTTAACCAAGTGACTTCAATTGTAGCTGCTGTACCAGATGTGGTTTCATTGCTTGAGCAAATTAACACATCTCCTGGTACCTGGTATGCAGCCATTGACTTGGCAAATGCCTTTTTCTCCATTCCTGTCCATAAGGTCCACCAGAAGCAATTTGCCTTCGGCTGCCAAGGCCAGCAATATACCTTCACTTTCCTACCTCACGGGTATATCAACTCTCTGGCTTTGTGTCATAATCTTATTCGAAGAGAACTTGCTTGCCTTTCGCTTCCACAAGATATTGCACTGGTCCATTCCATTGATGACATGATGCTGATTAGATCCAGTGAGCAAAAAGTAGCAAACACACTGGACTTATTGTGAGACATTTGCATGCCAGAGGTTGGGAAATAAATCTGACTAAAATTCAGGGAACTTGTAACTCAGTAAAGTTTCTAGGGGTCCAGCGGTGTGGGGCCTATTGAGCTTTTCCTTCTAAGGTGAAGGATAAGTTGCTGGATTTGGCCCCTCCTACAACCAAGAAAGAGGCACAACACCTAGTGGGCCTATTTGGATTTTGGAGGCAACTCATTCCTCACTTAGGTGTGTTACTCCCACCCATTTATCGAATGACCCAAAAGGCAGCCAGTTTTGAATGGGATCCAGAACAGGAGAAGGCTCTGCAATAGGTCCAGGCTGCTGTGCAAGTTGCTCTGCCACTTGGGCCATATGACCCAGAAGATCCAATGGTGTTTGAGGTATCAGTGGCAGACAGGGATGCTGTTTGGAGCCTTAGGCAGGCCCTCATAGGTGAATCACAGTGGAGGCCTCAAGGATTTTGGAGCAAGCCCCTGCCATCTTCTGCAGATAACTACTCTTCTTTTGAGAGATAGCTCTTGGTTTGTTACTGGTCTTTGGTGGAAACTGAAAGCTTGACTGTGGGTCATCAAGTCACCATGTGACCTGAACTGCCTATCATGAACTGGTTGCTTTCTAACTCATCTAGCCATAAAGTGGGCCATGCACAGAAGCATTCCATCATTAAATGGAAGTGGTATATATGTGATTGGGCTTGAGCAGGTTCTGAAGGTACAAGTAAGTTACATGAGGAAGTGGCTCAAATGCCCATGGTCTTCACTCCTGCCACCCTGCCTTCTCTTCCCCCACCTGCACTGATGGCCTCATGGGGAGTTTCCTATTCAGCTTACGGAGGAAGAGAAGACTAGGGCCTGGTTCACAGATGGTTCTGCATGATATGCAGGTACCACCTGAAAGTGGACAGCTGTAGCACTACAGCCCCTCTCTAGGACGTCCCTGAAGGACAGCAGTGAAGGGAAATCTTCCCAGTGGGCAGAAGTTTGAGCAGTGCACCTGGTTGTGCACTTTGCATGGAAGGAGAAATGGCCAGATGTACAATTATATACTGATTCATGGGCTATGGCCAATGGTTTGGTTGGATGGTCAGGGACTTGGAAGAAGCATGATTGGAAAACTGATGATGAAATTTGGGGAAGGTATGTGGATGGACCTCTCTGAATGGTCTAAAACTGTGAAGATATTTGTATCCCATATGAGTGCTCACAATGGGTGACCTCAGTAGAGGAGGATTTTAATAATCAAGTGGATAGGATGACCCATTCTGTGGATACCACTCAGCCTCTTTCCCCAGCCACCCCAGTCATCACCCAATGGTCCCATGAACAAAGTGGCCATGGTGGCCAGGATGGAGGTTACACATGGGCTCTGCAACATTGACTTCCACTCATCAAGGCTGACCTGGCTATGGCCACTGCTGAGTGCCCAATTTGCTGGCAGCAGAGACCAACAGTGAACCCTTGATGTGGCACCATTCCTTGGGGTGATCAGCCTGCTACCTGGTGGTAGGTTGATTACATTACATCTCTTCCATCATGGAAAGGGCACGGGTTTGTCCTCACTGGAATAGACACTTACTCCAGATTTGGGTTTGCCTATCCTGCATGCAGTGCTTCTGCCAAGACTACCATCCACAGACTCACAGAATGCCTTATCTACCATCATGGTATTCTACACAGCATTACCTCTGACCAAGGCACTCACTTTATGGGTAAAGAAGCGCTGCAGTGGGCTTATGCTCATGGAATTCACTGGTTTTACCATGTTCCCTATTATCCTGAAGCAGCTGGATTGATAGAATGGTGGAATAGCCTTTTGAAGTCACAATTACAATGCCAACTAGGTGACAGTACTTTGCAGTGCTGGGGCAAAGTTCTCCAGTAGGCCGTGCATGCTCTGAATCAATGTCCAATATATGGAACTGTTTCTCCCATAGTCAGGATTCAGGGGTCCTGGAATCAGGGGGCAGAAGTGGAAGTGGCACCACTCACCATCACCCCTAGTGATCCACTAGCAAAATTTTTGCTTCCTGTTCCCATGACATTATGTTCTGCTGGCCTGGAGGTCTTAGTTCCAGAGGGAGGAACACTGCCACCAGGAGACACAGCAATGATTTCATTAAGCTAGAAGTTAAGATTGCCACCTGGATGCTTTGGGCTCCTCCTACCTTTAAGTCAATAGGCTAAGATGGGAGTTACAGTGTTGGCTGGGGTGATCGACCTGGAGTATCAAGATGAAATCATTCTACTACTCCACAATGGAGGTAAGGAAGAGGATGCATGTAATACAGTAGATCTCTTAGGGCATCTCTTAGTATTACCATGCCCTGTGATTAAGGTCAATGGGAAACTGCAACAGCCCAATCCAGGCAGGACTACAAATGACCCAGACAGTTCAGGAATGAAGGTTTGGATCATTCCACCAGGAAAAAACCATGATCTGCTGAGGTGCTTGCTGAAGGCAAAGGGAATACAGAAAGAGTAGTAGAAGAAGGTAGTCATCAATGCTAGCTATGACCACTTGACCAGCTGCAGAAACAAGGACTGTAATTGTCATGAGTTTTTCCTCCTTTTGTTAAAAACATGTTTGTGAATGTATATACTTGTACTAAGAAAATATCTTCATTTTATTTCCTTTTTTCTTTTATGTGACATATTTATTGACTTCATATCAGCATTTAAGTATTAACTTTATGTAATAGTATTTGGGTTGGGGATTGGTGCATTTCCAGTTGTACAAAGGATAGCTATATTATGTTAGGCATAATTATGACCTTATTTTTGTCTTTATTTGAAGATTATGTATGATCGCAGGAGATGCATGAATTCAAGTTGACAAAGGGTGGGCTTGTGATGGTAATACTGAGTGTCAACCTGTTTGGATTGAAAGATGCAAGGTACTGATTCTGAGTGTGTCTGTGAGGGTGTTGCCAAAGGAGATTAACATTTGAGTCAGTGGGCTCGGAAAGGCACACTCACCCTTAATCTGGGTGGGCACCATCTACTCAGCTGCCAGTGTGGCTGGTGTATAAAGCAGGCAGAAAAACGTGAAAAGACAATACTTCCGTAGCCTCCAAGCCTACATCTTTTTCCTGTGCTGGATGCTTCCTGCCCTTGAACATCCGACTCCAACTTCTTCAGTTTTGGGACTCAGACTGGCTCTCCTTGCTCCTCAGCTTGCAGATGGCCTATGATTATGGGACCTTGTGATTGTGTAAGTTAATAAACATATATACATGTTTATCTCCTGTTCTGTCCCTCTAGACAACCCTAACTAATACACTGGCCTATAGACATTCATCAAAGAATCACACAAATAAATGGAAAATTACAATCTCTTTAACAGAGGTCCATGGTACTTTAATGATAGCTAATTCTTACATTGCACTTGGTGCGTGCCAGGAACTATTCCAAGTATTTTACTAACCCATTGAGTCCTCAGAACAGGGCTATGAAACTGGTAACTTTATAATCACTGTTTTACTGATAAGGAAACCAAGACACAGAGCTCTTGTTTCTTTCCATGGATTAAGAACTAGCAAGTGGGGAGGTTAGGGCTCTAATCCAGGAAGTCTGGCCTTAGGGTCTGGGCTGTTACTACTATGCTGTACTGTCACATATACTAGAGATTATGTAATAGGGAATATTTGGAAATGAAATAATCAAGGAGGTCAGTAGGGACTTTCCTCAAGATGCAGTGGCTGAGCTGATTTGGATGGAAGAAGAAGAGCTAACTAGGCAATGGTGTTGGAGGGAAGGGTTACAAATATGTCTACAGAAGGATCAGCATGTTCAAAGCCTAGTGGCAGGAGGAAGCATGGCCAATATCAGAGAATGAAAAGAAGGCTGGTGTCTCAGGGCTTCAGACAAGAAGACAGGGCTAGATGGGGATGTGGAAACAGTGTATCTGTTAGCTATGCTGCACAGCAAGCTGCTAAACAAAATGTCCTGCCTTAAAACGATAACCAGTTATCATTGCTTCCACATCTGTAGTCAGTGGTGTGAGTCTCATTGCTAGGTTGGGCTGACCAGGACTCACTCATCATCTGTGGTCAGCTGTGGGTTGGATAGGTGTCTGATCTTGGCTGGGTTCTCTCTTGTGTGTGGAGCTTTGGCTAGGAAACCTGGATGGTGTGGTGGTGCTCCACTTGGTCTGTCGCCCTGAGCAGGCTAGCTTGGGCTCGTTAACATGGTGGTGGTGGAATTCCAAGTGAATGAATGACAATGACTAAAGCCTCTTGAGGTGTAGCTTTAGAACACCAGCATCATTTCCAATCCTATTCTATTGGCCACAGCAAGTCACAAAGCAGCCTGGATTCATGGGTGGAGAAGTAGACTCCCCTTTGTAATGGAATAAGCTACAAAGTTATGCTCCAAAGCCATGGATATAGGAGGGCTGGAGAATTGGGGCAGTATTTTTTTTGTTTTTTTGCATTTGATTGCAGGCAGGTTGGGGCTATTACACTTAGGGCCTTATGGACATTTTAAGGCATTTTATTTTTAGTCTATGAATACTGAGCAATTACTTAAAGATTTTAAGGTGTACAAAGACAATCACTTAAAGATTTTAAGATGTATCTTTACCTTCAGAAAGGTAATTCTGGCTTTGGAGAATATAAGGAAGAAGAGAGGATGTGGAGAGAACAGTTAGAAGACTTGTAAAAGTTCAGGTGAGAGATGATGGTTTGGTCACTCTGGTGCATATAAAGTTAGAATTGGATGCTTTTGAGAGCTAATTAGAAGGTAAAATTGACAAGATTTTGTGATGGACTGGTCATGGATTGGATGTTGAATTTCTAGACCATGGGCTACTTGAGGGTGGGAATAAGGACTTTCATATCTGTGAAATCCTAGTGTCTGATACATCATGGGTGTTAACGATTTGAAAAATGAATGAATGATTATATTGCATAGTGCATGGTCTTTTTTTTTCTTTCCAGTTACATGTAAATCCTTGTGGTTGGGTGTACAGCTTCATTGTCTGGGTTTTTTTTTGTGTGTGTGATACTTTCCAGAATCAACAAGCACAATGTCCAGGAAGATGGCTCGTTTGTTAACTTTCCCACCCCTGTAGCAGAAAGAGCACTGACTTCATGCAAAATGAAAGACACAGAGCCTTAGGGGGACATTCATCCTCCAACATCTCTTCCCCAAGGGTGACTTGCGGAAGCAGGACCAGTCTAATTAGCTTTCTGGGCTCTTGCTTAACAGAAGAACACAATATGGGCAAGCAATTGAAGCTGGAGGAAATGGTGCCCCTGGCTTTGGTTAATCTACTGTTATTTTCTCCGTTTCTGAGAATGTGCCTAGTAACTCCTGTGTGAGGCAGAGGCTCAGATATTTTCAAACAAATAATGAAATAGAGGACCTAGCTCATCTTTACGGGGTATTTGAGTGAGGTTTTCTTCACCATGTAGCGCAAAGGGCTGTGCAGTTGGAATTTTGGGGACCAAGGCAATGCAGCTGAAATCAGCAGTTTTTCTTTGCTTCAGGTTTGCTAATCTGCAGCTAAGGGGTTCTCTCTCCTTCAAGCTTAATCTTCACTGTTATCTTTGCTGCTTTTCTCAGAAGGGATAAGAATTTAGTTAATTTTTTGGCCCTTTCTGGAAGGAGAGGAAATGGTTTGTCGCTGCTACTGGAAGGGGGCTTCCTGCCTTCTTTCCTCTGCCTGATTTTGGGGAGACATTCATTCTGTTAGCAAGTGGGGCTAATTTAGTATGTTCAGCTCACTCACTCCATTTCATAGAGCCCAGGGAAGCTGCAAAGATTGGAAAGACAAGATTGCATTTTTAAAATGCCTTTGAGCTCCAGTTGTTTTCATGTGAAATGTAGAATAATGCAAACTTTTCTGTTTCCCCATAACTAGTGGGGCAAGTAATGGCAGTTTTATACAACGGAGCCTGAAAATGGACCCCCAGTGCAATTTATTTGATGCTTACAAGTTGCCCACTGGGTTTTTAATGTGAAAGACAGTTTTGCCTTAAATAATTGGCTCAAATGAAAAAAATGTTAGAGTGCTCCTCTGTAAGCAATAATCTAGAATCACTTCTGAGACTGTTGCCCTGGTTATTGTCATGATGTGTGGCTCAAAATAATGACCTCTCAGACCCTTCTGCAGTAACAGACCCATTTCTTTTTTCCTGAGGGCACGAGATCAGGGTAGGTGGGGCAGGCTCCACATGAACTGAATCCTCTTTGTGCTTTTTAATTTTTAAAATATTTGAAGAGAAATTTCCAGCGCAGTGTGTGAGCACTTAACCACATGCCTGTTATTACCACTGATGAGATTCATGCAGCTTGGACCTTGCACTTCTATTTACCCTTTAACAAGTTCTCCCATCATGGAGCTATTAACAATTGTTTTCTAAGAAAAACAACCAACACCAGTGCACACACCCTCTTGCATTTCCTGTATCTGCTGAGATACACTTACCCAGAACGCTTTTTTGTTTAACACTAAATGGCGTGTGAGAGGCTGAATATCTAAATAGACCATGGTCAGACCATATATAAAAATAGAACTGGACCATAGCTTCCAGCAACCTCTCAGGAAACCAACCCCTTATCTACAATAAACAACCCAGCAAGCCCACCTGACTTGGGGGAGGTCAGACCTCTGTGTCTAGTAACAATCTGGGAAGCTAAACAATAACTTGTGTAACAGTTGGCCCCAAATTGCTGGGACTTGATTAATAACTAACAGCTTTCCTAGTTTTTGTGCCTGCTTCCAATTTAGGACCAACCAGAGAGAGCTAAATATGCCCCTAACCAATCACATGGCTGCCTGCTCCTAGTTAGCCACCTCCAGCTTCTCCAGACCAACGGCCTCCAATCAGGGCACATCTGAAGCCGTCCCTTTTGTCCACTGTAACACTCTCCCACTCCCCTGCCTGCCTTTGAGTCTCTGACAAATGCCTGTGATGGTGGCTGACTCCCTTGCTACAGCAAGCTCAGAATAAATTGCCTTTGCCTTTCTCATTTGGATGGTGTTTATTTCCACATGTGGTTCAGTTCTTGGGTTTTAAGTTAATTGGGTGTGCCTGTGACTTTCTTTTTGACTCTGCCAATCTTGCTCCTATCCCAAAATGCAATGGAGCAGATGGAAGGCAGATAACATACAATCTCTGCTACAGAAATAACCTGCTTCAGGGGCAGAGTAATTTGTAGGCCATTCCTTCCTGCTTCCAACCAAGTCCAGGAGATTATCACTGCAAGTCAAACCTGGGAGTTCCGGCCGGGCGCGGTGGCTCACGCCTGTAATCCCAGCACTTTGGGAGGCCGAGGCGGGCGGATCACGAGGTCAGGAGATCGAGACCATCCCGGCTAAAAAACGGTGAAACCCCGTCTCTACTAAAAATACAAAAAATTAGCCGGGCGTAGTGGCGGGCGCCTGTAGTCCCAGCTACTTGGGAGGCTGAGGCAGGAGAATGGCGTGAACCCGGGAGGCGGAGCTTGCAGTGAGCCGAGATCCCGCCACTGCACTCCAGCCTGGGAGACAGAGCGAGACTCCGTCTCAAAAAAAAAAAAAAAAAAAAAAAAAAAAAAAACCTGGGAGTTCCTTTGAGACTGGACCTTCAGATGCAACCAGAATGTCAGGTTCATTTTCATCCTCAATAGGAGGGAAGGGCAAGTGAGGCTATTTCACTTTGAGATATCTATTCCATCAGTATTCCTTTAATTTAATCATTCAACATAACATTTATCATGTGTTGAATATAAGGGTTTTAATTATCTTTTTAATTTTCAAAGACATTTTAAAACACATCCTTTCGATTCTGGAGAAACCGAGGTTCTGTAGCATGGCTCCTGGAAGGTAGCTCTTCAGAGTTCAGTCAACTGGGTTAGACTCATACTTTGATGAAACTTTTATTTTTTTCTCCTGGTTATTTACACTTTTCAGGAGTTTTTTTTGATGCCTCCCTCTTATTCCGTTGTTTCTTGGCTTGCTTTAAAAACTACTGATGTAATTTGGAAGTACTCTTGGGATGTGGTCTTAGATCTTAAGTTCAAGCATTCAAATATGCATGCATTCATTTATTCCACAAATATTTATTAAGGCCCTACAAAGTCAGATTTACCATGAAGCTAAGGATGCGTAAACTTTAGGGTCTCTCTTTGCCCATCCTTCCAGCTCTCTGGGAGGGACCATGGGGGCGCAGGGGGGAACGGAGGGCAATGCAGTCACATGTTTGCATAATTTTGTAAAATTTGCAGAAGTAACATATTTGAGCCACTATTAGTAAAGACGATTGTTGCCTTCTCCTCTGACTTCATTCTGTCACACCACTTCCTCTCATGCTGGGTGAGGTTAGAAGAGCTGCAAGGAGATTTGAAAACTGCCCGAGGGGACAGTTGAGTGAGGGATTTATTGTGTTTGAATTTACTGAGATATATTTATGTGTGCAGCTAAGTTGTTGCTATGAAAGATTCATGACAATGGCAAAGCTTGAGATTTGACTGTATTGTTAACGATCCACTATATTATGTCACTTGTTTGGTGAATTCTTTAATTCAGAGAAATCTTCCAGGTACCATTGGACACTTGCCAGCACCTGATGCTAACCTTCCTGCCCTTTCTACCTCCAACACACTTCTCTCGGCTTCTCAACCACTTTCATCCTGACACACCACCCTCAATCTAAACTGGACCTCACGCCAAGCCCATCTTTATTCCTACAATGGCCTTACTCAAGCCTGTCCACACACGTTCTTACTCATTTGACATGAAATTTTGACACAGATAACATAAAACCCATAATAAGGGCCAGGTGTGGTGGCTCACGCCTGTAACCCCAGCATTTTGGGAGGCTAAGGCAGGTGGATCATGAGGTCAGAAATTCAAGACCAGCCTGGCCAAGATGGTGAAACCCCATCTCTACTAAAAATACAAAAATTAGCCGGGCATGGTGGTGGGTGCTATAATTGCAGCTACTTGAGAGGCTGAGACAAAGAATTGCTTGAACCTGGGAGGCTGAGGTAGCAGTGAGCCGAGATCATGCCACTGCACTTCAGCCTGGATGACAGAGCTAGACTCCATTTAAAAAAAAAAAAAAAAAAAAAAAGAGAAATACCCATAATAAGTCACTGCAATGAGTTCATCAGTAACCAGCTGATTAACAAGGGTTTCTAATTCAAAGAGCATGTAAGGCTAGTCACTGAGAAAATTTGAAATGCCACAATCTTCTCGCTCACAGATGTAAGAAAAGGGTATTTTCACTAATTTGACAAAAATCCTAAACAGTTACATGACATTACCAACAATGAGTTACAAAGTTGAAAGGAATTGTTTTAAAACTAAACTTGGTCAACAATCCTAAAGATTTTTCTATTCTCTCTTCAGTAAATATTAACAAAGTCATCATTATATGGTCAAAGTGCACTTAGACAGAAACGTAGGAAAAAGGCCATTGAGGCTTGCCAGGGAATCAATGAATAAAAATACTTTTGTGGATGTTGTGATTTATGTGGCATTTTCCAGGTTTTTATTATTTAATTTGGGGGCATATTTTTTCTCACTTTAAATAATACTCTCTTGCATATTTTTTATATATTAATAGTTATTTTAAATTAGACATTCTAAATTTTGAGACTGTAGATTCACATGCAGTTGTAGGAAATAATGCAGAGGAATTCTGTGCATTATTCATCCCGTTTCCTATTTCCCCAATGGCAACATTGTGCAAAACTATACTATAGTATCAAAACTAGGATAATGAGGCCGGATGCAGTGGCTCATGCCTGTAATCCCGGCACTTTGGGAGGCTGAGGCAGGCGGATCACCAGAGGTCAGGAGTTCGAGACCAGCCTGACTAACATAGCAAAACTCCGTCTCTACTAAAAATACAAAAACTAGCCGGGCATGGTGATGGGTGCCTGTAATCCCAGTTACTCAGGAGGCTGAGGCAGGAGAATCGCTTGAACCCGGGAGGCGGAGGTTGCAGTGAGCCCAGATCACGCCATTGCACTCCAACCTGGGCGACACAGCGAGACTCTGTCTCAAAAAAAACCAACCGAACAAAAACCAACCAAACAAAAACACTAGGATAATGATATTGATACAGTTTACATATAATTTTTATATTTGTACCTTTGTGGTTTTTTTTTTCTAAAGAGCTCCCTACTACCCCCAGTATGATAGACTTCAGTCCCCCTGTCTAACATGTGCCGGACACCATTCAAGGTGCTGGGGATGGAGGACTGAATAAAAGAGCCAAAGTCCCTGGTCTCAGGGAGCTGCCACTCTATTGAGGGAAATAGAAATAAAATATACAGCATATCAGATAAGTATTATGGAGAAAAATCAAAGAATAAGGAGGTAGGGAGAATCTGAGATAGACTGACATTACTAATTTAAGAAGGGAAGCTGGAGAAGGAAGGCAGTATATGATTGCTTTACCTTTTAATAAATCTCACTTTGGAGCTCAAACGCCACCCTAAGACTGCTAGATCATACTTGCATTATACAAACATCTATGTCTCTAAGGAGGTGTTTTATTTCAACATGAGGTGCAGCATTAGCATCACCAGAAAATGCTTTTAGCACAGAGGATGTAACTAAAATAGGATCTATGCCCAAGGCAACAATATTAAAGAGTTCCAATGGGAAAGTCTGTTATTAATATGTAATTTAATTTTAAGAACTGCTTACTTTGTCCAAACTACATTGTCTTGGGAGCTACTTGTTTTGTCATTTGAAAATAATGAAGTGCCAAAGTCAGTACCAATCACATTAAGTCAAAGACACAAGACAGAGAAGTCTGCGGCAGCTATTTTTTTTTTAAAGGCAGCAATGAGCTCCCAAAGAATAAATCATTTTCAACCCATAGGCTTGCATAGAAAAGAGGCCTCCATGAATGTGGAGTTGAAGAAGCCAGCCATAGCAGAGAGGGCTCTGCAGACCGGGCATGTGTTCTGCCCCTGGCAATTAGTGTGTGATGTGATGAAGACACTCAACTTTCTCAGATGATCAAATCAAATGACATATTTAAGCTCCTTCTGTGATGATGACTTGCATAGAACAGTTGCTCAATAACTGTTTCATTTTCATCCGTTTCATTCCATCAGTGGTAAAACCAGGATGACATTCATAATAAGTACATTGCAGGAGTATAGCATTGTTAGAATTTAAGGCAATAACCCATGTTTAAACAATCATGTAAACTGGAAGACACCATAACTGTTGGTTTTCATTCTTGAATATGATAAACTTCATTCTTTTTATGATTTGTTTTGCTATGTTTTGAACTAAGAGAATATGACAAGTATTTGGAATTTTCTAGAGTGATAGGTCATAAAAAATTGTCTTACCAATTGTTTTGGCTACTGGAGTAGTGATATGAACTAATGTTGCACAGAAGTCTGAAGGGTGAATGACTGATGTTAAATGGCAGTCAATTAAAAGTGAATATATAAGTATGGTTAAGTGTAGAAAACTGGCCTATCAGAAAGTATAGTGAACTGAGAGAACTAAATTATAGAAATATTGTACTTGATTGCTCCTAAGTATTGGGAACTTTGAATTCCCAAGAATATATGAAGAATAGCTTTTCTTTCTCACCTTTTACTGGACCCTGAAATAGAATCAGGGTCTCCCTAAAGACAGCTTAACTCTGCTTTTGGCTGTGACATTTCTCTGACAGTCTCTGAAAGAGGATCAATACAGTAACACAGCAGCTCCTCACAGATCAAGACCCTAACTCACAAAAAATAGCTGGGTGTGAAGGTGGTTGCTGGAAAGGAAGAAATGAAGAGAGAAAGGAATGAGACATTATTGTGAAGCCCAGAGACATTATTGTGAAGCCCAGAGACTTTAGGCAAGATTTGATCTAATGTCTTGGTGATGTCAGCAGTGTGTCCGTATCACTCCCCTCTCCCTCCCTTTCTGCTGCCTCATCTCAAGTGGCATCCCCTCATGTTTGTTGGTTTCACAGAAGAAAAGGAAGGCCAGTGTAACTTGGAGCTTTGTGATGGGGAAACATGCAGGAGAAGCAGCAGGTGGCAGATTGGAGGAGGCAGATTATCTATGGCCTTGTATACCTGGCAAAGAGTTTGAATTTTGTGTTGAGCAGTAGGAGGCCACTAAAGATTCTTAATCAAGGGAGCTACATGACATGCTGTACAGTCTTAAAATATCACATTGATGGCGAGGACAGAGTGGTTTGGAGAAGGATCAGAGAAGGGAAATAAACAAGGAGGTGGTTATAGTGTCTCTTGGGTCTTGGTAAGGAGTATATGTGGGAGACATGAAGAAAAAAAAGCAAGAGTGAAGTATGTTATTTATGGTGATTGATTGCAGCCCAAGTTTAGAGTGTTCTTCTTGGTATTTATCTTGCCAGGTACCCCAGATGTACTACCTGACTATGGCTAATGTTTATGTTAAATATTTTCCATTTTGGTTACTTGAAAGTTTTTAGCTCAATATTATAAAACACAAGAGGAAAAAAAAGTGACTAATACAAGAAACAAACATAGCAGAATTAGACCCCTAAGGAATTTAGATCATAGAATTTGCAGAAAAACACACTGAATTACATTTGTTTAAGATAGATAAAACTATTTAAAAAAGGATTAAGACACCAGAAAAGAACAAGAAAATGTGAAAAAAGAAGATGATGCATATTTGAAAAAGAACCAAATAGAACTCTTAGAGAAGGAAAATATAGTCATTGATATAAAAAAACTTCAATAGGTTAAGCACAGATGAAATATAGCTAAATTGGTAAACTGGAAAAGAATGAGGATATTCTCTAGAATGCATCATAAGTATGAAGTGGTGAAGAATTTAAATGAGAGATTAAGAGATGAGAACGGCCAACACATGTCTTAACGGCAGTTCTGGAGAAGATAACAGAAAGGATGAAGCAGTGGCTGTAATATAGGAGTATGGCTGAGAATTTCCTAGAGTTGATTAAAGATATGATTCTCAGATACAGACAGCACAAATCCTACTAAGTATGATAAATTGAGGTAAATCAACATTTGAGAATTTAGATACACTGCAGAGATCAAAGGAAAAGAAACCTTAGTGTTAATCAGAAAAAACCCAGGATGTCTTCAAAGGAATAATACATAGTGGACTTCTGACCAGCGATAATGGAATCCAGAAAGACAGCAGAATAAATCAAAGTAGATCTTTACATCCAGCTAAGCTCTAACATGAACCATAGCAAAATACAGACAATATGGATCATCAAGAACTGGAAGAGTTTACTATTAACAGATCTTTGACATGGATTTTTAAAGAATATACTTCTGGAAGGAATGTGAAGAATGGACAGTGACACAATGAGATACTATGTCATACCCACTAATATGACTATAAATAAGAGAAAATAACAGTGTTGATGGGGATGTGGAGAAGTTGGTACCCTCATACACCGCTGGTGGGGATGTCAGATAGTGGAGCCATATTGGAAAACAGCCTGGCAGTTCCTCACAAGGTTAAATACAGACCTACTATATGACTCAGCAATTCTACTCCTAGATTTATACCAAGAAAACAAAAAAAAAATGTCCACACAAAAACTTGTACATGAATGTTCATGGAAGCATTATTTTTAATAGCCCAAATATGGAAACAACCAAATGCTCATCAACTAACGAGTAGATAAATAAAATGTGGTATATCTATACAATGGACTATTATTTGAGAGTTAAAAGTAATGAAGTACTGATACATGTTACAACATGGATGAACCTTGAAAACACTCTACAAAGCAAAGGAAGTCAGACACAGGAGACCACATATTGCATGATTCAATTCATATGCAATGTACAGAACAGGCACATTTCAAGACAGAAAGTAGATTAGTAGTTGATTAGGGCTGAGAGGTTTGGGGAAACAGAGGGACTGCTAATGGGCACAACATTCTTTTTGGGGTGATTAGTTCTAAAATTGATAGCAGTGATGGTTGCACAACTCTGTAAATGTACTAAAAACTACTGTATTGTACACTTTAAATAGTTGAATTATGTGGATATGGATTGAATCTCAAGAAAAAAGAAAAATGAATAAATAATGGTCAAAGAAATTGGTAAATACATTGGTGAGTAAATCTACTTGCTAAACTGAAACGAAAAATGAAACAATTTAAAATAGGAGACAAGTGGAGAAGGTAGAAATCCTTATTAACCCTAGACTCTATTAAAAAATCCATGCATAATTTTAAATTCATAAGGGAATAGGAAAGAAACAAGTTATATAATCAATATAAAAGAAAATTAAAGAATTAGGGAGCTAAGGGTCCAACTCAATAATTAGAAAAGAACAAACCCAAAGAAAGTAGAAGGAAATAATAAAGATGAGAGCAGAAAAAAATACAAAATGGTGGGTATTAAAGTCAACTGTTGGTTTTCAAAGAGACTAATATAGAATATGGAAACCTTTTTCAATAATAATAGAGGGAATTTATAACTAATATAAATGAAAAAGGGACGTGGCTACAGATTGGAGTAAAAATGATACGAGAATATTATAAATAACTTTATGTCAATAAGTTATGTTGACTATCAGGAACATACTGTAATTGTTATACTTAGGAAAATGAAATGCATTTACATTAGAGCCAGTACCAAAGCAGTAAGACCAGCTCTCACTTCTCCAGTTCAACAGTGTAATGGAGGGCTTAGCCAGTGTAGTTAGACAATAAAAGAAACAAACATGGAAACTGATAAGGAGGGGGAGATTATTCACTTCACATGGCTCCATTGTTCTTGCTATAAGTAGGTATTGCTTTTGTACGGAAAGAATTCAGTAAAATGAATGAAAGAAATAATTGACTATTTTCTCAAACTTTTGTTTTAAAAAATATATTTGGTACCATTTTTATTCTTTTCTCCCACCCAAATCTCATGCTGAGTTGTAATCCCCAATGTTGGAGGTGGGACCTGGTGAGAGGGATTGGGTCACTGGGGTGGTTTCTAATGGGTTAGCACCGCTCCCCTAGTGCTGTTCTCCTGATAGAGTTCTCATGAGATCTGGTTATTAAAAAGTGTAGCACCTCCCCCTTCTCTCTTGCTCTTGCTCTGGCCATGTTAGACGTGCCTACTTTCCCTTTGTCTTCTGCCATAATTGAAAATTTCCTCCTCAACCATGCTTCCTGTACAGCCTGCAGAACCGTGAACCAATTAAACCTCCTTTCTTTATAAATTACCTTGTCTCAGACGTTTCTTTATAGCAATTCGAGAGCGGACTAATCCATAAACATTGCAAGGAAATGGATGAATCGTCACAATTAGAAGGGTATATGATTTTCTACCTACAAAAGCCAAGGGAATGAAAACCAGTAAGAGTGTGTGAACAATAGATTTACATCATTCTCTTCGTCATAGTCACTGTCTTTGTTATCATATAATTACTACTCTGTTCTAGAGTCTGTGCTAAAGATGTGATGTTATTATCTCATTTAATCCTCACAACAAACTGAAGAGGTATGCTGTTGTCATCCCTACTTCAGCGGCGAGGGAATCTGTTGAAAGAGGAGTCAGCTTAGCTCCATGCACAGAGCCAGTGAGTAGAAGATCTGGGATGTCAGTCGAGGGAATCTGAGCTTGCAGACTTCGGCCTCCACCACTGGGCTGCGCTGCCTCCAAACACAGCCTTCTACTCCAGAGACTGGAGCAGGAAAAGATGTTATTCTAGTTGCCAGACAAATCATCAAGGCCCAGGAGTAAACCAATTGAAATATGCCTTAGACCTAAATGAAGGAAAGTACTAACCAGTACTGAAGGACATAAAAGAAAACCTAAATATAGAGAAAATCATACCACTTTTGGGGCAAGGGTGGGCGATGGTGGCACTCATTACTGTGAAGAGGTCATTACTCTAATCTATGAATTCAGTTCAATCCCAATCAGTACCTCAAAAGGATTTATTTAAGAGAAATTTGTTAAGCTAGTTTTAAAGTTCATTTGAAAGAGAAATTCAGAAGCCATAAAAAAAATTACAAGTTAGGCTACATAAAAATAAAGATTTCCGTATGTCACAAAACATCATATGTAGTTTTTTTTTTTTTTTTTTTTTTAAATGATCATCATCTAGGGAAAGCTACTTGTCACATATAAGACAGACAAAGGGTTATATCCCTAATAAACTAAGTGCCTACACACTGATATAGAAAAGAAAAACAACTTGATTGATAGATTAGGTAAAGCTATGATCAGGCAATTCATAGTAAAGGAAATATAAATGGTCAATAAAATATGAAAAGATGCTCAAACCCCCTAGTAGTCAGGTAAACAAAAATAAAATGATGGAAATTTGATTTCTGCCTGTCAGACTGGCAAACGTTTAGAAGATTGATGGCATCTAGTACTGGCAAGGGTGGTGGGAAATTCATATGCTTTTCAGTGTTCATGGAGATTTAAATTGTTACAGTCTTCTTAAAAAAGTAATCTAGTGGTATTAAAATGTAATATATATACATATGCCCTTTGACACAGAAGTTCCATTTTTTAGAAATATAGTTTACAGAAATAAATAAGGCAGCTACTCAGGGGGCTGAGGTAGGATAATCGCTTGAACCAGGGAGGCCGAGGTTGCAGTGAGCCGAGATCATGCCACTGCACTCCAGCCTGGGCAACAAGAGCGAAACTTCATCTCAAAAAATAAAAAATTTAAAAAAAAAGTAAAGTATGTGTAAGTTTGTTATCCCAGCATTGTGTGTGATGGAAAAAAATTATTTGAAAAAAATATAAATGGTTGAATTGTGGCTCATTCTTACTATTGATAATTATGCAGCTTTTATAAAAGATTACATCTATAGGAACCAAAGTTAAGGGAAATCTATAGTGTTATTATTAAATGAAATAAACTACTAAGTAGTGGTAACATTAGTTTTGTTAAAGCAAAATCCTATATAATATGTACACCTTTATCTCATATATAGGAGATATATTCCATATATATTTATCCTGTATATCCTTAAATATATTTACATATATGTGTATAAACATAAGGAAAGTTGTGGGAGAGTACTTATAAAACTTAATATTGGTTATCTCAGGATACTGAGATTAGAAGCATGGAGGGGGAGACTCTTAACTATCTTTACATAGCTCCACTGTCCTTGTTATAAGCATGCATTGCTTTGGTACAGAAGAATTCAGTAAAATAAAGGAAAGAAATAATTTGCTATTTTCTCAAACCTTTGCTTTAAAAAATATATGAAATACCATTTTTATTTTCTCCCTCTTAATCCCCTATTTTCTCTGCAAGCCTGATATTGACCAGGGCTGATTTTGCCAATTACGATAGTTTTCAAGATAGAAGTCCCCAGGGTTGGTGAGGGACCAACATATATACCAGACCATAATACATACCACAATGGCATGCTTTGTGTGTAAAAGGATTTCATTTTCTCTAATTAATAGCTTAGTAGTTTTTGGACATTAAGCCTCAAATAAGCCCTGGAATTAATGTCATTCCGTCTATGTAGTGATTTACCAAATTCCAGATGGTTCCCTGGTGTGGTCCTTTGTTCATGATGTCAGAGTTACTAATCCCTTTTAGCCAAGCAAGCATTTATTATGTGTTGCAAATGCAGATACTCTCAGGTCACCAGTAGGACATTTGGTTAAGAGATAAGAGGAGGAATCATTTGTCTCTCCTGATGATCTGGTGGAGATACTTGGTGTGGTGGGTGGGCTAGCTGAAAAAGAAATCAGAGAAATTCCCAGGAAGAACTGCTTTGGGGCTGGCTAGCTAGTATCTTTCTGACATTTTTTTCTCCTTCAGAAATCCTTTGCCTTACTCAGAACCCTTGGATTAAGTAATAGGAACTGCCCCAGTCAAGTTCAGTTTTTACTAGGATTTTTTCCCCACCAAATATGAACAAATGTAATTCCTGGGCTTTGTGAATTTCTGTTGTGATTTTAGTAATGTTTTTGACATTGCTAACAGACTCTGAAGAAAAATGCAATCTGTCAGTAAACCCTTTAATATAGTAAGGTTTTTTTTTTTTTTTTTTTTGAGATGGAGTCTTGCTCTGTCGCCCAGGCTGGAATGCAGTGGTGTGATCTCAGCTCACTGCAACCTCTGCCTCCTGGGTTCAAGCGATTCTCCTGCTTCAGCCTCCTGAGTAGCTGGGATTACAGGTGTGCACCACCACACCTGGCTAATTTTTTCTATTTTTAGTGGAGACTGGGTTTCACCATATTGGTCAGGCTGGTCTCGAACACCTGACCTCGTGATCCACCCACCTCAGCCTCCCAAAGTGCTGGGATTACAGGCGTGAGCCACTGCGCCCAGCCATTTTTTTTTTTTTTTTTTTTTTTTTGAGACGGGTTCTCCCTCTGATGTCCAGGCCAGAATGCAGTGGTGTAGTCAGCTCACTGCAGCCTCAAACTCCTGTGGTCAAGTAATCTTCCTGCTTCAGCCTCACGAGTAGCAGGGACTACAGGTATGCACCACCACATCTGGCTAATTTTTTTTTTTTAATTCTGTAGAGATGAGGTCTCACTGTGTTGCCCAGGCTGGTCTTGAACTCCTGGCCTCAAGCAATCCTCCTTCCTCGGCCTCCCAAAGCACTGGGATTATAGGCATGGGCCACTGCACCTAGCCAGACATTTTTTTAATTGTGGTAAAATACACATAACATGGTTACCATCTTAGCCATTTTTAAGTGCACAGTTTAGAAGTGTTAAGTATATTCATATTGTTGGGCAACCAATCTCTAGAACATTTTAATCTTGCAAAACTGAAACTATACCCATTAAACAACTCCCCATTCCCCTGCCTCCCAGACCCTGGTAACCACTATTCCACTTTGTTTCTATGAATTTGACTACTCTGGATACCTCATATAAGTGGAATCATCCAGTATTTGTCTTTTTGTGTCTGGCTAATTTTGTTTAGCATTATGTCTTCAAAGTTCATCTCTGTTGTAGCACGTTATCATAATTTCTTTCCTTTTTAAGGCTAATATTCCACTATGTCCATTAAGGGATTTCATTCATATATACATATATATATATATATACATATATATATACACACATATATATATACATATATATACACACATATATATATACATATATATATACACACATATACATATATACACACATATATATACATATATATACACATATATATACATATATATACATATATATACATATATATACATATATACATATATATGTATATATATGAATGAAATATATGAATGAAATATATATATGCACACACACACACACACATACACACATATTCAAAAGCCTTAGATATAAAAAATATTCACTGTTTTAACCCTCGAAAAACCTGTACTCATTTATTTATTGAAGTTGACTAAAATATGGCCGAGTACTAAAAAAACTGATGACTGAGTCACTACTCTGGAAGTTCTCAAAGTGAGGATACAGTGATTATCCAAGGCTGGATGGGTCATTTGTGCAATATGTAAAAGTAACAAAGACATACCACCTTAAGTTACCCTATTTCAGGGCCTGTTGTTTCTAGAGAATTCCTTACAACTCTCCCTTGCAAAACTCTTCCTCTCACTCATAGAAGATCAAAGTGGAATTTACTAATTTAAGGACTAATATTTCGCTTATTGTTCTAAGCTTATAAATTCTGCCTCTTACAGAAAACAGACCCTCTTCCTTGTTTTAGATCATATTTGCGTTTAGTATTTTTTTTTTTTTGGCATTAGAAACAGAAAGGAGAGAGGCTGCTGAGTCCCCTGCTAAAGCTCTAGTCTAAGACTGACATTTTAAAATTCAGCAGACAGAGCAAATCCACATGATTCCAGGACTTGCCTCTCAAGGTCAGAATATTTAGTGAACACTTGGGTCAAATCCTCTCCTTGGTATCGGTGCCAGGATGTTGGCCCTCAGTTCACCTTCCTGAGCTCTTTGCTCAGTTCTCTTAGGGATGTTTGGCTGTGCCCCCTCAGGCCTTACTTCTGAGCTGATACGTTTGACCTCAAAATGGATAACAGGGCAGGAAGGTGGGACCAGCTTCTGTCACACTGTGCAGTTTATTTTCTATCAATAGCCCTGTTACAGTGCACAGGCTCTTGGGTTCCTTGAGGAATGGAGCCATTTTGTAAACAAAACACTGTCATTTTAAGCCATTAGAATGCATTCTATGAGGCATAATGGCCAGCGGAGAGCTACTGGGAAAGTCGGATGAAGCACAGAGTGAAGTATTTGGTTCTCTGGGTCTCCTGTGATTTAACTGCCCTACAAACTCAGCCTTCCCATTAAATACTGTATTAAAAAAATCTCTGGAGCAAAAGCAAATATGTGCTTTTCTTCTCTGAGAAGAGATGGATTTAGCAATTCTACTTCTGTTTGTTATTTCAGTGGAATCTAGTTGTTTTGGGAGTTAAATAGTCTTCTCTCAGATGTTATTTTAAATGCCCTCTACCCGCCACCACCCCTCCCCCCGCCTTTTTTCTTTTTGGTAAGAAAACTAGCTCCTTAGCTCTTCAGGTAGTGGTGAACAGTTTTAGTGCTAAAGAACATTCTCTCTCATGTTTTGGACATGAGTCTGAGTACATTAAATGTGTTCATGCATTTTATATTGTAAAATACAATGTAATTCTTGTTTTGTGAGTGGGAGGGTAGACGATAGTGCTGAATTCCATGTGTTAGTCCAGGCTTTATGGGAGGCAGATGGCAAAACGGCGTTAAATGTGCCAAGATTCCATTAGCGGACACTACCGTGTGAGAGAAGATGAAGAGTATCAGAAAAGGCTGCGAGAGTTTCGGCTCGCCCTGTAAGCCTGATCCAGGGAAGAGGAGAGGGTGGGAAGGTTAGGTGGGAGCACTGTGGTTTTGAAACAGCTGTGCAGTTTAAGGAAGGTTTGTAAGGCTACTGGGGAGTCTTTGGGCCAAGATCAACCTTCAGAAGAGTCCAGTGTCTCCCAGAAACCGGCTGCTTTGGCGTCCCTGAGGATCACTCACTGGCCAGGCACAGCTGTGGGAGGTACAGGGGGGCCCTCGGTTAATTACATGGCCTGTCACCTAAGGTGTAGGAGCCATTCTCAGAGTTGCTGCAGTCTGCATCTTTAAAGTTTTGGAGAACTCTGTGTTACCTGGTTCTAACATCACTAATGATGGATGCTGTTTCTTTTTTAAAGTAAGTCTCCATTGATTTTTGCATCTCATAATTCATTAGTTTGAAAGCTTCCAAAAAGCAGTTAATTGCCCCCAGGGGCCATCTAGGATCCTTTTATTCGCTGGAGGAACTCTGATATGATATCAGTAAAGAAAAGCAAAAACACAAAGAGGTTTTTACTTCTGTCGGTCCTAAGATTGTTATGTGTTCTTATGAGTTTTGCGGCCACACTCATCTGTCATTTATTAGTTGAGTGACCTTATGCAAATCACTGAACGTCTTTATGTATACAAATAGTCATAAAAATTCATAGCTGGCAGAATCATTGGGGGTTAAAACAATATGTATATTAGGACTTGGCACATAGTAGGTCCTCAGTTGAAAATGTAGACATAGCCAAGTTGTATTGGAAGTTTACCCTGTGCTCCATGGGGTGCATAACTGTCAGAGTTCACTGCAGGGATCTGGAAGATGCCTGGTGTTTTAAGCAGGAAGGGATTAGTGTCGGGAGGTGGTGCTCACACAATCATGGGAAGTGGTGGGGGTGGCCAGCCCCAGGCTGGGCTTCCAGACCAGCTCACCAGGGAAGCCTCTACCTCTGTTCCAACCAGGAAGGGGAGAATGAGGAAGCTGCCACTGACCCTGCCACATTCCAGGACACACACCACCATGGCTGCAGTCCAGGAATTGGGAAGCTGGGAGCATGAAGCTGCCACCACCACTGCAAACTGCCTCTTGACACCCTTAGAGTTAGTGTCTGGACAGTGGGACACCACTGCAGAAATGCCACATCTCCACAACCTTACTTACCAGCAGAAAGCCAGAAGTAGCAGCGCTGGGCGTCTCCTGGATTCTGCCTTCCAAATTGCATGACAGTGCATCTGCCACACAGACCCTGATTGGCATGCAGAACTCTAGCTGTGGTGGCTTTTAGCTTCCCAACTCTGTCATCCAACAGGGGTCTGCAATACAGGAAGGCACAGGAGAAGGAGGTGGCTGGATGCCCGAGCATAGCTGGCACCCTTTTCCAGCACTGTGCTAGGTACACTATGTGCATCACCTCATGTAACTGTTGTCATAGCAGAGCAATATAGGTAGAATTATTACCCCCACTTTACTGATATGGAAAATGAGGCAGGTATCTGGTGGGGGCAGTCTGTGTACTCAGATCTGTCTGTTCTCAAAGCTCATTCACTTAATTAGTCTGGTGCTTTTTCTAGAACATATGCGTTCTTTGTGTTCACTTTTGAAAAATGTCCCAAATCCCAGTTTCTTTTCCTGTGTGGATGAAGCTGCCCTCACTGCAGGCAGATTGGGTAAATTGTTTTTGATGATCATTCAGGGAATAAATACATGAACCTCTTCACTCCAGCTCCAGGGGTATAAAGAGTCAGTTTGCAGTGGTGGTGGCAGCTTCATGCTTCCAGGCTCCCGATTCCTAGACTGCAGCCCTGGTGGTGTGTGTCCTGGAATGTGGCAGGGGCGGTGGCAGCTTCCTCATTCCTTACTTCCTGGTTGCAACAGAGGTAGAAGCTTCCCTGTGGGCTGGTCTGGGAACCCAGCCTAGGGCTCACACCACAGCACCACCTTCCACAATTCTGTCTCCTGCTTTGAGTCATCAAGCTGTAAAGAGCATTGCAGATTGTCTTGTGAGTCCCTTGCCTCTCTTCTGCCATTATGAACAGGGGAACTGAGACAGAACTAGATGAGCATATTCTGATTAAGGGCTTGAAGTTGAGATTCTCACTCAGACCAGCATCCTTTCTCTTATCCAGTAGCTTGGTTGTCCTTGGACCTATAATACATTGCATTCACTGTCCTTCTCAGGCTCACACAATAAAGGTCCCAATGGGAATGCCCGGATACATCTGCACCCTTGATCTTTGGCATATGGACTCTCTGCTTTTTTTATTTGTTTGTTTCAGGTTGTGACATTGCCACAGGAGATGGCCACACATGCTTATGCCTTCTAGGGCTCAGTTTTGGTGAATCAGTTGTTTTCAGAAAGTAGCCTGTGAACTGCTGGCTGTTGATGAGAATCCATTAGATCCTCTGAGGTCTAGTTGAAATGGCAAGATCACAGTATGCCAAAGTCTTCTCAAGTTCTTAGCTTGCCATGGGGACAAAGAGAATCTCTGGTCCTTCAGTGGCCACTCCTTTTACAAGGCAAAGTTTTTCAGGCAGACTTTGTTGCGTCTCAACCCAGGTATTTCTGCAACTCCCTTAAAACTGCTCATGTGTTCTACAAATCCACTCTGTTGACACCAGTCACCTGTTTTCTGGATGGCTCTAACATTCTCTTGCAGATCGTTCTCTTTGCCATACTGCTACCAGTCTTCCTGCACAGCTTCAATTTAGGTGAGATAGGCACTAACTTCTTAGTTAAATATTTAAAGCACATCCAAGAAACCTTGCAGAAGGCTTGCAGAGACCATAAAAATCACTCAAAAAGCAAAACTGTAAGTGGACAACCAATGCCACATCTCCCCACGTGGCTCCGCTGCAGTCCATTGCAAAGGGTCTATTTGAGCTGCTTCTTGCCTCACCCTCAGCCTGCCCCTGTGTTAGCCAGTGCTCATTAACACCATCACCATCCTGGAGTACCTAGAAAACTTTTGTTTTAAATTTTTAATTTTTGTTGGTATATAATAGGTATATATATTTATGGGGCATTATGGGATATTTTGGTACAAGCATACAAGGTGTAATAATCACATCAGGGTAAATGGGGTCTCTGTTACCTCAAGTATTTATCCTTTGTGTTACAAACAATCCAACTGTACTCTTTTAGTTATTTAAAAATGTACAATTAAATTATTTTTGATTTGTCACCTATTGTGCATCCTATTGTGCTAGCAAATACTAGGTCACCCTATTTGTCAAATTGGTATCCGTGTGAGGGGGAAGATCAGTGGAGCCTTCTATTTGGCCATCTTGTTCCACCCTTTCTCCATGTCAAACTTCTTAATCTCTCCAGAAGCCTGTGTATGGGCAGACTTGGGGAAGTATGGAGGCTTCTGTGAACAGATGTGGATTTCAGCTGAGATGCTGGGGTGGAGGTGGCAGTGAAAATCTGAGGGAAGACAGAGGGTTCCCTTCTCCTCCTCCTAGTCTTCAAATGGTAGACACTGACAAATATTCCATAGTAGCAGAGAGAAGAATCCAGATCAGAGGGATGGTCAGGGATTACACTTCTTTATCGCATAGCTTGATCTCGAAACTCTTAATTCAAGTAAGAACACCAGCTGTTTTTAAAAGCTTACATTTATCTCAGTCTTCCTCCAAACAATCACCTGCCACAATGTTTGATCAATTGTGATCCTTGTGTCTGAGGATGGGGAGGGTCAGGATCTGTAACTCTGTTTTAGGTGGCAGCCAGAGGAGACATGAAAGCAGTATGTGGGGTGTGTGTTAATTCCACTTCTGGGAGTGTCACTTCTCTTGTTGTTGTTCCAGACTTGCAGTGAATGGAAGGAAAATAGTATGTGCAGACTTGGATCACTTTGGTAATTATGCCCATCATATGAGGAAACAGGGAGCAGCCTTTGTTTAGCAAGAAAACGAATCCAACAGCCAACGAATTACATTTTTACAAAATCGCAGCATGTGTGTATGTAGGGGGTGGGGAGTATTTTGTGTTTGAGGTTTTTGAGGCTTTTATGTTTCTCTTGGTCACCAGAAATAGGTCATTGGACCCTTTCTGTCTGGAAAAACTTGGTGTCTTTTCAGAACAGTGAGCCCACAGATATAGTTAGAGATATGTGTGGGGTGCTCAAAAAAGGGAGAACCAACCTTTTAGGTTCCCTAACTGTCCTAGACTTTACTAGGGAAAATTCTGGGGGACTTTCTCAGACCATACTTCAGCCTTGAGACCCACCTGGTCACAGTCTGAGAGGAATGCTGCAGTAATTTCCCGATTTTTGCCTGATTCCAGCACCGGAGGGAGGGAAGTCACCTTTCTTTAATGATGGTGTCAAATGCCACATCTTTGGTGGACCTGGGGACTATTGGCTATCCTTATTGTCTTAGGTAGTTTTTAATTTGGGAAAACATTTCTTTCCCTTGTGTATCCTGCCTTTCCTGCTTCTCTGATATAACTGGCCTTTCAGGACAGATGGGTTTGGGGGCTGTTATCAGCCTGCAGAGTGGGCCAGTAGGCTGAGCACTGGGCAAAACCCCATTTTCAACATGAATAAGAAGATAGTCCTTCTAGGAGGGCATTACCTTAGTCCTTGGCCATTTGTTTTAATCACAGTGAACTTCCTAAAGGAGCAAAATTCCAGCAGATCTGACTCCACCGAGAGGATCTTTGCTGGGATCAGATCACAAAGTGAACATCGTCTCATGTTCCTGAAATGTTTCTCGGTTGTCAAGAATTTATTCATGAGCCTGGGGTTCATCTCCAGTGGGAATTCAATCTTTTTTAGAGAATGCCTTTAGTTTGGCAGGAAAACAGTCTTACTATGTAAATAAGCATAACACAATGTCTGGCATATAACAAGCTCTCCGTAAATGTCGCATAAATGAAGGATGTCAACCAAGAGAAAACAAGACAGGAGAATGGACATAAATGTTCTATCTTTCAAGTTCATACACTTTTGGTGCAATTTTTATGTTGATATGTGTTTGTGGGAAAATGCTGAGTATATATAACACAGGCTGATAGTGTCCGTTGATTTTATAGGAAGAACTGAGAAATAAATACACAAGGAAATTAATAAAATAGACACTGTGATGTACATTTATATACATTTTTCCATTCAGTTTTCTTATGAAAACACTTTTCTTTTTGAGATGGAGTCTTGCTCTTGTCACCCAGGCTGGAGTGCAATGGCATAATCTCAGCTCACTGCAACCTCCGCCTCCTGGGTTCAAGTGATTCTCATGCCTCAGCCTCCTGAGTAGCTGGGATTACAGGTGCCTGCCATCACACCCGGCTAATTTTTTTTTTTTTTTTGTATTTTTGGTAGAGACGGGGTTTTGCCATGTTGGCCAGGCTGGTCTCGAACTCCTGACCTCATGATCCACCCGCCTCCACCTCCCAAAGTTCTGGAATTATAGGCGTGAGCAACCACGTCCAGCCTGAAAACCCTTCTATGGGTAAGGATTATTAATCTTGATTTATGTATTAATCAAGGATGGTTCAGTGCATAAAATAGAATCCATTCCAAGAGGTTTTGATAGGAAACCATTTCAGGTTGTTAGATGTTTACAGAATGTTTGGAAGGGCTAGAGGAATGGGTTCTAGTCTTAGTCATCAATGGTAACTCCCCAAATAATTCAGAACTGACCATCAAGGAAGTGACTATTGCCAAAGCTGCCTCTGGAACTTCTGAGTTCAAGAACACTCCACCGTGGCACAATACAAGGATCAGGAAGTTAGGCGGAAAGCTGCCTTTTCTTCCTGCTCTCTACATTCACGGAGCTGATGACTGGCCACTGGGATAGGAAGTGCAGCCACTGCCTTCATCCATGTTTCCTATTACAACCCAAGGACCTGGAGAATGAATGCTGAAAATCTGCTCCCAAACCTCACTTCCCACAACTTGATTTGCTAGCAGAAAAGCAGCCCAGATGGCAAGGAGATGGCCTCTGCTTCACTTTGGCCTCCTAGATACACAGGAGAGGCTCTAAGTGATGGAGCCTAACATCCAGAACCCTACTTGCAAGAGCATTTGTGGGATGCAGTTTTAGGCTTTCCAGCCTCTGCATTATAGGAAGGCACACCAAGAGGGCAGAGTCATGGCTGAAAGAGTCAAACCATCACAGACTGCTTGGAAGGAAGTTAAAGCTTGGAGAGGCTCCTAGAAATAACATTTCTGCTCAAATTAAAAAGAGCATTATGGTTAAGTGCACATCCTGGTTGGACAGACGAGGGCTCAAGTCTTTACAGCAGAATTTACTAAGTGTTTGGTCTTAGACAAGGCAATTAACTTCTCTAAAAACTTCCAAATCCTAATCTATAAAGTAGAAATAATACTACCTCCCTCATGGGGTTGCATGAAGATATAGAGATCATGTTTGTAAAGTGGTTAGCACAGAGTTTAATAAAGTGTTGACATGATTAATAAGGTTATAGGGTAAGCAGTGGAATCAGGACACTAACCAAGGTTCATGGTCTTTGTTGCATCTCTCTGGGTATTAAAGATGAGATACACCAGGTTTGAGGGTGAAAATAAATGTTTATAAGACTAATACTTTAAAAAGTACTTTTGATGTTATTACACTTTAAATACATCTTATTATTATGATTGATTTTACAATTATAAGGTATCAAGATGAATTCCACTAGCCCTGCATCAAAATTGGCCTTGTTACCTTAAAGCACATTTTTGATTTTACACATGGTAGTGGGTTGTGTCCCTCTAAAATATATGTTAAAATACTAACCTCTAGTACCTGTGAATGGGACTTTGGGTGGAAATAGCACCTTTGCTAATACAGTTAAGATGATGTCATACTCAATAGGTTGGTTTTACATCCACTGGTTGGTGTGTTCATAAGGGAAAGGAGAAAGAGATTTGGACAGACACAGAAGATAACCATATAAAGACGGAAACAAAAATTGGAGGATGCAGCTACAAGCCAGGAAGTGCCAGAGATTGCTGGAAATGAGAAAGAGGCAAGGAAGAATTCTCCCCTAGAGCCTTTTGTGGGAGAATGGCCTTGCAAACACCTTAATTTCAGACATCTGGCCTCCAGAACTATGAAATAATAAATTTTTGCTGTTTTAAGCCATTTAGCTTATGGTAATTTGTTATAGCTGCCCTAGGACAAGAATACATACATGTACCTCTTCATATAATAATGTATTCCTGATAAGTTGTGTAAGATTATGCTTCTTTATTTCTTCATGATACTTTCAGGGATTTTTACTTCCAGATTAACATTTTTTTTTAGTGGTAGCTCAGAAAACTTGACATTCTCCTTTTCTAATTTTCTCTCACATCTCTGTCAAGTACTTAGTAGGGTATAAATAGACCATTCAACATAATTGGGGAACATAACTCTAAATAATGATGTGGCAAATACTTTTATAAGTAGAGCACTCATTTAATTTATGATTTGTAATTTAAGTAGTAGAGTGGAAAGAACAATGGCAGGTACAAGGGAAGGAGACATGGAAACTCAACCACAACTGCCTTTAGTTGAGCACTGACTGCATGTGAATGCATTGAACACAACACGTCTATCTCATTTCTCCTTTGGCATAGGAATCACATCCCATTGTGCAAATTAAGATGCTCAAGTTTAAAGAGGCAATTAAATTAGTCTCATCAAGATCACACAGCTAGTAGGTGGTGGAGGTGGCACCCATCCTCAGGCTATTGGACTCCAAACCCCATGTGAATTAGGGTTCTCTAAAGGGACAGAACTAATAGGATAGATGTATATATAAGAGGAGTTTATTAAGGAGTATTGACTCACATGATCACAAGGTGAGGTCCCACAATAGGCCGTCTGCAAGCTGAGGAGCAAGGGAACCAGCAGGAGTCCCAAAGCTGAAGAACTTGGAGTCTGATGATGTTCGAAGGCAGGAAGCATCCAGCACAGGAGAAAGATGTAGGCCAGAAGACTAAATCAGTCTAGTCTTTCCACATTCTTCTGCCTGCTTCTATTCTGGCCATGCTGGCAGCTGATTAGATTGTGCCCACCCAGATTGAGGGTGGGTCTGCCTTTCCCAGTCCACTCCTCAAATATTAATCTCTCTTGGCAACACCCTCACAGACACACCCAGGAACAATACTTTGCATCCTTCAATCCAATCAAGTTGACACTCAATATTAACTATCACACCGCATTCTTGAGCTTTCATCTTGGTGTTAAATCTACCTCTCTAGTGCCTTCCTTACTCATCTGTAAGTTGAATGGGTTTGTTGGGAGATGCATTTCTCAAACTACTCTTCTGTGAGGCACAGTTCCACCTGAAGCCTAGAGACTCATTTCCATCCTGGAGTCATAATGACTATCCCATTCATAGAAGTGTCTAAAGAATAGAGAACAGGTGGCACATGTATACATATGTAACTAACCTGCACATTGTGCCCATGTCATGTACCCTAAAACTTAAAGTATAATAATAATAATAATAATAATAATAATAAAGAATAGAGAACAGGTGAAGACTGGTAAACCATCTGTGAGCCAATGAGCATTTTGAAGGACAGTGGTAAAGGGTTATAAAGCATTTGACTCACAGCCCAAGAATGAAAAGCCTAATTTGTCTAAGACTTTTTGCATACCATTTCCTCCTTTCTACTGTTTCCATTTCATCCTCTCCCCACACACATCACCCTCACAAAGGTGGTTTCATGCTTTTCCTTTTTCCTCCCACTCACTCCATTCTCACTTAGTCAAAATCTGACCTTGAACTATGAAGGCAAATTTAGAAGTTTGGAAAACGTGAGGATGAAATTACCTATGAGTTGTGGCTTGATAGTCTACTAGCATGGAATGGCTTACAAAAGGGAAAATAATAAAATCTGTGAAAAAATTAGAAAAAATAATTTCCATTTTTACTACAGTACTCACAATGTATATACATTAAGAAACACTCAGAGTATTGAAAATTATGTCAGAATATGTGAGCAAGATATGTGTTAATTTATATACAATGTGATAATTTATAACTCAGTGACATTTCAGTTGCTGAGAAAATTTTTATTTGGTATGACATCTTTCCTAGAAAGAGCCTGAAGTTACATTGGATAATAGTGCATATCCGTCCTGCCTTAAACTAACAGTGAATAGATGTTGTGATTTCACATTTACTAGTCAGACAACATAGAATCTGCAATGTTGAAAGTTCATAGTTGTAATCAGTCTTCTTTTATACAAAGAAGCCAAGAAAGGAAATTGAACAGTGCCTTCATAGTATATTCTCCACCTTGATAAAATACACCTAAGCCATTGTCTTGACCTAGGACTATACGTAGAGAAAAATCTGCTTCCCAGACAAACCAGACAGTTGATCTAGTACAAGGGCTATTTTAGTTAATGCCAGCTAAGAGGAGCAGAGCACTCAGACTATTGATTTCCAGTGCTGTCAACATTTGCTAACATACAATTATAAAACCGTTAGAGTCTATCTCCTCTCTAAAAGAACATGAACATTTAAAAGCTCCAGAGTTTTGAATGCTGAAACATTATAATTAGAACTTTCTTTTCCAGGAGCAAAAATGCCATTCTCAGAATGCGCCATGGTTTTACGAGTGCAGCTACTGGTCATTACCAATCAATTGTATCATTAGTTATTCCCCTTAAATACTCTGTTCCAATTAAATTCCTTGCAAAGTTTGCATAGACAGTAGAGTAATTGAAAATACCCTACTTGAAATCTCCCCTTGGAGAGAGGGCTGGATCATTTGCCATATACTTAGCTTCTCTTGGCTGCACAAGTGTGTGCTCCTTTGAGTCCTTGAATGCACTTGGCGGTGCCTCTCCCTGGCTTCACGGGGTGGTGCATGCAGCGCTCTTTGTCACAGCAGAGACCTGAACTGTCCATGCCCTTGTTAGGCAGTTCTGCCTTTATAGTGAGGAGCATTCTTCATCTCACAGATAATTTACCTTAAATGATGATTTCCTTTGCTAATATTGTCATTATAACTTAAAACTGTGTTTGTGTTTAGGTTGTTTAAGGTCAAAAGACTTATATTTGTTGCCCATTTGAAAGGACATTTTTCTTTTTCTTTTTAAGTGTCTTAACAAGTACTTAGCAATCTACAATGAATAGTGCAAATTATGATACAAAACACCCCAACATCAATTTCCTTGTTTTGAAGGTATGGTAGTCCCCCCTTATCTGTGTTTTCACTTTCCGTGATTTAGTTACCCGAGGTTGACCATGGTCCCAAATTAGGCGAGTACAAAATTAGGTAAGATAATTTGAGAAAGAGGAGAGAGCACATTCACATAATTTTTATTACAATACAGTGTTATAATTGATTTATTTTTAGTTATTAATCTCTTACTGTGTATAATTTATCAATTAAACTTTATGTATAGAAAAAAAGGACAGTATATAATATGTAGGGTTTGGTACAATCCGTGGTTTCAGACATTCACAGGGGTCTTGGGTCCCTTGTGGATAAGAAGGGACTACTGTACGTGGGATTCTTGTTGGCAGAGGCTATATGGTATCTGTAAATTACTGCAAGATTCTCTTGAAATCTTTATACAGACTCCAGGAAGCCAGCATAAATGAATTTAAGGGAAAAAATAATCCCAATTCCGGCTTCCAGGAAAAGCCCAAATGTCAACAGTTAATGCTTACTAATGAAATGAGATGTCACAGTGTCTCAGATGTATGGCAGCAATGATTGGCACTCCCTCTTCTGTTATTATTTTCTACAGCCCCTGGCACAAGTTGGCATATTGTTAAAACTCTCTCACCAGTGGTGAATTGAGAGGGTGAATCAGTGGAAAGGAATGCTCTGATGTATAGGCTATCTCATGCATTTAAATTATGGACAAAATACATTATACAAAAAAGATACTTGCACGTGCATGTTTATAGCAGCACAATTTGCAATTGCAAAAATGTGGAACCAGCCCAAATGCCCATCAATCAATGAGTGGATAAAGAAACTATGGTATATATATACAATGGAATACTACTCAGCCATAAAAAAGAATGAATTAATGGCATTTGCAGCAACCTGAATGGGATTGAAGACTATTATTCTAAGTGAAGTAACTCAGGAATGGAAAACCAAACATCGTATGTTCTCACTTATAAGTGGGGGCTAAGTTATGAGGATGCAAAGGCGTAAGAATGACACAGTGGACTTTGGGGACTCAGGGGCAAAAGATGGGATGGCGGTGAGGGATAAAATACTACAAATTGGGTTCAGTGTATACTGCTCGGGTGATGGGTGCACCAAAATCTCACAAATCACCACTAAAGAACTTATTCATGTAACCAAATACCACCTGTTCCCCCAAAACCTAAAGAAATAAAAATACATAAAAATAATAAATTATGGACAAAATAGTGATTGTTCAGATTGAGCGTCTGCTGCTAAATGACACTGATGATGTCCAGAGAGATGGAGAGAGGCTAAGGATAAACTAGAAGCAACAGAAAGCCAGGTGGGAAAGCCAGGGGTCTTCTGTGGTTGTGCAGAAAGAATTTTTCTCCTCTAGCAGGAAGGTGGAGAAAAATGAGAACAAAGCCCAGAAACTGAGAGTGTGAGGGGCGAACTTCATAGGCTGTCAAATGCCCCACCAGGATGGGTCTGTTATGCCAAGTTGGGCCCCAGACCACATGGCGTGGGAACATCTAGGTGGACGCCCTTGGAGATTTTGACTTCTTAAGACTCCTCCAGCCTTCTGAGCCTGCAGATGTCACCCAGTCTTCCCCATGAAGAGTGAGCATCCCCAGTCTCCACAGCAGCTTCCCAGCACTCTGGAATCATGGAAAGTGCCCTGGAAAGTGCTAAGGACTTTCTCCCAAGGCAACCTGTCCTCCTCCTGTCTCCAGAATCTGCCTCCACATCTCCTTTTGGATGTGGGGCCAATAATTAAGGTGCAGCACAATCCAGCTGTTGATGTGCTGGGCCTAAGGGACTGTACTGGAGAAGGTGCTGCAAGCCCTGCTCAACATGCCCTGGCAGGAACTGGAGAGTAACATGTGGGACGGGATTCTGCGGGTACTTGATCAAGAGCACCAAAATATAAAATTGGGCAGGTAAGTATATTTAGGAATCTTCTCCTGAAATATAGAATAAAGAAGTTTAATCCTGGCAAAGATCCCAATAAATGGTTCAAAATTGCTACTAGGATGCCTCCAAGTGCATGGAAAAAATGATGGCCCATACTGAGTGACATTGAAATGCTAGAATCACTGATGCAGACATTGCCAAGAAGAAAAGGACTAAGAGGCCCCAGGAAGTGAGCAACCAGAATGGATATTCTGCACGTGGTTAGGCATCTGGCCAGATGTTATGTGCTATAACCATCCTAGGTGATGCACCATTTATCAAAGCCACACAGGATGTCCCATAGAGCCAATGGGAGGGCTATCAGCATCACTAACATTCCATGGTGGTTCTCTGCAGATGAGAGCTGACAGTAAGAGAGGCTGTAATAGAACTTCATTTGATGATTGCAGTGAGGGTGATAGTACCCCCTAGAAGGGAGGCCAGGTGTTGCCACCCTAATAAATATGTTTCTAGCCACACTTCATCACAGTATCTCATTTTGGAGAATGCAACCTGTAACTATAAGAATCTAAGTTCTGTGTAAGGTACATAGCAATAAATTCACATCTAGACACATCATAGTGGGATTTCAGAAAATCAAAGAGAAAAACAAAACCTTAAAAGCTACCCGAGAAAAAAAGAGCTTACAAAAGAACAACAATTAGACTGGCAGCAATCTACTTGTAACAGTCAATGACAGGGACAATAGGATAACATCTTCAAAGGGTTGACAGAGAGTGGATATCAAATAAGAACTCAGTATCCAAGTTCTTTCACTAAATATTTCATTAAAAACTGAGGACCAAATAAAGACATTTTGAGACAAGCAAAGAGTTTATACAGTTCTTGGATCTGATGGAAGTACTGAAAGAGATGTACATCAGCCAGAAACAAATTGAATCCACGAAACAAGTGGGATTTAAGTCATAATAATCACTCAGAAATTACTACATAATAGCAATACATTTAAATAAGTATAGACTATCATTTGCTTTCAATGATTTTAGTACACATTATCTGTGTCTCTTTTGTGTACTATTTAGTATAGAGTTTCCATCTATAATTTTATTTCTTATTTGTTATAGAGTAGGCCCTTTATACAGCCTCAGATATTTGCAAATACTCAATTTTTAAAAATGCTATCATAGCACTTGGCAAGAATTAAGATATCCAGAGGAGCAGAAAGCACAAAAGATCTTTTAACATTTGAAAGCCGGGTGATTGCCACACGTTCACCTCCTAATGTCTGTATTTATATTGGTGTCTTAACCGAAAGGCAGGTTACAACATCAGGTCTTGGACATCCTGAGATGATTACTAAGTGTTGGAACTGAAACTTTCAACTCCAGGGGCTCCAAGGTGATGTTGTGTTTGTTATATTTTAAAAAGGTGATGGGGTTAATATTTGTTGAGCACTTACTATATGTTATACACATTCATATATGGACAATCCCCAAAAGAACCCTATAAGGTAGGCATTATTATTCATATCTTATTGATGAGGCAATTGATAAGAGATTAAATACTTTTTCAAAGTCTCAATAGAAAAGGGCAGTGTTAGGATTTGACACGGAGAGATGTGACAATATAGATATATCTCTTCTCATTCTTCAACCTGTTAATTTCAAGACTCCTTTGCTGTCTCTTTTTTCTGTGCTTGACCTTTTTATTCTGATATTTCTCTAAAGTTTTATTATTGGCCCATATCTCTTCTACTTCCCCTAGCAGGAGTTTTAAACAATCTTCCAGATCTACGTGTCTAACCTGAATGGTCAGTGGTTTACCAGATGTCAAACAGACATGGCTTCTTTCTTCAGTCAGTTCATCTATTCATTCACTATTTATTGAAAGTTACTATATTATAGTTATTGTCTTAAGTAAGGAGTATCAAATGTGATGTAAGACATGGCATTGCCCTCGAGGATCCTTTAGTTTCAGTAGCTCAACCTGTTCAAACCCCATCCTCTCTTATGTCTTCATTATAGTAAGTGGAACCACCATCCATCCACACCTGCAGGGTAAACACTAGAAAGTCATCCCAATCTCTTCCCATTCTTCCATCCAATAATACAATTGACCTCCAAATCCTGCCAGTTCCAACGTCCCCTCTTCAACCTCTCTTGTGCCTTTGTTCATGCCCTCTTCACCTATTAACCCAATTACTACTGTTGCCTCCTTGATGCTTTCACTACCTGCTTCCTACTTGGGTTCAGTCTCTACATATGCCAGTGTAGGTTTGAGCAGATTATTCCTTGGCTTAAATCCCTTGAATTGCTGTCCTCTATGTATAGGATAAGATCCACACTCTCCACAAATCACACAGCTTTATATAGCAAGGTCCTCATCTCCTGCAACCTGGTCCCCTACCTCTTAGCCCCTCAAAACCCACCGTTGTGTCCCCTACTCCAGCCACAACCATTTCATGCTTCCATGACCTTCCTAACAGTATCCCTTTGGTCTGAAATGATCCTCCCTCCTTACACCATGTATGGTAGATTTCATACAACCTACCAATCTTTAAATTTCAGCAAAATCATCACTCCTTTATTAGGCCTTCCTTGACTCTTCCAGGGAGAATAAACTATTCTCCCTTTATGAGCCCTAAAAGAATCTTACATATTTATATCACAGTTAATATTTTAATATTAATACAAATTACTAATTTAAATATTTACTTAACATTTAATTTTAATTTAAATATTTGTATTATAAATTTGATGGTAATATAATGTATTAATATAATTAATAATTTTTAGGGGTTATAGCATAATCTTTAAAAAAGTATTTGCTTACGTGTCCAAATTTATTTCCTAAACTCCTCATGGAAGGAGTTATGTGTTATTCATTGTCACATCTCCAAGACCTAGCAAGTGCTTGGCATGGGTCCCATCTGTCTAATTCAATCAACGTTGAATGAATGAGTGAATGAGTGAAGATGTGATTCAAAAGCACTCCCCAGTACACCCTTGCAATGATAGGGCACTAGGCCCCATAAAAAGCAATTCACTGCTTTGTCTTTCCTGCTCATAGAAGAATAGAAAAATACTCAACTATCTTCTGGAGTAGCTCAGCTTTGTAACTCGCTTTCTCAGAGTCTACTCTGAAAACACAAAGAGCCCTTGATTGACAGCTGACCTGAAGCAAGTTCCCTTCTAAATCTATACCAACAAATGCTGGCAGTTTCTCCCTTAAAACACTGCTGTTATAAAACCGTCAATTTCCTTGTTAGAGTTGGATCAGGGTTTTGCTCATCTAATGTTAGAATTTATAATTGGAAATTCTGTTTCCTCTGCAAGCTGGCAAAGCAACAGTGCTCATCTGCTTGAAATCCTGAAAAGAGAAGTAAATAATAACAGTGGGGAAGAAGTTAGTACTCATTTTAAAGGCTGTAGGTACTTCTAAACTATTACTTTGAAGACTTAGCATGGGGAAGTATCAGCTGTAAATGCTGGGCTATGTACGTATTTGTTTGCCATTAGAATGTTGAAGTTTTATTCCTTAGATCTACAGAGTATCTTCCTATTGTCCAACGTCTAGGGCTTTGCACTTTCTTTTTTACCAGATGGTAGTGCTAAAATCATTTTCAAAGTGAATATTTTAGCTTTAAAAAAATAAAACATGAGATGGCATGTATGGAAAATTAGGCCAATTTAATTTTGTTCACTATTTTGTTAAAATAATTTTTAGAATATTTCATCAATCTGGACATTTTCACAGATATTTTTATCAGTTCAGCCTGTTCTGTATTACTTACCAGTCTGGTTGCTATGGCATGACAATGATTTTTCTTATTTTTTTCCAAACAAATAATAACTTTTCTGTAACAATGCACTTAGGTTTTAAAAAGTGCATACTTGCTCTTCAAGGCTATTTTCAATTGTATAGACCAACTGTACTTTAGCTTCTAACTGTCTTTAATCTTCAGTGTTATTAGAAAAGGATTCATGTCCTTGGGGACAGAGGGTTTTTAATTGAAACCCAAACCCCACAGCACTAATAAAATATTCTGTGATATAGCAATATGAAGGTTATTTAAAGGAAGAAAAGAGCAATAATTTGGTTCATTCAAAAAAGTGAATAAACTCTGGCCCCAATTTAGAGCTAGGAAACTAGATCCTATCTAGCAGGGAACCTGCTTTGATCTGTCTCTTCCCAAAGCATTTGTCCAGTAACCCCAGTTTAGCATTTGATCCCTCCCCTGTGTACACCACTCCACCACTGAATTATAGTCTTCCAAGGAAAGGGACTCCGACGGGTCTTATAAATCTCTGTGTGCCCACAGAGTAGAGCACTGGGCGGGGCACTGGTGAATGTTCAGTGAGGGCCCCACTTCTGAGTGGTGGATCAGGTCTGTAAAGCACAGAGGTCTTCCCTTAGGCTTCTCCCTTCAGTCCCTCCAACCTCCCAATCCAGTGAATGGGAAGTGCAAAGAGTGGCTCAGAAAAAAAGAATGAGATCGTGTTCTTTAGAGCAACATGAATGGAGCTGGAGACCATTATCCTTAGCAAACTAACGTAGGAACAGAAAACCAAATACTGCATGTTCTCACTTATAAGTGGGAACTAAATGATGAGAACACATGGACACAAAGAGGGGAACAACAGACGCTGGGACCTACTTGAGGGTGGAGGGTGGGAGGAGAGAGAGGATCAGAAAAAAATGACTATTGAGTACTAGGCTTAGTACCTGGGTGATGACATAATCTGTACAACAAACCCGTGTGACATGAGTTTACCTATATAACAGACCCCGAAGATGTACCCCAAACCTAAAATAAAAGTTAAAGAAAAGCCTGGAGCAAAGCTGCAAAGCTGACCCAGGAACCTCTCTGGCCTCTTACATCCTTTTGTCATCACCGCTGGCTGGGGCTACAGAGCAAGGTGGCAGACGCATCATGCCTCCATCTTTCTAGTGTTCCTGAAGTTTCCTCTCCAGGAAGACCTACATCAGAACTCCTTCAGTCCAGTGGATCTCAGACCTACCCTCTCTTTCTGTTTAAATGACATTCAAGTAGAGGAAGCCCGTCCTGTCTCTTGGCTTTCTGTCTTCCTTGTATCTGACACAGATGTGTGGAATCATTTCGCCTTTCAGAACTTCTTTGTAGGGAATGAAAGCTGTTAAAGACTACAACAGGTTGGGTGACAAAATAATCCTAAATGCTTTCTACAGCTATGTCTATTCAGAAAAAATGTGCATATCTGTGCTTTTAAATGTGGTATCAGGGCTGCCTTATGACTTTTGTGGATTGTAGACGCTTTCGCCATTGGAGGTCCATTCCTCCATAACAAATATTAAAAATTGTATCTTATGACTGTTGGCTTAAAGACAATATAATCCAGGCTAGATTACAGATTTTTCTGCTGGTTTTAGAAGAAATTAAAACATTTTCATGGGCCTCTACATGGGACCCATGTGGACCCTGTGTACTGAGCTTCCCTTGCCTAATGGAAAAGTCAGTCCTGTGAGGTCTAACTTAGCTACAGGCCGGGCGCGGTGGCTCATGCCTGTAATCCCAGCACTTTGGGAGGCTGAGGCGGGCGGATCACCTGAGGTCAGGAGTTCAAGACAAGCCTGACCAATATGGTGAAACCTCATCTTTACTAAAAATACAAAAATTAGCCAGGCGTACTGGCATGTGCCTGTAGTCTCAGCTACTCATGAGGCTGAGACAGGAGAATTGCTTGAACCCGGGAGGTGGAGGTTACTGTGAGCCAAGATTGCGCCACTGCACTCCAGCCTGGGTGACAGAGCGAGACTCCATCTCAAAAAATAAAATAAATAAAATAGCTTAGCTATGACTTGCAGGAAGTACTCAAATCTCACCCTAGGTAACCAAAACTCAGAATCAGATCAGGGACGTTTCCACCATCCCCACTGGGTCCCCCGTCTCCATCCCAGTTAATCCTGTCGCCACCACATCAATTAGTTTTGCTTGTTGTGACTATTAAGTGGACTTGTACAGTGTATACTATTATGTCTGGCTTATTTTGCTCAACAGAATATATGTGATTTGTTCATGATGCTACATATAATACAAAATCATTCTTCTTTATTTCTGACACAACATTTTATATATCTATTCTTCTGTTAATGGATATTTATGTTTGCAGTTTTAGGGTACTGTGAAAAAATCTGCTATGGACATTCTTGTGCATGTATTTTGGTAGACAAAACATGCTTGTTTCTCTTGGGCATATACCTAGGAGATTTATAAAATATATGTTTTCAGAGTGGGAGTTAAGAGTGTTTCCAAATCAAGGTGGAACATTAGTATTCCTTTTACCTAAGGTTTGATTTCTTAGCATTTGTTCTGACAGCAGTGCTAAAGTTCACTGACCCAGGCTTTGAGGTATCCTAGAGAAGTGGTTCTCAAAGTGTGGTCCCAAAACCACTAGCATAGATATAATCTGAAAACTCGCTAGAAAATGTAAAATCTCAGGCTCTACCCCAATCCTACTCTATTAGTCCATTCTAAGACTCCTATAAAGAACTGCCTGAGACTGGGTAATTTATAAAGAAAGGAGTTGTAATTGACTCACAGTTCTGCATGGCTGGAGAGGCCTCAGGAAACTTACAATCATGACAGAAGGCAAAGGGGAAGCAGGCACCTTTTTCACAGGCAGCAGGAGAGAGAGAGCTGGGGAAACGATCAGATCTCATGGAGCTCCTTCACTATCATGAGAACAGCATGGGGGAAACTGCCCCTATGATCCAGTCATCTCCCACCAGGTCCCTCCTTCAAAGCATGGAGATTACAATTTGACATGAGATTTGGGTGGGTACACAGAGCCAAACCATATCACCTATGGAATCAGTAACTCTGGGAGTGGGACCCAGAAGTCTGTGTTTTAACAGACTCCTCGGGGGCTCTGATGGAGCTTAGCCTAGCCTCACACTAAAGTTTGAGAACCACTATTTTAAATGTGAGGACCTGTGGGGAGCTCCTATCTTGCCCCCAGCAGATAGGCTTGGGGCCTGTCAGGGCAGTTAACACAAGCACTGCATTTTCTCTCAGCTGTTGGGTGTTATTTTAATGGAGTGAGGAATAGCAGTAATTATCAAAGGAGAGCATGCAGAAACTTTGCAGATTTTTAAAAATAAGATGAGGACACCTATATCAATCTGTCAGGGTTCAATCAGACAAGCAGAACCACTAGGATGCACACACACAGTGATGGTGAATTTTATGTGTCAAAATTAGTTAGGCTATGATGCCCAGTTGTTTGGTGAAGCATCTGTCTGGATATTGCAGTGAAGGTATTTTTTAGATTTGATTAGGATTCAAATCAGGAGACTTTTGAGTAAAGCAGATTGTCCTCCATCAGGTGAGTGGGGAGCTCTTCAATTACTTGAAGGTCTTAAGAGAAAAGATTGAGGTCCCCCAAAGAGGAAGGACTTCTGCCTCCAGACTCAAAACTGCAACATCAACTCTTGCTGCAATTTCCAACCTGCTGGCCTGTCCTACAGATTTCAGACTTGCCAGCACCAAAGCCCCACCTCAACTGTATTAACTGCTTCCTTAAAATAAATCTCTCTCTGTATGTCTACACATAGATACATAATACAGACACACACACACACCCTATTTGTTGTTTCTCTGAAGAACACTAATATATACACATGTATGTATGCCTGCCTGCCTTCTTTCCTTCCTTCCTCCCTCCCTCCCTTCCTCCTTTTCTTTCTCTCTCTTTCCCTCCCTCCCTTCCTCCCTTCCTTCTTTCCTTGCTTTCCTTACTTTCTTAGCTTGCTAGGGCTGCCATAACAAAGTACTGCACACTAAGTGGCTTAAAGAACATAAGTTTATTTTCCTGAAGTTCTGGAGGCCGAAAGTCTGAAACCAGGGTGTCGGCAGGTTTGGTTTCTCCTGAGGCCTTTCTTCCTGGCTGCAGATGGCCACCTTCTCATCGTGCCTCTCTCTGTATTTCCTGATACAGTTGACTCTTGAACAATGTGGGGGTTAGGAGCACTGACCTCCCTGCACAGTTGAAAATTCATGTATTACTTTTGACTCCCCCAAAACTTAATTACTAATAGTCTACTGTTGACCGAGAAGCCTTATCAATAACATAAACATTCAATTAACACATATTTTATATGTTATATGTGTTTTATACTGTATTCTTACAATAAAGTAAGAGAAAAGAAAATGTTATTAAGATAATCAAGGAAGAGAAAATATATTTACTATTCATTAAGTGTAAGTGGATTATCGTCCTCATTATCTTCTCATTGAGTAGGCTGAGGAGGAGGAGGAATTGGTTTTGCTGTCTCAAGGGTAGCAGAGGTGGAAGGGGAAGCAGGAGAGACAGACACACTCATTGTAATTTTTATTGAAAAAATGTGTAAGTGGACCTGCACAGTTCAAACTTGTGTCATTCAAGGGTCAGCTGTATGTTTTTCTTTTAAGGACATCTGTCAGATTGAATACTGACAGGCTCATTGTAACTTAATCAGCTCTTTAAAGGACTGGTCTCCGAATAGAGTCAGATTCTAAGGTACCAGGGTCTAGGGCTTCAACATATGAATTGTGGGCAGATACAATTCAGCCTCTTAACTCTCTCTGTCTTATCTACCCATCTGTCCTCTCTCTATGATCTGTCTATCTGAGTTTGTTACAGGGATTTGACCTTCTACAATCATGGGAACTGCTTAAGCAGCCTCTGGATGGCTGTAGCCTTTGCCTTTGGCACTGGAGCTTAAAGTCCACATGTCAGAAAGTGAAGATGGATGTAAACAGGGATCAAGAACAAGTTAGAACTCACAGCATGAGTCCCATGCTGATGGACCAAAATCTATGCCATTTTTGATGACTTGGACCATAGTGTCAAGGATATCCTGCAGAACCCAGGACCCTGGGAACTAAACACATATCTGGACCAGGCATCATAGAAGCTGAAAAAGGATCCATGAGAAGGGAGAAGAGCTGCAGCCTCAGCTGCTGCGCCAGAGCACTGAGGCGAGTCAGCAGATCAGTAACAATCTTTGTGAGCTACAGAATGGCTACTCCTCCCCTTCTGCCTCCAGAATGTTTCTTTTGACCCACCCAAACCAGAAACATACAGGGAGGGATTTCTGGGAAATGAAGCTCAGCCTAGCCAAGCTGACATGTCACAAAGCCACGACAGCACCCTTACCAGCTCATAGAAGCAGCTGAGACTCCGCATTTAGTTTTAGAAAGAGTAGTAGGTATCTCAGATGAAAATGTGTGAACTTTCTCCTTCAAACATGCTCTAAAGGTCATGGGATTTGGAGACAGAAGACCTGGCTTTAAGTTCCAATTCTTCCCCTGTATTATCTGGAAAAATCACTGAAGTCTTTATCGAGTGCCTTAACTTCTCTGATGCTCAGATTCAGCATCTGTAAAATGAGAATAGTATTGTTGGTAGAGGGTTGGCAGACTTCCATGATATAATACATGTGAGGTTTTTGTTGTTTTTCTGTTGTCCTTAAAATCGCAGACACTAAAATAAAATCGATCCTGCTTTGCTTTGCTTTTTGATGATGGTGTGTGCTGATGCAGCATACAGACAAGTCTTTTTCAGAGAGCACTGACACATGCCTACTTTCATAAACTCATTTTCTCTTCTCACCTGACTTGCCGGCAGAAATAGGAAGTTCATATGCTACTTTTGAGCAGGAAGTAGAAGACAAGGTGCAGGAAAAGACAGGCTCTTAATGAGGCATTTTATAATATGTAAAAATATTTCAATATAGCACCCATTCCACCTTCACCCCCACAAAAGAAATGGTGATTTGTATTTTATTAATATCTTTATTATACAACTATATTTTAATTGTCCATATTTTGCTTGCAAACATCCCTGGGGACAGGAACTCAAGTGCCTAGGACTTCCCCTAGCATAAAATGGTGCTTCCAAAACTTTTATAGTGAATTGAGAATTCATTGCTTTACAGCTACCTTTGTTTATAATCTCTAGTAAAAAATAGCTACAAAACCACATATGTATATTCTGTCTAGAGAGATGACTTTTAAAAAAAAATTTAAAAGCTTGGCTACCCTCTTTAGTTGTATATGTCTGCTATCTCCTCTACAATTTGTCACCAAGGAAGGACCAGGTGAACACACAGTAAGATACAAGCCAGGGAGAGAGCCCTCACCAGGAACCCAGTCTGGCAGCACCTCAATCTTGGATTGCCCAGCCCACACAACTGTGAGAAATAAAGGTCTGTTGTGTAAGTCACCCATTACAGTATTGTGTTAGAGCAGCCTGGACTAAGATACCTAATAAGAAAGGCTTGGGCTCTGATGTTCAAATATTAGCTCTGCCATTTGCTTGATGAGTTTCTGAGTGTTTCTGAACCTCAGTTTCCTCAGCTGGAAAATGATACCAGTGGGACTACTCGCATTGTAGAGGTTAACGCTCAGGGCTGGTAAACCTGGCGCATGGTGAACATGCAGCAGATCTCTGGTGTGGGTGGAGGCACCACATCTTAAGTGCCTGCCCTACAATAAGCTGTGATTTACAACAGGAACCTAAAATTTCAGCTTCATTTTCTGCACTGTTTTTCTGATTTCTGGATGAAATTGTCTTTATTTTCTTCTAGAAGGAAAACAAAAAGATGCCTTAGTTCCATGGAAGGCTGCTCTGAGGGATATTCTGCTAAGTGGCATCCAGACAGAACACGGAGAAGCTCCTCGATTGCGTCTCTCCCCTGCCTTATTGTTTCCTGCTGCCCTTGACACTCCACTGTTTGGGCTATTGCAAGGTTAGAAGGATGCTCACGACCAACGAGACAGAGTCCTTTGCATATGGCCTTGAGGATGTGTGCTTCTGAAATCTAACAAGTAAGTAATAAACAGGCAGTTCTCAGAGCAAGAGGCTAAGACTGCTGCTTCACTCGGAGGAAACAAAGCTTTTCAGGGGTGGGTTACAGGTTTCCACGTCGTGAGGCAAGCATCACCTTTTATCAAGAAAATATCCTGGTTATTTCCTTCTATGTTCAATAGAGTATATTGATTTAAGGTTTTATAGGACTGCATAATTATGTTTTATCACAAAGAAAAAATTGAAGTCATAATAAAATAGTTAAAATACACACACGTTGGCTGGAAGTGGTGGCTCAGGCCTGTAATCTCAGCACTTTGGGAAGCTGAGGTGGGAGGATCACGTGAGGCCAGAAGGTTGAGACCAGCCTGGGCAACATGGTGTGTCTGGAATTGGTGGGTTTTTGGTCTCACTGACTTCAAGAATGAAGCCGTGGACCCTCGCGGTGAATGTTACAGTTCTTAAAGGAGGCGTGCTCGGGGTTTGTTCCTTCTGATGTTTGGATGTGTTCGGAGTTTCTTCCTTCTGGTGGGTTTGTGGTCTCGCTGGCTTAAGAGTGAAGCTGCAGACCTTCGCGGTGAGTGTTATAGCTCTTAAGGCAGCGTGCCTGGAGTTGTTCGTTCCTCCCGGTGGGTTCGTGGTCTCGCTGGCTCAAGAGTGAAGCTACAGACCTTCGAGGTGAGTGTTATAGCTCTTAAGGCAACGTGCCTGGAGTTGTTTGTTCCTCCCCGTGGGTTCGTGGTCTCGCTGGCTCAAGAGTGAAGCTGCAGACCTTCGTGGTGAGTGTTACAGCTCTTAAGGCAGTGTGCCTGGAGTTGTTCGTTCCTCCCGGTGGGTTCATGGTCTCGCTGGCTTCAGGAGTGAAGCTGCAGACCTTTGTGGTGAGTGTTATAGCTCATAAAGACAGTGTGGACCCAAACAATGAGCAGTAGCAAGATTTATTGCAAAGAGCAATAGAACAAAGCTTCCACAGTGTGGAAGGGGACGCCAGCTGGTTGCCACTGCTGCCCCGGGAAGCCTGCTTTTATTCTCTTATCTGGCCCCACCCACATCCTGCTGATTGGTCCATTTTACAGAGAGCCGATTGGTCTGTTTTACAGAGAGCCGATTGGTCTGTTTTACAGAGAGCTGATTGGTCCGTTTTGACAGGGTGCTGATTGGTGCATTTACAATCCCTGAGCTAGACACAAAAGTTCTCCACCTCCCCAGATTAGCTAGATACAGAGTGTGGACACAAAGGTTCTTGAAGTCCCCACCAGAGTAGCTAGATACAGAGTGTCGATTGGTGCATTCACAAACCCTGAGGTAGACACAGGGTGCTGATTGGTGTATTTACAATCCCCTAGCTAGACATAAAGATTCTCCAAGTCCCAACCAGACTCAGGAGCCCAGCTGGCATCACCCAGTGGATCCCACATGGGGGCCGCAGGTGGAGTTGCCGGCCAGTCCCGCGCCCTGTGCCCGCAATCCTCAGCCCTTGGGTGGTCGATGGGACCGGGCGCCGTGGAGCAGGGAGCGGCGCTCCTTGGGGAGGCCCGGGAGGCGCAGGATCCCACGGCAGGGCGAGGGCTTGGGGAGGCTCAGGCATGGAGGGCTGCAGGTCCCGAGCGCTGCCCCCAGGGGAGGCAGCTATGGCTCGGCAAGAAATCGAGCACAGCGCTGGTGGGCCAGCACTGCTGGGGGACCTGGCGCACCCTCCACAGCAGGTGGCCTGGGTGGTAAGCCCTTCACTGCCCCGGGCCGGCAGGGCTGGCCAGCCACTCCGAGTGCAGGGCCCGCCAAGCCCACGCCGACTGGGAACTCCAGCTGGCCCGCAGGCGCCATGTGTAGCCCAGGTTCCTGCTCGCGCCTCTCCCTCCACACCTCCCCGCAAACCGAGGGAGCTGACTCCGGCCTTGGCCAGCCCAGAGAAGGGCTCCCATGGTGCAGCGGTGGGCTGAAGGGCTCCTCAAGCACAGCCAGAGTGGGCGCCGAGGCCGAGGAGGCACCGAGAGTGAGCGAGGGCTGTGAGGGCTGCCAGCACGCTGTCACCTCTCAATGGCAAGACCGCCATGTCTACAAAAAATTTTAAAAATTAGCTGGGCATGGTGGTACACACCTGTAGTTCCAGCTACTTAAGAGGCTGAGGCAGAAGGATCACTTGAACCCAGGAGGTAGAAGCTGTAGTGAGCCATGATTGCACCATTGCACTCCAGCCTGGGTAACAGACCAAAATCCTCTCTCAAAAAAAAGAAACAGACAGACAAATAAATACTTTGTACTTTCTGTCCAGTTTTGCTGTGAACCTAAAACTGCTCTACACAATAAAGTAAAAAATTTTTTAAAAACACAGAATTTCTTAAATGCTTATGATTGTAAACCTTGATCACAAGTAACATACTAGGCCTAGTGAGTTTAAACTTCTCTCCAAATTGGTCAAACATGTGTTCTCTGCATTTAGGGAAAGTAACACATAAGCATTTACAGACACACATACACACATACACACACACGCCAATAACGTACTGGTTCAAGGAAGCACCACATTTAAGTGCTTTAAGTGTTTCTTTATGATAAAACTTGACAAATGACAGGAATGATGGGAATTGCAGAAAGGATGGCAGGCCAGTAGGGGAAGGTGCTTTTGATCTGGGAAATGTGCAACACCTCTTGGTTAATTAGACCATAGAAGGAGCTGTGGAAGGGGCACCCTATTGCTTAACACCCTGTGGCACAGACTCATTAGCTTTGTGAATTTCCTTGGATTGATTGTTAGAGTTATAACCTTAAGTTATTCCCTAGTAGTAATTCTTTGGAGCAGATATTGAGCCTTTACTTTAAACCTAGAACTGCATTTGTTATTGCTAATCCTCACAGCAGCCCTAAGAGGTCAAGTATTTGCATCATTTAGCGTTCTTTGTGGCAAGCAACAGAAACCAACACTAGTTAATTTTACCAAAAAAGGAATTTGGAATTTGTTAGGCTTGCAAGGAGGGGGACAGTTAAACATACAGGCTGCAAGGAAGAACAAGAACCAAAGCAATTTTGGGAGGTTTTATGAGCAGGAACAAATGAACAATTTGTTCAGGCAGTCTCCAATGGCTTTTGGACCCTGGCTCAGTCCTACAAATGATGGGGTGGTGGGGTGGGGGTGGTGTCTTGATTGTCCTGGCCTGAGTCACTCTTAGCCCTTAGAATACTTTGATTGACAGTCTTCCCAAAGATTGCATGAAATGGGGGTAGGCTTTACCCAACAAAGGGAAATGAGGGATGCTGTAACCAGAAGAGGCAAGGAAAAGATGCAGCAAAGGCAAAGATCAAACATATCTTCCACGATATCACCTTAAGTTAAAGATGGAGAAAGAGATCCAATGTTTAGTTATGTTCAAATGCCAAGGCACATGTGTCAGTGACAACTCTGAGATAGGAACCTCTGTCTGCCCAATGCCCAAGAACCTGTTATTCCCCTCCTCCCTTCCTCTGTCAAGCCCTCTTTATGCTACAGAGTATAATAGCACAGAGGTGACATCCACCTTCCAGAAGATCCACAGGCTTGTGTTTATAAACCTTTTGAACTCTTCTGGGGAAATGCTTGGTTTTCATAGAAAGGAGTCAGCAACACTGCGTCTGATCTCCTTTCATGCATTTCTACTTTTTTCTTTCGTGCTACCTCAGTTTTAATTTCCTTTGCTGTACCCATGCAGCCCTTGTCCCCAGTGTAAACAAGTTGGGAGGAACTGATGAGTGGGCCAGGTTGACAAGGGGAGCACGGTAAGCACAGGAGGAACCCATCCAACAGGACGCAGCCTGGATCTATTTCAGCGGTCTCCGTGGGAACAGGGACCAGGCAGCTCAGCCGACCTTCTCCACTTGACTCTTCTCTTCTTTTATTCCTTTCTGCTCTAGCTGTCTTTCTCTCTCTGAAAATAATAGTTCCAAATAATCAAGCTTTAGGTGGTGTCAGTAGCCAGAAACATCCAAGGCTGACTAGACAGGAAGCAAAGTGTTCATTTTGAATTTAAAATGAGAAATCTAGGCCTATTTCAGGAGTTGGTAGTTGTGGGGTGGTGACCAAGTGTACAAGTTTAAGCTGATTTCTTACCCAATAATGAACATCAAATAGGTGAGCAGTGGCTTCATCAACTTTAAAAATGTGCCTGGACTAATGATCCAAGAGAAAAATACTATTCTGTTATTATAAAACACAATATACACAGATATATACAACTCTAAACATTCCTGGTTGATAGTTAATTTCAATATGGTTAATTCTATTTAAAGATTACACAAACGAGTTGTTTGTTTATACTGGTCATTGAGTTAAAAGTGGTACAGTTTGGGCTATGGCTTTAGTTTCTATTATTAGAAGAGATAATGTTTGTCATGTGCCTAGTGCAGTGACCAGGATGTGGACGGTGCTCAGTAAATGCTTGTTTCATTACCTTTGTGAAATAGAGTAAACTTTAATCATTGTTCATATCCTCATATACTTCACTGTTCTTATTTTTAAATGTTTCTTAACTATCAGGGGCCAAACACATGTCATTTTTCTTTCTGGAATCCATCAGTGCTTTTCATTAGCTCCTGATGTCTTACCACTCAATGTATGGTCCATGGACCAGCTGCAACAGCGTCACCTGAGAGCTTGCTGGAGCCAGAGAAACTCAGGTCCTAGCCCAGACCTCCTGAATCACAATCACATCTTGAAGTAATTTGTTTACATTTGTATACATACTGGAGTTGGAGAAGCACTGACTTGCTGGATGAGGCTCGAGCCTCTTACACTGGAATAAGATTTCTCTCCTGACTCTCACTCCAACTCCTGCCATTTCCTTCGTTGGGATTTGAACTGAAATTCCCCAGAGACACAAAGCTGTTTCCTGTCTCTGGCCTTCTCCTGTGCTATTCTCTTTGTCTGGAATATATTTCTTCTTTTATGTCTCATTAATGCTTGCTCTTTAAGACATGCATTCATTTTTCACTCTATATGTATTTATTAAGTACGTATAATGTTCCAAGCAGTATGCTCAGGTACCCTCTCTAAGAAAGACCCCACTGAGAATGGTGACCTTCCTTTCTTGACTCTAAGGGACCAGGCATAACTCTGTCATTGATTTATTATAGGTGGCCTTCCACAATTCTCTTCATCTCCCCTGTACTTAGCATACTTCCTGGTCTTCAGAAGATGCTCAGGCAGTGTTTTGTTGGATTGAACTATTACACTTAAAGGAACTAGTGATTGGGCTTGGACCACTAGGTGATCTCTGAAGTTATTTTTGACCCAAAGTGAGTATCCTCTTTGCCCACAGACCACATCCATACACTGTCACTAGCCAGGTGCCCGAGGATAACTTCTAATTCACCCAAGGGCCCTGTGCTGGCCAGGAGCAGTAGTGACAGATTCCCATATTCATTTATACATTGAACAAATTTGAGAGTTGAGAGTGTCACAGGGAGAAAGGACTCAGCACAGAGACCTGAGAAGATGATCACTGTGAAAGGCACAAAATGGGCTCGTGGCTGTGGCCTCTTTGCCAAGCCTCTTCCAGCGGTAGCTACCCTGCCCTTAATCTGAGCTGCAGGCCATCTTGTGAATTAGTGACTGGAGTCGAATTTCCTACTGGTTCCCCTACCCTATGGAGAGACACACCTGTGGGCAGCTCCAATGATGGTGACCACTTAGGGGATGGCATCTTTGTTGGCGCAGAGAGGTAGTCACAAGGGGGTAATGAAAACAAAGACTTTGCAGTGATGAGCAGAAACAGTGGAGGGACACAACATAAATGATTAGAAATAAAGTAAATGATTAGAAATAAATGAAATAAATAGAATAAGTCAATGAGAGGTGGAAGAACCTACTTAAAACTTGGATCGTGGAGCCAGGCTGTCTGAATCCAGAACCTAGCTCTGCCCATTAGGAGATGGACGATCTTGAGCAAGCTGTTAAATGTTCTATGCCGGAGTCTCCATCTGCAAAGTGGGAATAATAATAGCACATACCTTATGAGGATTAAACAAATTATTATTCATAAAGTACTTGGAATAGTGCCTGACACATTGTAAGCACTATATTGTTTAACAACTAGAAACCATGCAATTGCTCGAAAATAAAATCAAACACCTCATTCTCTTTTTATTGTTGTAGCCTTCATGCTGGAATTCACAGTACTTCATGGGTTTTCCCTGGGTCTACGATGGGAGTGTGTACATCTTTAAGTCGTTGAGCAAGGCTTCAAAAAAAGGAGCAAAAGGGAAACAGCTGCTTTGCTTTTGAAATGATTTGCCAAGCTCACATAGTTAAGTTTAATGGCTGGGCGTTTTAAACCCTAGAGAACAATGTAATTTGTGTCGCTACTGCTACAAAGGATGACTTTTGGTGAGCGTTTCATTTTGGTTGCCTAAAAACCTAATTTGAACAAAGGAAGCAAAAACAAACACAAATATAGTAATGGAGAAACTCTAATTAGGCTTTGGGGAAAGATTGTCTGGTCCTGTCATGTCTTCACAGGACAAAATAAAAATAACATTGACACCTGCAAAGTTATTTTTCTCAGCAAATATTTTAATTTGTAAGTAAGATTTTGTGGAGGACTACTTATAATTCTAGGAAGTGGGAAACCGGTTCAAGAGGAGGAGGGCTGGAAACCAATATCAAAAGTCTATTATGTGCTTCACTTACAGTATATCTTTTAATCCTCTCAAAACTCTGAAAAGGAGATATTTTCCCTGTTTTACAAGGGAACACCAAGGCTCAAAGAGATTAAGTAACTTAAATAAGTTCATACAACCAGTAAGTTATGTAACTAGAATTTGACTCTATGTCTGCCTGACTCTAAAACCTATGCCTGCTTCAAAAACAAAATTTGTAATGGAAACAAAGCATGTATATTTGAGTTTCTTCCATGTAGCTGCTAGGCATCAAATATTAAATGCTTGTGAAGTTCCAGTATATCTAACATTTATCCTCAAGGAAGACAGAGATATTGCTTCAAAATAGTCTCTGCATTTTGGTAGTAATCATGGGAAATGATGATGATGATGTTGATAACTGCAATGACAACAACGGCAATAATGACAAAAACTGTGGAAGATAAGACAACAATCAACCAATGACCTCATCTTGGATTGGAAGTCTCAGTTTCCTCATGGTAGTACGAGAAATTCCAACTACTCAACAAAAATGAGTATCTTGTGATAAAATTCAGAAAGTGATTAAGGATGTTACTTACTCATAAGGGGAGTAAGAGGGCTTGTAGTAAACCTATGTAAGTGACTCATACCAGCTGACAGCTTGCTGAAAAGGGCTTGTTTAACTGGGCATAGGTTCTTTGTAACATATACGTTTCCTATTACTATAACTCTCTAGGTCAAGAAATCACTTATTCCAGAAAAGGCAGGAAACAATTTTCTTCTTCTTGACATTGAGCCAAACAGTCAATTGAGTCTGCAAATCAACCACAGAGCACTTGCCTTTAGTTGTTGTTGAACACAAGGTGTGTGTATGTGTTTAGAATAGGCTTGCAAGTATCTATAAGGAAGGATCCTGGACCTTCACTGTAGAATAATCCTTGGGTCAGATGCTATACATTCTTCCTACAGTTACCATGTCAACAGAGGGGTCTATGGAATCCTAAAAAGAGAGGTACTCTAAGTTCAGAAAATCTGGAGGATAGCCTGGTCTTAACATGGTCCCTCTTGGTTTTTGACTTTGAGCAAATTATTGGGAGGATGGGGTGAATTAATATATTTTACAATACCTTTTGAACTGAAAAAGCATTATGTAATGTTTAATGAATGTAAACCGATTGTGATGTACTGGACTTTTTTTTCCCTGCTATGCCCTTCTTTTTCCTACCAGAGCTTCTACCATGCTTCTCCACCATCTAGGAAAACAAGAAATGAAGTTTCCTGGAGAGCTTGGATTTCCCTATGGTAAATAAATCCTTCAAAAGTTGCATTTGGGTACTTGGAATAAAGTTTATTGAATTTGCTTAAATATGCATATTTCAGAGTGAAAAACTGAGAAATAGTTGGCTCTGCTGGGAAAAAGTCACACAACTATACTGATGGACATCATGATTTGGGCAACTCTGCCTTCTCCTCTGCTCCTAATTAATCCAATTTGCAAAACAGCAACTGCAAACCTTCTCTTTTTCCCTCAGTCTCCTTCCCCACCTCCTCTTACACACTCTTGGCAGATGCCTATGACTTCTACCTCTTATTGGAAATAAAAGCCACAAGACGGATTTATCCCCAGCTTCCAAATTCCAAACCTACAAACTACATGCTCTCCATCCACCCCATCGTTTCCTTCAGAGTAAAATTCCAATACAGAGATTCTTTCTCCAACTAAGTTTCTGCATCCCTTTCCTTTCCAACACCCCAAAGAACCTCATTATATCAATTATGCCTTCTCTCTTCTCTCACCTTGACCCTTAACCCTCCACTTTCCTTAATAGATCATTTCCATCAGCACCCAATCACTGAATACCAGCATTGTCAATCTGAAAGGAAAAAAAAAGTACAGTAGAATTCCCCCATTGACAGGACAGTTTTTTTTGTTTTGTTTTTTTCTCATGGCTGCCTTAGCGTTCTCCCCTCTGCTTCCATGACATCCACATGCCACAGTACTCTGCTATTTTGCTATTTGGCTTCTGTTTTCAACATTCTGCCAAAACTCCTCTTGCTTGGCTCATGGATGTTCTTGCTGGTAATTTCCTTAGAATGTCTTAAGTCCTTATCTTACTTGATCCCGTAGTAACTCTCAGCACAGTCACCCACTTCTTGAAACATACATTTTCCTGTGTTTTGCAATGCCACACTCTTCCTGTTTGTCCTGCTGCTCCAGCCACCCTGGCTCAGTGTCCTTTGAGGACTCTGGCCACCACTTAAGCTTATTTGCCTCTTGGCCTCCATTACAATGGGAATGCTTCTAACTCCAAATCCTTGTGTCTGGCCAAACTCTCTTCTGAACACCTCCTGTGTCTACATGTCTGGTGGATTCTACTCAACATGGCCAAAACCAGACTCATCATTGTTTTTCCCTAAAGCTGCTCCTCCTCTATTACCAGTAACAACTTATGCAGGTCAGTTCCTCACACAAACACTTCCAGTGCTTTCCCGTTAATCCTCAAAATGAAATCCAGGCTCCATATATCTTTCAGGAAGCTTTAGGCCCTGTGCACCTCCATCTTCAGGCTGTTGACACTGACACTGTGTGAAACTCTGTGCTCCAACCATTTTGACTAATTATGGTGCCCCTGACATCTCATTTTCTTATCCACTTCTGTGTCTTTGCACAGGCCAGTCCTTCTACCTTGAACGCTCTTCCCAATCCCACTCCTGTTCTGTTGCTAACTCCTCCTCATCCCTAGATTTCATCTTAATCGTTGTTTATTTCAGAAATCAATTAGAAGCCTTTCTATGCACACTGGATTTTTCCCAGTAAACCATTTGCTGCATTAATCTTATTGGTTTAAGGGAAATAACAAAATTAGGATGCTACCATCAGTTACAAACTGAGTATTCCTTGGTACTCGTTCTCATCTCCTCTCCCCCATTTTCCCCTCCTGGGGTAGCCGAGTCACCCCTATGCTTTTGTGGCACTTCCATTCTATTTCAAATATTTATATTTGTCTGATGTTAAAAGAAAAATCTTAAGCCAAATTAAATTTAACAGAGTTCAATTGAGCAAAGAATGATTCATGAATCGGGAAGCCCCCTGAACCAGAGTAGGCTCTGAGAGACTCCAGTGCTACCACATGGTTGAAGATTTATGGACAGAAATAGGAAAGTGACTTACAGAAAACAGAAGTCAGGTACAGAAACAGTCAGATTGTAAACAGTTTCACATTTGCCTTATGTGAACCCAGTTTCAACAGTTGGCTGCCTTTGGTTGGCCCTAACTTGGTGATTGGCACACAAGTAAATTTATAGCCTGTTTACACTATCAGTTAAGTTACAGTTTACTATGTACAGAGAAAGCTTTAGGCCAGACTTAAAATATGTAAGGAGGCAGCTGTAGGCTAAACTTAATTTAACACTCAACGGTAGGCCTTGAGCTGCTAGGGTGGTGCTAGAGATTTAAAGCAGTCCATACATGTTTGTTGAATTGAACTGACGTGAAACACAATTTGTTATGGCTCCATAATACCCCCTTATTAACATGGGTAGTAGATACTATACTTGACTTAGCTATTCTCCTATTTTAGACATTAAGGTTTTGTTGTCGTTAAGTATTATGAGTAATTCTGTGATGAAGATCTTTGTGATTTAAGCCTGTTTCCATTGTTTCTGATTATTAACATGATTAATGTGAGTCCTAAAAGTGGAGTTACTCAGAAAAAGTGTATGATCATCTTAAAGTCTTTGACAATACATTGTCAAGTTGCTTTCTAAAATTTTTGCACAATTAAAATTACCATTTACATGACCATTGACAACTTGCATTTCAAACCTTTATGTAGTGTGCATACACATCTGAAAACATCATCTCATTGGAAGAGTTGCAATAGCTGCCTGAGTGTATCGTTTACCTACACTGAGAATGCTGACTGAGTGGGGAATATTGTGGAGTGTGAAGGGCTTGAGCGGAATCCTGCAAGTCTGTAAAAGAAAATAAAGAATATTTAAAGGCCCTGCACAGAGAGTGCAATCTACCAGCAGGCAGTAGAAAAGGGCAGAATTCAGGGGCTGTGATGGTTAATGCTGAGTGTCAACTTGATTGGATTGAAGAATACAAAGCATTGATCCTGGGTGTGTCTGTGAGAGTGTCGCCAAAGGAGATTAACATTTGAGTCAGTGGGCTGGGAAAGGCAGACCCACCCTTAATCTGGGTGGGCACAATCTAATCAACTGTCAGCGTGGCCAGAATATAAGCAGGCAGAAAAATGCGTAAAGAGAGACGGGCTTAGCCTCCGAGCCTACATCTTTCTCCTATGCTGGGTGCTTCCTGCCCTCAAACATCAGACTCCAAGTTCAGTTTTGGAACTCGGTCTGGCTCTCCTTGCTCCTCAGCCTGTAGATGGCCTATTGTGGGACCTTGTGATCATGTGAGTTAATCCTTAAGAAACTCGTATATATATTCCCTTAGTTCCGTCCTTCTAGAGAACGCTAATACAGGGGCTGAGGGTTTTTAAAATTTTTTTGTTCATTTCTTCCTCAGCTTCCTCAACACAGAATATTGATTGCTAATAATGAATGTCAAAGGTTATCATGCAATGTATAGATAAGGCAAAAAGACTTCTTTCAGTTTATTTCATTGTGACCAGAATGATGATATTTGTTGGGTCATCTGTTATGAGTCACAATAGCTCTGTTACTAGCAATCACATTAGAATGTTGAGACATAAGAAACATATGAATCCCCCACGTTGGTGACTAAGAATTTGGTTCTCCTTATTGTTCAATTAGGATATTACCTCTGCCTAATGACCTTTTTCCTCATTCTTCTTGTTGGTTCCCTACTGCACCAGCCACCCTGACTCAGTCTCCTTTAAGGACTCTTGCCCCTTGTTAAGCTCTTTTCCTTCTTGGCTTCTTCCATTACGATCTGAATGCTTGTAACTCCAAATCCATGTGCCTGGACAAGCTCCCTTCTGAACACCTTCTGTATCTACCTGCCTGGTAGACTCTACTCATGTCTGATCCAACAGCTAGCCATGAGTCCTGGGTGCCCTGGCCCCAGCTGGGCCTCCCAGGCCTTTCTGCAGTATGATAGAGGCCACAGGCCAAGTCTCCCATTGGCTTGTTTGTGGGCTTCAGCCTCATTCCATGCAGAAAAGGGATTGAGATTATCAAATGACAGAATGGAGCCATGGTTGATAGGAGAGGTTATCACCAAAAATGGTGATTAGAGAGCAGAACATGAAGACGGAAGATGAGTGTCCTCTCAGGGAAGGATGCTTACGCCCTAAATGGTCAGTGTGATAAGGGTAAGAAGAGAAGGACTAATAGAGATACCATCTGAGCATGGTCTGTGTCTACACACAGGCCAACTATTTTGAAATAAATTTAATTCAACAAATATTTTCTAAGACTGTACCCGGAATACAATGAGAACACAGTCCTCACCCTCCAAAAGCTCTTAGTCTACTAACGTAGATAAAGGTAGTATATACACCAGTAAAAATAGAATGCATTAATGAAAGAAGCATGGAAGAAAGATGGGAATGCTTGCCTATCAGAGGGCCAGAGAAGTGACATATAAGCTACATTTTCTCAGTAGTTATTTTCAGGGTTAACAAACAGAGAAACAGAAAAGAACTTTTGCAAAGTCATGAAGGAGAAAAACACCATGAAGTGTTTGGGAACCATATGCAGTATGGTATTGCTGAAGAGTAACATGCAAAGTGAGGATTATGAAGATATGATTACAATGTGAATCTGGAGCAGTTTTCCTGGATCAGTTGACAAAGGGCCCTGTGGAAAGCACAGTTTCATCTGCAGGAAATCAGTAACTGGAGAATGGCTGGAAGGAATGGGCCTGCAGTTAGCAGAGGTTGGGAGTGCAGGTTCTGGGATCAGACAGCTGGCATTGATATTCTAGACCTGTCAGGTCTCAGCTCTGTGCTTTGGGCAAGTTTCTTAGCCTCTCAAAGCCTAAGTTTTCTCAGTTTTATAAGACAATATAGTAAGCGTGTCTACGTCATCGATTTGTTGTAAGGATTAAATGAGAATAATGTCTAAAAACAAGGTATTAGTATTATCATCATTGCCATCGTCATTTTCTTTTTTCTTTTTCTTTCTTTTTTTTTTTTTTTTTTTTTTACTACTACTGGGTTTTCATTGCAAAGGGTGATTTTTAAAGGGAGAGAAAAAATAGAAGACACAACTAGTTAAGAATCTATTGCAGTATTCCAGACCAGATGGGGAGAGCGTAAACAGAGTCTATGAGAATGGCGCAGGGGATGGTGAGGAGCAGGCTGATAGAAGAAATGGGGTCAATTGTATCTAATGACTCCAAAGAGAGAGGAGTGAAGAATGACTTTCATATTTCTGATTTAGAAGGCGAGGAGACAAATGATGTTACCATGGTAAATAAGAATAAAGAGAAAATAAAGTTGTTTTCAAATCCCTTGTCTGAAATAATCATAACAAAAACAATAGCTTACATTTTATGTATACCATATGCCATGAGTTGGTCTCAGCATTTTACATAAATTTACATATAATAATTGCACCTAACAACTAGTTGGAATAGGTAACATTTTAATTTCAAGTTCCCAGAAGAGGAAACTGAAACCCAGAGAGGTTAAGTAATTTGCCTGATATTTCACAGCCAGGAAAATGGCAGTGTGGGTTTTTTTAATGGTTTTTTTTTTTTTTTGAGACAGAGTTTCGCTCTTGTTGCACAGGCTGGAGTGCAATGGCACGATCTTGGCTCACCTCCTCCTCTGCGTCCTGTGTTCAAGCGATTCTCCTGCCTCTCCTGGGATTACGGGCATGTGCCACCATGCCCGGCCAATTTTGAACACAGACAGCCTGCGTCCAGAATCCCTGCTCTTTCCCTGTATACCACATGGCCTCCTGTGCACGATCCAGAGGAGACATCCAGGTGTTGGATACATGGGCCCGGGGTGCAGCAGAAAAGCATTGCCCCAGTGCACAGCCATATCCATATGCCGTTGGCGCATGGATTGGAACAAAACCATGGAACTCGATGAAGGTATGGCCTAAGAAGATCAAGAAGCTAAGGAGGACCAGCATTATAGGGTGGGCCAGAAGAGTAGATCCAACAAGTGTTAACCTATGGGAGAATGTCAGGGTAAAGCAGGTTGTCAACATGACCCTATGCCATAGAGACATCAGGGCTGATTAATGTATCAGAGAAAGACAGAGAGAGTAAAGGAGAGAGAGACTGATATGGTTTGGCTGTGTCCCCACCCAAATCTCATCTTGAATTGTAATCCCCAGGATTGCCACATATCAAGGGGGAGGGATCCAGTGGGAGGTTATTGGATCATGGAGGTGGTTTCCCCATGCTGTTCTCGTGATAGTGAGTGAGTTCTCATGAGATCCGATGGTTTTATAAGGCAGTTTTCCCTGCTCTTGCACGCTGTCTCTGTCTCCTGCCATCATGTAAGACATGCCTCTTCCCCTTCTGCCATGATTGTAAGTTTCCTGACATCTCCCCAGCCATGGGGAACTGAGTCAGTTAAATCTCTTTTCTTTATAAATTGCTCAGTCTCAGGTAGTATCTTTATAGCAATGTGAGAATGGAGTAATACACAGGCTCAGAAAAGTTCCTTGCATTTGGCAATTGAGAGAATAATGGGATGATGACTTCTGTCAGAAAAGTTTGTGATCAGGAGGTGGGGGTGGAATTCTGACTTGGGTGGGCCAGAGGAACTCAACGGTGGAAAAATAAGTGGTGACATCATAAATTGACACCTGTGAGAGATGGCGGATGAACTGAATAAAGTGTAGGGTATTTAGCTTGTCATGATTGTCCCTGAGAAACAGGTTGCAGGAATGCTACTTGCATTGAATAATTTTATTAGTTATCATTTAATTCCTTTAAATTGATTTCTTTAGTTCCCTATCAGAGACAAGCTCAAACTACACACAATGAATACATCACGGACTTCTCCTTCTCTTTATTTCGCTTCACTCTGGGCAAATGAAAGACAACAAATAAATATTGTGGATCTTGGTATTTAATGGTTTATAATCAGATAATTGTTCACTGTCCAGTACTCACTGTTCCTAATGCCCCCTAATCCTTCAGGCATCACAGATATGAAGTGGATTTGGTATCTGATGCCTTTCTTTTTTTTGTTTGTCAAATGAATGAATGAATGAACCTAGTCCAATCATCTGTTTCCAAAAAGGATGCCGCAAAGTACACTGGAATAAGATTCTAACTTCAGGCCTCTGAATTATCTGAAAGCCTACTCTAGTGTTTAATCACCTGAATCATCAGGGAGTTTCTTCTTCAATTTCATGTAATTATAATATTTTCAAACCATTTGCTCTAGATTGGCCTTCAGGAGAGGGCCAGAAATCAGCCTCCTGCAGCCTGCAAAGTTGGTGCCAGGCTGCTCCATTGCTCATTCCTGGATTCCTGGATGGAAACTCTCAACCCAACCTCATGCTGCCTCCAAAGCCTCCCTCCCCTGCCACGTGTCTTCTCCCTCCAGGCCTCCACTTGGGCAGGGTGAATGGGCTCTCCTCTCACCAGTATCTGCTCTCAACAGCAGCAGCCTCTTCTCCTTCGCTAAATCAATCCCTAAATCAATCCCCATCTACTTTGCATTTGAAAAACATGAAAAAAACGTGGCCCTTGATATCACCTGTTTTATTTTTTGTTTTTGTTGTTTACGCCTTTGCAATTTTTTCCCTCTATAATTGTAGTAGGGCCTTGGGAGTGAAAGATAATAAACAGCTTCTATTTGTCATCTTTTTTTCTTCCACATTCCTTATGAACAAAATTTGTTTCCAGGCTTTGGGGGGTCATGACAAGGTTATAAGTTATGAGTCTACAGAGTCTTTGGGTATGCACTGCCATCTGGATCTACTGTACCAGGGGCTGGCCAGAGTGTATCTTTCCAAAGGAGTCCTGCATCTGCCTGCTTAGGGGATGATCTAGCATTTCCAGCAGACCTGGAGAGGACAGAAGGGGTTGGATTGAGGAACCTGCAAAATCTTGAAAATAGAGGGGGCTTCACGTCATAGCCCAAATGCCTTAGCTTATGAACTGATTCACTAGAGAGCCCTTTTGGAGGGAAAGTAGCAGGCATGTTTTCTGTTCTATCTATGTCTTTTATCCTACTCTGAGCAAGAAAAAAACAGGCCTGTCAGTTCTTTATCCCCAGCAAGACCCAAGCTGGACTTGCATTATTTCTCACTGAAGAAATCCACACTCACTGGCCTGAGTAGGAAAAGAAAATAACAGACTATTTCAATAAACTGTGAGGCCTAAATGACTGGATTACCTAGGTCCTATTGAGACAGAATTTATAGAAAAACAGACTAGAGAGTTAATGAAAATGTAATGAGAAGTCTTCAGGAGATAAAATAAGGGAACATAAAATTTCTGGAATTAAAAAAAAAATGCCTAATTTCTAGATGTAAAGTTAAGAGATGAACTCGAAAAGAGAGCAGTTCCTGATGAAAATCACATTGGTTATCAGAAAGATCAAGTGGAGGAAATAGCTCACAACCCAGAGCATAGATGCAAAAATATGGGAACCATAGATGAAAAGACAAAAGACATGGAAGACATAGGTGTGCATTTAAGAAAAAAATTAATGGCCGGGTGCGGTGGCTCACGCCTGTAATCTCAGCACTTTGGGAGGCCGAGGAGGGCAGATCACGAGATCAGGAGATTGAGACCATCCTGGCTAACACGGTGAAACCCCGTCTCTACTAAAAATACAAAAAATTAGGCGCGGTGGCGGGCGCCTGTAGTCCCAACTACTCGGGAGGCTGAGGCAGGAGAATGGCGTGAACCCGGGAGGCGGAGCTTGCAGTGAGCCGAGATAGCGCCACTGCACTCCAGCCTGGGCGACAGAGCGAGACTCCGTCTCAAAACGCGCGCGTGCGCGCGCACACACACACACACACACACACACACACACACACAAAGAAATTAATATATGGAAGATAAATACTGATCAACAAATAATAATAATAGATGAAACTTCCCTGTGCTGAACGAGACCTTGCTTTTGGTTCAGCTAACACCAGGAAGTTGTAATAACAATGACAAAGAAATCAATCTCATCCAAGTGAGTCTTCTGAAGTCCGGTAAGATAAAGTTTCATAAACTTCCCCGTGCAAAGAAAGGGCTGTTACATAAAGAGGAGAATGAGACTAGCATCAGTCTCACTACAGAATGGAAACTGGAAAACAGTAAAGATTTACAAAATTTTGAGATGAATCACAATGTCATTTAAATGTGAGAACAGAAGAAAGCCATTACTAAAAATGCTATGGCCCACTCTCTTTAAGGAAACACTCTTATTTATATATTCCAACCAAACCGAATTTAAGGATAACCTAGATCTCAGGACAGGAGAAGATGAAGAATACAAGAAACCGCAGTGAGCAGTCCTGTAAAACACATAGTGAAGTCTAAAGGATGGTGGTCATGTGGCTGTGAACTGTAATGTGAGGTAAGTAATAATTCCCTAACAGAAAAGAAAGACTGCATGTCTCTGTATGAAATCCTATGTGTATTCCCAGAAGTAAGCACTTGCTAATATATACTGAATAAATACTTAGGTTAAGAGTTCAGTTTTAAATAAGTCTCAACAAAGTTGGTTCCAGAGCAGATTAATAAAAATCTTGATATGGGGACGATTACTTTAAATTTATTACCACATATCTATGATTTTGTGACTTAAAAGTTAGGAAACTACTAGCTAAGAGAGAGAATTTCCTAATTTCTAGAATTAGAGTGGAAATTTAAAATAATACAGCAAATTAGGAAAAAAAGTAAGAAGAAACAACAAAATAATTATCAACATAAAGTAAAATGGAAAAATAAAAGATACTAAGTATCACAATGAAAGTGAAGAGATGCTTTCTTATATAAAAAGACAAGCAACTTCATAGCTAGGCATGGTGACATGCGCCTGCAGTCCTAGCTATTCAGGAGGCTGAGGCAGGAAGATCACTTGAGCCTAGGAGTTTGAGGCCACAGTGAGCCATGATCGCACCACTGGGCAACAGAGCTAGATCCTGTCTCAAAACAAACAAACAAACAAAAACAAAACAAAACAAAAAAACAACAGAATGCTTACACATTCTAGCTATGTGTTGTTTAAAAATAAATTCAACTAAAATAGAATAGTAAAGAAATGTAGAAAATAATGAAATATACTAAGACATTTTAAGCAAAATAGAAAAAAAAGCTGCTATAACATAATACTAGATAAAGAAGAGTTTGAGGCATAAAGCATTGTATGGGGAAAAGATAAAAGGCATAATCTATAATAAATTACAATAAATTAACAAATTTCAATGTCTCCAAATAGCAGTTAAATACATAAAGCAAAACAAATAAAAACTAGAAATACAGAGACCTTATAACATCCAAAATCATACCAGAAACTATAATACACTTAAATCAATGAACATTAAACAAGAGTAAAGATATTTCAAATAATATGATCAATAAATCTGATTTAAAATTAGGTATGTAGATAATTTTCTGCCCTACGGACAAAGATGCACATTCTTCACTATGTCTATCAGACAGTTGCAAATAAACCATTTACCTGACTACAGTGAAAATTAAGAAGTTTCAAAATAACATTTTTATTGGCCACATTCTCTGACTGAAAAGCAACAAACTAAAATTTATTCACAAATAATAAAAATATTACTTTTAAATTAATAGATTTCTAAAATGCTCAAACTGGAAATCACACCCCCAGGCACTTAGAAAATGCAAGTCATCTAGAGAAATGAACCACTCATGGTGTCCTCACAGAAGTTTCACACATAGAATCGCAACAAATATGAGATCACAACAAAAATTCTCAAGACACATGACAAGAGGAGCAGCTTCTGAGGATGCTGACTTGGTTGTTTTGGACTAATCCTCCTACTGAAGACTGTAGCCTGATACTCTTAGTGAAATACATGAATCTTTGTACATTGTAAAGATCTTCTCCATTGCCTTGAAATATTTGAGCAGAAGGCTGATCCATCAAAGAATACAAAAATATCAGGATTAGACATGTCAAACAAAAAAAAAATTTTTTTTTTTGAGATGGAGTCTCACTCTGTCACCTAGGCCAGAGTGCAGTGGCACAATCTCAGCTCACTGCAAACTCCGCCTCCCAGGTTCACGCCATTCTCCTGCCTCAGCCTCCTGAGTAGCTGGGACTATAGGCGCCCACCACCACGCCCAGCTAATTTTTTGTATTTTTAGTAGAGATGGGGTTTCACCGTGTTAGCCAGGATGGTTTCGATCTCCTGACCTCGTGATCCACCTGCCTCGGCCTCCCAAAGTGCTGGGATTACAGGCGTAAACCACCGCACCCGGCCAAAATTTTTTAAAAAAATTTTCATCCACAAAAGCAGAAGTCTGGTTGGGTGCAGTGACTCATGCCTGTAATTCCAGCACTTTGGGAGGCCGAGGTAGGCAGATCACTTGAGGCCAGGAGTTCGAGACCAACCTAGGCAACATGGTGAAAACCTGTCTCTACTAAAAATACAAAAATCAGCTAGGCGTGGTGGCACATGCCTACAATCTCAGCTGCTGGGGAGGCTGAGGCATGAGAATTGCTTGAAACCAGGAGGTGGAGGTTGCAGTGAGCTGAGATCATGCCACTACACTCTAGCCTGAGCAAGAGTGAGACTCCATCTCAAAAAAACAAAAACAACAGAAAAGCAGAAGCCAATCAACCCATCTATGCTTTTTTAGAAAATAATTTACGTCCTACTCGAAGATAACTGAGTTACTTGAAGAAAATTGAAGCTGCTTCCCTGCAAACTCCATTTTGGCCTGGTGGGGACTCCAATCCCATGGCGTGCTGTGTGTTCTCTATCTGCTAGGTGTCTTCCATGGCAGGCAGTCAGAGATGCAGTAGCCTGTCCCTCTTGGAACTGATATTTACATACTCTCTCATGCTCAAATATTTCTAGGCATTTGAGAAGATATGAATCAACCACACGCAAAGTTGTATTTATGTTGATATGAGTTACCAGGCTAGAGTCACAGAAAACAACTTGACGAAGCCTTTTATAGACTCTAGGGACACTGAGCTCACCTGAAAAAGTCCTAGATTCAGCTGATACGTCATTGTTATTAGCCCATATTTCCAAAAATAATTGTGCCAAAGTTTATCTTTTAACAGCCCAAATCTAATTATTACGTGATTGAAAGAGTCAGAGAGATTGGTCCCCAGAAGCCCTATATGAGGGTCTTAATTTGGGAGAAGTTTTGGTTTTAAGGAGAATCAGGATTATTCAATTAGTCAGATGCCATTTAATTAGTCAGATTACAGTGTGCAAAGAGCTTTCCATGCACTGTTATATTTAGTCTTCACAAAAGCAGGTCTCATCATAATTCCAGTATTACAGAAGAGAAAACGGAGGCTCAAAGAAGTTAAATGATTTTCCCAAGCTCACTTAGCTGGTTCATGAGCTGTACAAAAATCAATCCAAAGCCTTTGAAGGTAAAACTCATGCTGTTTCTTCAGAGTTTAGGAACACCAGGAGGAAGAGAAAGGCTCCCTCCTAGGTCCGGTTGTTTGCTGTGGCTGACATGATTATTTTCTGTCCTTTGAATCAGTGCAGGCAACTGTCGATGACCAAGAACCAAGATTCTCTTTGATTCATAAGCACCATATTGACATAGGCAGGGAGTGCTTAATAAACCTGAGTTGGTAATAATGATAGCAGCAACAAAGCAGTTGGCTGTGTGCATATTACACCTTTGGGAAAAGCTTGGAATAGAGCCACCAACCACATGCCATACACAGTATAAAAATCCAGACAGGGGAAATCTGTTATATGATCAAACAGTTAAATATACTTGACCTCTTAAAAATCAGACTAAAACAAATGAAGTAAGAAGTTCAAAGAGATTAATCCAAGCTGCAACTGAGAAATGAGATGGGCTTAATGTGAAATACAAGGTCAAACTCAGCTAGCTTAAAAGAACCAAGATTTAAGGTGAGTGGTATGTGCTCAAGACATTAAAGGTTTAATTGAAGTCAGGATTGTTACTTAAAATACCATGAAACGATTTGATTCAAAAAAACTTCATTGATTTCACCTAAAAATGCGTTGGAACCTAATGAGAGAGTTGGACCCTGAGTGAATGCCATGATCCAAACAAGAGGGACTCAATGTAAGGAGAAGCCCATGGAACCTCAGTGAAAACTTGAGAAATTAAAAGAAAGGCATCAATGACACCATTAAAATAAATCAGGCATGTTTTCATGGAAACGGGATAAACAGATGACAGAGATGTTACAAGGCCAAGTGATTATAGATTTAAGCAACATTTGGAGGAGGTAGGACAACTCTTTTTCACCATAAAATACTTTTCTCCAGCATAAATGCTAAAAAAAATTTTTTTGAACAATTTAAGGCTGGGTGTGGTAGCTCACACCTGTAATCCTAGCACTTTGGGAGTGTTTTGGGAAGCAGGAGAATCATTTGAATCCAGGAGTTTGAGACCAGCCTGGACAACACAGCAAGACCCTGTCTCTACAAAGTTAAAAGCAAAAAAATTAGCTGGGCGTGGGGGGTATGCCAGCAGTCCCAGCCCCTCGGGAGACTGAGGTGGGAGGATCACTTGAGCCCAGGAAGTTGAGGCTGCAGTGAGCTGTGATTGCAGCACTGCCCTCCAGGCTGGGCAACAGATTGAGCTTCTGTGTCAAACAAATAGCAATAACAACACAAGAAAAAACACAGAAAGAAAGAATTTAATTTCTGAGAGAGTGAGCGATTAGAACTTTTTAAAGGAATAACACTATCTGATGTTGCCAAAGAATGAAGAAAAAGATACGTAGCACATGCCTTGGTGGGAAGCTTTCTGTTGACCTTTCACTGGGAGAAAAAGAAAATACACATTGTATATTAAAATCCAATCAATGCTTAAATACTAAGTCTATTTGGGCTGGTATTAATATAATTACACTAGCTTTCTTTCAATTAACATTTATCTGGGATATCTTTTCTCCATTCCATTTTAAAGACTTAAGTATTTTTTTTTTAAATTATACTTTAAGTTTTAGGGTACATGTGCACAACATGCAGGTTAGTTACATATGTATACATGTGCCATGTTGGTGTGCTGCACCCATTAACTTGTCATTTAACATTAGGTATATCTCCTAATGCTATCCCTCCCCACTCCCTCCGCCCCACAACAGGCCCTGGTGTGTGATGTTCCCCTTCCTGTGTCCATGTGTTCTCACTGTTCAATTCGCACCTGTGAGTGAGAACCTGCAGTGTTTGGTTTTTTGTCTTTGCGATGGTTTGCTGATAACGATGGTTTCCAGCTTCAACCATGTCCCTACAAAGGACATGAACTCATCATTTTTTATGGCTGCATAGTATTCCATGGTGTATATGTGCCACATTTGCTTAATCCAGTCTATCATTGTTGGACATTTTGCTTGGTTCCAAGTCTTTGCTATTGTGAATAGTGCCGCAATAAACATACGTGTGCATGTGTATTTATAGCAGCATGATTTATAATCCTTTGGGTATATACCCAGTAATGGGATGGCTGGGTCAAATGGTATTTCTAGTTGTAGATCTCTGAGGAATCGCCACACTGTCTTCCACAATGGTTGAACTAGTTTACAGTCCCACCCACAGTGTAAAAGTGTTCCTATTTCTCCACATCCTCTCCAGCACCTGTTGTTTCCTGACTTTTTAATGATCGCCATTTTAACTGGTGTGAGATGGTATCTCATTGTGGTTTTGATTTGCATTTCTCTGATGGCCAGTGATGATGAGCATTTTTTCATGTGTCTTTTGGCCACATAAGTGTCTTCTTTTGAGAAGTATCTGTTCATGTCCTTCGCCCACTTGTTGATGTGTTTTTTTTTCTTGTAAATTTGTTTGAGTTCATTGTAGATTCTGGATATTAGCCCTTTGTCAGATGAGTAGATTGCAAAAATTTTTTTCCATTTTGTAGGTTGCCTGTTCACTCTGATGGTAGTTTCTTTTGCTGTGCAGAAACTCTTTAGTTTAATTAGATCCCATTTGTCAATTTTAGCTTTTGTTGCCATTGTAAGTATTTCATATTATCTCTGATAAAAAGCATATAACTACATTTTGTAAACACAGCCTTGTACCTAAAGATTTAAGTCCATTTATATTTGTCATAATTACTAAATTTATAAATTAGATTTATTTGTACCTGGTTATCTTGTCCTTTTGTTTGTTCTCTCTTATTCTATACTTCATTTCTTCTCTCTTCTCACCTTCTTTTGGACTGATTATTATTTTCTCATTGTTTTTCCTCTTCTATTTTGAAAGTTGTATACACTGTATTCTACAGGAAAGCAGTATTTTTATCCTTCTCCCACCAAACACAAGAAACTCAATATTATTCTCTTCCCATCTGTATGCTATTGCCAAGTATTTTAGTCTTATCATGCTTTTTTAACTCCACAAGATATTTTAATTATGTTTCATTCCATCAATATTAGCTTTGGTTTACCCACATTTGCCATATTCTTTGTTCTTTAATCCTTTGTTTACATCAGACTTTCCATCTGGGATCATTTTCTTCTGCCTGAAAAAAATATCCTTTAGAATTTTCCTTACTGGGTGTTTAAATGTTGCAAACTCTCTGAGTTTTGGGTTGTTTAAAAATGTCTACTTAGCCCTTATATTTGAGAGATGTGGAACCTGGGATTCAACTTCTCCATCAGTGTTTTTATTCCTCTCAGTACAGATCTGCCATTTTCTGGCCCCCATTGTTGCCATTAAGAGGCAAGCTATCAAATTAAGCATCACTTCTTGAAAGGTTGTATGTCTTTTCTCCACGGAAGACTTTATCTTCTCACGGTTTTCAGTTTTCATTTTGCTGTGTCCAGGAGTGCAGTTCTATGCATTTATCCTGCCTTATGGTTATATTTATAGCTTTTTTTTTTTTTTTTTTGGAGACAGAGTCTGACTCTGTTGCCCAGGCTGGAGTGCAATGGCACAATCTCGGCTCACTTCAACCTCTGCCTCCCAGGTTCAAGCGATTCTCCTGCCTCAGCCTCCTGAGTAGCTGGGACTACAGGCATGTGCCAACACACCTGGCTAATTTTTGTATTTTTAGTAGAGACAAGGTTTCGCTATGTTGGCCAGGCCAGTCTTGAACTCCTGGCCTCGAGTGATCCACCCACCTCAGCCTCCCAAAGTGCTGGGATTACAGGCTTGAACCACTGCGCCCAGCCATAGCTGGGTTTTCTCAATCTGTAGATGGCTTTCTAAAAACCTCTCAGCTGTTCTCTCTTCGAATATTGTTTCTACCTGATTCTTTCTTTCTCCCTGTCATTCTCACATCAGACCTGTGTTAGTCCTTTTCATTCTCTCCTCCATGGTTCTCAAACTCTCCTATTTCTCATCTTATTTTCTCTCTATGCTTTATTCTTGTGGTTTCTTTAGGTTTATCTTTAAATTCACTATTCTGTCTTAGGCCATATCTTACCTTCTGTTTTTAGAAGCAAGGTAGTTCTTCCAGAAAAGAACTGCACTTGGTTCTGCTAGGCAAGCAGTACTACTACCAGCCTGGGATCACTTTAAACTACATTTTTGACGGTATGTTTTTTAGACAACATAGATTGTATGAATTTGGGTTACAAATCATGTGAGGGCCAGTGTACAGTTGCAAATTCCCAGAGGAGACTTTCCCTGTATACTCAGTGATATGGTTTATATCTCATCTTGACAAATCTCATCTTGAATTGTAGCTCCCATAATTCCCACATGTTATAGGAGGGACCTGGTGGGAGATCACTGAATCATGGGGGCAGTTTCCCCCATACAGTTCACTTGGTAGTAACTAAATCTCATGAGATCTGATGGTTTTATAAGGGGTTTCCCTTTTTGCTTGGTTCTCATTCTCTTGTCTACTGCCATGTAAGACATGGCTTTTGCCTTCCACCATGATGGCAAGGCCTCCCCAGCGACATGGAAATGTGAGTCCATTAAACCTCTTTTTCTTTTAAATTACCCAATCTCAGGTATGTCTTTATCAGCAGCGTGAAAACAGACTAATACAGTCAGTGACTCCAGATAGTATGTGTCCTCACTGTCCCCTGGGGAGAGGGGCAGAGAGCATGTTTACTTGTAGGGTATAGGCTTTGGTGTCCAGGGTTTATATGTGGGGGTGGGGTTTCTATTAAATCACAACCTGGTTGGGCCCTAGTCTTTGTCTCTGTTTTTCCATACCCTGCAAGACCTTGAACACCTAGGGTCAAATTCATGGCAAATATCCTCAATGCAAAGGTTGTCTCTGTTTTTGTTTCTGGGTGCCTGTCTTGATTCAGTTTTTAATCTGAGGATTCCTTACTTTCTTGCCAGCTTGGGGACATATTTATGATGGTGAGTTTTTTGTTTGTTTTCATTTTATCCATCATTTTAATTGTTTTTATTGGAAATGAGTCGAACTGTGTATATAACCCACCCTTATTTTTTTAAAATTCACAAGAACAATAAGAAGATAATACAACATGAACATAGGTGCTGCTGCTATGGAAAATTACAGAAACCCACTAGAGTGAGCAATGGATGGAGCTAAGGCAGAGCCACAGCTGCCTTTCTCAGGATGTCAGCTGTTGCTAGGGAAACCAGCTGAATAGATGGCAGTTACCTAAGGAAGACTCTGAGGAGAACTTTGATAAACCGGTCAGCAGGTTATAAGAACACATGCATCTTGTTTTATGATTGACAAGTGTTTCTGTAATATCTGCAAGACCAGCTTCTAAGTAAGTGTGGTTTACTATTTTATTCAGCAATAATTTAATAAGTATCCACACCATTCCTGGCTCTAGATGCTTAGTGAATGTTCGATGAATTCTCTGAATTTGCAGAGACATGAAAAAAGGCATCCAAGTGGGCAGCCTTGATTAACTGGTCATCCATGTCATTGATTCCAAGTTTTTAAAAAATGCAATAAAATTTGACACAACTTAAAATCATTTCTCAATACACAAGAGGGACTAGATTTGTTACAGGTTTCCTGCAATCTTTGGTCTTCCAAAGATTTTTGATCTTCCAAAGATCTTTCCAAAGATCTTTCCAAAATATGGGGTATTTTCACTACCCCCCTATTGAGGGATCTTACTGATTTCATTTCCTTTCTGCTATAGACACAGGCAGTATTACAAACTCCCAACAAAACAGATGTCAGTATAATTCTTTTAGCAATGTTAGTAGAATACATTTGGCCAGATTCAATGATTTATTATCTCCAAGTTTTCACAGAAGTGGATTCCTGATTTTGATGGAGAGCTCAGGGAGCATTGCAAGTGACCTGTATGCCATCGTGAGTTTCTCAACTGGATCCTAAATCTGGTTGTGAAGTATATCAGATGATGAGGACTTCCAGATTCTAGCTGGTCTGTAAGAACTGGCATCTTTCTATTCAGATGTCTCCATATGACATTTCCTCATGCCATCTGTCTTGGGGTTTTCTTTTCAAAAGTAGTAACACCGCTTCAACTTTTAGGAACTTCCCAAATGTTTCCTCCAAATGCCAACAGCTTTTGAATTTATGGATGAGAGTTTGCTTCTTTTGCTTCTCTTTCTCTCTCTTCTTTCATCCTTTTCTCCTTTCCAACCTCCCTCCTCCAACTTCTTCCTTCTTTTCTCTTTCTTCTTTCCTGTCCCTTTTTTGCTATTGCTATTAAAAAGTGAATGATTCTTTTAGTCTTTCTTGGAGCTTTTCATTTCTTTTTCTTCTACTGAATTTTCATCTTATACCCTCACTTTATTAAATTGTCTATTTTTTTGTGCATAAGAATGATGATTTCTATCTATCTAGTCCAGTAAGACTGTGGCCATTGGATGTACAAGAGTATCTGTTTTGGCCGATTTGATTAATTATTCCAGAAATTCTTTTTAACATTTATTACTAATTTAGCACAATTATTCTTCTTCTAGGTACTTTATATTAGATAAACATGATCATCGAAAGAATTATCTGTATAACTTTATTGGTTAGTCCACCTAAACAATTATTTTCTGTTAGTTTTTACTGGGTTTGACTTAAATAGATTTTTGTGCTTTTTTCATTTTAAGTTCTCTATTTGTTTTTCCTACTTCTAGTCTCTTCTTACCATGTTGTTTAGATTCTGGGTCTTCATAGTCTAATTTAAGTTTAAATTATTAAATTCAAAGCTCAGTTTGTAAATCACTCTAACCTCATTTCAAGTGCTCAGTAGCTGCATGTGACTCATGGGTCTTGTACTGTGTGGTGCAGATTATAAATGCAGAATGTTCCATTGGAAAGCACAGCTCTATATTCCTCCCAGTTTTTCCTTGCACCACAGAGGACAAAGTTCTAGTGCCAATGGAGAATAAACCTTTTCTGTATACCCGTGTTATATTTTCTACTCAGATATAAGACATATTGTTTTGTCTTGTTTCTATTTTTGTCCAAGACAATGACTTTGTCCATGGGAGCACCTTGAAGGGCATAAGACAGTCGCTGAAGGTCATGACACAGATATTACCCTACACACAGTACTTCAACATGAAAAAGCATGTTTTAGTTTATTTTCTGTTGCAAATAACAGTGTACCTAAAATGGTTAATTTAAAAGAAAAACTATTTCTTACAGTTATGGAGGCTGGGAAGCCCAAGGTCAAGGGGGGACACACCTGGTAAGAGTCTTCTTGGTGGCGGGGACTCTCTGTCTTTGGGTTTAGGGACCACCCTAATCCATTATGGCCTCACCTTAAATTGATTCCAAATGTAAAAACCCTATTTCCAAATGAGGTTACCCTAGGTACCAGGGCTTAGGACTTTCACAGATGTATCTTTTGGAGGGACACAATTCAACACACTGCTGGGGTGAAAAGGTTAAGGGCTTCAGAATATTTCTTTTTGGAAGGAAGGCAAACAGCTTCTGAATCTTAGTTGACATAGATTTAAAGTAAAAAAATTCATACACAGTGCACACTACACATGAAATATGCTGTCAATCCAAATAAAATAAAACTCTATCCTTATAGGACTATGAAAGGGAGGCTACTTATCTCTTTAACCCACTCTGGGTTCTAAAATCCTGAGTGTAAGAAGCAGATAGGAGCCACCCTGCTCAAAGCCTGTATATAACACACTGAGAGATTTTATAACTCAATACTTCATAAATATATCAGAGTAATTTTAGAACAGTTGAAATGAGAATTACTTTATATTTAACAAGGCAATGCATACACACATATGTTGATATATTGATACAGTTTGGATATTTGTCTTGGCCCAAATCTCATGTTGAAATGTAATCCTCAGTGTTGGAGGTGGGGCCTGGTGGGAGGTGTTTAGGTCATGGAGGCAGATCCCTCATGGCTTGGTGCTGTCCTTGTGATAGTGAGTGAGCTCTTGCGAGATCTGGTTAAGTTAGTGGCACCTCCCCCTTCCGCTCTCTCTCTGGCTTCTGCTCTGGCAATGTGATGTGCCTGCTCCCCCTTTACCTTCCACCATGATTGTAAGCTTCCTGAGGCCTCCCCAGAACCCAAGCAGATGTCAGCACCATGCTTCCTGTAAAGCCTGCAGAACTGTGAGCCAATTAAACCTCTTTTCTTTATAAATTACCCAGCCTCAGGTATTTCTTTATAGCAATGCAAGAATGACCTGACACACATATGTACATTCGTGTGTGTGTGTGTGTGTGTGTGTGTGTGTGTATATATTCATATATTCATGTATATGGGTATACACTCACACATACATTTAAAAACATACATCTTCAAGGCCGGGTGCGGTGGCTCACACCTGTAATCCCAGCACTTTGGGAGGCCAAGGCAGGTGGATCACGAGGTCAGGAGATCAAGACCATCCTGGCGAACATGGTGAAACCCTGTCTCTACTAAAGATACAAAGAAATTAGCCAGGCGTGGTGGCAGGTGCCTGTAGTCCCAGCTCCTCAGGAGGCTGAGGCAGGAGAATGGTGCAAACGCGGGAGGTGGAGCTTGCGGTGGGTGGAGATCGCGCCACTGCACTCCAGCCTGGGCAACAGAGTGAGACTCCATGTCAAAAAACAAACAAACAAAAAAGCATACATCTTTGAAAGTTATATGTAGTGGGATTCTTATATAAAATTTCAGTTCTTGCAAAGAATCTAGGCAGACCCCTTAATCAGTGTGTTTTGAGAAACAGTCTTTATTCTGGTATAGCTTGGATCTCTTTTCCTGTTGCATCATTCAAGTTCCACTGATTCTCTTCCATGAGTCCCATGACATCTTGTCTCATGCCATTCTGCACGAGGATGGGACTTTTAAAACACTGTGACTATCTCTAGATGATCTTCAGTCATAGCCTATGCAAAACACAGTCCACACTGAATATAGTCATTATGGAGTCTTTGCTTCCTTTCTCTACACTCTGCAAAGTGCTGATGCTTTTTTACATATTAGTCAAAGGGATAATATTTGATTCTTTCCTTGATTTTGCAAGTTTCTCTTTAATGTGAGCTGAGGTCTTGCCTATGTTCTCTCTGCCAGCTGCACTATCTCTGGGATCAGCATCCTGCACTGAGTTCATGGGAGGAGGATATAAAATTTCTTTTAATGACAAAAGCCACTACCTGCTTAGAATATGGGCAAAGACATATCCATCGCTCACTCTGATCAGTTTGTCAGAGTGAGCTACACATAGCCTCGATACCTTCAAGGCTACAAGTGTGATGTTAAAGCACTCCCAAGTTGACAAGGACTGTCTTCCCTCACAGAGGTTTCCTGGTATGTGTTTCTCCAGAACTGTTCTTGTCATCAGATTCATCATTCTGAAATTGCTCTATAATGCTTTTATTTTCCCATGCAAAGTTTCTGGTTTTATTTTCCCATAAAAGAAACCAATTGGAATGTATTCCTATAGGTAAAGAATCTCTTGCTTTGTTAAAACCACATTTAATATATCCTTTAATATTAGTAGATTAGAAATATAAGAAACAAATATAAAGAGATGAAAATCACCTTCATGTATTTCTTTTTCAATGTAAGGGTTAATCAAAGACATAGAGAAGAGTAGAATTGCTTATAGTAGGTCATCCACAGATCCTTCCCACATCCCACTCTGGCTTACTAGCATTCTGTAAAAGGTGATAAATAGTCTGATTCGACTTCTTCCTGAACCCAAAAGAAGTGCCACCAGCTGCTATCTTACTGGAAGTTGGAGTTCACTTCAAAAGCTAAGCTGATCATAACTGGAGCCATATGCAGGGAAATTTATAATTTCAACATTTCCCATTAGTAAGAGTTTGCTTTGAATTGATCTTTGGCTTGGCAGGAGTACTTTTTACCTAAGTGCGGATGAGTGCAGGTGGTCTGATGTTAAATTTACAGTCAACAACACTCAAAGAGACATTTTAATAAGGTTGGGTTTCTCTCCTCAGGTACACCAATAATGATTGAATTGAGAATATTATATGTGATTGAGAATTGGGGAACAGTTGCACCCGAGAATTTCTAAGAATCGCTGGTCATTGAACATCTTAATTCATGGACAGACACAGAAGACCACTGAGTGAGTTGCTGAAGGTAGTGAGCAGAGTCAGAAATAATATGTAGGGCCTTATATGCTCCACCGTCCCATTGGCTAAATGGCTACCCTGATTTAATGCAACTAAATCATCTCACAGAAACATGGTGCATAAGCAGACTAGAGGAAGGAAATCAGTATAATCCAAACTCCTTCCAGGGCAAAAAAGAGGAAACTAACTTGAATCAGTTATGTGATAGAGTATTTGAAGCTCATTCTACCCGCAGACATCAACAATGCCAAAGAGAAAACAACCGAATTTGAGCACTTTGTTTAATCCAACCAACATGTATCAAGAGCCATGTGCAATGCATTATGCTACATGATGCATTTATTAATTAAATATGTACCTAAAACTTTATTTAAGCCAAGAACTGGAAATACAGTGTTGAAGAAGTAGGCCCAATTCTTCAACTCATGGGGCTTATGTATGAGTCTGGTGACAAAAATAGAGGTGATTAGAATAAAGAGGGATAAGATGTATAGTGGCTGAAGAGCAAGGCATTAAGGGGTATCTGGGAAGGCTTCTTGGAGAAGGAATATTAAAGCTGAGACATAAAGGATGAGAGTGAGTCATCCAGAGAAAGTAGAGGGGAAGATGGGCCTTTCAGAAAGAAGACCAGCAATATCAAAGGCAGGAGAGAGGGCACAGGTGGGTTTCCTGAATGAATGAATGAATGGATATTCAATGATTAGACATTTTTCTATGGGAGAGAAATGTGTTTTAAGATACTTGCTGGTATTTCTGGGGTATAGAACAATGTGTTCCTATGGAAGGTGATTGGAAATTCCTAAGATGATACTTAGGCAGGTAACCAAAATCTTTTGGCTTCATCCTCTGGGGCTTTAGAATTTAAGGAGTCTAGACATACCTGAGGACCCTCCTGGGTGTCAGGTTAAGATGATTTCTGTCGTGGGCCTGCAGGAGACCTGACTCTGTAGTCCATTTATTGAAGACTTTAAACTGTGAGTTCCTGTAACTTGCACAGCATGTCATCCACCTGCATCTTGCTCCCTGTTTCTCTTCTCCCAAGTCCTGAGTAAAATCTGGTGTAAGTGTCAAGGCAGCTCTCAGCTGGGATAAGGGCATAAGACTCTCAGTTGCCATTGAACCCAGGACATGAAAGGGGGCAATTTCCCATCTAAGGCCTGTGGGTGGCAGCAGGGATAGTTAGGGAGGTGAAGGCGAGCCCTCAGGTAAAAAATAATCTACAGAGACACAAGAGTTGGGCTGTGGACCCAGGTTTTCTCTCCATTTGAAGCTTCTATCACCATGATCAAAATTGGAAAGTTAGGGTGTGCCCAGTGTCCTGACTGATAGAACTTACAGAGAACAGTTTTATTGGAGAAGTGGGATTGTCAGTCACAAACTTTGTGGGATGAGAATGGAATGAAGTGAGAGGCCAATTAGAATACTTAGAGGCCCAGATTTTGGAGTCAGACAAATCTACCTTCATGCTGTGACTCTGTTGCTACTCATTAGATATCACATGGGAAAACAGTCATCTCTACTTAGTTAAAAGAACATTCAGGCAATTTGGTCATGAGCATGTGTCCAAATTCTATGGAAATCTCACAAGGAGAAAAACATCCTCTTACAGGCCAAGGAGCATTCACTTTTGGTAGAGACATTTTACAGGAGTAGACAGTTTAGGGACAACTACTGTTTGACTGATTCTTTAAAGAAAAATAAGTCATTAGAATACGTCACTAGAGTTTTTAGCACACCTCAGCCACTTGGAAATAGCAGAATAGTGCATAAAGATCAACTCTCTGAGCTTTAATTCAAGAAGAAAAACGGGAATCCACCCAAGTCATGAATGACATCCCAGATGCTGGGGATGAGAATGCAGGCAAATAGCCCCCAAGATGGCACCTGGCTGATAAAAGCGATGAAGCCCCTCTGTTTAAGAGTGGCAGGAAGCCTCCTTCTGTGACTCACCTCTCCACTGGGGATGTGAGTGACCCAGGGCGAGGGAGGAGCACTTTCTTTCTCTGAAGCCCTGAAGCTAACTTGGAAAGTGGCTTGGAGATGCTGAGAGGGACAGACACCAGGAAAAGCTGCAGGTATTTTCTCAGACTCAAGACCAGGAGCAGCATGCTATTTTTAATCCAGGCACATACAAAATCAGTCATTCTTTGGTGACCTGGCAGTGTAGCCACACAGGCATTTTAGTCTTGGGCCAGAGATAGGAACATCTGCTCTGGAGTAGGGTAGGGGCCTCCATAGCCAGAATGGTGGAAAGTGCCTCAGCAGTCGGTACTGGAATTGTGTTCTTCCCTGTCATAGGCCTGGGGCAGCCAGAGAGCTGCTACAGCTGCAGTTTCTCCTGGGTGATGAGACTTGCAGCCAGGACCGGCTTGGTGACCTGGAACTGGTCTGAGTGTATTGTTGTTGGGTGCCTCAGCCTGCTCCCCTAGATCATCGTGCAGCAGGGCCTTCTCCGCTCCATTCCCAGGCAGATCTCCAGGCGTTCCGAGAGTATCCACTTGCCTGGACAAGCAGCCATAGTCACCTCACCCTTCCTTTGCAGAGATCCTGGTGCAGGGGGGCCTTTTCTGCTTCACGCCTAGGCAGATCTCCAGGTAATATGGTTTAGATGTTTGTCCCCTCCAAAACTCATGTTAAAATATAATTTCCAGTGTTGGACTGGGGCCTGGTGTAAGGTGTTTGGATCATGGGAGTGGAGCCCTCATGAGTAACTTGGCCCCCTCCTTGCAGTAATGAGTGAGTTCTCAATCTGAGTTCATGCAAGATCTGGTTGTTTAAAAGAGTGTGGCACTTCCTACCCCTCTCCCTCACTCCCTCTCTCACTGTGTGATACACCAGCTCCCCGTTTGCCTTCCATTATAATTGGAAGCTTCCTGAGCCCTCACCGGGAGCAGATGCTGGCACTATGCTTCTTGTACAGCCTATAGAATTGTGAGCCAAAATAAACCTCTTTTCTTTAGAAATTACTCCACCTCAGGTATTCCTTCATAGCAATGCAAATACACCAGGCATTCAGAGTACCCACCAACCTGTCAGCAGCATAAGCCACCAACCCTTCCTGAACATAGATCTTAGTATAGTGGGGACCCTCTCAACTCAACACCCAGGCAGATTTCTAGGTAGTTGAAGCATCCATCCACCTGGATTAGCAGCCTGACCACTCCATGCTTCCTGTGCAGAGATTGTGGTAAAGTAGGGTCCTCTCTTCTCTATGCCCAGGCAGATCTCCAGGCCTTCAAAGTACCTGCTTACCTGGATTGACAGCCTGAGCTGCTCCACCCTTCCTGCATATAGATTGTGGTGCACCAAGGCCTTTTCCATTCTAACCCAGGCAGCTCTCCAGGCATTCAGAGCACCCATTCACCTGGACCAGCATCCTGAGCTGCCCCATCCTTCCTGTGCAGAGACTGTGATGAAGCAGGACCCTCTCTGCCTAACACCCAGGCAGATCTCCAGGCATCAGAGCATCCAATTACCTGTATCAGCAGCTTGATCCACCCCACCATTCCTGTGCAGAGATTCTGGTAGAGGGAGATCCTCTCTGCTCCATCCCAAGGCATTCAAAGTACCTGCTTGCCCAGATTGGCAGCCTGCACCACCCCATCTTTCCTGTGCAGAGATCTGGGTGCAGGAGAGCCCTTTCCACTTCATGCCCAGGCAGATCTCCAGACATCAGGAACACCCATGCTCCTGGATTATGAGTTTAGGCCACAGCCCCAACCCCCAACTCATACAGAGAACTTAAGGCTGAGGAGGCTTCCCAGGCACACTGGGAAACTCCTAGGCACACCTCTGGGCACTTGGTGGCTGCCCACTGGATTCCCCCAGTGGTGGTGCTTGTGCCTGCCGTTGGTGGACTTGTAGGCAGGCCTGCCTGGTCTGGTCCTACCCGTGGTGGCCCCTTCTTCCCTGGGCTGAGCAGGGAGGTCAGACCACTGTGCACTACACAGATCAGCCCATTGCCTGAGGCAACAGAGAGCTTCTCCCAGTAAATAAGGATCACGTATATACCCAGCCAGATTGGCCACAGCCAGCAATTACCCATAAGTGCCATCTACAGGCTTGCAGGTCAAACCGCATAGCCCAGTATAAAACCTGCCAATGGAAGTGCATAGGGCTATAGAGGCAAAGTCAAGAGACCCTACCCAACATTTTCTACAGTCACACTCCCTAGGGATAAGGGGAAAGAGAAAAAGAAGAAAACAGTAATATCATAAAGAAAGAAAAGAAAAATTTCTTAACTGCACAAAAATAATTATAAAAATTAAAACTACCAGTGTCTCCAGATGATAAGGGACCTGAGTAAGAACTCTGGCATCATGAAAAATCTGAGTATAGTGACACCACAAAAAAATTATACTAGCTCTCCAGCACTGGTTCTTAACAAAATGGAAATTCAGAAATGGCATATGAAGAATTCAAACCATGAGTTGCAAGGAAGCCTAATGAGTTCCAAGACAAGGTTGAAAATCAACACAAAGAAACTACTAAAGCAATCCAAGAAATGAAGGAAGAGATAAATATCTTGAATTGAATCAGAGCTTCTGGAACTGAAAAACTCATCAAAGGAATTTCAAAATACAATTGAAAGGTTTAGCAAAACCACACAATTATATGTAAATTAAACAGCTTGCTCTTTGCTCTTTTGGATAAAAAGCGAAATTAAGGCAGAAATCACAAAATTCTTTGAAGTAAATGAAAACAGAGACACAAGATATCAAAATCTGTGAGACGCAGCAAAAACAGTGTTCAGAGGAAAGTTTATAGCACTAAACGCCTATCTCAAAAAGAAGGATCTCAAATTAATGATCTAATATCACATCTAAAGGAGGTGGAAAAAGAACAAACTAACCCCAAGTTAGCAGAAGAAAAGAAATAAGTCAGAGCAGAAGTGAATGAAATTGAGAAACAAAAATTCATACAAAGGGTCAATGAAAACAAAAGTTGGTTCTCTGAAATGATAAAGAAGATTGATAGAATGCTAGCTACATTAACAAAGTAAAAAAGAGAAGATCCAAATAAGCAGCATCAGAAATGACAAAGGTGACATTACAGCCAATCTCACAGAAATACAAAAGATCCTCACAGACTATTATGAAAACCTCTATGCACACAAACTAGAAAATCTGGAGGAAATGGATACATTGCTGGAAACACACAACCTCCCAAGATGAAATCAGGAAGAAATTGAAACTCTGAATGGATCAATATTGAGTTCTGAAATTGATCTAGTAATAAAAACCTATCAATCAAAAAAAGTCCTGGATATGATGGATTCACAGCCAAACTTGCCAGAAGTGCAAAGAAGAGATGGTACCAGTTCTACTGAAACAATTCCAAAAAATTGAGAAGGAACTCCTCTCTAACTCAGCCTATGCAGACAGTATCACCCTGATACTAAAATCTAGCAAAAACACTATGAAAAAAAGAAAACTACAGGCCAATATTCCTGATGAACATAGACCAAAACAATCCTCAACAGAGTACTAGCAAACTGAATCCAGCAGCACATCAAAAAGTTAATTCACCACAGTCAAATAGGCTGCATTCCTCGTAGGCAAGGTTGGTTCAACATAGGAAAATCAATAAATGTGATTCACTACATAAATAGAATTAAAAACAAACCCATATATGATCGTCTCAATAGATGTGGAAAAAGCTTTTGATAAAATCCAAAATCCCTTCTTGATAAAAAGTCTCAACAAACTAGGCACTGAAGAAACATACCCCAAAATTATAAGAGGCATCTATGACTAACCCACATTCAACATCATAATGAATGGGCAAAAGCTGGAAGCATTGTCTCTAAGAATTGGAACAAGAAAAGGATGCCCACTCTGACCACTCCTATTCAACATAGTACTGGGAGTCCTAGCCAGAGCAATCAGATGATAGAAATAAATAAAAGGAATCTAAACAGGAAAAGACGGAGTCAAACTACCTCTCTTCACCAATGATATAATTCTAAACCTAGAATTCTATACCTAGAAAACCCCAAAGACTCCTGAAACTGATAAACCATTTCAGTAATGTTTCAAGATATAAAATCAATGTACAGAAAAGTAGCATTTCTATACACCAATAACATTTAAGCTAAGAGCCAAATGAAGAACAATCCCATTTACAATAGCCACAAAAAATAAAATAAGAATACATCTAACAAAGGAGGTAAAAGATCTCTACAAGTATGACTCCAAAACCCTGCTGAAAGGAATCATAGATGACACAAGCAAATGGAAAAACATTCCATGCTCATGGATTGGAAGAAACAATATTGTTAAGATAGCCATATGGCCCAAAGCAATCTACAGATTCAACATTATTCCTATCAAAATACCAATGCTATTTTTCACAGAATTAGAAAAAAAACTATTCTAAAATTCATATGGAACCAAAAAAGCCTGAGTAGTCAAAGCTATCCTAAGCAAAAAGAACAATGCCAGATGCATCACATTACTTGACTTCAAACTATACTATAAGGCTACAGTAACCAAAACAGCATGGTATGGGCACAAAAACAGACACACAGACCAATGGAACAGAATAAAGAACCAAGAAATAAAGGCACACACCTACAGCCATGTGATTTTTGACAGAGTAGACAAAACTAAGCAATGGGGAAAGGACTTCCTATTCAATAAACGGTGCTGGGATAGCTGACTGGCCATATGCAGAAGAATTAAACTGGACCCCTACCTTTCACCATATGCAAAAATTAACTCAAGATGGATTAATGACTCAAATGTAAGACCTAAAACCATAAGAATTCTAGAAGAAAACACTATTTCGGACATTGGCTTGGGAAATTTATGACTGAGTCCTTAAAAGCAATTACAGCAAAACCAAAAATTGACAAGTGGGATCTAATTAAAGTAAAGAGCCTCTGCACAGCAAAAAAAACAAAAACAAACCAGATTCAACAGAGTAAACAGTCAACCTATAGAATGGGAGAAAATATTTACAAACTATGCATCCCACAAGGGTCTACCATCCAAGGGACTCAAACAATTCAACAAGCAAAAACCAAATAACTGCCATTAAAAAATGGACAAAAGATATGAGCAGACACTTCTCCAAAGAAGATGCGTAAGTGGCCAATAAACATACGATAAAATGTTCAACATCACTAATCATCAGAGAAATGCAAATCGAAACCACAATAAGATACCAAGTCATACCAGTCAGAATGGCAATTATTAAAAAGTCATGCTGGGCATGGTGGCTGGCTGGGTGCGATGGTTCATGCCTGTAATCCCAGCACTTTGAGATGCTGAGATGGGCGGATCACTTGAAGCCAGGAGTTTGAGACCAGCCTGGCCAATGTAATGAAAAAACCCTATCTCTACTAAAAATACAAAAATTAGCTGGGTGTGGTGGCACACACTTGTAATCTCAGCTGCTCAGGAGGCTGAGGCAGGAGAATCACTTGAATCTGGAAGGCTGAGGTTGCAGTGACCCAAGATCGCACCATTGCACTCCAGCCTGGGCAAAAGAGTGAGACTCCATCTCTAAATAAATAAATAAATAAATAAATATTTTTTTAAGTCAAAAAATAACCGGTGCTGGCAAGACTGCAGAGAAAAAGGAACATGTATACACTGTTGGGGGCGGGGGTGGGCATGTAAATTAGTTCAGCCACTGTGGAAAGTAGTTTGGAAATTTCTCAAAGAGCTTAAGACAGAACTACCCACTTTGGGAGGCCGAGGCAGGCAGATCACCTGAGGTCAGGAGTTCTAGATCAGCCTGGCCAACATGGTGAAACCCTGTCTCTACTAAAAATACAAAAATTAGCTGGGCATGGTGGCGAGCACCTGTCATCCCAGCTACTTGGGAGGCTGAGGCAGGAGAATCACTTAAACGTGGGAGGTGGAGATTGCAGTGAGCCGAGATCACACCACTGTGCTCCAGCCTCGGTGACAAGAGTGAAACTCTGTCTCAAAAACAAAAACAAAAAAACACTCAGAACTACCATTTGACCCGGCAATTCTATTACTGGGCATATACCCAAAAGAACATAAATCATTCTACCAAAAAAACAAAAAAAAACACATGCACTTGTATGTTCGTTGCAGTGCTATTCACAATAACTAAGACAAGGAATCAACCTAGGTTGCCATCAATAGTGTATTGGATAAAGAAAATGTGGTACATGCACAACATGGAATACTAGACAGCCATAAAAAGAATGAAATCATGTCCCTTGCAGCAGCATGGATGCAGCTGGAGGCTACTATCCTAAGCAAATTCATGCAATAACAGAAAACCAAGTCCTGTATGTTCTTACTTGTAAGTGGGAGCTAAATTTTGGGTACACCTGGACATAAAGATGGCAATAATAGATACTGGGGACTACTAGAGGGGGAAGAGAGAAGGGCAAGGGTTAAAAACTAATGTTTAGGTACTATGCTCACTCCCCAGGGGATGAGATCAATTTTACCCCAAACTTAGCATCATGCAGTCTGCCTATGTAACCCATCTGCTCATGTACCCTTTGAATTTAAAATAAAAGTTGAAATTACATTTTAAAAAAGAAAGTATCACTAGAATCTGACACTGATTTATCAGCTGTGAATTAGTGATCATTTCCCAGAGCAAGTGTTAATCCCATTTATAGCTCATCAGAAAACTGCTTAAATATATTATCAGTAAAAGTCTAATTTCTTTTCCTAAGAAGACTGTGATTACATCACACAGACCATATTCTGGACAATTTTTTTTTTTTGTTAGTGACAGTGTCTCACTCTGTCACCTAGGCTGGAGTGCAGTGGTGGAGTTATAACTCACTGCAGCCTCGAACTCCTAGGCAGAAGTGATCCTCCTGCCTCAGCCTCCCAAGTAGCTAGGACTACAGGTCAGCACCAGCACCACCTGGCTAATCTTTTTTATTTCTTGTAGAGATGGGGTTCTCACTATGTTGCCCAGCTCAGTCTCGAACTTCTGGCCTCAAGTGATCTTCCTGCCTTGGCCTCCCATAGTGCTCAGATCACAGGTGTGAGCCACCAAGCCTAGCCAGGGATAAATTTTTCCATTGCAATCTCACAGAGTTGTTAAAACTAAGTGAGATGCTACATGAAAGATGCCTTAGTCCAGGGGCTAGTCCATAGAAAGTGCTTGATGAATGTTCATTGTTGTTCTAGGAAGACCTTCCTTCTACTTCACTTCACTCCCAATGTGGAAGTCCTGTCAGTGAGAATGTCAGGCGTATATAGCCAAGCTCTAATTTTCTAACTTTGATTCTAGTGATAGAATCTCCAGTGGGCTCTGCTTGGTCTGATTAGAAGCCCTGCCTAAGAAATGTGATGCTGGTTCACCAAATTATTTGTTGGTTGCTACAGAAAGAGACTTGGATAGAGGGTCCTTTGTTAAGCAGGCTCCCCTTAATGTGAGTTTTGACATTTTTGGATATTAAAGGTAAATCTAAAACCTACTTTGAGAGGATGAAAAGTTTAGCATAATAAAGGAATAGGAAGTCGATGGTTGAAGATTGGTAGCTAGCAAATGGAAGAGAAGATGTTGGAGAAGCAAGAGTAGCAAGGAGATGGTGGGAAGCTCAGGCCTAAGCATTTATTTGGCCATGAGAATATCCTATGCTGGGAAGTGGCTGCTCAGTGCTTCATACAATGACGTCAAATATTACATTTACAGTAGTCCCCCTCTTATCTGGGTTTCACTCTCCATGACTTCAGGTACCTTCAGTCAAGGTAACTGACTAGTCATATACAGAAGAATTAAGCTGGACTCCTACTTTTCACCATTTACAAAAATTAACTCAAGATGGATTAATGACTCAAATGTAAGGCTCAAATGTTTGTGGTCTGAAGACATTAGATGAAAAATTCCAGAAATAAACAATTTATATGTTTTAAATCAGTGACCCTCAACCTTTTTGGCACCAGGGACAGGTTTTGTGGAAGGCAATTTTTCCACAGACCATGGTTGGGGATGGTTTCAGGATGATTCAAGCATGTTATATTTATTGTGTACTTTATTTCTATTATTATTACGTTCTAATATATACTGAAATAATTATACAACTCACCATAACGTAGAATCAGTGGGAGCCCTGAGCTTGTTTTTCTGCAACTAGATGGTCCCATCTGGGGGTGATGGGAGGCAATGACAGATCACCAGACATTAGATTCTCATAAGGAGCACACAACCCAGATCCCTGGCATGCATATTTCACAATAGGGTTTCCGCTCCTACAAGAATCTAATGCTGCTGCTGATCTGACAGGAGGTGGAGCTCAGGAGGTCATGTGCACGATGGGAAGCAGCTGTAAATACAGATGAAGCTTCACTCACTCGCCCTCTGCTCATCTCCTGTTGTGCAGCCTGGTTCCTAACAGGGTTGGGGAACTCTGTTTTAAACAGTGTGCCATTCTGCGTATCACAATGAAATCTCACACAGTTTCACTCCATGCCACCCAGGACATGAATCCTCCCTTTGTCCAGCATCTCCACACTGTCTATACTACCATCCTGTTAGGAGCCCATTTCAATGATCAGATTGATTGTCCTAGTGTCACAGTGCTTGTGTTCAAGTTACCTTTATTTGTCTTCATAATGGTCCCAAAGCACAAGAGTAGTGTGGCTGAGGTTTGTTATAATTGTTCTATGTTATCATTAGTTATTACTATTAATCTCTTTCTGTGCCTCATTTGTAAATTAAACTTTACCATAGGTATGTATGTGTAGGAAAAACATAGTGTACACAGGGTTCTGTACTACCTATGCTTTCAGGCATCCACTGGGGATCTAGGAACATATCCTTTGCGGATGGGGGAACTACTGCACAATTTTTACCAGTCCTTTTTTTCTTGGGCAACAATCCCTTTTGTTACTCTAAAAAGTAAGTAAAAGGTTGCCTCATTCACCCCAAATTATCAGTGCAGGAGGCTGTGGAGTGTAGCCTCCGGAGTTAGTTAACCTGGCTGTGTTTGGCTTTGGAAAGGTCACCCTGTAATATGACAAACACTTTCTAATGGAAACCACTAAGGAACATGTTGAAGACAGGTCTCACTTGGGAGTGGGTGTTGTGGGCTTTGGTACATATCCCCTTTGACGCTGATCTTGAATGAACCACAGTTCTCCAAGACCCAGTGTGGGAGGGGTATGTATATTTATTTTAATAAAAGTATTCTTTTAAAAATTAAGCAATGAAGAAATGATTAAATAATACTGTAAAAGTAGCTAATCTTCCCAACATCCTAGGGGAAATGGATGGCTATCCCTTCAAATGTTTTCTATGCCTATGCAAACATATTTCTATTATACATAATTCATGTATACTTTTATGCACAAATGAAAATATTTGCCTTCTTTTGCAATGCATTTTTTGACATTTTACTGACACAAATGCAGCATATTACCAGCACACAATCTGAAATTTATTTTCCTTTTTTTTAAACTGCTCAACACATTTTTGTGCTTACCTTTCTTGATCAAATCTGATTGAAAACCAAAATTAGACTGGTAGACATCAAACTCAAAAATGAAAACAAAGGCATGAACTGAGTGTTCATAGAAGAAGACTTGGTTCCTCTGGAGTGAACTCGGAGTCAGGACTTGAAGGATGAGTTGTCATTCCATGGGAGGCAAAGAAGTAGGGAGGGGAGAGAACTTTCTAGGAAAGGGGATGAACAGGAACAAAGTCCTGGAGGCAGATTGATGTGGCCCAGAATTTGGAGGTAAAAATTATGGAGGTTCTATAGCCTGTGTCATTCTGACTGGGGTTCACAGCGTTCACCCTCAGGTAATCATTAACATTTATGGGGTGACTTAATAACATCCTCATGTAATGGAAAGTTTGCCTAAGTTTAGCACAACACAGTTAAGCTTTATTTATTCCTAGATTCTGCCTTCAGTGTGTATTATGGTGAAGGAAGTGTGGATAGAAATGGACTCAGGGAAAATTTCACTAGAGGTGCTTTCAATGCTTGCCAATGACTCTGGCTCAAATCTTCTTAAGAAAGCCCCAAAGGGAGGTGTATAACAGGTTATAAATGGAAGTAAATTACAATGCCCTTCTTTTATTCCAGAACAGTACAGGGCTTTCAGTGACCTAACCACTTTTGTCTGAACCTTTTCCTTAGGCTGAAAGCCACCAGAGGTTCTCTAGTGGGCAATATCCCTTAAGAACTGTATCTGTTCTTTAAAACATGCCCTCACCTGTTTCACTGCTAAATAAATGATTTCTGGCTCTCTTCTGTTTACAGTTAATTGTTATTTCTTCTAAAGTTATTAAGTTTGGGGCTATGCTTTTTCTACAGTTGTATATTTAAGAGCACTTATTATAAAGTAAGTATAAATTTTATGAAATTATCAATAGTCAACTATTTTGTTACCTACGAAAAGGACAATTTAATATTATTCAACCTAATATATTTAACTCTATTGTTTCTTATTCTTAAAATTGGGATTAATCAGCCCTTATTTCTTACAAATTTTCTCACCTATAACTTTATGGTGAACAGAAGTGAATTTTTATAAATGTCAAAACATCTTCCAAGTCCATCACCTTTCTTCCATTTTGACTGTTATCACACTAGCCCAGGCCCCCTTATCTTTTATCTAGATTATTTGCAGTGTCTTTTTACCTGTCTTCCAGACTCCTGAAAAATGTGCCATTTTTTTTCTTGTCACTTTTTTCTTCCAAAAGCATAATTCTTGATGCCTTACCAATTGAACACCAAACATTGGAGCCTCCCACAAAATAATCCCAGCTTTTCTTCTCCCCACTATCCTCCTTCCTTTGCCCATTCCTTACATTTTGAGTTAACTTGGAGTTCAATTTTGGTTACTCACTTCCATTTTGCTACTAAGCTTGTTCTGCCTGGTATAATAGTTGCTTCTGTAGCAATCTTTTCCTTCCTGCCAGCCTAAAAGCTCTTTGAAGGCAGAGAGAGTCCTCCTCAGACTTTGAAAGGCCCATGGTATCTAACATGATGGGCATCATATGTGACTGTGCAGGAATTCTAGGGAGGCCAATCCTAGGGACTAGGTCGTGAATGCCTCTGCCCAGAGTCGTATAATAACATGGCCATGTTAAGCACAGTGGGGTATGTGGAGCAGATTTCCCATAAGTACTCATAGAATTCAGTTGAATCTCAATTTAGATCCAGCCATGAAAAGTGCTTCTGAAACACTTAAATCTCCCACCTTCTCATTCAGAGTTCCACTCTGATCTTAAATGGAAACACAGCCAATTACGGGGAACAGTTACTGATTACAACATTTCCATCTAGTTCCAGAAGTTCCTGTGACTACCAAAAAGGTTGCTAACAGATCTTTCCGAGATTCAAGGATGGTGGCCAGTCTTTGGCCTTTTATGACAAAGGGCTTCCCTGTTGCAGTACCATTGATCTGTTCTGCAGATATTTGATAACATTTTATGGCTTGCGAAACTGCCTGTGATGAAAATGTAAAGCTAAGAATTTCACCAGAGACATGTTTCACTGGCTTATTCTAATGGCTGGTAAGGCAGATATAAATTAGTTGGTTATATTTTTTGACTAGTCTGCTCATTTTCTCCCAAATAAAGAATAAAGGCTATAAAATGATCCCTTGGAGTGTGCTACTTGGAATTTTTTTCTGTAGGTATTAGCTACTGCTTCTAATTTATCTTCATTGAGTTCCTGTTTCCTTTTATTGTGATGTTTCATGTAAAACTGGGAAACAAAATCTGTCAAGCAGTTGTTGGATTTGAGAGTGTGGTGGGGCTTGCATCACATGGCCAGCCCCACAGAGGGCCCATTGAGTTGTCATCAAGAGGAAAAGATGAGCCTGAACTTAGGAGAGATTAAAAAATAATGGAGTTCGATTAGCTTTTGGAGATGCTTCCTATGTGTGAAGAAGAGTCCTAAGCAAGGCAATAGCTAAGATTTACTGAGCAAATGAGAAAACTAACTGCCATTGATCAAATCATGCAATGCAAAGGAGCATGTCTCCCATTGCTATGAGCAGTCAAACTAAGAGAATCGTCCACAGTGAGCTGCCCAAGGA